>NC_000007.14:141256779-141881779 GCF_000001405.40 Homo sapiens
AGGTGAAAAATAGTTGGATTTGGGATACATTGTCAAGATGTTGCTGACGTGATTGGATGTAGGATGTGAGAGAATGGAATTATCAATTTCTGAAATGTGCAACACTAAGAAATGCCTATTTGACATCCACATTGGGATGCTGAGTTGGACAGTACAATATTTGTATCTGGAGTTGAGGGGAACAGGATCAGTGTGCATGATATTGACAGTTGTGGTGCTGGACGAGATCACCTTCAAAGGAAGCGTACAGATGAGAGCAGCCCAACAACTCGTATTGAGACATCCCAACATAGAGTCATGGAAATTGGAAGGATCCAAGAAAGGAGACTAAAAAGGAATGTCCAGTGATGTGGAAGGAAACCCAAGAGATTGATGTTGCAGAAGCAGGTAAATAAGATATTTCAAGAAAGACGAAGTGCTCAACTCTTTCAAATGTAGTGAAAGCCTGGATGAGGTGAAAATTCAGAACCAGGGAAACTAGCTGGTTGTTGGTGATCCTCTAATAATGGAAGAAGTAAGTCCCTCACTTTCTTCTTTCTCTGGTTCTAACTTCAGGTTCAGTCCAAGCTGTCCTCCTAATAGCTCTTGCTGTTGAGAGTTATATTTTCAAGATGTTGACACAAAAAATCTGTAGGATCTATGTTTCTGAATACTCAAATTCAAGTTATGTCATGTTTTTCAGGAATATGACTGTTGGAATATGTGGGGATTCCACAGTTCGCAGCTTTTTAAGAGCTGAATGACCATTGAAGTTTTAAAATCCAGTCCTCAGATCACAGACTGCTTTCTAGGTATTCCCACTCTGACTGCAAAAACTCCCCTCTGACAGTTTCCACTTTCAGCTCCTCAGCTCTTGATATGTGTGCTGTAAGAACAGTGAAGCCAGAAGATGGAGCGGGGAGGCAAGGCAGCTAGGCAAGAAGCTCTACGGCATATAGTGGGGTCTTTTTATCTTTTATTTTTAAATTTTTATTTATTTATTTATTTTCTTTTAAATCTAGATGGACAGTCTCTGCCTTTTGATTGGAATGTTTCATCCATTCACATTTCATGTAAATATTGATATGGTTGGATTTCCATTGGCAGTTTTGCTATTTCTTTTCTATATGGTCTCCTATCATTTTTGTTTATCTGTTCCTCCCTTACTTCCTTTTTTGTTTAGTTAAATAGATATTTTCTAGCATACCATTTTATTTATTTGCTTTAAAAATTTTCCCTGTATTTTATTGTGTTTTTTTAGTAGTTTCTCTAGAGAGTACATTATGATCTTCAGTTTATCATAATCTACTTCAGATTAATACTAATTTAATTCTGGCAAAATGTGGAAACTTTGCTCCAATAGAACTTTATTTCTTTCTTCTCCTTTATGCTATTATTATCTCATATATATATATATATATATATGCATGTTATATATGTATGTATTTCATCTTCATATGTTATAAACCCCCAGATATGGTTCTTATATTGTTGTTTAACATTGTTTAGCAGGGATGTCCAATCTTTTGACTTCCCTGGGCCACATGTAAAATACACTAACACTAGCAATAGCTGATGAGTTAAAAAAAATCGCAAAAAATTCTCATAATGTTTTAAGAAAGTTTACAAATTTGTTTTGGGCCACATTCAAAGGTGTTCTGGGCCACATGTGGCCTGTGGGCTGCAGGTTGGACAAGCTTGGTTTAAATAATAAATCTTATGCCTTTTAAATGCATTAAGGGCAGAAAAGAAAAAATATTTGCCTAGTCATTTATATTTACCTTTCTGTGCTCTGTTTTCTTCATGTGGATTCACGTTACAGCCCAATGTCATTTCCTTTCAGCCCGAGGGCTTCCTTTATTATTTCTTGTAAGGCAGGTCTGATGCGATGAAATCTCTCCATATTTAATTATCTGGGAATGTCTTTATTTTGCTACATTTTTGAAGCATCAGTTTGCTGGATATAGAATTCTTGGTTAAACGAGTTTTTGTCTTCTTTCTTTCTTTCAGCCTTTAAATAGGTCATCTCGCTGTCTTCTGGCCTACTGTTTCTGATAAGAAGTCAACTGTTAATCAGATTATTGTTCTCCTATATATATGAGTCAGTTTTCTCTTGATGCTTTTAAGATTTTCCCTTTATCTTTGGCTTTTAACACTTTGACTATAATGAGCCTGAGTGTGGACATTCTTCTGTTTTTCCTGCTTAGAGTTTACTAAGCTTCTTGAATGTGTTGATTACTGGTTTTCATCAAATTTGGAAAGTTTTTGGCCACTAGTTCTTCAAATATACTTTCTGTTCCTGTCTCTCTCTTCTTGTCTTCTGGGACTTCTATTATATGTATGCTTGATAGTATCCCACTATTCTCTGAGATGTTCTTCATTTGTATTTATTCTTTCTGGTCTTTAGATTGCATGATTTCTATTGTCCTATCTTCAAGTTTGCTTATTCTTTCTTCTGCCATATGATATACTCTTTTAAGCCTCTCTAATGAAGTTTTATTTGTTGTTATATCTTTTAACCCCAGAATCTCTGTTTAAAAATATTTTTATTGATACTACCTATTTGATGAGTCATTGTCATACTTTAAAAATTCATTAAATATGGTTTCCTTTAATTCTTTGAGCATATTTATAATAGTTACTTTGAAGTCTGTCTGGTGATTCCAGAACCTGTTTAGAGTCATTTTATATTGACTGCTTCTTTTTCGCCTTGAGTGTGGGTCACACTTTCCTATTTCTTTGCATATCTCATAATTTTTGGTGAAAACTGGAAATTTTAGATAATATATTGTAAGAACTCTAGGCTCTGATTTTTCCATGGGGATTGTCACTGTTGCTTGTTGTTAGTTTAATGACTTGTCTGGGCTAAGTAAAATCTGTCTCCCCGACAATACGTAGCTACTAATGTTTCTGCTTAATTCTTTACTTCTCATTTTTATTTTTAAGCTGGTTTTCTAGGGGTTGCTTCTAGGTCAGCATAGCTTAGTGGTTAGCCAGCAATTGGTCAGAGGCTATGCCCAACACCTTAATCTGGTAGGGCCTCCATCCCTTGCTGAAGAATCTATGGATGGATTGGGACATACACTCAAAGTTCAGTCAGCTTATGGGTCTCCCTGGCTTTTACTTTCCGTTATGCCCTTTGTGTCTCCTCTGTCTGTGCACAATGCCTCACATTCACCCAGGGGTGTGTGGATAGCTGGGGCCCTCTCTGATCTCTCCTGAGTGTGAGCACAGCCTTGTAATGCATGCAGCCTTTCAGACCACCAGGGTTATATGGGACTGTATCAAGACCCCGATGTTTTATTTTCTGGATCTCTTTGTTGTATGTCTAGCTTGTCTGCCATTTAGTTGCTTGCTTCACCTTGGCATTGACCTTCCTCATTTATTTGCCACCGAGATTGCTACTGTTTATGACAATGCCCAGGAGATTGCTTTGTTTTGTTTTGCAGTATACTCCAAATCAAGCCAGCTGCCTTCCTCAGCAAAGCTGATGATTTTCTTATCTTGTTCCACCTTAATTGAAGTACTGTTTCATTGGAGGAAGAGGTGGGTGGGAACATCTCCTAAGCTAAAACCCAGCAGATTCCCACTGATCTTGGATAAACGTTTTTCAATTTGATGTGTGTCTTCCATCAATGTCCAAACTTTTTATATTTTTTTTTGACCATTTTTTCCCCCAGTTCTATCACCGTTTGTTGGGAAAAGGATTTTGCAGACTTCTCACCACCATTCCAGAAGTCCCTCCCCATCCTTGTATTTTGGTCATCTCTGACTCTGCCACTTTTGTGTAAAATCATCTCCCTACCTCATCCTTAGGAAGCAGGTAATGGTCAAGTAATCTTATTTATGCAGCACAGGGCAACCCAGGCCCCATCTGGAATATGGTGAAATAAACATGGTGCATCTTCTAGAAGTTTCTATTTTACTTGAAGATTTGGAGTGAATGTTATGTAGGTGGTAAGTAATTTAAAAAAACATTATTTTCAAATTAATAAATCTAGATACAGAGTAGAAAACAAAATTCACAAAAAATATTCTTTTTAAAGATAAAACCATGTAAGATATCAGAGGAATTTTACACTTACTGGGGCCACTTTGGAGTAACCCCACAGGTATCACTTCATGCTCAGAAGTATTTCCATTGGAAAATTACAGAAATATTATAGAGATTAGGCTTAAAACAGTTAATAAAAGATAATATAGGCTTTATGGTAAGAAAGCTTTAGGATTCATTAAACTTAAAAAGACCATTTTGTAATAATATAAATGATAACCCAAGATCAGCCTTAGTGACTGAAAAGAATTGTGAATTCTCAATGCAGTATATTTCTGTATTTAAAAAGAAATCCAAAATTAATGAATGTATTGCTTGCAGTCAAAAACTGTTGGGGTGGAGGCTTAATTTCTGCATAACCATTTTGTTTGGGGCACAAAGTTTTTAGAAATTCAATTTGAATGCCCTGTTCGTGAGGAAGAGGGCAGTGCGCTCTCTTCTATTAAGAGGTGGTTCTACTTCTTCCTATTTGCCTCAAATTGGGAAACCTCACTTGTATAGGTTTTTTTTTTTATTGTCTCCCAAAGCCATTTGACTTTGCTACCCTTAAATTGGTTGAAATCTAGGTGAGGGCTCAGGTGAAACAGGGGCAGAAGTTAGAACCTTTGTCTGCAGGAAACGCTACCATTGGGGTATAGGTGGAACTTTTGGGTGGTTGGAAATGGGACAGATGAGGCAAAGAAATTGTAGATGCAGAGGAGGGTCCCAAGTGCAGGGATCGTTAGTCATATATGGTTTCAGAGCTAACAAAGCAGCAGTTCAGGAAGTCTAAGACCGAGTGAGTGCTTGAGAGCTGTGAGTGGACGTGATTATCATTACAACTTCCCCAGACTGAGCTCCGGCCCCGCTCCAGGTCCTCTGCTGGGTGCTTCTGCCTCCATCACAACTTCAGGAAGTAGCACAAGGGCCAGGGAAAGAAAAGTGGAGTCCAAAAGTGAAAAGAAGTGGGAGACAGGGAGTGCGTGCTCTGTCTGTTGCAGCTGCCTTTAACCCCTGCATGCATCTGTCTTATCTACCAACAAACAGTAAGGGAAATTACTCATTTTGCACCTTGAGCTTCATAGAATCCTGGCTCTTAGACCTGGAAGGAACCTTGCTAGGCTCCTGTTTCCAACAAAATAAATTATTGTTATCCTTAGCCCCACAGGCAGCTAAGGCCAGAAAAGAGCCCTAGAGACTTAGAATGTTAGGGCCACAAGGACCTTACAGCTCATCCAGTTTCCTCTCCTACTTTTAATAGATAAAATAACTGTTCACAACAGGAGTCATCCAAGGAGAGAAGATAGAGGTGCCAAAACTAGAACCAGTTTGCAAGCCAAGGCAGTTTGCTTCACACCAGGAACCCTGGGCCATCTTTTATAAAGTGGCTTCACTTAGTGAATCCATTTGATTTGCATACTTCTCTGGGCTCAGCAAGTGTCCACTTTTTCAGGCTCTGATTTTGAGTGGAATCTATAGAAAATCAGGGTTTGGTGCTCTCTTTCTCCCTCTGCTGGCTCTCCAGGCTGATTCCCTGAAACTGACACAGATATTTGGGCCGAGAAATGATTTCAAATAAAATGGAGGCATGCATGTGAGTTGCTTTGGAAACAAGGGAGAAAGCGACAGCTTTTTCTTAAAGAGGTAAAACCATTCCAATGGAAAGCTTGATAAATACATATAATATATATATATATATATATATATATATATCCCTCCCTGCCTTTCCTGGTTTCTCTTGACTACACACAATGGCAAAGCAAAAATGGAAAACTTGAAAAAAAAACTTGACAGCATTTCTATGATTCAGCTGGCAATTTGCTACAGTATCCAGGGAGACAGCTTCTCACATACATTAGCATAATGTGAAATGGCAGCTAGAACCAGAATTTACTGTCTAAGCAACTCAGCCTGAACAGTCATTGACGACAATGCAATTTAAAGGAAAGCCAAATATTAGGCGTAAGTGACTGATACAGCCCTGAAACCTCTTCATTTTAAACATATGGGGTCCAGTTTGTTCCTTCATTTTTACTCCGTATTCTTGGGGCAGTTGGCTGGGACTCAGGGTTAACAAAGGAAGATATTGTGGCTAGTTCAGACCCAATATAGCATTCAGCCAGCATCAGCTCACTCTAGGCCTTTACCACCAAAATGCATTTTCTTTCCCTTTTGATTTTTTTTGAGGCTTTCCATTTCCACTGGTATCCAAATGCTGACATTTCTTCTTCCTGTATTTTCCCCATGAGCCTTGACAGAAGAATGTACCTCCTTGCTTCCCAGTTATCTGGACACTAAACCACTGCAGATAGCAGCACAATCTTGAAAAGGAGCTTTGTTTCTAAGCGGAGGGGCCCAGCAAGTGGAGGGAAGACATCCTTACAGGGGTGTGATTCCTGAGGATTTCAGACGTTGTTGTGGCTGACACTCTTACTGACCTCTGGCTTCCCTGAGCATTCCTCTGGCTCCTTTTTCCTCTTTCTTCTGCCTATATAATTTCTTCTCTTGGGCTGAGGACCAGGCTCAGTGGAATAGTGGCGATAACATTTTCCAGGCTGATGGGATACATGGGCACAGGTGGCAGTTTCCCAGGTACAGTCTTCCACTTGATATTGCTTCCAATTCACCACCTACCATTGCTATTTATGCCAGACTTAGAAATCCCAAATAACCCAGAGATAGGACCTCTCCCATATTGTACATGGAGGTCAGAGGACAGAGTGAAGGCTGGGGTAGGGGAAAGGTCTGTCTGTATACATTAATTCAGGGAGTGTTGATCATTGAGACTACACAAGGACTTGCAAGTGAAGGCAGAGTAACAATTTTATGCTTTGAGGTTTGCCTTATGATGACGACAGGGGATGGCCCAAGGATGTGGTTGTTCAGTTTCCTGGAAACTTCCTGGTACATACTGGAATCTGGCTGCTCATCTGCAGGGATTTTCCCAGTGGCCTCTGCAATGTTAGAGGAACAGCCCGCAAGACTGCCCTCATCTCTGACACCAATTGTAGATTCAGAGGTCCCCAGGACCACTTTTACTTTCCATAGTTCTGTAGAAGGATGCATAGAATGTACCAAAAGTGTTTATTACATGGTACAGTTTATTACAGTTGAATAATACAGATTAAAATTAGCCAAGGGAAATGGCACATAGGGAAGAATTCAGGAAAATTCCAAATGTGGAGCTTCTGTTGTCCTCTCCCCTTGGAGTCATGGAGAGTGGTACTTTCTTGGCATCAACATGACAGTATACACGGAGCATTGCCAACCAGGGAACACACCTGAGCCTAGGCATTCAGATATTTTGGTGGGGGGCTCCATCACATAAGTAGGGTTCATTCCAGTCTCCAGTCCAATCTTCAGCTGGAGGTTGAGCTGACTCAGCAAGACCCAAAGCCCTCACTGTGTCACATTGTCACATCATACTAACTGCATGACCCAAGGTCCTAGGCAAACCAAGACACTGCTCTCAGGACTTTACATTTCAAGGCCTTAGAGACGACCTCCCAGAAGCCAAGGGCAAAGGCCAGACTCTCTTTGGGCAAGGTTAATTCTTTACTACACAGTCTATCTTTGTTTGCCTGTATCTTCTTTGGGACTTCCCATGCCAGATGCAGAAATGTGTTCCGTTGTGGTAGGGTGTTCTGGAGCTGTAGGAGGCAGTTGGCAGTCATGGAAATGGAAGTGAGAGAACCACAGATGAGGGAGGGGGGTGAGGAAGTGACTGTAGCTGGCAAGGAAGGGATCCGCTATGAAGAAGTGTGCTGAAAGCTTATGTATGAATAGAGTGGGAGACATGAAACCCAGTGGATTTGTTGGTAAGTGAAATACTGTTCTAGGTTGTGATTTACTCTTTCATTTTGTCCATCAGGTGGGTATTACACCAAGGATAAATATATCTTAACCTTCAGGACTGAGAGCTAGTCTTGCCAAAAAGGCAAGATGAATTAAGGTCACAGTTGGAAATAACTTGCTCTG
This sequence comes from Homo sapiens, assembly GCF_000001405.40. Classification (NCBI taxonomy): domain Eukaryota; kingdom Metazoa; phylum Chordata; class Mammalia; order Primates; family Hominidae; genus Homo; species Homo sapiens. The sequence goes on from NC_000007.14 coordinate 141,264,770, forward strand.
GAGTCAATGGAGGTTTTGTTTTTGTTGTACATCCATATAGGCAGTAGAGATACCAAGTTGCATGGGAGGAAATGGACTGTGTTTTGCGAGCATGTCAATAGTAATGACTATTATAATGATAAATAATAAAGGCTGCCATTTATAGAGTGCTTCCAAGTGCCAAGCACTGTTACATTATTTACCAACATTATCACATTTAATTATTTGAATATCACTAATGGGGGAGATATTATTCTCTGAGTTTTATAAGTGTGAAAATTAAGCTTTTGAGTGGTCAATTAGCTTAAAGACTCACAGGTGACAAAGCCAGGATTCAAACCCAGGTCTTTCTGACTTTAGTGTCTATACTCAACCTGTTACAAGTCCCCATGATGGACATGGTTAACAGGGCTTCGCAGGTAGAGATAAACCTCTGGTTTCCTGGTTTGGTCTTTCATGTGTTTATTTCAAAAGTGGCTTCAAAAGACTGTATCTGCTAAGACTGAGGCTGGGTGCACCAAGAGCCTCAGTGGTGAAAGGCTTTGAATGGGGCCATGATGATGGGGTGGGGTGGGAGAGGGCTGAGTTTCATGGCTTCAGGACTGTGGCGCAGACTTTACCTCAAGGGACTCCCTGGCTCACAGGGTGAGGTTGCATGTTCATGCCTGTTCATCTACACCAGGAAGGAGATGGTTTATATTTGCTCCTGGTAGAAGGGATCTTTCTGGGGTGGGACTCACAGATTAAGAATATAAAAAACAGAGATAGGAATAGGCAGTGTTGGAATTCTCTAAGGGTATCTTATTTATTGTTCTGTCTCCAGCATCTAGCATAGTACGTGGCACCCTGGAGAAGGTTAGTGAATATTGCTGGATAACCAAGTGGGTAGATACACAAGGCAGTTAGGTGGGGCACGTCTCTTTTGGGATTGGGTTGGATGAAGAACAAAGAAGCAGAATCAGCTTTTCCACCACCAGGTACATTTTCAAAAGGCTCCCAAGTACTTTCAAAATAACACTTGACATTTGTAGTTTAAGGTAAACTGTATAGTTTAAGGTGCTCTCATGTACTTCCTTGGTGAGTTGCTGAAGGCCACGTAACTCATAGAGAACCGAGATCTTGGTTATTTGGAGAGGCATTGTGACAAAAGGTCTGGGTTTCCCCAGCTGAAGGCTCTTTACTAGTTGGGCTGGAGCTCACCCTCATTCATCAGCCTTGGATGTGGTGCCTGACTGAGGGATCAGAGTCCCCTGTGAGCTTGTCCTGAGTGTGGAATTCCTCCTGCTTCATCATCTAGCCCATTCTGGAGCACATCAGCTCTTCTGGCATCAGAGACCTTAACTCAGAGGCTGTTTAGGGACTAGGAGAGACAATGTCTCTTAAATACCCTCTTAAATGCCTTAAGAAAAATACTGATATTTGAAGCTCCAAAGCCTTGAGCAGCCCCTCTTCTGGTGCAACTCATTGGGACTTCCCTCTGTGGGGGAGAATCATTGCATTCATCTTCCAGGTGCCTTCAGAAGCCACCTGGACCATGATTAGTAACTGCCTTGCTAACTGGCCAAGGCATGCCTGAGGTTGGACACCTCACCCCAGTGACCCTGGAATGTTGAGTAGAGAGAGAAGCCTCATTTCTGGTGCCCATCAGTTATCTGTTAGTAACTCAGAATCCTGAGTGTAACTGCTTTCTCAACAGATGTTGTACACTCTGAGCTGTTTGTTCTGGAAAACCCTGTGTCAATGGAGCATTCCCGGTGGGTTCAGTTCTGCATACTCCCTACCTCAGGAGGAGTAACAAAGGTGTGGTTCCTGCAGGCTTTTGGCTTAAGGAAGTCTGTGAGAGTCTTCCGGTGGGCTAGGGGCTGCCTCTGGACATCTTGAGCAAGTCTCAGCCACACATGTTGCAGCTTCTCTGCGAGCCATTGGTGCCTTTAGTCTCAGGGGGACTCAGGACTAAGGATGACTTGTGTAACGCTAAGGCATGAAAAGGGAGTTATTATTTACAGGACATTTTTCAGAAATACCGCATTGCTGTTGATTGATGATGAAGTTGTTACTCACATGGGAAACTTATTTATTAACTGAGATAGGAGAGGACAACCAGACCTGAGTTAGGGAGCATTTTTCAATGCTCTTACTACAGTTGAATTTTCTGAAGATGTGGCTGGCCCAGATTGTTTCCTGAGAGCTGTCCACAAGCCCACAGGGCCTGCCTCTCATTTCTCTGAAATGAGGCAATCCTTCTGGAGGCTTTGCCCTTGGCCAGGGTGACAGTAGTAGGTTAGCAGGTGTGTCACCTGCCCTTTCCTGCTACCTGAAGAGGTGAGTATGGAGCAGGATGAATGTGACAACACACAGCATCCTCCCATGACAGCCGATCTACAGCTAAAAGCTTGTTGGCCCAGGAGAATTCAGCCAACGAGCGAAGCTCTGTAACCTTTCTTGGTTCTGTCTCCTGGTTTCTGGGTCCTCTACGTACCTCAAATTTCTATGGTTAATGGGTTTTCCTGTCTATCCTGACAAGGCCTTAAATAATTGTTAAATTCGTTCTCACTAAAGTAGTAGGAGCTTGAGTGAGTCCTACCTAGAGTACAGCTTTTGTTTTTTTAGAGAGAACTGAAAAGAGAGGACATTGCCTAATTTAAAACAAGGCCCAGCCAGTAGTGGGTTTGGAGGCCTTGGTAACGGAGAAGATATTGGAGGGTGACCCTCATTAGCTCATCATATTGTCGGCTCCCCTCAGCCTTCTCTTCCTCTGCATTAGGTTGGCCATGGCTTTGACCCAACATCCTCCAGGGCCCAGGCTTGGATGTGGGCATCCCCAGTTATGGACTGACATCAAGCATCAGGCTGGAAAACCAAGCCATGTCTGCAGAGATGCAGGAGTGGCTACCAAGCCTTGTGTGCTTCAGGCTTCACCGGCACTGCTACAGTCTTCTCTAGGCTTTTCCAGCTTTCTTGCTTCAGCACTTGGGACATTTTTATATTTAATTTATGATATATCCTTGTCTAGAGCAGCTTTCCTTTAAATGCCTGTGAAGGGCTCTGCTGGCCTGATTCTCTACTCCTCATCATATAATTGGGGGATGGGGCAAAAGAGGGCCAGGCTGATAACCATTTCCTCCTCAGAACATAGCAGGTGCCTGCACTTAGCAGATGTTCCTTAAGTATTCTCGAAGTTTACCCTGAAAGTCAGTGTTGGAGCTGATAAAGAGGCACGAGCCTGATTCCAGCCCATTTGTGGCTCTGTCTCCCATGCCACTCTGCTTATATAGACTTACAGAATTACATTGAGCCCATGCAAGCATTCTACAAAATGTTCATGGAAAATGCATATTATGAAAAAACTATGCAATGGATTTCTAATTTTGTTTTTTTTGCACCAAAATAAACTCGCACTAACTTGCAATAACATGTCTGATCAGGACCCAGTTTGAAGCACTAAGAAGGATAAGACATTAGTTTGAAAAAAGTCCCTGTCAGAGCAACATGTATTCTGTTAAAATTGAAGCAAGAACAAGCATCAAATTTATGGTGAAACTTGAGCGGAAGAATAGTGAAATCATTGATGTTTTATGAAAAGCTTATGGGAAAAATGCCCCCAAATAAATCAGCAGTTTACAAATGGATAACTTGTTTTAAGAAGGGTTGAGACAATGTTAAAGATGAAGCCTGCAGCAGCAGGTCATACACATCAATTTGTGAGGAAATAATTCATCTTGTTGATGCTGTAATTGAAGAGTACCCGTGATTAACCACAGAAACAGTATCCAACACTATAGACATCTGAACTGGTTCAGCTTATACAATTTTGACTGAAAAATTAAAGGTGACACAACTTTTCACTCAATGAATGCCCAAACTGTTGCACCCAGATCAGCTGCAGACAAGAACAGAGCTTTCAATGGAAATTGTAAGCAAGTGGGATCCAGATCCTGAAGCATTTTTTCGAAGAATTGTAACAGGAGATGGAACCTGGTTTTACCAGTGTGATCTCAAAGACAAAGCACAATTAAAACAGTGGCTTCTAAGAGAGAAAATGAAAGCAAGAGCAAAGGTCATGCATCAGTTTTGAGATACTCAAGGCCCTTTGCTTATTGACTTTCTGGTGGGCCAAAGAGCAATAACACCTGCCTATCATGAGAGTGTTCTGAGAAAGTTAACAAAGCTTTAGCAGAAAATGCCGTGGTGGAGAGAGTCCTCTACCACGGCAATGCTCTTGCTCATTCCTCTCATCCTTCAAGGGGGTTTTGCAAGAGTTTCAGCAGGAAAATTGTTAGGCATCCCATTTACCTTACAGTCCTAATTTGGCTCCTTATGATTTCTGTTTGTTTCCTAATTTTTTTTCTTTTTTTTTTTTTTGAGACATTCTCACTCTGTTGCCCAGGCTGGAGTGCAGTGGCATGATCTTGGCTCACAGTAACCTACACCTCCCGGGTTCAAGCAATTCTCATGTCTCAGCCTCCCAAGTAGCTGGGACTACAGGTGCACGCCACCATGCCCAGCTAATTTTTGTATTTTTAGTAGAGATGGGGTTTCACCACGCTGGCCAGGCTGGTTTTGAACTCCTGACCTCAGGTGATCTGCCTGCTTCAGCCTCCCAAAGTGCTTTCTGGGACTATAGGCACGAGCCACTGTGCCTGGCCTTTGTTTCCTAATTTTAAAACAGCTTTAAAGAGAAACAATTTTTCTTCAGTTAATAATGTAAAAAAGACTTTATTCACATGCTTAAATTCCCAGTACCCCCACTACTTTAGGGATGAACTGAATGGCTGATATCATCTCTTACAAAAGTATCTTGAGCTTGATGGAGCTATGTTGAGAAATGAAGCTTATATTTTTTATTTTTATCTTTTAATCTTTTTTCCATGAATTTTTGGAGTCTTGTGTTTCTCATTTATCAACAGTATGAAATGCAGTGACTGGCTAGACATTCATGACAGGACAGATTTCCCTAGATATCGATGACTTTATGTCTTTTGAATGGAGAGCAGTGGTGCCTGAAGTTCTACTATAAGAGTTGTGTGACTTTGCGGCCAGGCAGGGTGGCTCACACCTGTAATCCCAGCACTTTGGGAGGCCAAGGCAGGTGGATCACTCGAGGCCAGGGGTTCAAGACCAGCCTGGCCAACATGGTGAAACCCCATCTCTACTAAAAATACAAAAATTAGCCAGGGCTGGTGGCGCATGCCTGTAATTCCAGCTACTCAGAAGGCTGAGGCAGGAGAATCGCTTGAACCCAGGAGGTGGAGGCTGCAGTGAGCCAAGATTATGCCACTGCACTCCAGCCTGGGTGACAGAGTGAGACTCAGTCTCAAAAAAACAAACAAACAAAAAACTCATAAAAAAAACACAACAAAAGCAACAACAGAAAAGAATTGTATGGTTTTGGAAGAATATAGTAGCAGAAGTAAAGACCTTTGAGGGAGCACCCTGTTCAAAGCTCTGATTTTTGTATGGTCAGTACACAGCTCTGGGGAGCACCTGGTTCAAGCCCAGACACTCAGGTGGGTACAGACAGTCTACAGCTTTGGGGAGCACCTGGGTCAGGCCCGGAAGCTCAGGTGAGCAGTCTACATCTCTAGGAAGCATCTGCTGTAGGTGGCACAATCTTGGCTCACCGCAGCCTCTGCCTCCTGGGTTCAAGCAATTCTCCTGCCGAGGGACAATAAGAAGCTGACATTCGGGAATTTTCTTTGGGTAGGTTCTCTCAATCCTAAAGATTCATGTAATGTAGTAATAAGTGTATTCAGCCACCTTTTAACATTATTTCTGGTTGTGAAATGTGTTCACCAAGAGTTGTTTCACTACCTTGAATGATTGTTTTGTTGCTCTTCTTTCCAGTCTTGCTAAAGCATCATTTCTAATTAAAATATAGGCTTTTTAAAAACACTATAGGATTCGAGTTGAGGTTTAATCAAAAGGATACAAAGAAAGATAAATTCTCTTCACAAGCCTCCAGAAACTGAAGCATAGCTCTTGCTAGCCTTCGCTGCTAAATGTTGTCATGTCCTTAGTAACGATGTCGTTATCTCTCTAGTATCAGAAAAGAAAATGCCACTGCACTTTGGCCACTGAGCTAGCTTGCTTAGCCCAGGTGTGTAAGAATGTTTCCATCAGTCAGCCTCTTTTGTCTCTCCTGTGCCTTCCCAAGCCTCCTGGTTCTTTTCACTTCTGTACATTTCTGCTGTACCATCTTCAACATTGTGGATGGTAGTACTAGCTGACAGGCAGGTACATTGCAGGCCTTCTCATTCCCAAGTCCTCTAAGCCAGGTATGTTCAATATGGGCTCTAGAAGTCTCCCCTGGGACTTCAAAGGGACAATCGATTGTCTCCTCCATTTATCTGTTGCCCTGAGTAACAGAGGAGTCCCTACCCCAGCAATGGCTCCTGGGTGAGACATGCAGCTGTATCTGGTTCCAGTGAGTATTGTTCCTTCATCCATTTCCTGAGAGGCTGGAGTTGGGGTGGCAGGAGGCCTGCTTCAAAATCTCTCCATGTCCCAAGCATTGTAGCAAGTACTCTCAGTCATCTCTGCCTTCAGTAAACTCTCATTTCCTGTGGTTTCCTGAGGGGAAGGAATGAGGGGGCAAAGATTGTAAGGCACCATCCCCAAGTATTTCCCTGAGTTGGTTTCCTTCTGACTTTCCTCTTAGGAGCTTTTTGGTCTAAAGAGTGTAACTGGTGTAGGAGCTGGGCAAGGGTGAATGGACTCCATTTCTCATGCTCATCATGAGATGGGCCCCAGTGCATAGGAAGAGTCTGCTGGTATTGATCGTGGTCCCTTTTCCTGAATCACTCCCTTACATTCATTTTCATGAAAGGCACCATGGAGCTTCATGACCCATTTCCTCTCTCTGGTCATTAGTTGCTGTTTCAAAACAAAATCCTTCTGTCATTGATCTTGGCTCCAGCGTTGAGCTCAACTCAAGGGTTGCCTGCGCTCTTTCACAATCTGGCAAGTGTAACAATACTGAACATTGACTGCGGGCTTTCCCTTAGTTCCAAGTATGGTGCTGCCTAGTGCTTCACTTGTATCATCTCCTCTATTCTCCATGACAATCCTGTGAGGCAGGTTCCTCTAGTATCTCTCTTTTACCATGAGAAAATGGCAGCTCAGAAAGGTCAAACTTGCCTATGGTCACACAGCTTGTAAGTATCAGCATTTAAACTTGCATTTCCACCTTCAGATCTGCCCTATTGTGCCTCATCTTCATGTCCTTGCACATATTGTCCCATTGCTTGGGCCTCCTTCTCTCCATGCTTCAGTGCTCAGTTCAAGTCCTACCCCCTCTTTGGACATCCCAGACAGAAGTGATCTCTTCTATGGACTCATATAGCTCAGGTAGCACAAACTGCTTACCATTCACTGCCTTATGCTATAGTTCATTTTCATGCCTCTGCTTACCAGTTGAGTGGCACATTTTCTGAGGGCAATTCCTAATGCATTTCCCATCTCCTGCAGTGGTTAGCATACATTCCCACATAGTGTTATGTTTGACAAATCCTGGTTGTTGATTATGTTACTTTAAATTTGGGCCATTACCTGTGAAGGCAGGAATGCATCTCACTGAATTGATATCGTGCAAAGCAATTTGAGAATTTTACTAGCATAATTCACTTTTCCAATCCCCCTTATTTAAGAAATAATCTGGTTCTAAAACAAGGAATAATATATGGCTATTTCCATGAAATGATTCACTGAAAACAAGAAAAATGGTTTAAACCTTCTAAAGTTAAATCTACAAATAACATTCAGTGTCAACTATGCTGTTTCCCTGCCAAAAAACAAAACCTCCATTTTGAAATGTAACTGTTGGGTCATTCCACCAGAGGTCCTGAGAGCCCCAGTGCTGGGAATTATATCTGTAGGCACAACCTCTTTCCTGCCCACAAATCCAGAGATTCTGAGAGCTCCCCTCTGCACATCAGCCCGTGGGCTGCCCTTGCCATCCACCCTGAGCAGTGTAGGCACTGCTTCTCATTGCTGCTTTTAAACATGACTTGCGGACAAGATAACAGCAGCAACTTGATTTTCAGCCATTGTGGAGAACAGCATGAAGGTTCCTCAAAAAATTAAAAATAGACCTACCGTTCTATCTAGCAATCATCTTCTGGGTGTGTATCTAAAGGAACTGAAATTAGTCTGTCAAAGAGATATCCACACTTCCATTTTTATTACAGTATTATTCACACTAGCCGAGATATGGAATCAACCTCTGTCCATCAATGCATGAATAAAGAAAATGTAACATATGCGCACATATATACACACCATGGAATATTATTTAGCCATAAAAGGAAGGAAATTCTGCTGTTTGCAACAACATGTATAAACGTGGAGAACATATGCTAGGTAAAATAAGCCAGACAAAGAAAGACAAATACTGCATGATCTTATGTATATGTGGAATCTAAAAAAATCAAACTCGTGGAAGCAGAGTAGTAGAATGATGGTCACCAGAGGCTGGGAGTGGGAGAATGGGGAGATGTTGATCAAAGAGTGCAAACTTTCACTTATAAGATGAACAAGTTCTGGGGAGCTCATATACAGCATAAGTGGTAATGGATGTGTTCATTAATTTGGTTGTGATCATTATTACAGAATGTCTACATGTATCAAATTATCACATTGTGCCCTTTAAATATGTTCCATCTTTATTCATCAATTAAATATTTAAAAAATGCTACAGAAACAAAATGTTAAACCCTGAGGGTCCTTGGAATATAAGAAGCGAGTGAGAAATGGAGCCATTTTTGAAGAAACATTAAGGCACAGATATGATGCCAAACTAAGATATAATTATAAAACCAAACCAAAGCATTGCATTCTACAACGAATAGAATAGTGATTATTAATCATCTAAGCAGATACTATTTCAGAAAATTGACCAGTAATTATGACTGCGGAGAGAGTGTGCCCTTGTATTTATTCTCTCATTGCCTCCAGCTATAAGCAGGTCTGCCAGCATTTCCCTTGCCCGAGGCTCTCACTGCTCTCACCATCTCCATACAGGCACTAGCAATGCCCGTTTCTTTATCTACAGTACCACTTTTGGTCCTGATCTCTGGACTTCTAGTTCCCACTGCCTGTTGGGCATGTGGACATATGTTTGGATGTAATAGGTTTCTCAAACTCAACAACTAGTCTCTAAAGATGACTTACATCTCCTACTCCTAGGTTTCTTCCTCACTGAGCCCCATCCATACCACTTGGTGGTGGTTTCTTCGGCAAACCAACTGCTGCCTCTGCCCCTCTACATTTGCTCTTCAGCAAACTGAATACTTAGAACACTTTCCCCAGATATCATAATGACTTTTTCAGAACTCTGCTCAAATGTCACGTCTTTAGAGAGCTTTTCTATGCCACTCCTCTTCTGAAAGTAGTTCCCATTCACTCCCCCGCCTTACTTTTTCTTCCTTGCACTTGTTACCACCTGACATTATAAATGGCTTTGTGTTTTGTCCATCTCTCCCACCAAAATATAAATTCAACCAGGCCAAAATCTTTGTTTTATTCAGTCTTATGCCAGGCACATAAGTTGGTGCTCAACAAATTTTTATTAAATGACTTAATTAACTTATAATATTTCTTCCCATTCCAGACCCCTCCTCTGTGTGTGTTCTGGTTCTATTAGCAGCATATTCGTCTATCCAACAACTCACTTGCTGCAAAAATTTGGATTTCATAGGTTCTGACTCTCTATCATAAATCACTCCTGGAAATGTTTGATTGTATACCTGGGCCTGGGGCTGAAGCAAGAGTGCAAATGGAATCCAAAGAAGGCCCACCCCCTTCTTTTTCTATTCCGGCTCTGTTCCATTCCAGGAGGGTCCTCACTTCCACAGGTATGGCAACCCAATCTGCAGGTCCAAGCTCTGTCCATGCCCAAATCCATGCCCTCAAGGGAAGAAACATGAAGAATAGGCTGTTTCTTTGGACAGAGAATTCCAAAGTCCTGGACACTTGGAGTTTGTGATCTAGAAGGAGGGCGGAGGGTGAGGTCTGCATGGGAACATCCCTTTGGCCCCTGGGCAAAGGCACAGCTGGAGGAGGGCCAAATCAGGGCCTTCTAAAAAGCAGGGACCAAGGAGGCAGCTCTGTTGCCCTGGTCTAATGGCAGCGCTGCCTGGGATGAAACCCAGACTCCAACCAAGGGTGGATGGAACCAAACGAGTGAAGTCCCAAAAACATGTGCCTTCCCTCCGCTGCCTAAAAACCGAAGATTTAAGTTTTATCTCTCAAGAGCTAGCAATGTGGAGGTTTAGAAAAGGAAACTTAGATAAAAATACTATCAGAAAACTGGACTTTATCAAAATGTAAAGCTTTGGTTCTCTGGAAGACACTAAGAGAGTGGAAAGACAAGCCAAAGACTGGGAGAACTATTTGCAAATCACATATCTGATGAAGGATTTGTATTCAAGATACTCAAAACTCAATAAAATTAACGAACCATCCAACAACAACAACAAAAGTTCCTATGCCCAGCACTGTCTTGGGAACTGGGAAGAGTCCCAGCAAGGCTCTACCCAAGTGTAGTACCTCTCCTAAGAAAAGACAAAATCAAAGTCATATTTGAGTCAGTAAAGTACTTATAGCTGCAGTTTTTATGAATGTATACAACGGGGTATCCAGATGACTTTGTGATAGTGAGATGTTGAAAACTGTGTAGTTTGCCTTGTAACACCCCACTCGTCTGCAGGAGCTTCAGATGAAAGGGCACTGATGTCCAGCCTCTCCTATAAGATAGTTGGCAATAATCCTTTGAACCCTGTAGGGGAAGGATGGGAGCACCACCCTTCAGCATCCAGAGGGGGTGCTCATGGGTGAGTTTCACTGAAGGATTGTTAGTATCTGAAAGCAGGATAAAGAAGTTGCAAACCTCTCTGCTTACCTTGCTCATAATGTAAATAGCTCAATCAAGGTGCCTTCTGGATATAAGACTATGCTTTCTTTAATTTCATTATAAGGTTCATGGAAAAATGGCAATATATACAGTCCAAGGAAAGCACTTCTATACATAATTATTTGTTGTACAGAATTCATTATCACTTAATCAATGACAGACTGTTTCTCAAGGCCATTGGCTGGAGCCTGGAAGCATCATTGCTGCAGAGAACAATGATTTGTGAAGATTCAGAGGCTCCTCGTGCTACAATGGATGTGTTCATGGAGAGCTGCATGTTAAGTACATATGGGCACATCTGATCATATTTTATAAAAATAAATCCATGACAACTTTTATAGAGGGAATCCCATTTTAAAGTAAAGGATGATTCTTCCTCTGTTTTGATTAACCTCAGTGCTCACCAGTTTGCTCCAGATGTTTTTCCTGAGTATTAGAAAGGCTGAGGGGACATGGGGAAAATGCAGTGGGTTGGGGCTCATGGAAACAGTGAGTTTTGAGATGGCAGTGATGGGAACTGAGGAAGGGAGGGTCATAGAGAGCCGGGTGTGCCTGGGTGACAGCAGGCTGCCTTGGGCACATCCAGTGAGTCCTGTGGAAACAAGCATGAGTCAGAGCTGGAAATACACTCATGCATCGCTGAACGACGGGGATATACTCAGAGAAATGAGTTTGTATTAGTCTGTTCTCATGTTGCTAATAAAGACATACCTGAGACTGGGTAATTTATAAAGGAAAGAGGTTTAATTGACTCATAGTTCTGCATGGATGGGGAGGCCTCAGGAAACTTACAGTTATGGCAGAAGGGGAAGCAAACAAGTCCTTCTTCACATGGTGGCAGCAAGGAGAAGTACTGAGCAAAAGGGGGAAAAGTCCCTTATAAAACCATCAGATCTCATGAGAACTCGCTCACTATCATGAGAGCAGCAGCATGGGGGTAGCTGCCCCCATGCTTCAATTACCTCCCACCAGGTCCCTCCCATGACACGTGGGGATCATGGGAACTACAATTCAAGATGAGATTTGGGTGGGGACACAGCCAAACCATATCAGTGTTGTTAGGTGATTTTGCCGTTATGCAAATACCATAGAACATACTTAACACAATCTGGATGGTAGAGCCTACTTACTATACACCTAGGCTATACAGCATAGCCTGTTGCTGCTAGGCTACAAACCTGTACAGCATGTGGCTGTACTGAATATGGTAGGCAACTGTAACACAATAGTATTCGTGTATTTAAACAATGTAAACATAGAAATAGTACAGTAAAAACATGGTGTAAAAGATAAAAATGCTATACCTGTATAGGGCACTTATCGTGAATGGAGCTTGCAGAACTGGAAGTTGCTCTGGGTGAGTCAGTGAGTGAGTGGTGAGTGAATGTGAAGGCCCAGGACATTACTATACACTGTTGTAGACTTTATAAGCACTGCACACTTGGGCTACACTAAATTTATAAAATATATTTTTCTTTCTTCAATAATCAACTTTACTGTATAAAGCTTTTAATTTTTAAAAACGTTTTGACTGTTTTGTAATAACACTAGCTTAAAACACCAACACATTATACAGCTGTATAAAATATTTTCTTTCTTTGTATCCTTATTCTATAAGCTTTATTTTCTATTTGTAAAATATTTTATTTCATTTATTTTTTACTTTTTAAACTTCTTTGTTAAAAACAAAGATACACATACATTAGCCTAGGCCTGCATAGGGTTGGGATCATCAATCTCGCTGTCTTCCACCTCCGCATCTTGTCCCACTGGAAGGTCTTCAGGGGCAATGGCACACAGGGAGCTGTCATTTCCTAGGATAACAATGCCTTCCTCTGGAATCCCTCCTGAAGGACCTGCCTGAGGCTCTTTTACAGTTAACTTTGTTTTCAAAAAATATATATAAGTAGAAGGAGTACATGCTAAAATAACAGTAAAAAGTATAGTATAGTAAATACTAGATGACAGGAATTTTTCAGCTCTATTGTAAACTCTTGGGACCACTGTCATATACGTGGCTCACTGTTGGCTGAAATGTCGTTTTGCAGCTCGTGACTGTGTGTATGTATGGAGGGGCAGCTGACCTAAGTCTTCAGGTGCTTGCCCCTGGGACTTAGATGTGATTCATCAAATGTTGAGAGTCCTGGGCAAAAGGATATTAGGGTAAAAATGAATCTTAATGAACCAGCATATATATATTGAATATCTGCTGAATGTTACCATGCTGAACATTTACACTTATTCCTAACATAAAAGTATACAACATTCCATCTCATGGACCTTATAATCTTGTTGGAGAGATAAGATATGAAGATATGAAGAGTCAGATAAGAGCAGAAGACACTAACTTTGGAGACTAATAACAATAAATACAACAGGGCTAAATGTTAGAGAATTCTTCTTAGATTTAAAATACCAATGAAGAAATTCAGAATTGGGAATATCTAAGAATTTTAGATGACTACAGTCTCATAGATGTCGGCAGTGGGAAATAGCTTCCAGAAAGGAAATATACACAATCTCAAGCTTCAGAATGAAGGCTTTGTTCCCAGGGAAAGAGGGCCGAGGGGCCTTGGCATTCTGCATAGCTAAGCCCCTCTGGTGCATGGCTTGTGCATGGGCATGACATCAAAAGATTGCAGGGCTGGGCACGGTGGCTCGCACCTGTAGTCCCAACACTTTGGGAGGCCGAGGCCAGTAGATCACTTGAGGTTAGGAGTTCGAGACCAGCCTGGCCAACATGGTGAAACCCTGTCTCTACTAAAAATACAAAAATTAGCCAGGCTTGGGGGCTGCGCACCTGTAATCCCAGCTACTTGGGAGGCTGAGGCAGGAGAATTGCTTGAACTCGGGAGGCGGAGGTTGTAGCGAGCCAAGATTGTGCCATGGCACCCAGATTGGGTGACAGAGCGAGACTCTGTCTCACAAAAAATAAAAAATAAAAAAATAAAAAATAAAGATTGCAAATGCCTCTTGAGGGGTATGGTCAGGGAAGTGAAGGGTCTAGAAATCATGTTGAGTAAGGAGCAATTCCATCATTTATTCTTCAGCAAACACTGCTTGAATATATATGTGCAACCAGCGCTGTGGAACGTATTAGGGATTTAGATGGGAGTTTACTGAGGTCCGTCTAGTTAGCCTGGAAAAGAGAGGACTGAAGGGTGAAATTTAAGAATAATCGTGTAGAAGAAAAGTTCCAACGGGCAAAATAAGGGTTGAAAGGTGGAGATTAAAGGCAGGCAGAATTGGGACCCAAGTAAGGAAAATCCTTTATCACCATTAGACCAGGGTGAGCACTTTAGCTCTATCTGCAAAATAGCTTTGTGATGAGAATCCACCAAAATTAATGTGAATAAAGCATGTGTGAACATTATGTAACCTCAAAATGTCTGATCAAGGTAAGATTCTGTTCAGAGTGAGGTCAAACAGAGGTCATATGCTGACCGTCGATGGGTCCTTGTCTTGGATTAGTTGGGCCAGAGAACTTCCTAGGTGAGTAGCTCAGGAATGCTTTTCTGCAGTCTGGGGCTGGTCTATGAGGCCATTTTCTCTGGTCCAAAGCAAAATGAAAAAAAGTAGAAAGAGGAGACAGGAGACGGCAACATAGTAAACTTTTCATTTGTTTATTCTGAGATTGTGTGTTTCAGGTGCTTTTCATTTTTCTTTGGTATAAGAATGTTCTTTATTTTATGATAGGATGGTGTTAAAGGGTTTTGTTTTTAAAACAGTGTTACTTTTAGCAAAGTAATAAGCTGGCACTCCTTTTATGAGAGGATTTTATAGGCCTGTGAAATTTTAAATATTGGGAAACACTGTGTGATTTTCTTTCTGACTCGAAGGCTGTCACAGACTGTAAATAAGAAGAGGGATGGGGAGAGCAAATGCTGTGACAAGTTGTAGAAGGGAGAGCTGGCCACCTTTGTTCTAGGCAAAGTAACTGTTCCCTTAGCAAGGCAAAATCTAGCAAGCTGGACTCAGAGGCGTGCACTCCTGGCTGGGAAGGAGAGGCTGCCCTGGGCCTCAGGTGGGGTTCTGCTAGGGCAGCCCCAAGCTGGAACCCTGAGTCTGACCTCAGTTACCAAAATGACTGGAGTGTCTCTCGAGAAGCCAGCCGTGAGCAAATAGCACTGGCTTCTCTTCCTAGATGGCCCTTTCTGTAGCCATCGGTGGATTCCCATTGCATACCTCCATGATTCCCAAGTTATTCACTTCTGGGATCCTAGAAGTCCAAACTCTCAAATAGACTCCATTTTCACTCGTTGACTTTGTGTAATACACAATACTCTTTCAGTTGCAAGTGACAGAAACCCAGCTTGGTGAATCCAGTTGCAAGCTCACTTCCCATGGCATGAGAGGGGCAAGGGTAGGGTAAGTGGGGCCCCCATGGGCCTTCCTGGGCTCATCCTCTAGAAAAAGGAAATAAAGAGAGGTGCCGTTCTGAACAAATAAGAAATGTCTAGTATTGCATGTTTGGGAAAGTTCCCTGTCTGGACTCCATTCATATGGTGGACTCCCTGCTGGCTTAGACCAGTAATTAAAGCATGATTTTTTTTTTTCATTGAATGAGTTGAAAGAAACAACCCTGGCTCTTGACTACCCAAACAGGTCAGAAGCAGGCCTGTGTCTCTGGGCACCTGATATAGTTTGGCTGTGTCCCCAGCCAAATCTCATCTTGAATTGTAGCTCCCATAATTCCTACGTGTTGTGGGATGGACCCGTGGGAGATAACAGAATCATGGGGGTGGTTTCCCCCATACTGTTCTCGTGGTAGTGTATAAGTCTCATGAGATTTGATCATTCTATAAGGGGAAACCCCTTTCCCTTGGTTCTCATTCTATCTTGCCTGCTGCTGTGTGAGACGTGCCTTTCACCTTCCAGCATGATTGTGAGGCCTCCCCAGCCACGTGGAACTGTGAGTCTGTTAAACCCATTTTTCTTTAAAAATTACCCAGTCTCAAGTGTGTCTTTATCAGCAGTGAAAACGGACTAATACAGCACCACTAACAAAACTCCATTTTCTGGGGCAGCTTTCTTTAGCATGGAGTTGCTTTCCAGAAAACATACATTTAAATGACACTTTTTTCCTCCTAGCAGAGGTTCTGATTCCACGGGTCTGGGGTGAGACCTGGAACTGGCATTTGTGCCCAGACCCTGGGTCTCGGGGGAATGACACAGGTGGCCTGCTGGCCACAGTTGGAGGCTGCTTCTCTTTCTTGTTTTTTCCTGTTTTCCTGCAAAGCATTCTGGTCTTTCCTTCAGGCAGTTAATATTTTGAAAACGAATGGTTTAATGTACAAAGTGAACTATTTCAGGGAATCTAGGGATGAATGCTTTTGCAAGGTGAAGCACAATCTTTTGATGACGGAGCCCCCTTGTTCTCTTTGCTCTGCACCCTCTCCTGGGAAGGGATATTGTGGTTTGTCAAAATTCTGTGAAGGGCCTTTTTTTTTTGGATTCAAGGCACCCTGTTACCGGAGAGCCTGTGATAACTCCAGCTATTAGTATTAGTTTATTTTAAGTCTCAGTTTTAAAATAGCTGCAGGGCTGCACCTAGAATAAAAATGAATTAAAAAGAAAATCACGGAGTGGAATTTAAATAGTGCCTCAGGGATAGGCTTGCTCTTCTGGTGCCATCAGTGAGACCCACAAGATAGATTTTTTTTTTCCTCCTGAAAGCCTCACAGAACACCACTCACATGAGCAGACAGGGATTTTTGTCATCTTTTCTTTTCTGGGGTTTAAAAATATCCTTTTGAAGGAACACTTGTCTACCTTCCAGTCATTTATCTAGTCTCTAGTTGAGGACTGAGCAGCGAACGTGCGTTGTCTGTCTGGCAGGGACCAAGGACTGCAGGGCGTGATACTGGGAACATGAAGTCCATTAAGACACGGTCCCTGGAGCTTTCTGTCTAGTGTGAAGGTGGAGAAGCAAATGCACCCTGGTAATGGGAGGGTTCCTGTTTGTCCTGTGTGCTACCGGTGAGGAACACAGAGACCTCTTTCTGGGGAGTCAGCTATTTCGTAGAAGAGTCACCCTGGAGCCAAGTCTCCAACGATGGGTCAGAGTTTTCTAGTGGGGGGAGATACTTTCAGCAGAGGGAACAGCATGTGTGCAAAGGGAGGGACACGACATTGTGGAGGTGCAAGTGAATGAGAGGAGAGCACAGGAAAGCGGCAGGCCAAGTGGCAGGCAGGCCTGGGGGCCCAGTCAAGAGTGGATTTGTGTATACCTGGAACTGTCTGGATGTTATTCTGGAGGTGAAAAAAAAATTAGGTAAGAGAGTGATGTGATTGGATTTGCTTTTTGTTTTGAATGACCATTTTGCTGGTAGAGTAGGGATTGTATTGGTAGTTGTGTGAGATTGACAGGGAAACCTGTTTGACAGCTATGGCAGTGGTTTGGGTGAACAGTGCTACAGGTGTGAACCAGGCCAGGGCACTGGGGATGAAAAACTGGTCGAAAGAAGAGGTGTTTAGAAGGTAGAGCAGAACAAGAGGCACTCTAGACCTAGATGGAGTGGCCAGGGAAATAGGAGGAAAATCCGTTGCCAACAGAGAAAATGCAAAGAAGGAAATATTCATAAGGCCTGAAAAATACCCCTGGGTTTGCAAGTTACGGGTTTGCCAATTGTGAGGCTTCTGTAACCCTGCCCTTGGGGAGAACAGTTTTGAAGCATCCACTGGTGGATTGGAGAAACAGACTGCAGTGGTTGGAGAGAGGATGGAAGAGAAGACGCTAAGATAGGGCTCAACTATAAGGAATGAATTGTAGAATTAAGCCACCTGCCTATAATCAGTAGGGCTTTCCTTTTTTATCTCTTTTGCTCATTATTATCACACCATATCCCTGAGGGTGAAGAACAACTTTGAAGAGGCAATGCCTGATAAATCTGGAATAGGGGAGAATAATTGGGAAATTCATTAATGATCACTCCATTTGTAATTCTTTTACGGAGTCCAAATGGTAGTTTACAACACCAATTTAAGCCTTATCGCATGAGAGGTATTGACTTAGTATGAGTCCCTGGAGAGGAATGCTAGTGAAATTCAAACATACTTGTGAATGTAAATTCAAACCCACATAGGACTGTAATCAAGGCACAGCCTATTCAGCAAATGAACACTTGAAGATGCAGGAATGGCAGATAACAATCTCAAAATATTTTCATTTTTCATTCTTTCTCCCCAACTGCATTGGGATGAAAAAGAAGGACAGGAAATAATAATGAAAAATTCTAGGTATAATGATAGATATAATTTATTGAATGCTTAGGTGGTGCCAGACACTGTGCTGAGTCTAGTTTGCAAACTATCTCATCTATTAGGTTGGTACAAAAGTAATTGTACCAACCTAATAATGCTTCCTCTAATCTATGAGGGAGGGACTATTACTATCCCCGTTTTGGCACTGAAGAACTTGAAGGCCAGTTGGTCACAAGTCTGGTTCCATGGATGTCACCATCCCAACTGGGCAGGCCTGGCTGTGTCCTAAGAGCATAGACTCAGCTCTTTCCCAAATGCACTGGCTCTCAGCTTATTTGTCAGCAAAGGGAGGTTGGTTCAAAATGCCTCTAACGTGCTCTCTGGCTGTAACATTCAACCAACTTCTTCCTCCTGTGGTTGCCTTTGCCTCTGGCCCCAGGAATCCAGCAAATGTGCTTTAGCCCAAGCTGAGAGTGACCAGTGGGAATGAAGATATCAGTCTTCCAGACTGGGGAAGCAGACGGTGAATTTCAAGTGCACCAGAGGAATATGGGAGTCCCAGCAGTGGCTTCCTTCTTAAACATTTACCATCCTGTGTCCTGCAGCAAGGGGATGGCATTCCCCCTGGATGGACTCTGATTTGCTTTTAAGTGTGCATTTCTCTAGAAATCTTTTTTTCTTATTCTTCACCTTTTAATTTTGTATGTTTCACTTTTCACGTGTCTTATTGCAAAGACAAATGTTTGAAGTGTTTGTTGAGATTTCCTGTTGTTCTTCCTGAGGCAGCCACAGCATAAGCTCTTTGACCCTCTACTTCTCAGCACATAAGCTTTCTTACCATCTATCACTGGAGTCAGGGGTGAGGGGAGGACCGCATGACAGTTGGTTAATATACACTTATTTTTTGGCAAAAACGTTTTCTCTGGGACCAGAATGATCTTGATACTGAAAAAATTTCTAGTGCTAGATCCTCTTTCTAAGTGTGAAAGGACTTATCTGGAATGCTCCAGAATGATCCCAAGTGTTGAGCTGAGAGGGACCTGGCAGCAGAATCTGATTATTGAAAAGTGGCAATTGTTGATTTATTGAAGACAGAATAATAACTCAGCAGAACTGTTATGTTGAGCTGAACCCGACCTCCTTCAGCCGAATCATGCAAGAATGCCTGCTGCATGGCTGTTGCTGCTACTTATTAAGGCTTGGTGTTCTGGGCACAGTGCAATGCATTTCTACATGGTTGATCCTCACAGCAAATGAACAACACAGGCTTAAGGAAACAAGCAACTCTCAAAGTCCTGCAGTGAGTAGAGCTTAGCTGTTGGTAGTCAACATGCCACGCGATTCGGGAGTTGAGCCTGTCTCCAGAGGTTAGAGATGTTCAGTTTCCTCTTAAGGTTCTTACGTAGATTTTTTTCATGACTTTATCTACATCCTCCTTAAATTTACGTTTTTAGTCCTTACTGGCTCTTGATATCACCAGTTTTGTTGTTATTAGTAATTTCTAACTGCCCTAAATTTGTCTGTTTTAAGATTCAAGGGATGATACCTCAGTCTGTTATCTGGAATATGGTTTACAAATCCATTTTTTCTCTTCAAGGCTTTGAAAACATTGACATTGTCTCCTCCTAACATTTTTATTTGTCTTGCAGACTCCTAATTTATTTAATTTATCGTTAGGAAGACGACTTTTCTGTCTTTTGATGATTTTAGCTGCCCTTCTCTAGACCTTGCTGATTCCATTATCTTTACCAAGAATTGAAAGTGAAAGTGGCATTTGTCATAGAATGCCATGGTCTTATTCCAAAGTATCTTAGGATGGAACAATACAAGGCATAATATGGGGTCAGTGAGGTTTGTTACACGAGTGAATGACCAACAACACTACTGTCTGTTCAAACCCAGTCTGAAGGGTGAATCAGACCGACCATTGGCCGTGAGGGTCTGGACTGCTCAGTATTATCTCAAGGATATCAAGGGTTATTGGAAACTGTGTGATCAAAGGGGCTCCATGACTTTATGCAGGGATTCAGTAGGGAGCCAAGAAGGTTGAGAATAGTTCAGAGACCAGAGTCTAAGACCAATCAAGAAGAATGGATCAATTAGAGATATGAATTCTGGTGCTTATATTTTTGTGGAGCTGGTTGTGAGATAAAAGGTCAAGCCTACCAGACTGAAAAGTGTATGTGAAAGCTCTTTAAAAAAAAAAAAAAACTACATACGTTATTTGGATATCACCAGTTTTTCCACTAATGTCCCTTTTTCTGCCCCAGGATCCAATTCAGGATTCTTGTTTCTTTTTTTTTTTTTTTTTTTTTTTTGAGACGTAGTCTCGCTTTGTCGAGTGCAGTGGCATGATCTCGGCTCACTTCAAGCTCTGCCTCCCGGATTCACGCCATTCTCCTGCCTCAGCCTCCCGAGTAGCTGGGACTAGAGGTGCCCGCCACCACATCCTGCTAATTTTTTTGTATTTTTTTTTTTTAGTGGAGACAGGGTTTCACTGTGTTAGCCAAGATGGTCTCGATCTCCTGACCTCATGATCCACCTGCCTCGGCCTCCCAAAGTGCTGGGATTACAGGTGTGAGCCACTGCGCCTGGCCAATTCAGGGTTCCACAGTGCATTTAGAATTGCCCCATCTTGATCATCATATAGTACATATTGTAATGCATATTTTCCTGAAAATTTATGTAGAAATTGGATTTCTGTACCATTTGACCCAGCAATCCTATTACTGGGTATATACCCAAAGGATTATAAATCATTCTACTGTAAAGACACATGCACACGTATGTTTATTGCAGCACTATTCACAATAGCAAAGAGTTGGAACAACCCAAAAGCCCATCAATGATAGATTGGATAAAGAAAATGTGGCACATATACACCATGGAATGCTATACAGCCATAAAAAGGATAAGTTCATGTCCTTTGCAGGGACATGGATGAAGTTGGAAACCATCATTCTCAGCAAACTAACACAGGAACAGAAAACCAAACACCGCATGTTCTCACTCATAAGTGGGAGTTGAACAATGAAAACACATGGACACAGGGAGGGGAACATCACACTCCAGGGCCTGTCAGAGGATGGGGAGCTAGGGGAGGGATAGCATTAGGAGAAATACCTAATGTAGATGACGGGTTGATGGGTGCAGCAAACCACCATGGCATGGGTATACCTATGTAACAAACCTGCACGTTCTGCACATGTATCCCAGAACTTAAAAGTATAATAATAATAATAACAGCTGAAATTAAAAAGAAAAAAAAAGAAATTTGGTTCCTGTAAATCAAACGACTTACATCATAAATTATCAAGATAACTGATACTATCTATATTGTACAATGACAGAACATATGCATTTTTACTTTATACTCCTAAATTATTGAATATTAGCAAAGAAAGGAGGGTCAACAGTCATCTAAATATATAACTTTTTATTTTACAGAGAATTACCCAAATAGGTGAAATGGCTTAGATAAATTCACATTGTTTTAGGTATAGAGCCAGGACCTCAGTTTTCTTCCTAGTCTAGTGTTTTTCTAGTGTATATTTTGCCCTTATCCCAACCATTACAACCCATGTGAAACCTCTTTCTTTAGAGATGGTATGGTAACTTAAAGAGCCAGCTGAAGATAATCATTCACGTGGTAGACATGGCCTGGCTATCATATTGTTTGAAGACAGAGATGCTGGCTTCTCAAGACCCTTCCAAGCTTGGGTCATTTGCTGTCCATGCGAGCCTGTCCAACCTCGGGGAGAATCACACTTACCACTGGTCTCCACAGACAAGAGGACCCTAAGTCTTCCCAAAGCAGTGCCCTGGACAGACTGCATAGAGGATGTGTGACCCTGAGCCAGCACTAGAAAGAAGAATGTGGAGAGTCCTCCAGAGTTTGTTGTGTTGGTATTTGGCTTGTCTATAATTAATCTGTACAGAACATTGCTTAAAATAATCAGGCCAACGTTAGAGACTGAGGATACTTTTACAGTTCTGGGACTTTTAATGACATTTATTCAAATTTGAATTACAAATAATCTAGACTAGAAAGTTAGGGGAGTTCTTGGAGGTTATATATTAAATGTAACTGTAAGAAAGTCCTTGACTCGCTTGTTTACTACAATTATATCCTTTCCTTTTTCTGAGGATCCTTGGGAGAAGTCTCTTTTGGGTCTAGTCTCAGTAATAATTGCACTTCTTTTCTTTATTCCTTTCTACCTTTCTGTTTTTTCGCCCTCCTTCCATCCACCTCCCCTTATATCCTGTTTTCTTCTTACCTGCTTTTATAAATTTCATAGATGGTGTGAAATGAATAATTGATCACAATTCCCTTTTGTTGTTGCCTGATAATTTGGCTCTAAGAACATTTAGAGCCAAATTAGTGGTTCATCTTCAGCAAGTGAATAGAACTTATTTTAACAAGTGGATAGGACTCTATACTGCACATTTTATTATTGGTCTTATTTATGGCTCAATTTTTATGTCTCTCATATCCTTTGTTTTTCTTTCTCATATATTCATAATTTGTAGTGACTTGGTGGATTTTTGGTGTCCCTTTAATCAACCCTCAACCCTTTTTGGAATGATATAGGTCATAAAAACTAGCAGCGTAGTTGTCCCTCTTAAAATATAGAAATGAGGTTATGTAGCACAATTTATGAACCCCAGTGGCTTTCAGTAATCAACATCTCTTCCATATACTCAGGAGCCACCAGTTTCATAATTAATTCCATTGTGGGCTTTAGCTTGGGCTTTTGAGGATGTGCCTTCCCCCTCTCCTCCCACCAGATCTAGACAAAATCTGAGCCTTTTCAGGTCTCTGGCATCTCTTTGAAAATGTCCCCAGACATGGACCTGTGAGCCCCACCTTCAGTGCTGGGCAGTGCTTTATCGGGGCCTGAATAGTTGAACTCATTTAAAGAAGCCAACTGTTCTCCTATTATCCTTTCACTCTCTTGTGCTTCACTTATTTCTTTATGGTGTTTATTCTACCTTGCTTCCTCTCAAGATCATTTTCCTAAGGAAAGGCAAACAAACTAAGAGTTTTGCCTTCTTATTGCCATCTGTGAGCATTAAATTATCTTCTCTGAGCAGTGGATTCATCATTTCTTGCTTGTTTTTTTCCCCCCCAATACGTAGCTCAAAAATTCTTTTAAAAATGTTCTAGCACTTTTTGAGCCTGCAGCCCTGCTGACAGATGCCCTGACCCCTGTGGCAGAGCTGTGTGCCCGTGCGGTTGGGGACCCCTCCTCCCCACATTTGTCCCTGTCACTTCAATGCTCCAACTCTGGCAGACAGCTGGTGACTGTGTGGCCCTCTTTAGATGCCTCTACTCTTTTTTTTTTTCCCCCTCTGGGATTGTTTGTGATTGTCGCGCTGAAACTTGACCTTTCATGATCTTTCTTGCTTGAAGGGCTTACCCTGTTGGCCTGCCTAGCCATGGGATTCTACCTATTTTTCTCCCCAATAATGTTTTCCATTCATTTTTTTCTCAAGTCCAGGTGCCTACCCAGTGCCTCGCTCCATCCTTTATTCCTCATCTGTTGCAGCTTCAGTTTTTCCTGCTGGCTCCTTAGCTTCTACCTACAAAGATAAGCAGAGCATCCCTGTCCGGAAAAAAATGAAAAAAAAAAAAGATTTAAAATAAGAAAAGAAAAAATGATAGAAAGAAAAACCCTCTTTGATTGTGTTATCCCCTCTGGCATCTCTCTTACATCTTCCTTTTGCATTTGCACCCACATTCCTTGACAGTCCCGCTGCCCTATCATTTGCTCCCACCCACTCTTTCCTTGGTCCTTTGCAGACGGACTGCTGGTCTCCTGATGCTTTGAAACTATGAGCTCCAGTGCGGTTGTCCGAAGAGCCGTTCCCACACAGGCAGCGAATACCAGGCTCTACAGTAAAGAGTGACGTTCCTCACTGTGTGCTGGTTGACTGCATTTCTTGGCTTGTTCCTTACCTTGCGTTCTGCTCCAGTGCTTTTTCTTACCTTGCTGCTGACCTAGCAGTTCATTCAACCTCTCTGTCCTCACCTGCCCTATCAGACTGACAGGTTCTCATCCCTCTGGGCTAACAGCCTTGGCTTTCCTCCCAGTTTTGTTTTCATTTCTTTCCCAATTAGGCTCAATGCATTCAAAGATAACCCTGGAAAAAATTTTCTCCTGCTGGTCTGACCCCCAGGATCTTCCTGCCTATGGACTATTCCCTGCTTGCATGTATCATTCCCTGCTTAAAAATCTTCAACTACTTTTATGATATAAAGGATGAAGTCCAGCATCATTTGCCATAAGCTCTGGTCGCGGAACACATGCCTTTGCCAAGACATGGGGGAAAATAGTAATAGGGTCGAGAGCACCAGCTCCAAATCACTGTCTGGGCTCCAGCTCTGGCTCTGCTGTCATCCTAGAAGCTAAATAGCCTTATGCAGGTTACTTACAGTCCACAATATGTACCTACAGGTTTATTGCAATAACTCTGTAAAGTGCTCAGTTCGGTGCCTGGCATATATTATCATGACCTTTGGGTGCAGTCTCAGAACCCATGCAATCCAGCTTGACTTGAAAAGGAGAATGCGGCTGGGTGTGGTGGTTCATGCCTATAATCCCAGCATTTTGGGAGACCGAGGCAGGCAGATCACATGAGGTCAGGAGTTTGAGGCCAGCCTGGCAAACATGGCAAAACCCTGTCTCTACTAAAAATAAAAAATTAGCTGGGCATGATGGCATGTGCCTGTAATCCCAACTATTCGGGAGGCTGAGGCAGGAGAATCACTTGAACCCAGGAGGTGGAGGTTGCAGTGAACCAAGATTGAACCACTGCACTCCAGCATGGGTGACAGAGAGAGACCCTGTCTCAAAAAAAAAAAAAAAAAGAAAAAAGAAAAAGAAAGAAAAGGAGAATGCATCAAGGTGCAGGGCTTTCATGGGGCTCCCACACAAGGAGAGCAGCCTGACCCCAGAGAACTCAGATCAGGATGGAAATGGAACAAAGTTGGCCAGGCATGGTAGCTCATGCCTATAATCCCAGTGCTTTGGGAGGCTGAAGCGGGAGGATCATTTAAGGCCAAGAATTAGAGGCCAGAGACCAGCCTGGGCAACATAGTGAGACCTTGTCTCTCCTCCCCGCAACAAAAAAAGAAGAAAGAAGAAGAAATGGAACAAGGCAGGGGCTAGTATGGTCCCTTCTGTCCTGATAGCTCATCTCTGCCTGTCTGCATTTGTCTGCTTCATTCTACTCATTCTGCAGACTGTCTTTCACTTCTTTTGGTTCTTAGGAGCAGATGGTCTCCTTGTAGCTCCTGAGTTTCTGCACCCATAGAGCAGCAGACCAGCAGATAATCCAAATCCTAAACTCTTGGGAGAAAGCATCTGTTTGGTTCAGTTTTTGTCATGTGTTCACCCCAATTCAAACAGCTGTGCTGGGGTGAAGTGTGAATGGTCACTTAGAACAAATATGGTTGCAGGAACTGATTCTGAGGACAGAGAAGGAGGTGTGGCTTACTAACACTTAAAAGACATTTACTACCTTCTGTCTTCAATCTCATGGCTTAGTGTGTCCTTATAGGAACTCTCCACTGGGCCAAACTCAGTGGCCTCCCTGCGAACATTTACATCCTAATTCTCCAACCACTGCCCAGGTGTGAAATGTACATTCCTCCTTCACACACATACACATGTGCACACACACATACACGTGCATGCACACACGCACACACACGTGCATGCACATGTAAACACATGCACACACACGCGCGTGCTTTAAATAATACATCACCTTCCATAGTCAGCTCAAGTCAGATTTCTGTAGAATAACTTTTCTATCACATCACCCCACCCACAAGATAGTCTTCCTTCCTTGAACTCTATAACACCTGCCCCTTTCGGCCTCTCCTTTGTCACAGATGAAATGCCTGCAGATATGACTTATCTTCTGGGTAGACTGCAAGCTCTTGGAAGGCAGGAGGCATAGCTGGTTTCTGCTCAGAGATGATGGCTGGGAATAGTGACCACGTCCACCTTCAAGCTGTGTCCCTTCCCAAGTGATTACACTTTATTCCGAAATAAAGTGGTTACTCACTCAAGAGATTCCTGCCACCTACCCATCGCTGGCTGGCTCTTCCTTGATGTCAGAATTGTGTCAAGAAGAGCAGTTTCCCTAATTGCTTTCTCTACCATTTGGGAGGTAAAATTGTCAGCAGGACAAGGCAGGAATCTATTTGATGTTCTACATGTAATAGAGTGAGGCCTCCAGGAGATAGCAGGATTCTCGATAGTGCTGCTGTTGCTGGATTCGGAGAATGCTTTGCCATCTATATTGGGAAAGTGTTATTTATCCCCTGCAGCTGGAGGAGTGTTCTGTACTCGATTACCTCAACCAAAATGACTTCCGGTTGTCTCTCCTATTTTAGGAGACCCTGTGGGAAATCTTTTTATGATCTCGAGGCCTGACATCACCGTGTATCAGACTCTTATTTCTTATAAGAAGCAGCTGAAATTAACAGACGGTGCCTATCGTCTGTTATTCTTAAGTAGGTTAGACCATGATGTGTGCCCCCGTTCCTGGAAGGAAAGCTGGGCAGTAGCGCGAGGAGTGAGAACACATAATGTCTACAGGTTTCCTTTTAAAACTCTTTGTTGAGTAATCACACTGACTTCCTTTCTTTGTTGAGTGAAATGTGCCACTCAGTCTGGAAAGAGGTAAGAAAATTGACATCAAGGCTCACAATTCCTGCCCCAGGGGGAGGTGGTAAAAGAGGTGAGAACACCTTACTCCTTCCCCATCCACCAAGACAGTAGCAAGAACCCTGTGCCGATTGTAGGGTTTATTGAAGAATTGTACTTTCAGTTTTGTGGGAAATGTAGAGACAACAAACGCCTTTTGGTCCAGCTTCCTCTTTTGGAGTGCAGAAATTTTCATCTTCTTACAATGAAAAAAAAAGTCACAGTCTTGTTGAGACCATCATGAGGCAACCAGAATTTTGGCAACTTGCTGGGCATCTCCTTTTCTCTTCACCTAAATGTGGTCCCTGGGGGTCTGCCCTTGGTTTTGTGTATGTCATAGAGATCATTTTTTTTTTTTTTTTTCAAATATCAAAGCCCTGCCTGCTCTTTTCCCTTTCCTTATTGGCTCTTTGTTATTTCATCTTGGATACACATTATGGAAAGACAGCATTCTGCTTTGTCAGGTTACAAATAGCCATCCTGTGCCTCATGGGAGGGAGCTCCAAGCACCAAGATGTACCTACCTCCTGCCCCATGACTGCAGGTCGCTAATGTTTCCTTCCACCTGTGTGAAAATTTACCAAGAATTTACTTAAATGTTCTGTGAAGCATGGAACACTGCTCTTATTTGGAAGATTCAGAATATTTATGCATATGGAGCACAGCTGCAAACTTGTTGAATTTCTCCCCTCCTTCTCAACCTACTGTGTCATATTCTTTGACATTTTCCCCTCTTTGGTTTATTCTAATTTCTCAGAAATATCTTCTCACTGTCACCTTGCCATCTTGTCTAGGAGTCCTTTATCTTGTCTAACAAACCAGACGTAAAGAATCATTCCTCAAGCACCTTTCATCTTTGGGACAGAGGAATGAGCTTGCCCTTGCAAGCTCATCTCCCTGGGCAAGAAAACAAGAGGGCAGCCCACACATGTCCTGAAAGTCATTGGCCGGGAGCCCATGTTCTCGCATCACTAATGAACCAATATCCTTCCAGCTTCTTCCCCATATTTCACCTTTGAATACCCCTCTGCCCCCTGAAGTTTGCTTTTAGATCTTTTTTTTTTTTTTTTTTTTTGAGATGGAGTCTCGCTCTGTCACCCAGGCTGGAGCACACTGGTGCGACCTCGGCTCACTGCAACCTCCGCCTCCCGGGTTCAAGTGATTCTCCTGCCTCAGCCTCCTGAGTAGCTGGGATTACAGGTGTGCACCACCATGCCCGGCTAATTTTTGTATTTTTAGTAGAGATGGTGTTTCACCACGATGGCCAGGCTGGTCTCAAACTCCTGACTTCAGATGATCTGCCCGCATCAGCCTCCCAAAGTGGTGGGCTTACAAGTGTGAGCCACCGCACCCGGCCAGATCTTCTTTTTATTGAATTCTCTGACTACTGCTCTGTGGAAGTGTTGAGCCTGCAATAGTGAGATTGCCAGGGTCATGGCAAAAGGGTCCTGTGAAATAAAAATGTTACAGAGACCTATAGGTCCACCGCAATCCCAGAGATTGTTCTATTTTTGGAGGCAAGACTAGGGAGAAACCAAATCACTCTTATCTGGACAGGAGGACTCATCTGGGGTTTGGAGATGAAACACACTTGAAATGGCCTCAAAGATACAAGACCTGACTTTAGTCTATCATACTGGGGACCCCTAGAAAAGGACCCACCTGGGGGCTCCTCTGCTTTTCCCAGACATGGCCAGACCTGAGCATCTTCCAGGTAGTCACCTGTTTCCAGCTCTTCCTCTCTCCCTGGAAGGCCTGCAATTCACTAGGAGTATGGTCTTTGGCATTCCTTTCATTTAGAATGATATACTTGGCTGTTAAGACCCCTGACTTGTGCCTTTTTGTTTGCTTGCTTTTTCTGGGTAAAAAGTGACTTTTGGAATTGGAAGTACTAAGGAGCTTATGCATGACAGCTGTATCTGCAGGCCCCTAATGATGAGGGGGAAGTGGAATGGTGGCTAAGAGTGGGATGCAGGCAGAGGAAATGGAAAAAAGAAAAGGAAGTTGAGACCATGGGAGAGCTAAGAATCAAGAATGTCAGCTTCACTCAATTCAGTCTTCTGTTGGACATTCACCAGGAACTGCTTGATGTTGTTCTGCATGATGAACAACAGAGGTTCTCTTTGCTTCTCTCTAATTTGTTATTGGGAGGGCAGAGGAGAAAGTTTTGTCTATAGCAGAAAGGCTTTATGTGTAATGCTTGTCAGGTTTACGAACCTGTAACCAGCACCATGCCTGGCATGTAGAGAGTGAGTAGGAAGTCTTTATAAACCTATAATAATAGAAGGCATCTCATTGTCCCATCAAAAACGTAGGAAACCCAAAAGAATATGAAGTTGTTATGTTGTTATTTCCTTCTTAAGCTTTTAATTTGAAAGGTAGCAAAGGTTCTGCTGTTTGACATTTCTACCCCCTGCAATTCTGTCAGGAGAAATAGGTCACATCATGGTGGGAAGAGCAGAGAATTTGAATGGGGAGACAAGGGTTTGAGTCCCAAGTTTGCCACTTGGTGGTAAGGGATGTTGGGCCAGTTTGCTACTCTCTCTAAACTGTGGGTAATGGTTCTTGCTCACTCCCAAAGTGCTGTAAGATAAAATAAAATGATGTGGACAGGAGGAGTCTGGAAACTGCAAATGTGGTCTACAAGTATTAGTTGCAATGATTACAGAAATAAAGATGTAGTTTCAGGGCCCCTTAGTTCCTCTCCACCCCTGCTGATCTCAGCTATTTGAATACAGAAAAGAGAACGCAGCCCTTCTGAGACAGCCAGGCCTTTTATTTTGAGACTTAGGATCTCAGACCCAAAGCAAGAAGCAGCAGGACACCAGCTTTCTCTCTGACAGCCTCTGGTGCAAGCAGGTCTGGCTGGACTATGTACATAAAGATGCTTAACAGAAAGAAATAGGCAGTTGAAAGAGACAAAGTTAGGCTCAGGGTGAGCATCCTTTCTCAGCCGTTACAGCTTTCAAAAAATGTTAACTATACTAAAACTCCCAATTAAAGACTTTATACATGGGGAAAACAAGCTGAGTCAGGGGATTGTCCTTTAGAGACCCAGTCCTCTAAGATCCCAGTCTGAGTCAGCAAAAACAAAGTTGGTTTCAGGGGGCAGGGATTTCATACCTCTCTCCCACTGAAGACCAGACTCCTTGAGAGAATATAGAGAAGAGAATAGAGAGAAAGTACATCCTGAACATTATTCACTTTACCCTCATTTCTCTCATATAGAATATAATAGAGAATCTCTTGTAGAAGCCCCTGCCTTTTCCGCCTTTCAGCTGTGCTACATCCTGGTGGAATGCACCCTCGCCATGTGCACAGCCCTCACCTGTGAAGAGACATCAGGCAAACATGGGCCCTTTTCAATCTGATATGATTTGTCAGAACTCTGCTTGCATAGGTAATTTTGCTGTTTTAATACCACTAGATAGAGAAGCTGCTTGGGGCTTGCTGCCCTCAATATGGGTTTGGGATGATACGATGAGAAGTGTTCTTCCCTTTTGTGGGGTCTCCCATGGCCAGAGCTGCCCACCTGGGAGCCTACTTGAAATATGACAGATGTCTGCACCTGCACGCTTGCTCTGCTATTCTGTGGGAGGTCCTGGACACAGGTGAAGAAGGTATCCAGATTCCAGAAACCTGAACACTGGCTATGAGGGAGATGGGGGTTGGAGGAGATCTTGTGCCCTCCACCATGGTTAAGTGAATTGAATTTAGGTATTTGGCTTGGGAAGCTGTGCAGAGAGGTGAGGAAAGAGGACCTCTACAGCAGGCCTGTGAGAGGAGGCTACTGCACATCCAGCCCAGAGCTGGTGACCCAGCAGGTGTAATCCACTATTTTTTTTTCTTGTCTTTTCCAGGCATTAACTGTCTCTTGGCCTGCTGTGATATACTCCCAAGAGGATTCCTTATGAGGTATCCTTATTCATGAGTGCATTTAGCTCAGGGTCTGGTGGGTCCCAGATGCTCAAGGATTATTTTTATGAGGCTCTATGAAGAGGCAGAAGCAGCAGCTACCTGTTGAGCTGTGGTTGGTAAGTGGGGAGTGTTTTCTTAGCAAACAGGCTTGGCCTTGCCTTTGGTTTCTGCAGGGGGCCAATTCCTCTGCTCATTCACTTTATCTTGTATCAAGAGAGGCAATTCACAAAGCACACGGGGGCCAAGAGCAGGGAATGAAATTAGAGCAGGTATTTTGGCTGCCAACCTGGAGGCAGGTGAAAGAGCAGAGAGGGAATACAAGCACAGAAGAGAGGTGAACCTTTGTCCCCACATTTCCAGAAATCTGAAGACGGCCCAGCCACAGCCCTGTTCCCATTAACCTCCCAATGCTAATGGTGTCTGGTTTGCATCTGTGTTAACCTTTCCAGGCTTGGTGTCTGTAACTGACAGCAGCGCACACATGTCTCTTCTAGTCGAGGTTTCCAAAGATGCAGAAAAAAATTAAATGCAACAAAACCCTAAATGTTTGCACTGCAGCCAAAGGGGAAGCAGTACTTTTTTTTTTTTTGACAGGGTCTCACTCTGTTGCCCAGGCTGGAGTGCAATAGTGCAATCTCAGCTCACTGCAGCCTCCACCTCCCAGGTCCAAGCAATTCTCCTGCCTCAGGCTCCCGAGTAGCTGGGATTATAGTTGCGTACCATCACGCTCGTCTAATTTTTGTATTTTTAGCAGAGACGGGGTTTCACCATGTTGGCCAGGCTGGTCTCAAACTCCCAACCTCAAGTGATCCACCTGCCTCAGCCTCCCAAAGTGCTGGGATTACAGGTGTGAGCCACTGCACCCGGCCAGGAAGCAGTACTTTCCACTGGTCTTCAGGGGCAAGGGTTTGGGAAAGAGGGTTTGTGTGGAGATTTAACATTTCTTATGAGTCTATGGCAGGCTAGGCACCATGCTAGGCTGAGGATGCAGAGATGAATAGACAACAGTGCCTGCTTGCAGAAAGCCCTGGTCTAGAGGGAATATGCTAAGACAGCCAGCTCTCTGAGGGAACACAGATTTATTTTAATCGAGTCTTAGAGACCTAGGGTTCTGGCAGACTTCTTTTAAAAACTTCTTATTTTGAGATAATTTTAGATTCACACGCGGTTGTAAGAAAAGGCACAGAGAGATCCCATATACCCTTCACTCAGTTTCCCCCAGTGGTGACATCTTGCATCACTCTAGTGCAATCTGGCAGAATTTTAAGTCTGTTTAGGCGTGTTTTCTCTGCACCGTCTCCCATCTCCTCTTTTATTCTCTTCTTTTAAGATCTTTCTCATCTCACCCACACAGCCTTTGCAGGCTACAGGGTCTCTGCAGCCATGGAAGAAAGTCACTTAATTAGTCAACATATTCATATTACAGTGGCAACTTGTGTGCTTCGAGCTTGTTCTGGAGGGAGAAAGCCTACAATGGTGGTTCTTAGTTCTATTTGTTTTCTCACCATTTACTTGTACATCATGGTACATCCCTAGGGAAGTTGAGATTTACTGAGTTAAAAGAAATAACCACCATTGTTATTATTATAACAGCAGTAACGTGACCAAGACTTTGCGTTGTATGTACTGATGTATGTTTTCCTTAAAACAACTCTAAGGGGCAGTGCCTGTGACCTGAGAGGTTAAGGATATAATTGCTAATAGTAGAGGCAAGATTGTCTAACTCTAGACTCTTTCTTTAAAGTAGAAGTTAAACAAAGGAATGAATGGGTAACAGTGGACTTTCAGGAGCCCAAGCAGTGTTGTGGGAGCAATGTCAATAGGACAGGGAATCTCTTTCTGGTGCTTCTTTTATTATTATTATTATTTTTATTATACTTTAAGTTCTAGGGTACGTGTGCACAACGTGCAGGTCTGTTACATATGTATACATGTGCAATGTTGGTGTGCTGCACCCATTAACTCGTCATTTACATTAGGTATATCTCCTAATGCTATCCCTCTCCCCTTCCCCCACCCCACAACAGGCCCCAGTGTGTGATGTTCCCCACTCTGTGTCCAAGTGTTCTCATTGTTCAATTCCCACCTATGAGTGAGAACATGTGGTGTTTGTTTTTCTGTCCTTGCGATAGTTTGCTGAGAATGATGGTTTCCAGCTTCATCCATGTCCCTACAAAGGACATGAACTCATCCTTTTTTATGGCTGCATAGTATTCCATGGTGTGTATGTGCCACATTTTCTTAATCCAGTCTATCACTGATGGACATTTGGGTTGGTTCCAAGTCTTTGCTATTGTGAATAGTGCTGCAATAAACGTACGTGTGCATGTGTCTTTATAGCAGCATGATTTATAATCCTTTGGGTGTATACCCAGTAATAGGATGGCTGGGTCAAATGGTATTTCTAGTTCTAGGTCCTTGAGGAATCGCCACACTGTCTTCCACAATGGTTGAACTAGTTTACAGTCCCACCAACAGTGTAAAAGTGTTTCTATTTCTCTACATCCTCTCCAGCACCTGTTGTTTCTTGACTTTTTAATGATCACCATTTTAACTGGTGTGAGATGGTATCTCATTGTGGTTTTGATTTGCATTTCTCTGATGGCCAGTGATGATGAGCATTTTTTCATGTGTCTGTTGGTTGCATAAATGTCTTCTTTTGAGAAGTGTCTGTTCATATTCTTTGCCCACTTTTTGATGGGGTTGTTTGATTTTTTCTTGTAAATTTGTTTCAGTTCTTTGTAGATTGTGGATATTAGTCCTTTGTCAGATGGGTAGATTGCAAAAATTTTCTCCCATTCTGTAGGTTGCCTGTTCACTCTGATGGTAGTTTCTTTTGCTGTGCAGAAGCTCTTTAGTTTAATTAGATCCCATTTGTCAATTTTGGCTTTTGTTGCTAAAACATACTCCTGTCCTATTCCCTCTTGCCCTCTCCCTTTAAAACCAAAGCTGGGCCCGATTATCTTCAATGTGAACTCCAATAGAGTAGCTGGCAGTGGAGAGAGATCTGGGGTCACAACTTGTGCAGACCAACATTGGGTAGAATTCTTCAGAAGTTTATTTTTAAGCTTCTTGATTTTACATTCATGAGCCTCCAATAGTTCTCATCTCACTAATCTGGAATGTATGGGATCAGAGTAGAGATTGGCCTGGACTGGTCAGTACTATCTCAAGGATGTCCAGGGTGATTGAAAAACTAGCTTTTCTAGTACCTCTTAGAGGGAAGGAATCTGGTAAACAAGTAAATATGGTGAAAAGAGGACCAATTCCTTATATGCACTTGGACACATTTGCAGATATGCAATCCACATACCAATTTCAAAAACTTTGTTTTGTTTTTTGGTAAAGAAGGTCAGTTAGAGATTGAAGTTGAGAAAGATATGGAGAGATCACCTCATTTACAAGCCAGGACTTTGACCCCTACTCCAGCCTTCTCCCAGCCCTATTTTGCTTGCATGCACACCTGAGTTTGGTAGGAACATGTGGGATTTTGTCTGCAGGAGATGGGAGTAGAAGGCTGTTTCTGGGAGGGGTGGGTGAGAGAGAGATGTCACTGGAAAAGATCTATTTTGGGGAAAAGGAGAGCTGCCTCGTAGTGGTGGTGGTGGTGGGGCTAGAATGGTGTTTCAGAGAAGGGGATTTATCCTCTGCCTCTTTCTTCTTAGAAACCAAGCCAGTTTCTTTTTTCTCTTTTTTGAGATGGAGTCTCACTCTGTCACCCAGGCTGGAGTGCAGTGGTGTAATCTTGGCTCACTGCAAACTCCGCATCCTAGGTGCAAGTGATTCTCCTGCCTCAGCCTCCCAAGTAGCTGGGATTATAGGCATGCGCCACCACACTCAGCTAATTTTTGTATTTTTATTAGAGATGGGGTTTTGCTTACATTAATGACGGTAGTCTTTTGTATTTTCCAATCCACGAGCAGGTTCCCAGAATGTCACTCTTTGCACCCAAAACCCCTCCTCAGGCAGAGCGGAAGCACCACCTTCCAGATCCATAGCCTTCCCTCAGGGCCTCCCTTCTGCAGGCCTCCCTTGGCCAGGCCTGCCTCCTTCCTACTTAGCTTCCTAGGTTCTTTATCCTGGAGGTTCCCTAACACCCTTCTCTAAGCGGGATAGGAAAACCCCATGAGATCTTTCCCTTTGGTTCTCTGCAGAATTTCTACTGGGGGTAGAGGAGAGGAAATGAAGGTGTCCTCTCTTCTGTCCCTTCTTCCTAGCCACATACTTATAGGCCAGAAAATCTGGAATTCTGGAAATCAGTTCTGTGAGGTCCACAGAGTGACTTCTTTTATTTGTTTTATTTTGGAAATGGGGTCTTGCTCTGTCACCCAGGTTATAGTGCAGTGGTGTGATCTCAGCTCAGTGGAGCCTTGAACCCCTGGCTCAAGTGATCGTCCCACCTTAGCTTCCCGAGTAGCTGGGACTGCAGACATGTGTCATCATGTCTGGCTAATTTTTAATTTCTTGTAAAGATGGGGTCTTGCTATGTTGTCCAGGTTGGTCTTGAACTTCTGGCCTCAAGTGATCCTCTCACCTTAGCCTCTCAAAGTGATGGGATTATAGGTGTGAGCCACCATACCTGGCCCCGCTTGTTTGTATTTTAATTCAATGTCAACATTGAACATATTTCACACAAAAATTACAATCCACATTTGTTCGTGGAGCCATCAGGAGGAGCCACGTGGTGGCTGCTCCCTCTAGGATGTACTTTGTCTTGTTGGTCAATCCCATGACCTCGGTGTCTGTTGCCACCGTTGCCTGCCCCACTGGCAGGCATTGAATCCAGTGGGATGGCAACTGGCCCCATTAGCTTCTGTTCAGCTGCTTGTAGGACATGTCCTCATGGGACTCATGTATCTGTGATCAAGCAATGGTAGTCCTCAGGAAGAAAGGCTATTTGATGAGCTCTCAGTGTGGGAGAGATGAATGAGAAAGTGAGGGAGGATGGGCCACACACCTGGTCCACTAGAAAAAGAGTTCAGGTGCCTTCCTGTCCCAATCCACCCCTCTCTCTGATGAAACAATGGAGGAGAGTGAGAACCTTTGTTTCTCCTCTCCGCGAGCTTGGATCCCTTCTTCTGCTTCTTCTCCTTCCACCTCTTAGTTTCTCGGATCCTCCCATCTCTCATCATTTGTGGCTGATTTCAAAGTGTAGCTAAGTAACAACCTGGAGAGTGGGGGAAAGCTTTTATTTCCAACATTTATCAAGGTTGTTGACCTACACAGGATAGCACAGAATCCCAGTGTCCTGTCCCTTCCAGCTTTTCTCCCAATGCCACCACCCCACTACTTCTTCCCGTTGCCAGACCCCATTCCCATCCTTCCCTCTTTCCTCTTTTCTCTTTCTATGTTCATCTCTGTTTACCCTTCTTAATTTTATTTTCTTTCCAACTCACAATTCTTAGTTTTGTATTGCATTTCTGTGTTTCTAGAAAATTCCCCAGCTGGCCCTGTCTGCCTCTCCTGAATAAGTCCCCTTCCCCCACATCTCTCTTTGGCTTCCAGTCCACTTTCCTGGGTGGTGCAAGGTACTTCCCAACTGCAGAGGAACACTTAACTCTGCTCAAAAGGCTTTGTTCCAGATCCTTCTGAGTACCGCAGCACCTTACTCTGAAATGTGGGTACGTTAGAAAGAATGCTCCACCACCCAGGAAGTGAGCTTATACCTGAAAGACCTGGCAGTATTTGGAGGAAATTGGGATTTAATTAGCATTTCCTTTTATGCCACTGTCAATATGCTTCTGTTACGTTTATGGGGTTGTGTGGGTATCCTCTGGTGGCTAATTACGTGAAATTTCTCTTCTTTGTTATACTTTAATAAACATGCACAATATATAAAGTTGAAACTGGTTCTTTTACCAAAAGTGAGATTCTTAATTTGAATAGGGACTTATTTTTCTTCTCTTTAAGGAGAGGTAGTTTTACGTGTTTATGTTCTACTGCTGGGTGGGTGATATTTGTAAATTTTTTTTTTCTCTTGTAGGAGATAATGAGTAATCAAAACCAGCAACATGTTCTCTTTTTGTTCAGGTGCAGAAAGATTGTGATGGAAAGAAAGCCAAATGGGGACTTAAATTTAGATCGTTCCTGTTGTGCCTGGTTTTCCAATCTCGAGCTAAGTGTGTTTAATTATTCCAAGAGCAGTGTTTCGTAGGTGTGTGTGAAGGTCAGGAACAACTCCACTCCTTGCCATGTGGGAAGTGTTGGCCTCTTTTCCTGTGGTGTGTGGGACCTGTGCGTGTTCCCAGATGTCCTCCAAATCCAGCAGCCACCAACAGACTGCTTGTGAGCACCAGTGCAGAAAGAACTCAAGGGAGCCCCGGGGGGCCCTCATCCCACAGAGAAGAGAGTCCTGAGCTGAATGGAAATGACGCAGTGAGCACCCAAACAACTCCTGGGTTCGAGGCTGTGATGACAGCATCCATTGTTCAGACGAAGAAGTTGAGGCTGGGTACAGTAAAAAGTCTGGGCAGGTGTGGTTGCCAGGGGTTGGGGGAAGGAGGAGTGGGGAGTTAATGTTTAATGGATGTGGAGTTTCAGTTTGGGGAGACAAAAACTTCTGGAGATGGCTGATGGTGATGGCAAATGTACTAAATGCCACTGAACTGTACACTGAAAATGGTGAGGTGCTATGTCTATGTTATCATAACGAAAACAAGGTTTTATAACTACTAGTCTTTAATTTTAAAATGCAAAGATTCAGATGAACGGATAAAACAATGTGGTGTATCCATACAATGGTCCATTATTCAGTCTTAAAAAGGAAGGAAATTATGATGCATGCTCCAACATGGATGAACCTTGAGGACATGATGCTAAGTGACATAAATTAGTCACAAAAGGACAAATATTGTATGATTCCAATTATGTGAGTAGTCCACTTATATGAGTATGCATAGTTATATGAGTAGTCAAATTGACTTTGAGTAGTCACTTATATAAGTAGTCAAATTCATAAAAACAGAAAGTAGAATGGTAGTTGCCATTGGCTGGGGGAAAGAGGGAATGGGCAGTTATTGTTTAATGGGTACAGAGTTTCAGTTTGGGAAGATGAAAAGTTCTGGAGATGGATGGTAGTGATGGTTTCACAACAAAGTGAATGTACTCAATGCTACTGAACTGTACACCTAAAAACATGGTTGAGATGGCAAATTTGCTGTTATGTATATTTTACCACAGTAGAAAAAAAAGTCTTGGCAGGCTGCAAGGTGCCAACAAAACTTATCTACTACTGTCCCACTCCAGTGCTCTTTCCATGAGTGTTAACTACCTCCCTGGGAACACTGTGTACACAGAATTAGAAAAGATTTCTCTGTCCTGACAGATGCCCAGCATTACTGCATGCCGGAGAGCAAAAGGCAGCCTGATAGAGACTTGACCTCCGGGCACAGAAGACGCAAACTCAAATGCCAGCTTGGAAAAGGGATTAATGATTTAAAAGATTTGAGGCAAAGAAAATGCTATTGCTGCTGGTTTGGCTTACTGAGAAGGGTTCATTAATTCACATATAGGAGTTCCAGGGGGAGAAATGTTGTCCTAATTATGTCTTGGGTAATTTGGTCATTTAAATGGCTAACCAATTTGCAACTAGGTTCTTTCTCGAGGTATCACATCTTTATTCAGTGCCATTCCTTCCTGCCAGGCGTTCTTTGGATGTGTGCATCGTTGTGGGGATGTTAGCCTGTCTTTGCCCATTGCTACGCTTCCTCCTCTTCAATCATGTGACCGTGTAGCTTTTCTGTGGGATTGGAAATGTGTCTAGCTGGAATTATCGCCTGTGTTAGCAGGATTCTTGTAGCCTCCAGAAGGTACAAGGCCAAATACCATGTTTGCAGCATCTTCCATGAATAGTTGTCTTGGGTAAGGATCAAACAATTATACTCCAATTAAGGGGAGATTCAGAACCCATCCAAATTCTATCCTTGAGAAATGCCTGCTGCAGGAGCTGGCTTCACATTGACAGCCAGAGTCCTGCTGCCCGGACAGGGCTCACCCTACAGAGATGGCCTCCCCAAACCTGACGAGCTGCGTGCTCATGAGAGGAGCGCCATGCTCAGCTGTGAGTGAGGCTTGTTAATTGAGAGATGAGGCCTGAGGCTGCTCTTGCTGTTGTTTCCCCAGGCTGTACAACACGTGCAACCAGGTTTTGGTGGAGAGAGAGCTTTAGGATCAATGATTCCTACTTTATGCCTCCACCAATCCCCATCACCTGATGGAGGCAAAGACATTGAATGTTTTGGGGGTAAGAAAATGCAGTGTTCTTCCCAAAGCAGGGGAAAAAGGAGCAAAGCATATTTATTGTCAGGGTCTCCTTTGATATTAATAATGGACAAATGCTACTACTTACTATGGTCAGGCACTATGCAAAGTGCATGCAACATATTGCTCTATGTAATCCTTAAAATAACTCTATGACGTATGGGTGTCATTGTCTCCATTTTAGAGATGAAAGAAATGAGAGGTTCAGTGACTTGTCTCAGACCACACAGCCAGCAAATAGTAGAAACCAGATTTCAATCAATCAGGTTTTTGGATGTAAATTTCCAGATTCTTTCAGCAGTACTGTAGCCACTCAGGGGCTGATGTTTATTGCAAGAGCTAAATATCTAGGGCTGATGAAGGAAGCTGCCTTTAATCCAGAAGACCAGACAGCTACAGTATGTGGTTATTAATTGGTTCGATTTTTTAAAAGCACTACGTATTTCTCCTTTTTATCTTCCCACCTGAAAGATCTTACATGCTCTGTGAGGTACTGGCAATTAAAGATGGAGGTAGAGGAGAATGTAGGGGTGGATGCTTGGGGAAGGGGGTGGGCAGAGTGGTCACAGGATGGCAGAGCTCCGTTCTTCTGAATGGGTTCTATGCTGTTTTGAGACAAAGGAGCAAATTTGCTCCATTGCCTCTGTGCACTGCCTGCCACCCCACCCTCTTCCCACCTTCTGCCCAGCATATGCAGACCTTCCCCAGGCAAGGTCTATCCTGAGCTGCCTTCTCTTCTCTTGCACACTCTCGTCTCCAGGGCTCTCATCCACTGCTTTACTTCTGCCACCATGGCCACTGCTGTGACCACCATCATCTATGGGGTTCTCAGTTCTACATCACCAGCCCTAGCCTCTCCAGGCTTCAGGCCTGCTGCCCAACTCCCTGTTGCACAGTTGCCCTTGGAGTTGCTGCATCATCTTGATTTAGCATGCTCTTCATCACCTTATCTCCCCTTCCTCCTCACTCTAGCACTTCACCCCATCTGACCACTCTGTGGCACAATTCTCTAGCCACCTCCTAGTCCAGTTCTCTTCAATACCTTCATCTCTTATTTTCCATATCTAACTTGTTGCAAGTCCTGTGATTTCTGTGTTTGCAATGTCACTGGCATCCATCTCTTCCTTTTATTCATTCACAATCTCCTTACTACACACCCACTATGGGGCAAATGCTTTTCACACCGCTTGCATCTCCCAGTCCTGATTCTCCCAAACTTTTTCAACAGACAAGCAGAATAACTTTTCTGGTGTCTCTACCTTCAATCTATTTCCACTCCACACTGTCCTATGCTATTGCCAGATTAATGTTCCCCAGGTAAAACCCAGATCATGCAAGCTCTGTCAAAAATATTTTATGGTCTATGACATATTGGGCTTTCCAAACTATGAACCTCAATCACCTTTCCAGCCTCGGGTTCTACCATCACTTCACTGCCCCAAAAGAGAAGGAGCAGTAAAAGCCATGATTATAACCCTAGTAATAGTAGTAAAGCAACAACCATAATAAAGGTAGTAGCCAATGCTCATAGAACACATTCTGGGGGCTGAGCACTGTTATAAGTGCTATGTATATATTAACTCATTTAATTGTCATACCCACCCAATGAGTTGGCACTGTTCTTGTAGTCAATGCACCACCTGCTATTGCAGATTAGGCCCTGTGCTTTTCTTTTTTTCTTTTTTTTTGAGATGGAGTCTCACTCTGTCACCCAGGCTGGAGTGCAGTGGTGCGATCTCGGCTCACTTCAACCCCCGCCTCCAGGATTCAAGCAATTCTCCTGCCTCAGCCTCCCAAGTAGCTGGGATTACAGGCGAGTGCCACCATGCCCAGCTAATTTTTGTATTTTGTATTTTTAGTACAGATGGGGTTTCACCATGTTGGCCAGGCTGGTCTCAAACTCCTGACCTCAAGTGATCCGCCCACCTTGGCCTCTGAAAGTGC
Source organism: Homo sapiens (assembly GCF_000001405.40). Lineage (NCBI taxonomy): Eukaryota > Metazoa > Chordata > Mammalia > Primates > Hominidae > Homo > Homo sapiens. Next base: position 141,305,702 of record NC_000007.14, read on the forward strand.
TGGGATTACAGGCATGAGCCACTGTGCCTGGCTGGCCCTGTGCTTTTCTTATGCACCTTTTTTCCTACTGTTATCCCTGTCAATACTCCCTCTGTACCTCTCCAGGTCTAAATCTTAACCCTTTCTCGAGGTTATCATGGGTGGTCTGTCCTCCTGCTCTTTTCCACAATGCTGGTCATCTAATTCCCATTAGATGAGCTCTTTATGTTTCTGCTTCTCTCCCATTGCACTCCTCATTTTCTGCCAGGTGTCGTAGCCATGTATGTACTTGGGTTATTTTGTCTGGTCTCTTGAAATACTCTCAAGGGCATGGACTGTCTCCTCTAGATCTGTATACCACGTAGCATCCGGCATGTGCTTTATACATAGTAGATGCTAGATATATTTGGTCAACTGAGCTGAAGTTAATAGGATTGAATTCACATTCCAGATTCCTTGGCTGCCGTTAATGTCATTCATATAGCCTAGTCTCTTGCAGCTAAAAGGCTAGATAAACCCAATCAAATCAGAAAGAATGAAGATGCCAAGTGCGAGTAAGAGGCAAAATCCTCTTTCACCTGCTCATCAGTATTCAGTAATTGTCTGTGCTCTTTAAAAGAAGCACATGGGAGGGGCCATCATGGAGGGATGCCCTTTGCTGAAGGGGAAGGAGAGGAGGGATGCGTTTTTGTGGCTGTGTTAATAATGCACATGGGATCTGAAGGTACAGGTTCATGCCATGAGTCACAGGAAGGAAATTCTGTATCTAGAAAAGGTGTCCGCTTTCTGAGTATGGCTTTCTTGTGTTATGCCTAATTAGCTTTGAAAAATCAAGCATTATTAGTATAAGTCATTCTTGTAGGTTTATTAATATGAGCAGCTTCAAGTAGGAAGAGGTTAGAGGCAAAAATACATGGAGTTTCCATGGTTCTGAGAGTCTGTTTTTTTTTTTTTTCTGGTCTCTCTGGTCTCCTTAATTAAGGCTGTTCCAGTCCACCTTGCCTTCTTCTAAAAGCCTCGTCTTTGCTGTATTCTGTTCTCTTTGTGCCATCCCTCTGTTTAAAAAACCACAGTGACTCCCAGTCCTGATCTTCCCAAAGTAAACCACACTCATACCTACGTCACACTGCTTGGCCTTCAAGCCATAAATAAACTCCCATCTCTTCTAGGAAGCCTTCCTTGACTTCTTCATTCCATACAAATGCCACTTCCACTTTCCCAAACTTCTGCAGACTATGTGGTCTGTCCCACACAATTTAGTACTTAATTATATCACCATATATAATGGGACTGTCTTCATTTTTTATTGGGTATTGGCTTTGTCTCCCAAATGGATTGGGGTTTTCTTGAGGACAGAGATCTTATTCTATTTTGTTTTTCTGACTCAGCAGCCCTTCACACCATGTTGAGCATATATAATGTACATATTTTTCCTTTCAGATATTGATTGATTGGCTAAATCATAGAAATTGGGGATGTTGGTACCATTTTTATATCACTTTTTTCTGAACTATAATGCTTGGACTGTAACCAAGTTTAGCCTGACTATTGAAATCAGACTTTTTTCCATTTAAAGGGGGCAATATTTTTGTTTTAAAAATGGAAAATGGATTAATTTAGCAAGGATTAACTATCACTTTTGTAATAGATAATTTCCATACGGGTATATTTTAGCAATCTGTGAAGGGTGCTAGTCCACCTCTGTGGCCAGGTACCCTAGGGGATGGCACCGGCAGGGGATCCTGGCAGCGGCTGCCACTCACTTGCTGGGTCCCCTACATGCTTTCCTCCTCAGTAGGGCTCCTTTCTGGGAGCCCCCACCCTTAGGCCAACAGGAGGCTCCCATCAGACTCTGCCGGAGCACATATATACCAGAATCCGGCATTTCAGAGGCACTGAGGGGTCACGGGACCTCTGAACTAATGGGTGTGATTGAGGGGCACTCCCCGTTCTCCCTGACTCTCCCCATAAGGACAGAGATTAGCCTTCCTAAAAATGGGATAAATAGGAAGTAAGAAAACACTTGCTTTCAATCTTTCAATCTTTTCTTTATTTTCTAGGAAACCAACCCATGTTCAGTACATGTTGATGGTAGGGGAAGCTAACTTCCTATATTCCAGGCACTGGGCTAAGGGCTTTGTCTACATGACTCACTTAATCGACATGTTGAATGTAAGCCTAGCAGGGTCTTTAAGTTTGGTCACATTGTTAGAAATATGGAACCAACATTTAGTGGATGATTAGTGATTGTTTTTGAATGAATGAATACAAGTGTAGGGCTTGTGATTACCTTTACTGTGAATAACTTGACTTTGTAGAGCAGATGTTTTGTATAAAGCACTTTTCACTTATTGTGTCTTATTGTGTCTATAACATTCTGTGGTAGAGATTTGATTTGTATCCCCTTTTGAAGATGAAGAAGCCGGGGAAGGAGGGATGAATAACTTGCCCCAAGTCACACATCAAATAAATGTCAGGGGCAGAAACAAGACTCAGATTCTCTGGTTCTAAGACCCAAACTCTTACCATCTGCCTACTATGAAGTGGAACTCCAGCTGAAAGAGATAATTCTGAGTCATCAGACTTGTAGTTCAGTGGTCAGATGAGATAGAACCAGTCTGCTGACAGGTGGGGCGGGAAGCTCTGTGGGAAACATTGGAAATGTGTTGTACATTTTTCACCTGTAGTTTCAAAAAATTTTTTAAAAGCAGAACCATTTGTGTGTAATTTTTTTTAGAGACAGGGTCTCACTCTGTGCCCCAGGCTGGAGTACAGTGGTGCAAGCATAGCTCACTGCATCCTCAAACTCCTGGACTCAAAAGATCCTCCCACCTTAGCCTCCCAAAGTGCTGGGATTACAGGCATGAGCCACTGTGCCCGGTCTCAACACATTTTTCTGTAGAACCCCAATATGTAAAACAGATACATGTGGGGCTGCTTTGGTTGAGAGTGGGGTTCAGGGCCTGAAATCCCACCCCAGTTGGTCTCCTATCACCGTAGAGTAGCTCCCCAAAGAACACAGCATGAAAACCATGCATCCGGCCCAACCTTCTTGTTTTAAAGATGACAAAACTGAGTTCCAAAGAGGCTGTGCAACCTGCCCGACGCTGGGCCATGAGCTGGGTGGGGAGGGGCCAGGACCCCGGCTCCTGAATCCCCAGCCTTTGTTGTAATTGGCCACCTTTGTCATATTTGTGTTTCCCAATTTAACATTACAGACTGACCCAAAAACACAGAAGTCAAACAAACATGGTATAAAGCCATGCTGATTACTGAGTACTCCAGGGGAGGACTCAGGAAGTGGATTAAGTGAATTTTTTAGAGGAAAGGAGCCCAGAGCTTCAGCTTGAACTACAAGAGGCTTTATTTTGTTGTCAGGAAGAGTAAAACACTTCAACAAACACATTTTATTTTTTATGATTGCAACAATAATACATTTACATTATAAAATAACTTGGAAAAGTATAGAAAAAATTAAAGAAGAAAATAAAAATCACCTGTATCTCCACAACCAACAGGTATCCACTCAAAGCTTTGTATGGTGTATCTCTTTTCATTATTTTTCTGTACATAATGCAGATATACCTAAGTGGTATCAAATTGCTTTATATATTGTCTCGTGTTCTGCCTTTTGCTCTTTAAATAGCATGTGAATTTTCCATTCTCACTAGTATATTGTTGAAAACATAATACTCTCTCTCATTACAAAAGTAATACATGTTCATTGTAGACATTTGGAAAGTATAGATAAGCACTAGGGAGAAAATAAAAATCACTGATAATCTCAGTACCCAAAAATAACTGTTGCTAGCATTTTGGTGAATATTCTTCTGGTCTTTTTATTATACCTACTATGTAGACATCCTTAATATGATTATGTGTGCTTATTTTCCACTTTGATAGATTAGGGATAGATATTAATTTTTTATCTTCTCTTGTGACTTGATGATAAACTAAAAAAGTTTACTGATTATTTGTTATTCTTCCACAAATTACCTATCCGTGTCTTGTCATTTCCTATAGATTTCTTATAGATTACTTAAAAGTTTTTACTACTATAAATAATGCTAACTGACTATATTTGCACACAGATCTTGTCTGCATCATGCCTTTAGGATTGGGTTAGAGAAATAGGGTTCTTCAGTTACTCAACACCAGAAGTATATGCAGTACCCATTTCTCTAAACTTTTAGCTGTTATCTTTAAAAAATGTCCAATTTAACCCCTTCCTTACACCTTATACAAAAATTAACTCAAGATGGATTAAAGACTTAAATGTAACACCCCAAACTATAAAAATCCTAGAAGAAAATCTAGGCAATAACATTCAGGCTATAGGCATGGGCAAAGATTTTGTAACAAAAAACGTCAAAAGCAATTGCAACAAAAGCAAAAATTGACAAATGGGATCTAATTAAACTAAAGAGCTTCTGCACAACAGAAGAAACTATTATCAGAGTGAAGAGACAACCTACAGAATGGGAGAAAATTTTTGCAATCTATCCATCTGACAAAGGTTTAATATCTAGAATATACAAGAAACTTAAATTTACAAGAAAAAAACAGTCCTATTAAAAAGTGGGCAAAAGACATGAATAGACACTTCTCAAAAGAATACATTTATGAGGCCAACAAATATGAAAAGAAGTCATCACTGATCATTAGAGAAATGCAAATCAAAACTACAGCGAGACACTATCTCATGCCAGTAAAAATGGCAATTACTATTATTGTTATTTTTATTTTACTTTAAATTCCAAGATACATGTGTAGAATGGTCAGGTTTGTTACATAGGTATACATGTGCCATGGTGGTTTGCTGCACCTATCAACCCATCATCTAGGTTTTAAGCCCTGCATGCATTAGGTATTTGTCCTAATGCTCTCCCTCCCCTTGTCCCCCACCCTTCAACAGGCCCTGGTGTGTGATGTTCCCTTCCTGGAACGGTGATTATTAAGAAGTTAAGAAACAACAGAAGCTGGCGAGGCTGTGGACAAATAACGCTTTTACACTGTTGCTGGGAATGTAAATTAGTTCAACCATTGTGGAAGGCAGTGTAGCAATTACTCAAAGACCTAGAACCAGAAATACCATTTGACCCAGCAATCCATTACTGGATATATACCCAAAGGAATATAAATCATTCTATTATAAAGATACATGCACGCGTATGTTCATTGCAACACTATTCACAATAGCAAAGACATGGAATCAACCCAAATGCCCATCAATCATAGACCAGATAAAGAAAATGTGGTACATATACACATGGAATACTATGCAGCCATAAAAAGGAATGAGATCATGTCCTTTGCAGGGACATAGATGAAGCTGAAAGCCATTATCCTCAGCAAACTCACACAGGAACAGAAAAACAAACACTGCATGTTCTCACTTATGAGCGGGAGCTGAACAATGAGAACACATGGACACAGGGAAGGGAATAACACACACCTTGGCCTGTTGGGGGATGGTGGGAGGGAGAGCATCGGGATAACTAGCCAATGCATGTGGGGTTGAATACCTAGGCGATGGGTTGATGGGTGCAGCAAACCACCATGGCACACATTTACCTATGTAACAAACAGGCACATCCTGCACATGTATCCTGGAACCTAAAATAAAGTTTTAAAAATGTCCCATTTAATAAGTGAAAAATGGCCTCTTGTTTTAATTTTAAATTAGTAGAAAGGTTAATTTTTTCATATTTGATCATCTATTTACATGAGTGCTTTTATACTGGCTAATATGCTTTGCTCTTTTTTCAATTAGATTGCTGGTTTTCTAACTAATTTATTAGAGTTTCAAAAATATAAATTCTGAATATTAACATTGTAATATTTGCTACAAATTTGTTTCTCATCTTGTACTATGAATTTTATATTAGATTTAGTGTTATTTGCTATTTTATTTTGTATGGTTAAATCTACCAATTCTCTTCTCTGATTTTCTACCATTTGTCTTTATGCTTAGACATTTCTTTAAAAAACTATTTTTTTCTGGTTCAATTTTGTTCAGTTAGCCTTAAAACCCATTGTGGGTATTTGTGTGTCATCTGTCCGAGGTGAAACAGTTTAGGAAAGATTTTAAGGGAGAGTGAGGACAAAGTTTGAGCAGTCATCTGAAGGCATTGTGAGCTGGCTGAATGGAGTGAGTGGGGAGGAGGATGTAACTAAGAGAGAAAATGGCACCTGAATGGAACTGGGATTTAGGATGTAGAAGAGAGGCTTGTGACAACTGGACAGAGTCAAGGGATGCATCCCCAAAGAATGTACTGATTAGCACCGTTGAAATACAATCAGAAACCAAGGTTGAAAGAGAGAAAGATGACTTCTCTACTTTCTGCCATCCCTACCTCAAGGTGGGGCCCTGTGGCCTCTACTCTGTAAGACCTCCTGGGTGGTCTTACTTATTCTCACATTTCCCATTACCTCCCATATGCTGTGGACTCCACTCCTTAATTTGAATCTTCAACCTGGACCTCTCTTCTGAAATTGAAGTGAATATCCAACTACCTAATGGTTGGATATCTTATCTCAGATTCAACATGGTCTGAACTGAACACATCATCTTCCCTCTTCCCCTGCAGAATCCAATTTATTCAATGTGCTCTTCTTCCAGAGTTTTCTGTCTTAGTGAATGGGTTGGTTAACAAAGTGGTTCTGAGCTCTATTTTCAGAAAGGTATGGTTAAGAGAAAGGGATTCACATCTCAGTGAGAAACTTGAGTAATCATGAAGCTATTCTGTGGCTAACAAAGAGAAAGCACTAGAGTAGGTCCCAAGGAAAGGTAAAATGGGAGAAAGAATGTTCTTTGAGTTGGGAAATAAAGTTCTAACCCGTAGATATTTCAATGGCCCTGAGAGGTCTTTGGGAGACAAGAGTTTCTGAGGATTGCTTCAGTGTAAGGATTCCATAAATAGCCTCCCCAGTATTCAACTCGCAAAGTCAATCTCCAAAGGTCACATATTCCAAAACAGTTTCTAAATTTGCTTCAATGATTTGCATTCATAGGAAGATGCACCTGCAGATCATGTAGGGCAACAACTAAGCAGTAGAATTGAAATCCTCTGCTGGTGGTCCATGGAGGGTGGTAAATGCAGTTTCTAAAGCAGGTGGAAGCCTTTCAAAGAGTAAATTCTCAAACATCTCATTTGAGCAGAATTGGCTCTTTATTGTATGTTTTTAATTAACTAAAGACACAATTTGATTGGAATGGGGCCAGTTCTTTTAAGATAAGCACCTTAAAGTTTTAAATAACAGATGTCCAAATTTAGGCCAGTTACATCTTTGAGGGAGAAGATAAAGAATGCCTAGCTGTCTGGGAATGCAGCCCAGTAGGTCTCAGCCTTATTTTACCCAGGCCCTATTCTAGATGGAGTTGCTCTGGTTCAAATGCCTCTGACACAAAGGTTGGAAGGTGAGAAAGTATTTTTTTAAAAACTCTATTTGGAGGGATTGGAGTCACTGTTTTAAAAATCAGAAAAAAGTGAAACAGCATCACTTGTCACTCTAGTACTGACCGAGTGGGAAAGAATGTTTGCAGTTGCTAAGGGGTATAATAGAAGATTTTGCCATGACTCCTTCTGTCCATGTCCTCACCATGTCCTTTCTGGCAACCACTAAGCTGATCAGAGAACTTCCCCTTTCCCTGCTCTTGGGCTCTCTCACGGTTTGCTCTCACCCTCATGGCTCTCCTTGGAAGTTAGGCTCTCTCTTGCTCTCCCCATGTTCATGATCTGTCTCCTTTCCCTTGATAAAACCTAGTCCTGCTAGGATACTGCCATTCTCAGCTTCTAATCCAAGTGCCTCCTGCTAACTTGTGGAAACAGACCACAGACATTTTCTTTTGAGGAAACTTTGCAGACTTTTAGAATGAAGGCATTAATTCCTACACAATTAGGAGAGAAAGTTCTATGCCAAAAGGAGGCTTGGACTCCAAACACTGTATGCCCTTGGCTAAACGCTTTGCTTCCTTCTCTGTGTTTTGGCTGCCCTTTGCAGAGACTTTGCTACAAGATCATTCTGTGAGTTGACAGTCTGAAAGCAGAATGGAGATGTGGCTTCCCGTGGGCAAACTGGACATATTTTTATGTTTAAAAAAATTCTGCATTTGCACTTTGTGCATTATTGATGTGCGTCTTTGGAAGGAGGGCATTATTTCAGAAAAATGTAGAGGCACACTTTTGTTAGGACCCCCCTGATGAGACCAAGAAATCAGCATGTGCAAAAATCACTGATTGAAATCCAGTCCCTGATAGGGAGCAGACAAGAATGAGAGAGAGCTTCCACTAAACGATTCCAGTGAGATCTGAGAGCAATGAGGTGAAAATACACAAAGCAAAAACTTTTGGCTGCCTGTGGCGCAGCCGTTTCAGCCTCTGCCTCGGCTGAGTATCACCACCACCTGACATCTCTTTCATTTAGTTGCAACAGCCATAGCTTCTTTGCTTGGAAACCCAGGAGATTTCTTCTCTCATCTCTCTCCTTCTTGGGAACGTTTAACCCCTGCCAACTGGAATCAGTATTGCAGGGAAGAAAGAGCAGCCATATGGCTTCAACTCTCAGGAGGACAGGTTTCAGGCCTCTCACACATCATTGGTACCATGGAATATTTTTCTCCTGCAAGATTTTGGGCTGGCCTTATAAGAAAGAGAGGATCTGATTGCAGGATGTTTATACTCTTTTGGGGACAGGACAAGGTTCCTTCTGATGGGGCAGGGATGAAACTCTTGGCTGGCTATGCCATTGCAGTCACTGCCATGTTTGTGGCCATGTGAGCAATCGTGTGGTTGCTTATATCAGTGCTCTCCTTCCACCACATACTCATTCCTCCTCCCATCTCTTTCTGGCCCCTGTGGTCTAGCTTCTGTCCCCACCAGTCTCCCAAGATGACACACTTTGAGGAACTCACTGGCTCAGGCCCTGTGTCCTTTCTTGGGCATCCTCATTCATCTTTCCTATTCAGCAATCCTTGCTGCTGCTCCTCTGGCCATAGGTCAATGTCTAATCTTGCTTCTCTTCTACCTTTATGACTGCTCCTTCTCTGTCCATCAATGGCTCTTGTGTCTCTCCACTTTTCCTGGATGCTTACTCTGTCCTTCATTGCAGACTCTCCTCCCACTGAGACCTCAATCACCCTAATGGCCAAGTCATCAGCTCTAATCAGATATTTCCAATCTATGCTCTACTTTTAAGAAGTTCCAGCAGAATATGGACCAGATGCTTAGTGGCCATTTCTACCCAGGTATCACAATCATATCACAGGTATTATTGTTTCCAACCCAGTCTGCCTAAAATTGATCAAATCCTTCTCCATCCACATCTGAGCCTTCTTCCTGATGTGCTTCAACCTTGAAAGCCAAGGCTTATGGCCACTTGGTTCTGTTTTGGGGCATGTATCCAATCAGTTGCCCAGGCCTGCATCATAGTTTTTTAATGTCCCTCCAATCTGTTTCATGTTCCTTACCTGTCTCAGTCTAGTTAGACCTGAAGTTTTGCCTGTGAACTGATCTTTCTGCCAGCCTCTGACCAACTTCTGTTGCACCTCTGTCAGATAGATTAATCTTCTGAAATCCCCTCATGCCTCCACCAGGTCCTCTGTGCAAACTCTTTACCATTGTCAGCAGCCTAAAGTCTACCATTTTCGGGCCATCATTAAAAAACTCTGATTCAGGCCAATGTGAATCCACACCTCCAGTCAAGTTGAGTGACACTGTGTCCCTGGAACACGCCAAGGGCAGTCCTGTCCCACACCTATGCTTTTGCTAGTTTCCTTGTCTAGAATGCCCTCTCACTTTCCTCTTCTCATTTGCAAATCTTACCCCTTCTTCAAAGTCTAGATTAGGATCTATTTTCTCATGAAACTTTCTATAAATATTCATCTCAACACTGATACTCTGCACTTAGGTTACATTTAATCCCATACTTTCTGGTATCTTTTGCATCTTTTGGATTTAGATTTTTTTCCCTTTTCATTTACATGTTTTAAGGCCCTGACGTGATTATAAGCTCTTGAAGGCAAGAGCCTTCCACTTACCTCTTGTGTCCCGCTTATTACCTGGTACAGAGCTTGACATGTGGAGTTGCTTGGCACTAGAGTGCGGAATGAAGTTTAAGGTTATCTGGGACTTCTACCTTATTTTAATCAAGAAAGCCTGTATTTCAAAGAGCTATTTTACAAACTTATTTATTAAACTGTTCTTCCCTCCCAACTTCCCATCAGTATGTAAAAACACAGTTTTACTCATCAAAAAATAGTGCTGTTTATCGTTTATGAGCTTGATTATGTATGATTGACAGCTGAGGCCTCCTAATAGGATCCTTGTTGCTAAAGACATGTCAGCTCATTTTCCTTGATGAGCCTGTGAGAGTGATGCCCGGGGTGGAATTTGCCAGTGGTCATATGTTTGAACTCTAGGGAGGGAAGGAAGTAGCAATACTGCACACAGCAGCTGCTAAACGGGATTCAGGCACAACTTGGCCCTGTTGACTTTTGCATTGAAGGATATTAAAGAAAGACAAGATTGGCTGGCTGGTGGGGCTGGGCCTATTTCTCTGCTTGGCAAATTCAGAAGCTTGATTTAATTGCTCACATTTTTCTGAGGGGGAAATTGATATTCATCAAACCTATAAATGCTGGTTATAAAAGCAGCATTCCGTTGTATTAACTCACAGTTAACTTACAAACTTTAGGAATTTGTATGTTTATATCCATTTCCTAGGATTGTATGTGGAAGGTATCAAGGCATCTAGGCAAACGAATTCTAAGTCAGAGAGTTGATTTATGATGATTATAAGTGAATCAGAGCAGTGATCTAGGGGGAGTCTTTCAAACTCTGGGACAGCCTGGAAAAATTGCCTCTGGACTGCTGTGTGTGTGTGTGTGTCATCCACACACTTACACACATACACGAATACAACACACATTTCCCACACGTTTACCTCTGACATTTGCAAGTATCTATTGAGTACCTACTAAGGGCTGAGGACACAGGCACTATTCCTGCTCCATGGGGTTCATAGACAGGTGTCTGTTTTCGATGTCATTGAGTAAATAGTAGCAAACTCTTATTCATCAAGATGTTTTTCCTAACTCCCTGCAGCTGGACATTTTCCTTGTCTTAAAACTCATTTCTTAAGTTGGTATGTTTATAAAACTGGCTGTTCTCATCAATTTTGTGTCACTTTATTTTTGTGACACACAACTGCCTCTCCTGCAGTTTTGGATGCTGCTGGCCTTGCATGCAGGTACAAACACTCCAGTAATGGGAATGATGGTTAGGCATTTGCCACAGTTCCCCAGTTCTGGCTTTGGTGCTGGATATCCTTGTTCAACTCAGATATATCAAGGAAGATGACCCAAACTTTCCAATCTAAATATTTCCTTTTTTTTCCTTTAGTAGACATAGACCATGTGACTGTGAGTTTATCCTACATCTGTCTTGAAACTTTGCTGTATTGCATACAGAAGCAAGAAGAAGCTCCTGTTAAAGCAGCCATGGTCAAGGCAGGAAGTGCCATTGTATTCAAAAGCAGCATCTAGTAGCACAGCTGTTTTTGGAGATGCCTATAGGGAGGGGACTTTTACTTTTTTCTTAAGGAAGAGAGTGGGAGGTTGCCTTCTGAGTCAGAAAAAAGAAGTGTCAGGGTTTCATGCTGAAGCGAAGAAAGGCCCTTTTTGGTTATAATCCTACCTTTCTGTTTTGCCCACCTGGCTGCAGGTGCATCAGTGAGAACAGCAGAGCTTTTCTAGCTGATGAGCAAGCAAGAAGGTCAGGCTGAGGCTATGTCTTTAATTAGCGTAAACAACTTAAAACAGGTGGCACTAGCGCTAGACCTGGAGAAAAACTGCTGGTGTCCAGGAGACACTAGGAGGACTTTTAAGGCCAAGATGACTTGTGGTCCTGGGGCCAAAATGCTGAGGATGTCTGTCCAGGAGTGATAGGATGCCAAGATAAAGAATCTCTGTGTGCTCTGATCAAGCTTTCAGCATAAAACTGATTAGAAACTCCAGAACCATAACCCAGTCCTAGGAGTTATTTTATTCCAAGATATGATCCAGAGTGAGTTAGAACAGAGCATTTAACCAGAATCTAGGGATAAGACTCAAGTTCATCTGGTTCTGCCAGCAATTAAGGGTTTAGTGACAAAGTCTCAATTGTTTTGATGTATATTGGGAAGTAAATTGTAACTGCGATGGTTGCCTAGAGGTATCAAAAGCTGCAGAATGTGATTCTTGCCAATATCCACAAGTGTAAAATGCCAGAAGCATTTGTCTACCACCTAATGTTTATTTTAATTTATTTTATTAGATTTTGGCTTAAAAAAAGAAGATGGGTGTTTGGGGAGGGAATTATAGATTTATTTTAAATGAAAACAATTATTGAATAAGCTTTCTTTTCAGATCTTGTGGTAATGACTGCAGTATAATCACAGCCTGGGGTATTATTGGATGACCATCCATCCATCCTTCTGTCCATCAGTCCATCCATCCATTTGTCCATTCAGTAACAGATCATTGAGCCTACAACATGGCGTTCCCTATGTAAATGTCACACAAGTATATTGAATGTTGAGCCTGTAAAGATAAAGTATGATGATGGCTGGCCATTCTTTCTTATAACCCATTTTGAGAGTGGGAATGGGGCTGCGAAATCAATAATTGGGTGTTTTAATGCTACAAAGCTTGGTTGTTCACATATCCAAGCTGGCTTGAATTAATCTAGTGGGGGGAAAACCCAAGTGTTTGGTTTCAGGAAACTGTTCAAGTTTTTATTTAGCTTTCATTTCTTTGAATACGTGTTTTATCTGATTTTAAAACTTTTCACTCACACTAAGGTAAATACCATTTGTCACTCAATGAGAAATAAAGATGTATTGGAGACTAAAATATTCCTCATCTCTTCAAACCCGTGCTGTGTTGCCCAGTTGTTTGATAGCTAAACCTATGCCACCCCTTCAGAAGCCTGTACCAAGACACTTAGAATTTTGCTGCTTTAAGTCTGTCTGATTCACAGCTCATCTTGATCTTACAATATCTGCTACCTTATAGAGAGCAACAACAGTTCTATCACATGTGCTAAGAATAATACTGTCGAATATTGTTAAACTGCTAGGAATCAACTTTTGGAAAAGAGCTAAATGAATGTGTGTTTCCCATGTTGTCTCAATTCAGTTAAAGAGATCTTTTTTTAACCATATGTGCCAGAAATGCTTACCTTGGATCCAAGCTTGAATATGAGATATTTCTGCCAAAAAAAAATGAACAATTTTTACCAAGTTTCAAGTGATTGAAAAAAATAGTGACTGTGATGGTTGGAGAGAATTGTCAAAAACTGCAAAATGTGATTCTAGCTGATCTCCAAAAAAGCAAAGTACAAAGCAGAAGGCTTAGAAGTAGCATAAAATCAAGAGATTTGGCAATCCTAGTGGACCACTGTATTTAGAACAAGAGTATAGGAGAGTCACTCTAGAAATAAATTGGCTTTTAACGACCTGTCTCAAAAAGCAGTGATTTACATTAGGTTTCCTGTAGGAAGATAGTGCCTCATTGACAGACTGCACAGCCCTGGCCAGAACCTTCTGGCCATTTGTAGCACTGAGCTTGGGCCCACAGGCAGAAGACTCAGGTGTTCCCTCCTGCCTTCAACAGGCTTATGAGCTTGACAGTTGCAATACCTGTGCCTATTTCACTGGCCTTTTGGTGTCTCTGTTAGTTTAAACTCATTTGCTTAATATCCATTGTCAGGCCTGGGGGGAGTTTAGGCATTTTTTCATGGTGGAAAGATGTAATATAGAGGCTAACTTCTGAAGCATGCCGTTGAAAAACAGCCTCCCTCATTGTGCCAAAGTGTTTGTATTCTTTACTTTCTTTCTTTCTTTTTTTTTGAGACGGAGTCTCACTCTATTGCCCAGGCTGGAGTGCAATGGCATGATCTCAGCTTACTGCAGGTTCAGGTGATTCTCCTGCCTCAACCTCCAGAGTAGCTGGATTATAGGCATGCACCACCATGCCTGGCTAATTTTGGTGTTTTTAGTAGAGACGGGGTTTCACCATGTTGGCCAGGCTGGGTTTGTCTTCTTATCACAGAGTTCAGAAAAATAGGCTTTAGAGAAAGCGTGCTTGGGTTAGAATCTCTGCATTTCTACTTTCTAGCTGTGTGGCCTTAAGCAAGTTTCTTAATATCTCAGTGCCGCTGTTTTTCATCTGTAAAAGGGGATGTACTAAACCTGACTCATAGGATCAGTGTGGTTGATATGATATGGTTTGGCTCTGTGTCCTCACCAAATCTCATCTCAAATTGTAATCCCCACATGTTGAGGGAGGGACCTGGTGGGAGGTGATTGGATCATGGGGGTGGTTTCCCCCATGCTGTTCTCATGATAGGGAGTTCTCATGAGATCTGATGGTTTAAAAGTGGCAATTTCCCCTACATGCTCTCTCTCTCCTGCTGCCATGTAAGATGTGCCTTGCTTCCCCTCTGTCTTCCACCATGATTGTAAGTTTCCTGAGGCCTCCCCAGCCATGTGGAAATGTGAGTCAATTAAACCTTTTTTTCTTTGTAAATTACCCAGTTTCAAGCAGTTCTTTATACCAGTGTGAAAACAAACTAATACAGTGGTGATTACTTATATTAAGGGGCTCAGCACAACGTATGTGTTCATAACACATTGGCCATTATATGAGTCAGAGAACTCCACCAGGCATGCATATTTGAGCTGGAAAAGTTGAGCCAACACCTGTGACTGAGGTGACCTCTGGGGAAGCAGAAACATGACTCAGGATTTCTGAGCCTTGTGAGTTCAAAGGCTGTGTCTTTCTACAGGCCTCAGTGTCTGGCCCGTCTCACCTTGGTTCCTCTTTCTGTCTCCTGAAGCTCAGGAAATCCCTCACACCTGGAGGCTCAGGCCCATTTTCCATCCTGAGCTAATTCTGGAGCGCTTTACATATTCAGTCATCATCTGTTTATATATTCATTCACTCAGCACATTGGTGCCATACCATTTGTTAAGTATTTTGGATATTGCCTTGTATTTAATCACCAAAAAATCCTATGATAGAGGTATTATCTGTAAAATGTCCCCATTTTACAGAAAGGAAACTGAGGCATAAAGAGGTAAGATAACTTGCTCAAGGTCATACAGGTAATAAGTAGTGTGGGATTCAGACCTGGGTTATCTGAGTCCAGCTCCTGCTCTTAAGCTCCAGGCTGTGGCACCCCATCTTGTGAACTGCCTGGAGAAGGACTGGCCTTTCAGGTGGGTGGAACCTTGCAGAAATTGAGATGTTTTTCAGTTTGTTTCCCACCTGGACCTACTCTTTAAGAGTCCATTGTTGAGAATACACCCCATTCACGGCCACTGGTGGGATTTTGTTCCATGCACACACTTCTTAAGTGCATGCAGTTCTTCCTTGTGTGACTCCCCTCTATTGAGAAGTTAAGAACACAGTTACAGCCTGGGTGAGACTTAGCATCTGGAGGTAGCCAACACCAAGCACACATCCCTGATGATCTCTAGAATTGACCAAGGAAGCTTAACTGATCATCAGTATGGTGGCTGCCATGCTTTAGGATTTAACATCCTGTAAAATTGGGCATACCTTCCCAAGATGCCAATGGCCTTTCTCAAAGCAGATTGCCCCTCACAGGCATGGGCATCGTTTTCCTAACGTGTCAACACCTGTGTGCACAGTAGGACTTCAAGTGACATTTGTTGGGTGTCATGCATGCCACACACTGTGCTGGTCACTGGAGTCCAATGAATGAAACTAGACTTCTCAAGGAAGCCACAGCCGAGTAAGAGAGTGCAGTCAGGAGGCAGTGGTCACTATTCACGCCTACAGCCATGTCCTCCTTCTCACCTTTTCTCTTACCCTTGCCTGCCACAATTCCTTGAGTGTGGCTTTAAGGGCTCAACCGTGGCTCCGTTACTTGTAATTTTGTTCTGCTAAGAGTACCAGGCCTGAATAGAACACCAAAGAAAGAGGGGAGCTGCTCATAATTGCCATATGACAAACCTTGAGACCAGAGCAGAGGTTCTCAATCTTGGCAGCCCATTGGAACCACCTTTTAAAATCAGCTTTTAAAGAAGCATGGATGCCCAGGCCCTGCCCTGGAGTTTCTGATCTACTTGTCCAACATTAAAAAAAAAAAAGCTCTCTAGGTGAGTCTCACGTGCAACCATGAAGGAAGATGCTACAGGACCCAGGAGGCTTGTATTCAAACAGATATAGAAGCCATTTCCCACTGACCAAAGGCAGCCTGTGCTCATCACTATTACTGCCAGCGTATATTTTGTGGAGCTCCTCGTTCTGTTTTGTGCTGGGAAATGAGAAGGTAAAATCAAGTTAGACGCTTACAGATTGGCTGGGGATCTGATATGGTCTGAGGTCCAGGACCAGCCTGTCTCATTCATCATACATCCTTACTACCTGCTCGGTTGTAGAAACTCAATAAATGTAGCCTTTTTTGTTGTTATCATTAACAATAATGATGGGAAATCACAATGCCGAGGAGTATAACTTCAGTGTCCATTAGAGATGTTATAAGAATAAAGAGTAGGCAGGGCCTGGTGGCTCATGCCTATAATCCCAGCACTTTGGGAGGCTGAGGTGGGCGGACCACTTGAGGTCAGGAGTTCGAGACCAGCCTGGCCAAAATGGTGAAACCCCATCTTACTAAAAAAAAAAAAAAAAAATTAGCCGGGCATGGTGGCATATGCCTGTAGTCAGTCCCAGCTACTTGGGAGGCTGAAGCAGGAGAATCCCTTGATCCCGGGAGGTGGAGCTTGGAGTGACCCAAGATTGCACCACTGCACTCCAGCCTAGGCAACAGAGCAAGATTCCGTTTTAAAAATCAATCAATCAAACAAACAAAGAACACAAAGAATACAGAGTCATAGGAGTCTGGGGTCAAAAAACTTCCTGGCAGAAGAAGACTCTAGCAAGTTCAGATGGACAGGGGATATTCAAGGCTGGGACGTGTCGAGAACAAAGGCTTGGAGGTGCATGGGGTATTGACAAACCTGGTTACCCCAGCCTGCCTGGAACATGGCCTTCGACTGAGGTTGAGTGTCCAGGAAAGGAGAGGTTGAGGGTGGAATGAGAGCAGGTGGCTAGGAAAGCACAGGCTTTCTTGTGAGGACTCCTCCCCTCTCTCCTTCTTCTCCCCTAAACCCCCCTGCCCCATTGTATTTTGAGGTTGGGGTTCAAGAAACATTAATTAGTGAGCTAGACTTCTGGCTATTAACGTGCTTTCTCTGGTCCTGATTTTTTAAATTTTTATTTGTATTTTACCATTTCCTTATGTGCCCTTTTGTTGTAAGGGAAGGAGATATATCTTCCTTTGGAATTCTGAAGTGCCAGTTGTCAAATAGCTTCTGGAAGGTTGAACTGAAATGGTTTGAATGCTGCTTTTCACAGAATGTTAAGTTTAGTCAGGCTCTCTGCAGGTAGCTAAACCTTGGTAAATGTTAAAGAGAAAGCCCTCTTTAAAAATACTCTGTTTAAAAACTGCTTGTTGTAGAAAATCCAATGCAGAAGGAATAAAGAAAGCAAAAATCTCCTTAAATTCTTCTACCAAGATTGGCTGATTTGCCTCTCTCTTTTTCTCTTCTCTATCATCTGGGTACACAAATACATGTACATACAAATGGAGTTTTATAATAAACATATGAGATACATACATGTTTCAAGCTCATAATATTTTACACTGGGGTGACATACCTGCTGTTTTTCAACCTTCTTATTTGACTTAATATGTGTTGTGATCTTTCCACATTAGTGAGTAAATTCTACATCATTATTTTAAGGGCTGCATAGCGTATCACTTTATGGCTGTATTATTATCTAACCATTTTCTTGTTTATAGGCATTTAGGTGGTTCTAATCCTTTTCCCATTACATTTTGTTATTAACTTGTAATTAACAGTTGGAGTGCCAAGTACTGTATTTTAGCATTTATATATTCAACAAGTATTTACTGAGTGTCATACACTAGGCTAGGCACTATAGCAGTGGTTCTTCATGAACAAGAGACAAAAATCCCTGCCCTTATAGAGTTTATATTCTACTATGAGACACGGACAATGAACAAGATAAATAAATAAAAGATAAAGTATGTTAGGTAGTGATAAGTACAAAGTAGCAAAAAAAGCATGGAAAGGGATATGAAGTATTGAAGAGGGGATGGAAACAGATTTTGAGAAGGGTTGTCAAGAAGGCCTCAGAGAGTGGGGGACTTTTGGATACAGACAGGAGGAAACTAGCCATGGGATTACAAGGGGTCAAGCAAATTGCAGGCAAAGAACCAGCAAGTGCAAATGTCCTGAGGCATCGAGATGCTGGTACATTCAAGAAACTGCCTGGAGGTCAGTGAACGTGCAATAGAGTGAGTAAGAGAGAGCTTAGTGGGAGATGATGTAAGAAACGTAGGGGGGAAGCAGATCATTTAGGCCCTTGGCTTTTGGAAGGAAAGCCATTGAGAAGCTTTGATCGGAGGACAGATATTATATGAATTGTATTTTCATAGGATCATAGCCTGAAGACAGGGCAAACTCAGAGGCGGAGACACAGGAGGCTACTGGAATATTCCAGGTAGCAGAATGTAGCAGCCTGGGGAGAGTGACAGCAGGGAAGATGATGAGAAGAGATAGGACTTTGGATATATTTTGACCCAACAAGATTTGCTGACAGATTGGATGTGGAGTGTGAGAGCAAGAGAGGAGACCAGGGTTTTTTTTTTTTTTTTTTTTTTTTTTTTTTTTTTTTTCCTGAGCGATTGAAAAATGCAGCTGCCATTAACTGAGATGGAGATAAGTGCTCCTGGTGTGAGGGTAGTGGGTTGGGAGGGGCTTCAGGAGCTGAGTTTCAGACTCAAAAGACCGTTGGGATGCAGCATCCCATGCCTTTGAGCAATTTCTCTTTACAGCTCTTCTCATTTAAAGCACAGGTTGCCTCCCGGTTTTGAGAAATGCAACTGTTAGATTTTAGGGGATTTCCTCATCATATTTTTAATCAGAGCATATCATCCCTTTCAAGAATCATTTGCTACTTGTATGTGTGTGTGTGTGCACGCACACATTTGTTTTAGCCATAAATCTGTTCATCATCGATTACATTTTTGGTTGGTTGTCTTTGTGGATTCTTTGTAACTATGTCCCTTTGCATAAAAACAGGGCCTTTTGTTTCCGAAACCATGATTAGCTCCTAGCCACACTCTCCAATTGAAATCATAATCTGCTCTTTGTGACAGCATCGTGGTTGCTCTTGGAAATGATTAGGATGTCACAATTGGGATTAGGACTCCAGGTGGAGAGTAAGTGTGAGGGGCCGATGACAATTTTCTCAGAAGCAAAAAAAATCCTGCCTCCTACTCCCATGCTCTTAGTGATAAGGGAAGGAGGCCAGGAAAATGTATGATCTATAAATAGAACTGCTTCTAAGGAGCCTGCTGAAGGTTTCATTAGGCATCAGAAAGTCCTTTACACTTAGCAATTAATGGCATTGATTTGACTGTGCTGTAATATAAAGATGGAGAAAAGGAACCTAGACATGCATCTTTGTGAAGCAGATGCAGGCAAAATGCCTGAGAGAACTCTAAATGGGGGCTGTAAATCTCACGTCATCCCCCCAAGCCCCCAGATTATAAAAGCATCTCGAGGAAGAAAACTTCTGCATTTCTGTGTTAACTCTTTATTGTTGATGCTGTGCTTTTGTCTGTCACCCCAGGAGCTGCCTACCCACAACAAGGGTATCCCCAGGATACTCATTCTCCCACTGTCCCCCAGGGACCAAAGGCCAGCACTTGATGCTTGACCTTAGGTGTGCCAATCTTGGCACCTCTGTTTTACCTGGTCTCCATAGGGATTGGGCTTATGGTCTGACCCCATCAGCATGATGCTCAAGCCTACTGCACTGACAGGGCCCAGAGAAGGTGTAACAAGCCTGGACTTCTTGGGAAGGCCACAGGGGATCTTTTTCTTTACACTGGTCCATGTTCTCAGACTTGGAAAAGTGACATCAGAAGCCCCCTCCTCCATTTTTCCTGAGTGAATTATGTTCAAGCCAAGCAGCTTTTCCACCTGGGATGGTTTGAATCCAGATAGATGACTTTGATTAGTCATGGAAGACAGCCCTGGGAAAAAAAAAAGTCTGATTCTCTATGGAGCTCAGTCATAAATAGACAGAAATGTAAAGACCTTGTAGGTTTAGTCCTGGGAATAACTGAGTATTTTTTCACCTTTTTAGATCACAGACACCTTTGGTAATCCAATGAAAACTGTAAGTCACTGCAGAAACTCTCAAATACAGCCAGCATTGCTAATGTAGTCAGAAAGTTTATAGAATTCCTGAAGTACAGTTGTGAATAACCCTATTTTTATAATATTCAGACATTTTAAAATTCAATGAATATTTATTGTCTACCATGCATTCACCACTGTTCTAGGTACCAGGAATATAGCAGTGAACAAAGGAACCATGTATTTTTAATTACATGTTAACAATGGTTAAAAATCTCCTGAGTAGAAACTCAGGTAATTCTCTTTTTCTTTCTTTTTTATCTTGCTTTCTCATTTTTCTGAACCAAACATGCATTACTTGTATTAGAGAAACATAATAAAAGAAACAAAATTCATGGTTCATTTCTGAGAATAATGCACAATGACAAATGCTCCTTTGAAAACAGTAGTGATTTGAAATGAATTTGTATCTTATTACTCATGATAATACAGAGGTATTCTGATAAATAAAGATACTGGTATGTGATGGACATGTTATTTAGTCTAAAGCTATGATTGCTTGTAGTGCCTATGGGTAGATGCCTCACAGTAATTAAGGCCTCCTGGGAATCGAATGTTCCTATTATAGATTAAGAATGGTTCCTCTAAACCAAGGCTTGGCAAACTTGAACTACAGACCAAATCCTGTTTTTATAAATAGTTTTATTGGAACACAACGATGCCCCTTCATTTACATATTGTCTATGGCTGTTTTTGTACTACAAAAGCAGTGTTGAGTAGTTATGACAGAGATGGTTTGGCCCACAAAGCCTGAAATGCTTACTAGCTAATCCTTTATAGAAAAGTTTGCTGATCCCCATTCTAGACTTGTGCTGTCCAATAGCACCTTCTGCAACAATGCAAATCTTCTCTATATGTTCTCTATATGTGTTGTCCGATATGGTAGCCACTAACTACATGTATCTACTGAGCCCTTGATATTTGGTTAGTGGGATGAGGAACTGACTTTTGAATTTAATTTAACTCACATTTAAAAATAAATAGCCATGTGTTGTTGGTGACTACTGTATTGAGCCATGCAACTCTAGATCAAACCATGAAATTCTTTCCATATGTCTCCCCGAGCCCTATTTTCTGTGCCATTGTTCAAGCTGAGTGCTATTCTCTTGGTTCTCCCCAGGCTCTCTAGACTAAAATGTTTTTCTTTTAAACGTCTTTTACTATTCCTAAATTGGGTAGACGGTGGCCTCTTTGCATGATGTATAGAGTTTATGAAGTTTTCTGCCCAGAAAAATCCCATAATGGGAAAGACAGATTTGCCAGAGGAAAATGTCAAATATTGGGCAGAGAGTGTAGAAAGAGCTCAAATCTGTTTTTAAAAAAATTAATAAACTTATTTTTCTGGAGCAGTTTTAGTTTCACAGCAAAACTGAGCAGAAGGAACAGAGGGTTCCCATATATTCCTTGTTCCCACACATGCGCAACCTCCCCCACTATCAACATTCCCCATTAGAGTGGTACATTTGTTATAATAGATGAGCCTACATTGGAACATTATTATCACTCAAAGTCTATAGTTTATATTTGGGTTCACTTTTGATGTTATAGATTTCATGAATTTTGACAACTATATAAAAACATGTTCAAATCCCTTTTTGGGGCATAAGAAGGACAAGATGTATGCTTGGTTTCTATGTGTCCCAGAAAGTTTATGTGTTGGAAACTTGATCCCACTGAGGACATGTTGGGAGGTAGGACTTTCAAGAGGTGTTTAGGTCATAAAGGCTCTGTTCTTTTGAATGAATTAATGTCATTATTGTGGGTTCCCTATAAAAGGATGAGTTTAGCCACTGCACCAAGCCACAGTTGTGTTTTTAATAGAAGATATTCTATTAAAGTTGCATTATAGTTGAAAACAACTTCTAAACCAGCACCACATCCATATAGAGTGTGTGTAATTCAGCATGAACACTAAGTGTAAGTCAGTAACACGTTGGAGAGGCACCAAGCTGAGCTCTCTCTGCCTGGCTTCCTCATGCATTCCAGGCACAGACCCTGAGTACTGGCTAGCACTGGGAGTATTTAGCCAGCTTGAGAAGTGGAGCAGTGAATCTTTCAAGGATCTTAACTGGACCTGGTATCATTCATAAGTGCATCACAAGATCTTCACTTGCATACTCAATTCTGTTTCCCAGATGGAGAAGATAGGGGTAAGGTTGGCTCCTGAGGGAGAATGTATCTATTTTCCTTTCTGGTCATCACATTTCTTCTGGAGGCACAGACCCCGTTATTGTGACTGGAATGACGGAGAGGAATGCCAGCTGGAGTTTCTGTCCAAACTTCACACAGTGGTATGTTCTATCCAATACCTTTTTTAATGGGGGAATAAGAGAAGGAACTGTGAGACACAGTATCTTCTGATAGGAAGAGAAATAAATAGGCTTCTCCCCACCCTCAATCCTTTCTTTTACCTCTGGAGGAGGCTAGAGACTCAGGGAGGGAGTTCCAAGCCTAAAAAAGTCACTTTGATGTGGTTGGAAGAGCTCTTGCCTAAGAGATGAGACAGCTGGGCCACTGAAAGTGTAACTGGGTCACTCAGGGTCTCTGGGTCTAACCCAGGAACAGAAGGGGAGGAGTATCTGAGTCCCTGTGAGTCCTCGCACTGGTTTGTAACCTTCTCTCTCTTCACCCTGTGCCATATCCTTCTGCAACACTTGGCATGAAGCTTTCCTTCTGCTCAGAAGACGTTGAAGCTGTTGTCACAAATCTTCTCTGACATGGGCCAAGGAGGCTGGCCAGTGTCATCTACCATTCCCAGGTTAAATGACCTAGGCCAAAGGTGCCTTTCATTTTCTTTTCCTATAATGAATCTTAGGCTTGTTGACTTGCAAAGGGCTTTGAAAACAGCTAGTATAAGATCAGCTATACTTCCAGCTCCTTTTTCTACAGGTGAGGCTCAGAGAGTTTCTGTGAATAGCTCAAGGTGACTTAGGTAATTAATTAATGGTGAGAATCAGGTCTTATGACTTTCAGATCATTTTGATATGCTGTGCTTCCTTCCTGATTGGCCTTCTTTATAAATTAACATGTCCCCCCCAGTCTATAATGTCTTTAGATCAATTGCCCTTAGGTGTTCTTGGAATCAACCCTGAAACCTTGGAATGGGAGGCAGGGTACTTGAGGCATTGATTCTGGATATCCTAAAATTCCCTGAGGGGCACATCTGTTACTTCCCTCCAGCGTCCAACCTGAGATATCTGGCAAGAGATACCATGAAGTTTTGTTAAAACATTACATGATGAAATGAGTGGAGTAATGCCACCCCTCAAACTCTTCCCACCCCCTACCTGGGGTGTGGATTTGTAAAAGTGTCTGTCTGGGCAGCGTCCTGGGCACCCTCCTCATACAAGACAAGAGGAAGAAAGCTGGGGCTCTGGCTATCTGGCCATCACGGTTGCCATTCTCATTATTCTTTCCCATGACTGGGTAACAGATTCTGCAAGGCAGCGTACAGCCTCTTGAACCACCGTATCAAATCATCATCCTTTTGTCCCGAGGCTTATCAGGTCAGCAGAGTTGCCTTTTATTCCTCTTCCACAGGATAAAGCTTTTCTGTCATTGCAACATATTCAGGTAAAGTCATTTGTTCTTGGTGTTTTTGTTCAAAAGAATGGAAAAACTAGTTGTACTGAATGGCTAGCACATTGACCATCCTACAGAACATTTTATAATAGCCACTGCAGATGTGTTGGGGGAAGAAAATCAACCTGTGTTCCAGAAACACTTACCCAGCATCCCTTTACTCAAGTTACACAGTCTGTTCTGCCCTGTTAATTAAACAAGTATCAAGTGACCTGCTATTATCAGGGAACTGATAAAGGGACAGAAAATAAAATAGGAGATGTGATCCCAGCTCATAAAGAGCTAAAAACAATCTGGCTGGGGACATGACACTCACACAAAGAGGGGAACTCATCAGGAAGTATTCTAATGACAGGTTAACGAACGTGGTGGACACAGAATCAATGGTAGCTGAATGTGCTCACCAAGGCCTGTGGCCAGGAGATACACTAGGACTGTCACTGCATGGTGAAGATGGCCATGGTAACCCTGAGAAATTTAATCTTCACCCTGAGGGCAGTAGGATCCTATTGAAGGGCTTTTTTTTTTGGTTGAAAGTTTATTTTAATTATTTAATTTGATATAAACTTCTGGGATACATATGCAGGATGTGCAGATTTGTTACATAGGTAAACATGTTCTATGATGGTTTGCTATACCTGTCAACCCATCACCTAGGTATTAAGCCCCACAGGCATAAGCTGTTAATATTGATCCTGACACTCTCCCTCCCCATGTACTCCCAACAGGTCCCAGTGTGTGTTGTTCTCCTCCCTGTGTCCATGTGTTCTCATTGTTCAGCTCCCACTTATAAGTGAGAACATATGGTGTTTGGTTTTCTGTTCCTGTGTTAATTTACCGAGGATAATGACTTCCGGCTCCATCCATGTTCCTGCAAAGGACATGATCTCATTCCTTTTTATGGCTGTATAGTATTCCATGGTGTATATGTAGCATATTTTCTTTATCCAGTCTATATTGAAGGGCTTTTAATTGGAGGGTAATGTGATTAGATTTCTCACTTAGAGAGAAAACACTACCTGCTGGTTGGAGAATAATATGGGAGGATGTGGATGGTCTTGACACAGAATCAGAGAAGATGGAAGTGAAAGGTAGATCAGTAGAAACTGATGGATTTGAGGGAAACTCTTCAGTGGGAAGCCACTGGGAGGCTTTGCAAAGAAGAATGATGTGATCCAACTTGTACTTTTAACAGGATCACTCTGGCTTCTGTGTTGAACATATATGTTTCGCTGGAGGTGAGAAGAGGGCAGTAACAGAGAGACCAGTGATTGTAATAATCTAGGCAAGGGATGACGGGCTTTGACCAGGAAGGTAGCAGTGGAGGTCATGAGAGGTAGTCAAATTCTGCCTTTAATTTGAAGGTTGAGCCAACAGGCTTTGCTCATAGACTAGGTGTGAGAGAAAGAAAAGTCAAGCATGCCTCCAAGCCTTTTTTGGTCTTAGCAGCTGCAAGTTGGAATTGCCATCAACTGAGATTGAGAGGAAAGCAGGAAGGGTTGGATTTATAGGGGAAGTGCTGGGTGTTGACATTTGGCGTGCCTATTGGCTATTCTAGTGGAGCTATTAAGTAGGCAAGTGGACTACAAGTCTTGAGTTCAATGTGAGATGGGGACTGGAGACATAAATTTGGGAGTCTTTGGCATGCAGATGGTCTCTAAGGCCATAGAATAGATGATAACACCAAGGGAGTAAATGTAAGTAGAAAAGAAAAGTATTGGACTGAATCCTGGGCACTTGAAAGTTAAGACGCAAAGGTGATCAGGGACGAGCAGCAAAGTAGATGGAAAATCTGTGGTCTGTGAGTTGTTGGAAAACCTGGTGGTGTGATGCTTAGAAGCTGTGTGGATAAAGCCTTTTGAGGGGAGGAAATGAGGAAATGCAACAGTTGCTATTGGTGGGTTAAGAAAAAAGAGGACCGATGAGCTTCCCTTGGAATTAGCAGCATGAAGTGCAATGGTGAGCTTGATAAGAAGAGTTTAGGGGAAGTAGAGGAAGCAAAAATGTAATTGTACTGGTTTCAGAGAAAAATGGGAGACAAAAAATTGGATATAATGACCACACATATCTCTTGTGAAGAGCCTTGCTGCAAGGGAAAGGAAGGAAATGGGGAGGGGTAGTTGGAAGTGGAAGTGGGGTAAAGGAATTTGCTGGTATTTGATGACAGTTTCAGTGGCTGATGCAGTGAGCCTGATGGAGGGCAAGTGTCTATCTGCTGAACCTTCAGAAAGGGTGAGGGCTTTGGGCCAGTGATTGCATGGCTCCAGGGCCAGGGGCAGACCTTGGGGTTTTCTTCCTGGTCTCTTTGTAACTCTCTTTGTGTCTGTACCCATTTCAGTGTTCTAACCCATTTGTCTTTTTATTCAGAATCTCCTATGTCTCCCTTTGGAACATTGCCTCCTGAGGCTGTGTCCTCTGGATTGGTTTTCCCCTGTGTTCTCAGGACACTTACCTGTACCCCTCCAGTGAGTGAGGAGATGACCTCCTGGTTGTGACTGTCCATCTTCACAGCTCTGACCTTCACATCTGTCATTCGAAGTCAGTCTAACTGAACTCATGGTTCTGAATTGTCTTGTGTTGCTGCCCAAGAGCCAAGACCCTCTTCCAAACTTTCATGCATAGTTTTGTTCATTAATATATAAAGCAGGTGCCAGTTATTCAGATTCACATTCCAAATATTTTTAACTCTCATTCTTTTAATTACATACATTATATTGCCAGAAAATTAGAATATACTTATAAACAAAAGGAAAATAAGCCTCCGTCGGCTCACTACCCTCAACTGGCTGCTGTTAACATCATATGGTTCATAGATGTACTGATACACCTAAAAAGAAACATGCTCCGTTGAAGAATTCTGTTCATTCAGACCAATCAGCAGCCAACACGATTTCTGCAACCCATGACCCCATTCTTCCATGAGCTTTTACTTTTTTTTCCTCTGTACACAACTCCCTTCATCGTCCATTCCTCTAGCTCCCTCATCATGTGAATGTCACGGGAATGTCTGTGAAGGTTTTCAAGCATCTCTTCCAGATATTGTTTTCACATTATACAAAACAACAGTATGTGCATATGGGAGGAGGGTAACAGTTGAGTTTGCCCAGAAAATAGAGGCATGAAATGCAGATCAGTTTGTTTCCTGCCTGCAACTCTATTTCTCTGCACCAAAATATATCTATTGCCCATCTCACCTGGAATATGCAAAATGTGTCAGGTTTCTTTAGTGTTTCCCCACCTTGTAGTGAGTGTTGCAAATTAAATTCCAGACTCACCAGCCTGTGCTTCATTCATTGTTTTGGGAACTGACATATTTTGGTGCTTTGCTGTTCATTTCCTGCTTGCTGGATGGCATAGTTTTAGTAGGTTGCAGGGATCTCCTTTTGCTCACACCAAGAGCGCTTAGCGGAAGAGTTGGCCCATCCATTTGGAATCCACCATTTTGAGAAATTTTCAAGTTTATCATTATATCCTCTCTACCCAGCCCCTTCCTTGTTCCTAGAGGTCAGCAGCCCCTAGGGGTGGCCCAGAATTAACATCTACTTCTTCCAGATCTCAATGACATCTCAGTGAAATAGCCAGCTCTCAAATTCTATGGTGTTGAAAACAGCGTTAGACATAAACGTTGATAAAGCTTGATCACGCGTTAGTTGGTAGGCCTTGGCCAGTCTGGGACTACTCACAATTCATGTAGGTATGGAGGTTTCCATTTTCTACCCTCTTCACTTCCCCAGCATCAGCCCTTTGTCACAGCCAAGCACAGCTACTTTGAATTAATAATTCCCTTTCTGGTTTCAGCAATCTCTTATTTGGCTTTTCTGCCTATGAAACCAAATGCTCCCACACAATCATTAGCAAGTGTGGGAATTGTTGTTAGGAGCTGAATATTTATTGTACACCCACAAATTTTTAGGTGCCATGCAGAATATGATTGCCCAGGATTGCTTTTGTCTAAGATGCCAGAGGAAGTTAATTAGCATTTGAGAGAAATGCCTGCATTGCAAAATGGCCTCCTGACCATTGTGGCAGTACAGGAGGGGTGCTGGAGGAGCAGCAGCACAGACCAGAATGGGCCAGAGCTGACCCAGACTCTGTCCATGGTGCTGAGTAGAAGTCCTCTAAGGCAGCAGTCCCCAACCTTTTTGGCATCAGGAACTGGTTTCATGGAAGATAATTTTTCCGTGGACTGGGGTGGAGGGCGGAGAATGGTTTCAGGATGAAACTGTTCCACCTCAGATCATCAGGTATTAGTTAGAGTTTCTAAAGGAGCGCGCAATCTAGATCCCTTCCATGTGCGGTTCACAATAGGGTTTGCGCTCCTATGAGAATCTAATGGCGCAGCTGATCTGACAGGAGGTAGAGCTCTGGCGGTAATGCTCACTCACCTGCCCACCTGCAGCTCACCTTCTGCTGTGGGGCCCGCTTCCTAACAGGGGGAACCCCTGCTCTAAGGGCCCAGGAAGAGGAGGGTTGGAAGAGAAGCCAAACCTAGGGGGAAGAGGCTGAAAGAGTTGAGGAAGCCAGTCTCCAAAACTGTCTGGTATTTGTTCGTCTTCACTCCACACAACCCTGGGATAGAAACCAGTATTGATTTCTGGAGCTTCTCTGGAAATGTGTGGCACTTGCTCAGGATGGGCTTGAGATGCAGTATAGGGTTTTGGTCAGACCGATGTGTGTTCGAGTCCTGTCTCAGCAATTCATGAGTAGGTGTCCTTGGGTAAGTTACATAATGTATGTGGGCCTCTGTTATCTCATCTGAAAAATGGGCATAATAACATCTCCATGCAGGTTTATTTTGCAGCTTAGAAATGAAGTATATTGTGAGTCTGGTACTACGTTTGTCTCATAGAACGTAGTCATCACATGCTAGCTATTATTAATGGCTGTTGTGGCCAGTTCCTATTGCACACTTGCAGTCATGTATCTGCAGGGACCTGAAGAAGATGAATCCTGGGCCAGCTACCCTAGGCAGAGTCCCAGAGAAGATACACAACCAAGTTCCTTGGGAACAGGGGGGAAAAGCTGTCTGTATTTGAGCATGCAAAGATCTATTGAAGGGGGTAGGTGAAGAAAGCCCCACATAGTGGTCACCATCCCATAGACCCTCATCCTCCTCCTCTTTGCAAATCAAGAGTGAAAAGCCTGGGAAATGTGTGTAGCTGGCATTCTGAGCCATGTGTATGCCATGTCCTATAGAAGGAGAGCACTTGATCCAGGTAATTAAAAGTGTCAGCTCCTTATCCAGGAGAGGGTTCTATTAAATTATGTACAGTAAATATTTTTGCAAGTTGGAACTCTGAAGAAGACTTATTGATCTGTGGCAAGCTGCCAGGCAGCTGGTAAAGATTTGGAAAACGGTTCTCAATCCAGGGCAGGTCCTAGGAGAAGTGGGGAGAAAAACCAGTCTGGAGGATCTTTTGTTTCACCTTTATCTTTTCCTCCCTCGAGGGGCCTGCAGTTTCTCCTGGGGCTGCCAAATCAATAGCAGACAATGATATAAACAGCTTGGTTAGTGCAGCCTCCATGGTTCTGATACAAGCCACAGCACAGTTGCTCAGGTGGGGCAGCCTGGATGGAGTCCTGGATAAGGAGGGAAATTAATGTCAGGAGACCGAGAGAGTCTGGCCCAGCAGAAGGAACAAGCAGCACTGTTAGGAGATGGGCAGAGGGGATGAAGCTACCTGGACCCTCAGCTCAGCTTTCTCCTCCAAGAGAGTTCCTGACCTACGCACTGAGGTCAACCCTCTTCTCCTGCCACCAGGGTCCCTATCTGTCTCTCTTCCTCTCTTCTGCCTCAGCACTTGGTGCTGGCACTCTGCTCCCAGAGGGCGCTCTGGAAATGACGCTGCTTTAGAAGTTGGGTCTTGAGAACAGATGGGAAGTGAAGCTGGGTTTGACCAGATCTCTCCTCATAGTCTTGGTTCTGGACAATTGGACAGGCACCCTGTGCAGGAGCCCAAGGCAACAGCTGAGAGGACCACCCAAATTCCCCCAGCTCATGAGAAGTTTTCATGAGAAGCTCATGAAAACAGTAACAGTACAGTGCACAGTTTGGGATTACTATTTTCCCCCCTTTAAACTTCTCATTGCCTCACCTCTCCCCCATTAGCGCAATTTGATGGGATCTTGTTGGCATCACAGATGTGTTCATAGCAAAGATCTGTGGTCACCTCTGTTGGGTCAGGTTGGCATTCCAGGTGAGAAATTCGGGTGATGTTAGAGGGAAGGCTGGGGAGATGGTGTGTGTGTGTCCTAGGTAGTTCTGAGGCCATGTTCTTTTTTCCTAAATCTGGAGAAACTTGCTAATTTTTCCCCAAGTGTCTCTGGGAAAAGGAAGCCGGGCTCTATGCGTGAAGTTGAGCTCTCTGCAGGGAGCCATTACTTTGTTGTTTAAAGAAGGCTTTATGCTTCACAGCTTTAGATCATTTCACATGATGAAACACCGTCTCACTACTGACAATTGTAATTTAAAATGTTTGACAGTCTTTTCAACTGAGAAAGAGTAATCGTCACTTGCCACGGGCAGACTTGGAGAGTCGCTGTTACGTGCCAACTGGAAGAATCTCGCTGGCCCCGCCCTGGTCATCCTGGGCTACACGACTTTATTTGCTGCTCTTCCTCATCCTGACTCTTTTTACCCACCCTGGCCACTCTGTACTTCCAGGCTTCTCTACTCCTGCCCACGTGTAAACTGCATTCTGGTCCTAACTCCCTGGCCTCCTGCCTGTCTGCCTCCATTTCCTCATCTATTAAACTCTAGGTGTCTACATCCCTGCCCGCCTCTTTCACTGTAGGACCAGGCGTGGGAAATGCTGAGCTTTTCAGAGATCAGTCAGGAGGAGAATGTTTGTTAAATGACAGAATCCTGGTTGTGCCACTGTCCACTGCATGGCCTTGGTCATTCACTTCACTACTGTAGGTCTCTAATTTCTCATCTGTAAAATAAAACTAGTAACACCTACCTGTTTGGGCTGTTGTGACTTGTAGAACCAATGTTGTAAAGTTCCTAACACAAGGATTGGCTCAGTTAATCTTAGTTTTATCATAAGGATGATATCAATAGGACGCTATGTTTCAAAAATAATATAATTATATAAATGCATAGTTATACTGCTCATACACTATTGTCCAATGAACTACACATTATATAACTCTTACTACCATCACTTCTAGCATCCCACCATTACCACCACCAACACTACAATCATCACCATCACCACCACAACCACCACCATCATTTCTAGGATCAGCACCACCACCACCATCACCACCATCATAACCATTACCATCACTACCATCATCATCACCACCACCACCATCACCGCTACCACCACCACCATCATCACCACCACCACCACCACCACCATCACCACCACCATCACCACCACCACCATCACTACCACCACCACCACCACCCCCATCACTACCATCATCATCACCACCACCACCATCACCACCATCACCACCACCACCACCACCACCATCACCACCACCACCATCACTACCACCACCACCACCCCCATCACTACCATCATCATCACCACCACCACCATCACCACCATCACCACCACCACCATCATCACCACCACCATCACCACCACCACCACCACCACCACCAGCACCACCACCATCACCACCACCACCATCACCACCACCACCACCACCACCCCCACTACCACCATGATCACATCATCACCACCACCACCATCACCACTACCACCACCATCCCCATCACCACCACCACCACCATATTCATCATCACCATCACCATCACTACCACTACCCCACTACCACCCCACTACCACTGCCACTACCACCATCTCCATTAAAAACAGCAGCAAGAAACTCTTATTGGGCTTACTTGCCAAGTGCTATTGTAAATGCTTTACATGTAATTTACTCAGGTAATTGTCAAAAAAACTCTATGATATATTCAAATATCACTAGCTTCATTTTTCAGTATTATTAGCTTATGGTATAGATGATAAGTTTAAGGCCTAGAGATACTCAATAATTTGCCCAAGGTCATAGAGTTAATAAGTGGTGATGAAGCCTCTGTTCTGGCAACACTTTTGGCTACATCTTTCAGGATATTTATGTGTGTGCTTTTGTATCTGTCTGTGTGTCTGGTATGTTTTCCTATATAGGTCAGTGCATACTTTGTCATTTTGACAGTGAGGCCCATGGGGCTCTTATAAAGCCTTTTAGTCCACTGCAAACAAAAAAAGGTGGAAAATATTCAAAAGAGATCCAGCAGATAGCATAAAATGGTTTGATTTTTTTTTTTTTGAGACGGAGTCTCGCTCTGTCACCCAAGCTGGAGTGCAGTGACACAATCTCGGCTCACTGCAAGCTCTGCCTCCCGGGTTCACACCATTCTCCTGCCTCAGCCTCCCAAGTAGCTGGTACTACAGGCACCCGTCACCACGCCCGGCTAATTTTTTGTATTTTTAGTAGAGATGGGGTTTCACCAGGTTAGCCAGGATGGTCTCGATCTCCTGACCTCGTGATGCACCCACCTCGGCCTCCCAAAGTGCTGGGATTACAGGCGTGAGCCACCGTGCCCGGCCGATTTGATATTTTTTAAAGCGAAGTTATTTTTGAAAATCTGTGATAGAAATTAGAGCAATAGAGGTATAACAAAGGGAAGGAAAGTAGAATTTTGGTCATGATGTAGTTAAAGCCTTTATTAATAAGTCTATTTTGTTTAAAAGTTTATTATAATCAGCGGAGAAATGCTGTAGATTAGTCAATTATGTAATTGAGCATTCTCTGAACTTTTATTTATTCTCAACTTTGTTTTCTTCCCTGTCAATCAAAGCAGCATATAAAAGCAATCTTTGGGGTTCGAGCTGGAGGGCACTCTTATTCTGGCCAGAAACATCTTATTAAAATAGTTAAGAATGAAAACGCCTGGAACCCTAGAGTGCCTGCCCTCTATTTGATATTGGATGGGGATGGG
Source organism: Homo sapiens (assembly GCF_000001405.40). NCBI lineage: Eukaryota > Metazoa > Chordata > Mammalia > Primates > Hominidae > Homo > Homo sapiens. Next base: position 141,338,529 of record NC_000007.14, read on the forward strand.
AGAAAGGCAGGGGTGATGTCTATTTTCTTACCTTATTTAGAACAAAAGAAAAAGAAAACTCCCTTTTTAGTGATTTCAGACATCAGTACCACAATGGATGGCTTAACTGTGAGTGAGTTTGGGACACTGTATGCAGTATGAATTTGCAGGGAGGGCAGTGACCAAACTGTCCCCCTGGCCAGCCACTGGCCTATGCAGCAGTGTGGTGGGTGGGGTATGCAGAGGGTATGGCAGCTGACTTGATAATTCCACCTCTCACTGTCAAAACCACTTCAAGCTGGCCAATGATGACATCTCTGCATAAAAAGTCACATTATTTTATATTTTAGAAAATAGGGCCTTAAAAGCTTGCTCTAGGTATATTTCTTGCCCATCACAAATAACTGTGCAATGGGGAGCTACTCTGACCTAGAAGCTAGAGCTGCCTATTAAAATGTAAATTGTTATTTCAGAAATATGTGGGGACTTCCATGGCGGGTGTTGGGGAGAGAAGGTGTGCATGTGTATGCGTGTGTTTGTGAGAGAGTGAGACAGGTTGTGGGGCCTTCACATGTAGTGTGCATTGTAAATTATAAGCCCTCAAGCGGGGTAATTTCTTCATACCAGGTTGCGATGGCTATAGCGAAGTTCCCTGGGGGCTGCTTTCTATCTCTTTGGCTTTCTTGTCCCTGAGGAGTGGAAAGATGGCCCTTCCAAGGGATGGTGTCTGCAGGTGGGGAGTGATCGTTTCCACACTGGACAGCTCACATAGCCAGGAGGGGTAGGGCAGCCACCTCTCGTCCGCCTCAGTGGACAGGGCCCAGAGAATGGGCAGTGTGCTGCAGCAGATGGGCTCACGTGGGGCATGTGGAGCTCAGCAGTTGGGAGGTGGAGCAAGTCAGCAATGGTTCAGGAAACCAACTGTCCCAGCTACTGGAGTAAGTGCAGATTTCAGAAGTCAGGCCAAGCAGGGGGTCAGAAAACCAAGACTACACTTCAGCAAAAGATCTGCTAAAAGGGATGAAAATTAGCAAAGGAGATTTTTTAAAACTAGGGAGTTCATAAAGTGGAAGGTGCAAATATAAAATGGAATAGAAAAATGAGGACATTCATGTGGTTCATGAAAGAAAATGTAAACATTAAAGCAAATTCTCACCCCATCTTCAAGGATATGTGGCCTTTGGGGCAGAAACCAGTCGTTGATGCTGTAAGTGTAGGGACAGGCAGTGGAGAGCACCTGTCTAAGCTGGGGGAGAATGTAGGCAGGACCAGGGACAGCACAGACTGCCCTGGAGGCAATGGGCTCATGTTAGTAGAAACTGCAAAACATTTGCTGTCAGCCTGGCTTGAGGCCAAAGAGCAGGATATTTGTCTGCATGGCAGGATTTAGGACAAGTTGGAAAGGTCATTTTGTCAGTCTTGGAGTAAAACCAGGATCAAATTAAAACATGATTGTTAGGCATGATTTGATGAAAAAGGTACTGTGTGGACAGAATAATGACCCTCTGTCAAGATAGCCACACCTTAATCCCTGGAACCTGTGAACATGTTATCTTACATGGAAAAGAGGACTTTGAAGATGTGATTAAGTTAGGAGAGATTTGAAGATGCTACACTGTTGGCTTTGAATATGGAGGAAGGGGCCATGAACCAAGAAATGCAGGCAGTTTCTTGAAACTGGAAAAGGCAAGGAAACAGATTTGTCCCTAGAGCTTCCCGTGAAAGCATAGCCCAGCTGACAGCTGGATTTCAGTCCAGTGAAACCCATTTTGGACTTCTGACCTACAGAACTGTAAGATAATCGGTTTGTGTTGTAAGCCACTAAATTTGCGATTACTTGTTACAGCAGCAATAGATAACTAACACAGGTACCAGTTTCTTCTGAGATACTCATTTCTTCAGTTTGCTGTAGAAATTTAATCTATAAATCTTGTTATTATAATTTGGCACATGTAGCTGTATTAATAACATTCCATTTAAAGAAGGTTTTATGTTTTTCAAAGAGGTAAAGTCATGCTTCTTTCAATTTTTGTCAAAAGTCGCCTATATCAAGAGATATTGTGTGCTCCTCAGAGGAATCCGATTGTGGCCATACCACCACCTGTTGGTAACACAGTCTTCATTTCAGGAAAATATCTAAGGAAAGCACAAAGCACATCAGGAGCAGTGCAACAGAAAAACACTAAAGTAAAAAGTAAAAGGAAAGGAAAAGAAATATCATACCTTGACATGAAACTGTACCTGATCGTTTGGTGGGTCATTGACGGATTTTATAAATATTGCATGAGCCTAGTACACTTTTAGAAAACAGCTTCTCTCCCTCTCGGGTGTATACAGAATACTGTATGCTGTTATTTCTGCAACATCATCTGATCCTTCTTATTTTTTCAATAATGTATGAATTATGTATCTGTTTGGTTTCAGCTTTGTCACTAAATATGAAACTCACCGCTCCCTTCCCCCAAATCAGAAAGAAAGATAAGCTCTAAAAAAAAGTTTGCAGCCAAAAAATATTGAGGGAGCTCAATGCATGGAAATATATATGCACCTTCACAACAAATCCACACACAAATATAGATGTGCATCTTCTACCTTCTTCCTCAACCCAGAGCTGTTTTTGACCCCGTTTGGAGTTATCTGCACACAAGCTGGAGAGAGGGATGCAAACTGCTTGCCGGTTGTTGTTTCTATGGAAACTGGCAGAGACAAAAGGCCACAAAAATGAAGGAATAAGATGACATCTAAGGATTCAAAAACAAAACAAAATGAGATTTTCTTTTCCTCTCTCCACACTGTGCTACTTTAACTTAGTGAGCGCTTTGGTTTACTGAGCCGGGAAGGTGTGGGGAGGAAAATGAGAAGGAAAAAGAGCAAGGATTTCTCTTCTGCCCAGTCCCATTTTACCTAAGGGGTTTCTCTTTGATTTCTCATCACCTTTTCTCTCCTCCTAAAAAAGAAAAGCATCAACCCATCAGTCTGAAGGCAGCACACTCATCTCTCATTTCTCTCTGAGAAAGGAAGTGTGCTGATTTCAGCTCCCCCTGAGGAAGATCCTTCTAAACCACGGACCGACCATCTTCTGACTGTTTTTCGTCTTCACTGCAGACAGGCAGTGGCTGGGAGGCTGCTTGGGATGACCACTAAGGGCTCTGCCAACTCTCCTGTCTAGCAATTTAGTGATTAATCATTTTAGTCATTTACTTAGAAGAAATGGGACTGAATTTCAAATGCATCTCCTTTTAACTAGAAAAAAAAAAATTATGGCAAAGCTCATGTCTTGAAAAGCCCAGAAATCTTCCCTGGCCTTTCCATTAGCCCTGTTCTACCTTGACCTGGGACACTTCCTACACTTGGGGCTCCAGTGACTTTTTCCCACTTCAGAAATTAGTTTTGACTTCTCCAATGTCTTCTAGTAGGAATGTACAAATTACGTCAAAATACAACTTTTTTTCTTTTTTGAGACCGAATCTCATTCTGTCACTCAGGCCGGAGTGCAGTAGTGTGATCTCAGCTCACTGCAACCTCCGCCTCCTGGGTTCCAGTGATTCACCTGCCTCAGCCTCCCAAGTAGCTGGGATTACAGGTGTGCACCACCACACCTGGCTAATTTTTGTATTTTTAGCAGAGACGGGCTTTCCCCATGTTGACCAGGCTGGTCTCAAACTACTGACCTCAGGTGGTCTGCTTGCCTCTGCCTTCCAAAGTCCTGGGATTACAGGCATGAGCCACACCCGGCCCAAAATATAACTTATAAGCAAAGTGTTGAATAAAAGAGCAATAATGGATCCTTCAGTATCATTGGTTCTAACCTTCCCGATGTGGATAAGTGAATCACTAAAGTAGTATTTCTCAAACTGGATCATCTAAGCCATGATAGGTGGAATCCTTTGTTAAAAATGCATATTCAAAAAAATTCGTTTTCTCAGAACCCCTTCTCAGACATTCTGAGTGAGGAATCTCTTGGGAGGGGCTGAGGAATTTGCTTATTTTGTCTTCAAGATCCAGCTCCTCCTTCCAGCCGAGGTCTTCCTGATGACCCTCAGGGAGGCAGAAAACTTGGGCTAGGCTCACCTGTTAGGTGGTTGCGTAGCCCTTTGGTTGATAAAGAATTTCTTTAAGGTAAATTTTAGCAAATTCTCCTCCCTTGAACAGAGAGAAGAGCAAGCTGAGTATCCACTTTCACCAGACTCTTCTCACATACGGATAACTTAATCATTCCTGTTTTTTGTTCCGTTCGAGTTTCCGCAGTCAGTGAGGTGTGAAACTCTCTGACCTATCTCATGTCGAGTCAGGCTTCAGTTTCTCTCAGCTTGATTGACTGTTCTGCCCACTGTCGGTAGGTTCTTCAAACCATGAAGTTTTTGTGATGCCTATCCTAATAGAATGCCAACTTCCTGTCATTATTTTGTTTTCCATTGCTCATGTCTAGCTGCGCCTCTTGAAAACATCCTGTACCACTGTTTCTCAAACTTTAGCTGTATGGGACTCACCCGGATGGCTCAGGAGAGAGAAAACACAGATTGCTTGGCCCACCCCCAGGGTTTCTGATTCACTAGGCCCGGGCTGAGGCCTGAGAAGGTTCATCTCTAATGAGCTCCCAAGCGATGCTCACGCTGCTGGTCCGGGGACTGCATTTAAGAACTGCTGCCCTAGACTTCACTCACATCTCTGGACCGTGTAGGTCTGATTCATCCCCGTACCACTCGCCCTTGCATTGCGTATGACAAAGCCATGCACAGTAAACATGTATTTATGCTGAAGCAGACAAATGAAACAGGACACCTCCATGACCTCACCCTAGTCCTGGGATTCTGATTATGAATTTCCTAGCCAGATTATGAGTTTCCAAAGCCAGAGAGGCCTGTGGGGTGGCACTCCCCATGTCTGCCTGTGGCCCATTGTCAGATTCATTTGCAACTTCAGATTATAAGGCCAGATTGGTGCTCAGACTGTTGACCTTCCTGCAGCTGCCTAGTTCAGAATCAGGCTCTTATAGCCACAGCTGTGATGGGAGCACCTTTTTTTTTTTTTTTTTTTTTTTTGTGAGATGGAGTCTTGCTCTGTCTCCCAGGCTGGAGTGCAATGGTGCAATGGTTCAATGGTGCAATCTCGGCTCACTGCAAGCTCCACCCCACCGGGTTACACCATTCTCTTGCCTCAGCCTCCCGAGTAGCTGGGACTACAGGCGCCCGCCACCAAGCCTGGCTAATTTTTTATATTTTTAGTAGAGGTGGGGTTTCACTGTGTTAGCCAGGATGGTCTCAATCTCCTGATCTCAGGATCCACCCACCTCGGCCTCCCAAAGTGCTGGGATTACAGGCGTGAGCCACCGCGCCCAGCCGGGAACTCTTTTTAAGCCTTTGTGCTCTGACTTGGTCTTAGAGAGAACTGTGGGGCTGGCTGCCCAAGCCCCTGATCTCCTGTTGCAACCCAGAGGATCCCTGATCTTGGCCTGTGATTCTCAAACCTCTTTGGGAACAAAATAAAACCACTTATTCATACTGCAGAGGAAAGGACAGCTTGGATTGTGACAGATTTTAAAATACGGAGTATATGAGATATTGGCTCCTCACTATATGCTGATCTAAAATTCTCTGGAATTATTAGGTTGGTGCAAAAGTAATTGTGGTTTTTGCCATTACTTTTAAGGGTGACACAGCTTAATAATGGTTGTATCAACAGCAGCAGCAGTTAACATGGATTATCTCATTTAATATTCTATGCTATAAGGTTTTATGAGTCCCATTTTAAAGATCAGAACAGTGAGGATTAGAGTGATTGAGTAACTGGTCCTTAGCCACAGAGTTCAAGATGTTGGTTTCAGATCTCTGACTTCAAGGCCTGAGCTCAGAACCCCTGGTCCGATAGCCCTTCAGTCACTGAACTTCATCAGATGACATTTGAAGGGATCCAACTAATGTTGAGTTCTGCTTTATAATGAAAAGTTATAAGTTTCTCACACATTTTAGGCACTCTTTTTACTTTGAAATTTTTAAAAATGTAATTTTAAGACTTTTTAAAGCTGGGATTTTAGTTTCTCCCTCCCTCCCTCCATTCCTCCCTCCTCCCTTCCTTCCTTCCTTCCTTCCTTCCTTCCTTCCTTCCTTCCTTCCTTCCTTCCTCCCTTCCTTCTTCCCTTCATCAAAAGACCTCTCAGAGGGAGGAACAAAGTATAAAACAATAAAGATGGACACAGAAGGTACAGCACCCCCCAACACACACACACCAGGCCCCTAGGAATTCAAAAATCAGTTTGAATACTACTGGGGCTTGTAAAGATTTCAAACTTTTGGAACTCAGAACGAGCTGTCTGTTAACTGTGGCTCTGCCACCGGCTGGCTGTGGAAGCTGTGGGAGTAAACCCTCCAGGACTTGGTGGTCTTGGTTGTAAAGTGACAGAAATGAACAGGACCACATCTCTGATGCTACCCATTATTTAATTACTAAGCATGAGTTAATAGCTAACAAGATGTAGTAAAGAAATAGGTTCTACTTTTATGAAGAGATTAAAACTAGTCATAATTAGCATGTCGCATACAAATATGTCATGAAAAAGAGCTTGGAAAGAAATTTTGTCCTAAAGCAAGTAAAAAATTACAGATATATTTCATATATATTGCTACTTTGCTTGGGATACCCCCAACTCTCACTTTTCCATTTATATATTGAAGAGACCTTACGTTTTAACCTAACCCTAGTCAGATTGGAACAAATTCATGATCAATAGTACCAAAGTCAGCAACAGGTTAATTGTCAAAACCCCAAAACTTACAAATAAAGTTAGAGAGGGAGTTAATAATTCTGTGATAAAATCATTTAGGCAAACAACTCGAGATTGATAATATCAACAATTTGAGATTGGTAGGAAAGATTTTTCAGAGAGTTTCTGGAAAAGTAGGGTATCTCCTTCTGCCTTGATTTTGTTTTGGTTTTGTTTGTCCTCATCGTTATAGTACTAGTCTCTTTCTTTGCCAAGCTACAGTAAAGATGGCACCGTTGTAGTGAATGATAGAGTTATCACACAGCAAGCTGTGTTGTGTGCCTCAGGGTCATGTTATCCTTGTTATGTTCAAGTATTAGGTGATTTTGTCATTCTCTTTACCCTGCAATGGGCTTGGTACAGATGGTTCGTGTTTCACAGAAAATGCAAAAGGAGATCTCATGTGAAAACGAACACTTATCTCTCGAAGAAAAAAGTTAAAGAGGTTAGTTTAACTACTAACTCAAATTATAAGTATTTACTAAAAAATGCTTACTGATTGTTTTATACTAACTACCATTTTTAACATTAGACTGGCATTTTTAACTTTTAAACTTTAAGAGAGTTGTTAACTAAATGAGACCTGCAATTTGGGCATGCCGTCACCAGTTCTTATCTTCCACCACCTTATAAGGGACTTATAAAACCTTATAAAACTTTTGTTTTGTGGCATATGATTCAGATCTTATCTATGAAATTTATATTTATTTAATCCTAGTACTTTGGGAGGCTGAGGCGGGCGGATCACGAGAGACCATCCTGGCTAACACAGTGAAACCCTGTCTCTACTAAAAATACAAAAAATTAGCCGGGCGTGGTGGCGGGTGCCTGTAGTCCCAGCTACTCGGGAGGCTGAGGCAGGAGAATAGCGAGAACCCAGGAAGTGGAGCTTGCAGTGAGCCAAGATCATGCCACTGCCCTCCAGCCTGGGCAACAGAGCGACTCCATCTCAAGAACAAACAAACAAAAAAAACCAAAAAACAAACAAAAAAACCTCTTTACCCAAATAGATGAATATAAAAAACAGTAAATCATGCTATAGAAAATTGGATAGAGAAATACTAAAAAATAAAGACCTAGGTGTAATTTTGGACTATTTTCAACAACTTTTACTTCAACCCTGATGTTATCACCAGACTTCCTTCTTTCCTAATTTATCTAAATGTTACCTGGAAAAATTAGCCCCTCTTAGGACAGTACCTACCTTCAGGGCTTGACTTATAGTCAGCTTTGTGTAAGATTTGTTAGGACCTTATAAGTATCATGTGCCCTTACCTGTACTTCTTCCCTATTCTCACTCCAGCCACCTCACACATAGGCAATGGACATATGTGTACCCATACACACTCCACACACACTGCTACACAGACACACACCTCTAATTCTTTGCTTTTTTTTTTGGAGTCCTCATGATTCTCTTCCACACAGAAGGAGAGAAGAAAGAAAGAGCCACATGGATATGTATATACCAACAGTGTGTGGTACACACACAAACACATGCTAATAGGATTACATGTTTTACAATTAGAAAGCAAATTTCCATAACAAAGTAAATTACTCATTGATATAATTTAGCTCTGTGCCCCTACCCAAATCTCATGTGGAATTGTAATCCCCATATGTTGAAGGTGGGGCCTGATGGGAGGTAATTGGATTGTGGGTGTGGTGTCTAGTGGTTTAGCACCATCGCCCTAGTGCTGTCTCATGATGGAGTTCTCACAAGATCTGATGGTTTAAGTGTGGTGCCTCCCCCTTGCTCTCTCTCTCCTGCCATCATGTGAAGAAGGCCCTTGCTTCCCCTTCACCTTCTGCCATGATTGTAAGTTTCCTGAAGCTTCCCCATCATGATTCCTGGTAAGTCTGCAGAACTGTGAGTCGATGACAACTCTTTTCTTCATAAATTATCCAGTCTCAGGTAGTTCTTGACAGCAGTGCGAGAACGAGAACAGCCTAATATACTCATAAAGAAAAGAGAGGTGTGTCTTGCACCATAAGGAATCTTCTGGATCAGGTTCTACTTAGATTTTCCTTCAAATTTAAATGTAGTGTGGAGGAGGGCCATGATATTGTATGCAGACTCTAAAGTTAGGGTGTAAGATCAATCATTCCCTTGGAAATCTTTTTGGGCCATGCCACATTGGAGACAGGCATACAGTCTCTCGGGTCTCCTGGCAGAGCTGGTTTTCCTTTGGTGTGGGAACAGACCACTGTTCAGCTGAACATCCTATGACATAATTGGCTGGCGTTTAGGAGCCACATTGTGCAAAAATACTTATCTTTAAGCACTAGCATCATGCTCCATGTAGCAAGATGCTCGTGGCTGAGGGAGTCATGGTAACTAGAGATGCCTCTGGGGCCCATAGGCTCATGGCCCTCTTCTGGATCCTAGTCTGTCCACACAAGCACAAAGTGTGTGGTCTGTGTCTCTTACTCTCCACATCTCCCCCACCCCCCGTCTGCCTTCTCTGTCTCCTCATCTGTCTCCTTTTCCTGTCCTCCTCACCTCACTTTATTCTGTCTGTACCCCACCTCTCCACTCTGCCGCACCACCAACTGTGGAATTCACTTAAGTAGAAAGTGTGTGTAATGTAATGAATGCGACCTCAGGACAAACAACTGGGACAATCTTGCCTTATCACAGTAGTTACCTAGGAGAGATGATTTCACCAATAGCCTCTGTCATAGAACCTTTCAAAACTTAATTTCCAAAGGTCCACCTCAATGAGTACAGAACAATATTTACTAGCTGGGAGAGAAAAGGGTTTAGACAGATCTAACCACATTTAGCAACAATGCTTACATATGCTTTTGTGTCCTTGTGAGATTTTATCAGCCAGGTTATTTTACTTTATTTTGTTTTGTTTTAGCCAAAATCTTGGGTTTTACGATAGCGGGTTGGTTTTTTATCGTTGTTTCTTGTTGGTTCATTTCCAAATTTCGCAGTTATTTCTTTCTACTGAAAAATAAGGTCACAAAATCAATGAAGCAAAGTTTCCTTTGTAATAAAGCCCAAATTGTGTGACAGTTTTCTAAACTCGCCATTGCAGAAGCTATGTAATGCATTGCATCCAACGTGTAATTCAGATGGACAGGATTCATGTGGTCTTTACAGGGTGCTGGGCTTTTTTGGGGAGAAGCAGCGTGGTGAGGAGGCTGTGAAGGAACGGCATTCCGACTGGGGAGTCAAGTGTTAGAAGAAAGACAGGTTTCTGGAAGAAGGAGACCATCTCTGGGCCATCTTGGCAATTGTAATTTAGGGGGAGAGCAGTCTGAAATTAGTTAATCTAATTTAGACTGTGAGGAAAATGTAGCCATTTAAGAAAGAGTGTGGATAATTTCAGGCTGAAAGCAAATCTTCACCCACAAGAATATCTCCAGTCTAGTTAAGCTAATGAAACCTTAACTAGGTTACAAAGAAATCAGAATACAGGAGTTTGAAATGGACCTGTAAAGAAAGGAGGCAATTGTAATTAATGTGTATTACCCTGAGTGGACGGCTGATTTTGTCTGAAAAAGGATATCTTTAGTCTAGTTAAGCTAATGAAACCTCAACTAGGTTACAGAAAAAATCAGAGCATTAGCGAGCAGAACTGACAGTGGAAGCTGTCAGCATCCTGTTGAGAGTGACTGGCGGAGCTCATGACAGAGTGACTGGCGGGGTTCATGACTGGGTAACGGCGGCAGGGTATCGCTGATTGACAGGACCATGAAATGTTCCCACAGTGACTGACATACAGCAAAGGAAAAAGATCAAGAAATAACAAATAATATAGTTTATGTATATTTTGTTATCTTTCCACTAGACTTTTCTTCTGCACTTTATTTAGTAGCTAATTGATATTGTTATTGGTTCATAAATAAACAATCCAGCTTCTTTTACTTATAAACTAGAAGTGTTCAGTATTTTTAAAGTATTCTATTTCTGATTTATATATTGAGTATATTTATATAGTATTTATTTGTACTGATATTTCCTTTCTGTATTGAGCTTGCTGGAATGTTCAGATTGTCAAAAGACACTATGTATATTTATATGCACATTAGTCATGGGAGTAACCTACAATCTCTGGGTGGAAAAAATGACCGATGGATCATCCTAAAAGCAGACGTATTGCAGGAGAAGATAGACAGGAAAGGGGCCCAGACACGCTTTAGATCAGGCTCTGGAAACCCTGAGATGGATGGGTTCACATTTAGATATTCAACATGCGTATTTTGAACTCTTGCTGTGTGCTGGATCTGTATGAGGTGCTTGGGTTGCAGCAATGAGCAAAACAGACAAAGATCCCTGTATTCAGGAGCTTGCACTCCAGTGATGGAGACAGAGAAGCAATAAACAAAACAAATAGGTCAATTATCTGTTATGGCAGAAGGCAATCGTTTCATGGAACAAAGGAAAGATTCAGCAGAATAAGGGGACAGGAGTGCCAGTGGTTGGATCACTGATTTTCTTAAAGAGGGGAAGAAGCTATAATAACAGTGTCAAGGCCTTTTAATTCTTGGGTGAGGTAGGGTGGGCATGTGCTGGATAGGAAGAACAAGGCAGAGCCAGGGCAGAATGTAGTGTTAAACTGCATGGTCAGGGTAAGCCTCATGGAGAAGGCAGCCCCCTCGTTGTTTATTTACTGAGTTCTCACTATTTGCTGAAACCCTGAGGAAGAATCCATGCATCCATCCATGCATCCATGCATCCATCCATCCATCCATCCATCCATCCATCCATCCATCCATGCATGCATCCATCCATGCATCTATCTGTCCATCCATCCATCTATCCATCCATCTAGTAAGATTGAGTGCCTCCTATATGCCTGACACTGTGCTGGGCTTGAAGTTACAGAGATGAATAAGACACAGTATCTACCTTCCAGATGTCACAATGAACCGAAAAAACACAAGAAAACCAGTTGATTACATTGTAGAGCTCTGTCTTCTAGTGTCCTTTCATTCAGGCCCAGCTGAACTCTTCCTTCCTTCACCAATGAGGCCTTCTTTGACCATCCCATCGAGAAAAGCCCTCTCCATGCCTTTCTAATCCTTGACCAGGGTTAATTTCACTCTATGGTATATATCACTCCTGGCATCGTAACATGTTTATTTGTATTTTATCTTCCCCCACTAGAATGTAAGGTCTGAGAGGAGGGACATTGTTTTGTTCAGGGCTGTATCATTATTGTCCGAAACGATACCTAGTATGGAGAAGATAATTAATATTTGTTGAAAACATGAATAAATAAATGAAGTGCTATAAAAGAGGGATATATTAAATATGGTGCTGCTGACCTTGTATCTCCTAACATAGCAGTGAGCAGAAAAAGCAATATTCACATAGAATCTCCTGGGAACAGTGTAAGGGAGATGATTAAAGTAATGTTATTATAGTAAGAAAATGTAATATATGTTTACCAGGTTAAATTTTTTAATTTTAAATTACAAAATATTTCAGACAAACAGAAAAGTGCATCAAATGGTCATATATACCTTTAACGTGTATTTTTGTTTTCTTTTTCTTACATACACACACACAAAACAAAAGACTTCCCTGAAGGTTTTATAGTGCTTGATTCCCGTGATTCAAAGCAGCAATACTTAGTAACAAGCAGCCCTTGATCACTTAAAAACTATAGAAGTCGTGTCTAAAGAGTCAAAGAATAACCCCTATCCCTGGCTTGGTGAAACTGTACCTGGGGCCCTCCTAGAACACATGACTTGCTCATCCTCTGGCATTCTTATTAGCAAATATTACCTCCATATGGATGATGGATGGAGTGCTGTGCAGCAGGAAGTGATGTTAGCAGTGTGACAACTAAAACTCAGTGTCTTTGGAACTGATCTCCTCTGAAGCACTGATCTCCTTTGATGTAGAAAGCCAAGGAAGAGTGTCTCACCTATTCCTTTTCCAAAGATAGTCCATCTTTAGCTTTTGCTGCAAATGACCCCCAAACTCTCGTGACATAAAGTAACAATTATGTATTTAGACCAAAAGTTTCTGAGTTGGCAGTGTGATCTGGGCTCAGCTGGGCAGTCCTTCTCATCTCCAAGAGGTCACTCATGCATTTACAGTCAGCTGAAGTTGGCTGAGGGCAGGCTGGCCTAGAATGGCCTTAGCCGGAACGGCTGGTCACTGCCTCTAGCAGGCCAGTCCAGGCTTGTTTACATGGCAGTTTGGCAGGTTTCTGAGAGAGAGCAGCAGTGTGTGAGGCACAGGTGTGCAAGGACAAGGTTACTTTTGCTGTATTCTGTTGCTCAAAGTAAGTCACAAAATCAGCCCACATTGAAGGGGTGGAGAAAAAGACCCCACCCCTTGATAAGAGGGGCTTCAAAGTCACCTTTGGAGGAATATGGATACAGTAGGGAGAATAGAATGGTTGTGGCCATTTTTGCTCAGAATCTTCCCAAAGGCTGATACCATTTTACATCAATCTGAATGTCTACTTTACTTTATCTTCTCATCTCATTTTTTAAAAATTGAAAAAATGTCCTACCAATTTTATGACCCTTTTTAGCACCCCCCAACTTCAGATCACTGAACCAGGTATTTTTTAGAGATAAGAAATGAACAAATAATGAAGTGGTATGTCCCACCTTCAAAGATGCTCCTGCAAACAGAAAGAAATAAGAAAGAGACTTGAGAGGCTGTGAGACAGGGACAGAGAGACAGAGGCCAGGGCAGCATGTCCAGGAGTGGAGTCCACCACCCACCACCACGATGCCAGAGAGCTGGGACAAGGATGTGTACCCCAAGTCCCCATGCCCTCGCTGCAGGCCTTGCTCCCCAAACCCATCACCTACTTGATGAAGGCCTTTGACCTCCTCATGGCCTTTGTGAGAGAGAGTTTATAAAGGGGCAGCATGTGAAGAAGGTATTACTACTACCACTGGGAGTATCGCCACATGCCAGACATCATTGAATGCAAGGAGGATGTTTTGTGCATGTTTGGAGCTGAAATGCAATGGAGAAGGGACCACAAAATCAGTCAAGAAATTGTTGACCTCATCCAGGAGAGGCTTAAGGAGGGAGCTACAGACAGACTGTGCCAAGGAGCTGGAACCCTTCACCCTGGTGGCCAAGGCATGCCAGGACCGCTATCATGACCAGGGAGTCCACTATTTTTTTTTTTTTTTTTTGAGACCGAGTCTCACTCTGTCACCCAGGCTGGAGTGCAGTGGTGCGATCTTGGCTCACTGCAACCTCTGCTTCCCAGGTTGACGTGATTCCCCTGCCTCAGCCCTCCTGAGTAGCTGGGATTACAAGCACGCGCCACCACGCCCCACTAATTTTTTTTGTATTTTTAGTAGAGACGGGGTTTCACCACATTGGTCAGGCTGGTCTCAAACTCCTGACCTCATGATCCACCCGCCTCGGCCTCCCAGAGTGCTGGGATTCCAGGCATGAGCCACCGCGCCCGGCTGGGAGTCCGCTATTCTGAAGTACCTGGTGAAACAGAGGAAGAGGATGCTGGTGGAGAGAAAAGCTGCAAAGGAGGCTGCTGCTGCCTGAGGCAGCTGTGTGGGTTCCCCCTGCGCTATGTGGCTCTATATGACTATCACTGTATTTCTGAAATAAAGTGATGCAACCTGAAAAAAAAGAGACTTGAGAACAACACGATTTCATAGAAGTTTGTTGAGTATCCCAAATGTGCCAGGCTCAGTAAGAAAAAAGAGAACCAAAGATGGATAGAATACAACTTCTCTTCTTGAGGCATTCACAGTTGTTTTCAAATTATTTAGCATTGTTTCTGGTGGTTCACTGTCCCTCACCCCTACATTCAAACACAAAGTCCCGTGGATTTTGCTTTTAAATGCCTCCTTGGATGCATCCCTTCCACCACCACCTTGGTTCAGTCCTCTTCATCTGTTGCCATGACTACAGCACACCCTTCTTGCTGGTCTCCTCACATCAATCTCTCCTTCTCTGCCAACATATCGGCTGAGTTCGCATTCCAACTGGAATGTCCTCTGACATGCAAACTTAGCCATGCAACATGCTCATAGTAAGAATGCCCTCATGAGCATTCTCCTAAGGATCTTTCCAGCCTAAAGGTTCACAGCTAAGGATCTTTCCATGCAACACAAGACTCATTTTGAGCTGGCATGCCCTCACCCCACCGTCTCTCCAGGCTTATCTCACATTTTATTCTCAAGGAAAACAGAACTGTTGGTAGTTTCTTGAACATGCCAATCTTTCTCAAATCTTTTGCTTTACATAGATGTTGTTCCTTTTGACAAGAGCCACTCTTCTCCCACTTGTCTGCCTATAGCCTGTAACTTTCTTTGAGGGCAGGTCATTCTCAAAATTACTTAGAAGCTGTATATGATACTCAAAACATACACTATTACTGCTGTCTCTGATGACTTCAGACTTCCATTCCTACTTCAAGCATAAGCCCCATTGCTCCTTTCCTATTAGGATCACACTGCACCATCATTGCCTTTGTTCTGTTTTGTTCAATCTCTGTAACCTTCTTTAAGACAGTGACCATATCTTTTCAGCCTTCTCTATTCAGCAACTAGTACTTAATAAATATTAATGGAATGAATTAAATCAAACCAGAAAGAAGTGGAAAATATTAAGTTCATTTTAGTTATACTAATGGACAGGCAGCAAAGTATCCTCTAATGATCATTGAATTTGATGCCAGAAGAGGCCGCCTTGCCCCTTAATAGCCATTTGACCTTGAGAAAGTCTCATTCTCTCTTAGAGTTTCAGTTTCCTCATTAGCTAAACAAGAATAAACCTACCCCTGTCTACCTCATAGTGTTAAAAGGATCAAATGAGAGAATGAAATGTGGGCATCTGATTATTTGCAAAGCAAATCTGAGAACTAGCCCAAATCCTTAGAGCAAGCTTTAAAGAGTCTACAGTCTTTTAGCCCACTCTTGGGCTCCACAGTTTATGGTCTGCAACTCGTAAAGTCTCCAGGAGGCAGTAGCAATATATATGATTTGAGTATGAATGTATGTTATGTTTTGAGCTTAATATAGACTTCAAAATACTGTCATTTTTGGTTTCTTTTCTTTAGAATAAGATATCCTCAAAGAATGTTAAAGAACTTATGTATCAGAGAAATACATTGTATTTGGCAGAAATGTTTCTAGTGCTGAGGCAGTTATGCTATGCACAGTAAGTTCTCTTCCACTTCCTGCCACAACTCTGAAACCTCAAATTTGGCACAGCAGACAGTTCTGACAAAATAATGAAGCAGCTTACTCACTCCAGTATGGACCAGGAAAATGAGATGTTCAGGAGTCTGAGTGTATGTGTTCACATGTGTGTGTGCTCAGGCCTTGAAGTCTTTTCTTTTGGGAGCAGTTTCTTGTATTCTTTCGTATCCCCTTCCTACTTATTCAACCATATTCCTCTATTATTAACCCCCAAAGTCAAATCCTTTTAAGCCTTAGAAACCTACCATAGTGGCCCATCTTTATGTCCCACACTCTCCACCTTTGTGGTTTCGTGGTTCCTATTTGTTCACTCCCTTTAGTTCCATTTCTGTGTCCTTTGTTTGTTCCTGAGCCATTGTTACTTGCACCACCTCCTCCTGGGACATTGCACTGAGTTTCTCTCTTTCCTTTCATCTCCTCAGGACTCCAGTGTCTTCTGACTTTTCTCCCCTTTCTGTGAACTGATTTTGAATATCCTGTTTAGCAAAATGTTTCAGAGATTCTAGCTGCTTATTTTAAGATTCCAGTTTTCCCCTTTGAGTTTTTATTTTTATTTTTGTTTTGCTTAGAGGAATCAAAGTTGTTTATGTTAATAAAACATTTCACTCAAGGCAACCAGACCAAAGTAAACAGCTTCCTCCACCAGGCTCTCTGCTGCTGTGATGGGGTGGGGGTGATGGAAGGGATGAAGGGCTGTCCCTTGGGAAAGCAGAGAGAGATCCAGGGTGAATAATGATCACTTTCTAGGGCCGTCTCCAGCTTTATTGAAGGGAATCAAATGTTCTTGCTAATATTGTCAGGGCTTTGGCTGCTGTTCAGACTTGGTGACTAACTCAGGAAATAAAGGGAGTCAAAGGGGTGGATGGGAAATCTGGGGAAGAAAAACAGAGCCATGACCAGTCAGGCTTCCCTCCTTGTGGTGGAGCCTTAGAGAAGCATTGGGACCCCTATGGACTGATAATCCCTTCATCAGTCATGCACCTGCCATGAATTGAGAGAGATGCAGAGCAGATGAAAATCACTGATTTTCTTAAAGAGAAGAAGAAGCTATAATAACTATGCCAATTCTTCAGTGAGGTGGGGTGTGTATGTGCTGGATAGGAAGGACTAGGTGGAGCCAGGTGAGCCTTGATTGGCATTCAATGCAGATGGGCATTCAACACAGATGGGCATTCAATGCCGATGCATTCAACGCAGGTTAGGGTTGTTTTTTCTGCAGAAGCTTTTTAGTTTGACATAGTCCCATTCATCTAGTTTTGTTTTTATCACCTGTGCTTTTTATTCAAATTTTATTTTAGATTCAGGGTGGGACATGTGCAGGTTTGTTACAAGGGTATGTGTGATGCTGAGGTTTGAGGTACGATTGAACTCATCACCCAGGTGGTGAGCATAGTACCTGACAGGTCATTTTTCAATTCCTTTCCCAACTCCCTCTTTCTCTCCCCACTCTAGTAGTCACATTGTCTATTGTTTCCATCTTTATGTCCATGTGTACCCAGCGTTCAGCTCCTGCTTATAACTGATAACGTGATATTTGGTTTTCTGTTTCTGTGTTAATTCTCTTAGGATATTGACGCCAGCTGCAACCATGTTGCTACAAAGGACATGATTTCATGCTTTTTTATGACTGTGTAGTATTCTATGGTGTATATGTACCACATTTCATTTTCTTTTTCCAATCCGTCATTGATGGGCATCTAGGTTGATTCCATGTCATTGCTATTGTGAATAGTGCTGTGATGAACATACAAATGCATGTATTTTTTTGTAGAATGATTCATTTTCCTTTGGGTACATGCCCAGTAATGGGATTGATGGGTCAAATGATAGTTCTATTTTTAATTCTTTGAGAAATTTCCAAACTGCTTTCCACAGTGACTGAACGAGTTTACATTCCCACAAATAGTGTATAAGCTTTCTCTTTTCTCTGACACCTCACTGACATCTGTTTTTTTTTTGGTCTTTTTAATAGTAGCCATTCTGGTTGGTGTGAGATGTTATCTCATTGTGGTTTTGATTTACATATCTCTGATGATTAGCAGTGTGGAGCATTTTTTCATATGTTTGTTGGTCGCTTATGTGTAGTCTTCTGAGAAATCTGTTCATGTCTTTTGCTCGCATTTTAATGGGGTTATTTGTCTTTTTGCTTGTTGAATTGTTTAACTTCCTTATAGACTGTGGATATTAGACCTTGTCAGACCATAGTTGCGGGGTTGGGCGGGGGGGTGGTCTCTGCCTCAGGATGAGCTGTCCAAGTTGCTGAGTGGCCTCACTCAGCAACTTGGACAGCTTCAAATGGCCTCTTGGTCATTGATCTGATTCTCAGAGTTTCTGCCTCAGAACTTGACTACCTTTGAATCTTGCTACCCTTGGCACTATGACCTCATACCATCCCTCCTTCCAACATATTCTCTGGATCCTGCAGTCACTCTCTACCCACTTCACTGCAAACATGATATTTTGTGGTCCATAAAATATATCCTAAATCAATAACTGTGAACACAGACCCCTTAAGCTGGGGTAGTGAGGAAATGCCCATTATGTAATTATGGTGGATTGCATTGTAATTTGTTTTAATTGTGAAAAGAGAAACTGATTCAGAACAAGAGTAGATTCTTAAAGAAGAAGAAAAGTATTGCAATATTGGTTCAGAACCACCATCTCCAACTTTCTTCTGCTGCAAATAATATCCTCAAATGAGGGCTCTATTATTTTCCCTAATGTCAGCCTTAAAAGTTAAGTTGCCTCAAGCTCTTCTCTTTTAGGAGCCTTTTGTAGCTAAAGTTGACAAATTTGTCCAAATCCCTTTTGAATCTTTTCATATTTCCAGTTAGTACCACCTACAGAAATAATGAGGTGTACATCTTTACAAAATTTGTTGTAAAATTACCCTTTTTTGATCCTAAACTCATCTCATTTGTGTTTTGTATGCCCTCTCTCCCACCTGTCTTCTTGTTTGTGGACGTGTGAAATAAGTTTGTTTTATGTACATTATTCATTGCATGATAAGCATAGATCATTGTCTTTCTCAGCCCTTGCTGTCATAGCAGGAGCACTAGCCTGGGGCTCCCCAGCCCCTAAGATATCTGTGAGAGAAATACAGGTGATTCATGGACTTGGAAGGGAAAAATTGCATCTTAATTTAGTATTTTCTTCCATTAAAAATACCACCAATAGGCATCACAGATATTTTCATATCATGTTATAATTTTTGCGGGTGTATTTAAATATCATTTATATGCATCACTACTTCGAATTTATGGAATTAGTATATCTGCCATCAGCCCTTGTTACTTACAGTGTGAATAAAGAAACACATATATCACTACATCACCAATTTTTAATACAAGTGTTTTGATAACTAGGTAGCATTATTATGAGTTTTCTTAGTTGTAGAGTGTATTCTATTTTGTACATGTGAGAACATTATCCAGAGAAGGCATTCATAAGAACACTAGACTGCCACAGGTGTCCAGGTGCAAAACAGGTGAAGAATCCCTGTGTTACAGACTACAGAGTCCCAAGATTTTTGGAATTCTGTCTTTGTACAGCAGCTCATATATCCTGGAAACCATTTTAACTGCCCTTTATCTAGAGCCCCAGTTCTTGAGAACAGAATTGAGCATAGCATTTAAGAAACTGAAATGTTATTGTTTATATAAAGGAAAGGTAGGCCTTTCTGCCTTATTTCCAATATATATTTTGCTGATGATTAATATTTTATTGAGCTTGGTCCCTAGCAGCACACTGGCCTGGTATCCTCAGGAAACATCCTTTCTTAACAGATACTCAGTATCTAATTTCACATGGGAAGTTGTTATCATTTATATTGAAATGCATTGCCTTGCTATTTAAAGATGCATGCTCCCCGCTTCTTTATTTGCCCATTGCACTGGTTTACAAGTGTTTCCTATATCTTTTTCTCAATAGCTTGTTCCTCTCCCCACACAGTTTCATCTACAAGAAACCTCTATGTCTTTTCCCCTCAACATCATTTATAAAGATGCAAAAAAGTACTGGTCTGCAGCTTATCTCTGAGAAACCAGCTCTTTACATTATGTTTCTCTACCCAGAGACAGGGATGTTCTTTGTTCCCTAAACCAACTCTTTGTATACATGAACTTCCAACCCTACCCTATCTTCTCAGTCCCATGAAAACTCATTACATAAATTAAAAAACCATTGAGCTCTTTCATAAAAGTTTCCCAACTTTTCTTAATGACTAACATTTTGTTCCTCTTTATCTAGATGCCTACTTCCTTTCTCAAAGAATTCTAATAAGTCGGCAAGCATTCCCTTGTTTGAGCCATCTGGCTTTCCCTTAATAGAGAATGATGTTTAGATTTTATAACTGTCCATTAAAAAGGAATATTTTTGTAACTATTAGATCTCAGGGAGATGGGGTTTAGACAAATCATCAATAGATACAGAATTCTGATTTTCAGAAGCTTTATTAGTTACTAAAAGTCATTCCCAGCTACTCAGTCCTTCACACACGTGCCACATGCACCCACTCACCTCTGTACGTACTCTTGTACAGACAGTTCATAGTTACTAACCAGGTGACCAGCTGCTTTTCATAAAATGGTTTTGATGAAACCATTGCTTTGATAACTAAAATGGTAGGAAGCAGCTACATGTATCATTTAAATGAACTAGCCCCAAGAAATTCCATTTGGGAGACACTTTCATATAAAATCCAAGAAACTTGCACTAGCATCTAAAAAAGAAAAAAGGGAAAAAATACCTTTTCACTCAGTGTTTTATTGATGATTTGTTTTCTTCCTGACTCTCCAGAGTACATTTGGTCTTAGTGAGATGTGTTCATCATTTCTGCCCCAGGGTATAGCCTCCCAGCACGGTGTCCTCTTTGTAGTTGAGTCTTGCATAATTAACACATTTGATGGTATTGTTGAAGTTCTGTATTGAATCTCTCTTTACCATTTTCTTATAGTAACTGCCATGCTCTCATTCAGCCTCTTGGATTCACTCCATCCAAACCTGTACTCCAATCTCTCCTAATTGACCCATTATCATTAACTCAATTGTTAGCTTACTCTAACCATAATGACTGTAAACAATCGTGATGATAAGCTATTCTTACAAGGGTTACTGAAACAATTTGACTCACAGTGGATCACATCCTCTTATTACAGGCTCGATCAGCCATTTCTCCAGGTCCATCTTGGAGTTCTTGTGAATAGGGAGTGCATTTTCAATTATCCAGTCCAGAATTGGGGGCTGTTTTTATGAGTAGACTACATTTTTTGGCCAGTCGTATTCTTGAAATTCCTTCAGAACTCTTTACTGCCTGCCACCTGTATTAGTCTGTTTTCATGCTGCTGATAAAGACATACCAGAAACTGGGTAATTTATAAAGAAAAAGAGGTTTAATGGACTCACAGTTCTACGTGGCTGGGGAGGCCTCACAGTTATGATGAAAGGCGAAAGGCACAAGGCATGTCTTACATGGTGGCTGGCAACAGAGCGAAAGGGGTTTCCCCCTTCATGAAACCATCAGATCTCTTGAGACTTATTCACTCCCATGAGAACAGTATGAGGAAACCGCCTTCATGATTCAATTATCTCCCACCGGGTTCCTCCCACAACACATGGGAATTATGGGAGCTACAATTCAAGATGAGATTTGGGTGGGAACACAGCCAAACCATATCATCACCCCACTCTGACAACTGACTTATATTTATTTCATAAATTTAGCTTTGTGCCATGCTTTACCTGCATAGAAGCCACATGACCATGCCTTTCTTACTAACAAAATCCTGATTCTGTTCAGATAAGGATAGGGAAGGGAAGATAGGGATGGCAGGTTCTTCCTGCAGCCTTGGGGAATGAGTCATAGTTGATATGAGCCAGCCATGGTAATCCCATTCTGCTCTCATAGAAACTCCTTTTCTTGGCCTCCATGCATCAAAGGATATTTGTAGGTATTCTCTTATTGCAGCTAATAAGAGGAAAGAAGATGTCTTCTGGAGGCTTCCAGAAAGGATTTTGATTCCAAATCTAAGGCCAGGCTTTCACAAAGAGTAAGCCTTTTTTCCTCGCTCATTCCTTCCTGCTTGGCATGCTAGTGCACAGGCAGGATGTCTGCAGTGGCTGTAGCTGTCTGACAAGTATGACGGAGTGGTCAAGAGAAACACAGAATGCTGACCCAGCAGCCTAATGTTTCTTTGCCCTCACTAACTCTGTAGGAATCCATTTCCAGAGTTAGCGTTATGTAGGATAAAGAAACAACTTCTCATAAATCAGATTTTCTGATACTTGCAGCCAAACACATTCTTAACTGATTTGGGCTTAAAATAAAACAGTGTTTTAACTGTGATTTCCATCTGGGATTTAGGTTGGAATCAAGTTCTACGTTTTGGTTTATAGGTGTACTGATAAGTAAGAATCAAACATTTTAGAGGACATTTTTAGGAACAAAATACCATCCAATACTCCATGGTGGAAGAAAAAAAAAAGTGATTTGGTAATTCTTGGGAGCTGTAAGACCAGTCAGCAAAGAGAACATTAATCACTGGGCCACTCAGCCAGAAGAGGCCTCCAAGAAGGGAACAATCAATGAATAGGTCTTCTCTGGGCAGACAGAAGAAAAGGTCAAAAGCATTAAGCCAGGAAAGGTAGGGGCATCTCATGTACATTTTCCAGGACTGTGTGTCAGAATAATAACTGTTTCAAGGGAAGCAGTCTGGTATTTCAAGAGAGGCCAGTCTCAAACACTGGCTTGGGAATGTCCTGCCACTGGCTGGTGGTCCTTGCTCCTTTACTGGAGTTGTATCAGAAGCAAGTATCACAGGGCCATTTGTCTTCACCATCCCTCTAGGCTTTAGGGTGGGGAAGCAGGAAGTAGACAAGCAACCCAAATGGAGCACCAAGTAATTTGAAGAATGTCCTGTAAAACCAGTACTAAAAAAAAAATCTTTGAAATGGAAAAATCTTCAATTTCTCTATGTCCAAGCACAGTTGGGGGAGAGGAGAATGAGAGGTCCTGGTTTGGTAAGATGTGTATTGTTTGATGTACACACTTTACATGTTTAAAAGATTAGTTGCCAACATTTAAAAATCAGGAGATTTTACATAAAAATCTATGTTTCTGATCTCTTTTTAAAAATTAGCCATCCTGGCAATATTAGGCCTGCATGACATGACATCCTGGCAATATTTCTGCATGACACAGTGGTCAGAGCAGAGTAACCCTTGTCCCGTTTTAGCCTCATGTGTTCTCTCTAGTTTGCCACCATCACCCTCTCTTGATTGTCTCCATGACACCGAGGCTGAGTGTTAGTTTATCTATCATCACTCTTGCAATGTTATTTTTCTCATAATTGAGACTGTCTCTCTCAAGAGTAGGAAAACAAAAGAAAAGATAGAGTAGGCTGCATGTTTCTTACACCCAGCCCACTTCATCATTAAAATTAGCTGCCTACCAGCACCTGTAGGCCTTAGAATTTGCAAACCCTACTATAACTGTACTACAGACCACAAATGGAAATTTGTCTTTGTGACACTTTCAAACTCACCCTTCTTGGAAAAGGGAAGGTGATAAGGTTGATTTTTCTTACAAGGCAAAACATCTTTAGTGCGTGGCAATGGCTAAATTAATTCAGCTTTCCAGACCCCTTTCCTCTAAGACAGCTAGTCTGACAAATGCCATTGCTAATTAGCGCATCGAGTCATGGCAGAGAATTCTGGAGGTCACAATTAGTGCTTTTCAACAGGCCCCACAGATTAAGATATGATTTGCAATCTTCGTCTGGCACTGAGGAAGTCCTGGGTGTCAGCAGTAGGCCCTTTACTTTGTATTGGCAGAGGGTGCCCCACCAGGGCCATTTGCTGGGACAAAAATCACTCAATTCCAATGCAAGAAAATAAACATATGGCACCATAGTCATGACAAAGTGGACCTGTTTTGGCTTTGAAGTGTACAGACAAGTTGCCTGCAGCCTGATCATCTCTCATGCTTCATAGTAAAATGCTGTCCCCATGGTGCCTATAAAACCGCTGCTTTCCTCTTTGATTCTCTCCTAAGCAAGAAAGCATAACACATGCACTTTTTTTTTTAAAAAAAAGACCTATTAATTGGTCAGACAATTAATATATCCACTAAAAGAAAAGTGCTCTGTGGAACAAGGAGGACTAGATAATTTTATGATGAAAGTGTCAAATCTAAGAATCATCACTCTGTGGGGGCATTTGGTGCTTTGAGGTCAGCATCATAACTTTGCTGGCATTCTGGCTGAAGGACTGGCTTAGGGCCTGGAATCTGGACATCCATGACTAATTGGGAAAGCATCTGTGAGTTCCCCCACCTCAGCTGGGCAGAGATGCAATGAGCAGTTTGAAAGTTACAGGAGAAGTGGAAAGGAAACCACCCGGGCTGTAGCCATTTCTCCTGGAGCGACAGAGACACTCAGGGGTCAGTGCATGTCATCCAGATACAGCACACCTCTGGCTGGCCATCTGGAAAAGTGCTCATGAGGTCAGATATGGCCGGAACCATGGCAAAGGGAAATTGTTTGAGCAGGTATAGCAAAGGCTGGGAAGATAAAGACGGGTCTGTCCTCTGGAGACAGAGCAGGCCGAGAGCTCCCATGCCAGTGGATTCTGGAAAATTGGCAAGGCGGAAAATTTAAAGGAGACAAAAATCATCGGAAAAGTCCCAAGGGCCCTAACACCAAATAGCTCATTAATGCTTGGAAAAAAGAGCGAGCGAGTGTTAATGTGAGTCAGCATGTTGTGACTTGTGAATGGGACTGGCACAAACCTTCGGGATTCGCCTTTGCTGGGTTAGTAAACAGTTAAGAATTCCTTTAGGATCTTGCTGTTGAGAGCCAAAATATTTTGAGCAAAATACATCACACATCACTTTCTTCCCTGAGTCTATTGCACATATCTTTTGGGTGTCAGTTTCTCAAGATATCGTAACTTAGTTCACAGAGTGCTTCCACACGTGGCCTTGTAGGACCCTCCCAGTAAGTAACCTTCTGGAGTTGACGGAAGTATTTTAATTTTCACGTGAGAGAAATTGAAGATCAGTGAAGTGATTGGCCAGGGTCAGGCTCATGGGTGGGAGACCAGGACTTGAACGCAATTCTCTGATTCTAACTGCAGTGCTATTTCTGCTCTCTGAGGCTGAATGTTTTCCTGAGATGAGGTTGGTGTGTCACGAAGAATTATCCCCTTCTGTCCTTCGTTTATCTTCAGAAGTGGAAAACAGAGAGTTCTGTGGAAGTTAGGTCTCTTGTAGTTGCTCATTTGAAACAAAGTGCTGTTTTGAATAAAGATAAGCCTGGACACACAGGAGATGTGCTCAACCTTCCTGAGGCTATTCTCAAAGTTAAGTAGAGGACCCTTTCAGCCCAGGAGGTTGAGGCTGTAGTGAGCCGTGATTGCGCCACTGCACTTCAGCCTAAGCAACAAAGTGAGACCCTGTTTCTAAAAAATAAATAAATAAAATAATAAAAAAGAAATAAGAATATTTAAAAATGAAAATAAAAAATAAAAATATTAAATATTAAAGAATTTAAAATTGAAAAAAAAATAAAGGTTAAGAAGGCTTCATACATCACCTTGACTTACTCCTAATATCTGTTTAGGCTTTTCTCACCCATGAATGTATCTATACTATGTTTAGGTGTAGTTACAGCTTTCCATCTTCTAGAAGTAATAGATTTATGTGTTTTCTGCCTACAACAAAAAATGTGGCCTCTTTTCACTTGTCCTATGACTAACTCCTTCAAATGCTACTTTGCAAAGTGAGCAGTTCCCCTTTCCTGCCCTAAAATAATTTCCCAGTAGCTGTATCATTTTAGTTCAGTTAGAGATGCGTTCAATTGTACTGTGCTTCTGGGCTATACTCCCTTTCAAAGAAAATACCTCTCCCAGATATTTGTTCCCAAGTATTAGGAACACATTAAAAAGTTGGGGCTGGGCACGGTGGCTCACGCCTGTAATCCCAGCACTTTGGGAGGCCAAGGTGGGCGGATCCTGAGGTCAGGAGATCGAGACCATCCTGGCTAACACGGTGAAACCCCGTCTCTACCCAAAATACAAAAAATTAGCCGGGCATGGTGGCACGTGCCTGTAGTCCCAGCTACTCGGGAGGCTGAGGCAGGAGAATTGCTTGAACCCAGGAGGGAGAGGTTGCAGTGAGCCAAAATCATGCCACTGTACTCCAGCCTGGGTGACAGAGTGAGACTCTGTCTCAAAAAAAAAAAAAAAAAAAAAAAAAAGTTGGGCCAGGGATCACACAGTGAAATGACCACACTACAGGCCAGGTAGGTAACCCAAAGAATGGAGTGGGCTGGATGTCAGAAAAGCAGCCCTGTAAGAGTAATGTAAAGGGAAATTCCCTCAGCCTCTGCGTGGGGCAATAGGGAGTGGAGGGGACTGAGGATAATGCCTGCTGCTGCTTCTCAGCTTTGACTCATGATGCTGTGTGAGAATATAGGCCAAATGTTGCCACATCTTCTGGTTTTTCAATAAAATCTGGAAGTCCATATTTGAACGTAATGCCTCCTGACTTATTGATGTTGTAACTCATTAAAAGAATTTTAAAACCTTTTCTGGACTAAACGAAACACATCTGTAGCCTAGTGATAGTGGCAAAGACTGACTTGGGGGGCCTGTAGGCCCGTCTCAGAAACCCCATCTCCTCATTTCTTTAACATGGACACTTGGCATTTTCTTAGCCTTATGTAAAACACTGGGTAAATGCAGCTTTGAGAATGCTCCCTCTTTCCAACCACATTGCTGTCTTCAAACCCTTGCTGTAGACGTTCTGGGTTCAAACTGACCCTTATGATGTCAATTAGAAACTAAATTGGAGTGTGACCTTGGCAAAGATAGAGGACATCTGTAAAATGAGGCAGACAAGCTTGAAGCCCTCCAGGGGACGCTTCTGACTTGATGCCCTCGCAGTGTGCTGTGAGATGGTGGCCACCAGCTTTGGGATTGAGCCTGTTTTAATTCATATGCCGGGTGCTTAGGACCTGTATGAATTGGGGCCCATCTCCTTCACCCCTCTGAGCCTCAGTTCTCCTGTCTATAAAATGGGGATTGTAGGGATGTTCTCAGGACTAGAGGAAATGTATGTAAAGATCTTGACACAGAGCTAAATCAATGTCACCATAAGTTTCTGTTTTCAGTGGAAGATAAATGGACTGGCCTGGCTTACAGCATATCTCCAATCTCTGCCTTTCTTCCATCACATGGCTGTCTGCTCACTGTGTGCCCGTGTCTTCACATGACATTCTGTCTGCAGGTGTCTGTCTGTGTCTCTTGTCTTCTTATAAAGATACCAGTCATATTGGATTAAGGGCCTACACAACTCTAGTATGACCTCGTCTTACCTGACATCCTAATTACCTCTACAAAAATTACCTGACATCCTAATTACCTCTTTCCAAATAAGGTCACCGTCACAGGTTCTAGGAATTAGGACTTCAGTGTATCTTTTTTGGGGATACAATTCACCCTGCAACAGTGATCTCAGGCAAGTCGTTTAACCCTCAGAATGTCACTTCCATCTTTTGTCTGCCTCTCCCATCTCTTGGAGCAGATCAAATGCAATAATGTTGGGAGAAACGTTTCTATAAAGCATAGAGCGCCTTTATGGCTGTATTAGTGCTTGTTCTCACCCTGGAAGGGATGTGGTAAGGTCAGAGATGATGACTGCTGAGCATGTGCGTTCCTTTGGAGCTATCATAAAAATAAAAGCTTGTAGCATTTATTATTAATAACCTGTTTACTGGATCCCTGGAGACCAAAGAGCCTGCTGATGGGATCCTTTGACACACTTCTCATTTTTCCTCTCCTGACCACTCCCTCTCCTGAAAGCATGTCTGTGACTTCTGGCTCGAAAGGGAAATGAATGTTTTGTTTTCCCTCCCAAAGAAAATAAACGCTATGCAAGGGTCACGACAAATTTGTTTCAAGGAATTTTGCTTTTCAAATCCATGCTGACTCCCTGACTTGGTTGCCTGTTAGACCAAAGGATACATTTCCTTGTGTTTAAGGCCTCTTTGTTTCTGAAGGTTTAAAAACGTGCATGTCTGGTCTGTATGTGCTCAGGGATCATTTGCTTTGGGGAGGGGCTTCTTTGCATTCTTGGCATTTCGACCTCTTTGTCTTCCCAGCTGCCCTTTCTTGTCTGTCTTTGGATTTCTTCTTATCCTCTTTATGGGGCCATTTTGTTTAGTTTTCTATAACTTTTCTTTAACGGCCATTTCCCTCTCTACTTTTCTGCCCCATTTTCCTTCTGCTTTTCTTCTTCACTTCTGCTTCCTTTCCAGAATGTAGATGTCCCTCCCCTCTCCCACTCACGTCCTTTCCTTCATCCGATTTGGATGGGCTCCTTGGCTAACCTCTGGTTAATTTCATTCTAGGGGCTGCTCAGGCTCTCCGGCCCACAGTATACCCTGCAACTCTTCTGTGACAGTTTATAATCTGTTTTATGGACCTGAAAACTATTCAATCTCCTGGCTCCCTAAAGGAGACTGCTGATGCTAAATTGAATGTGGAGGGTCTGGGTGGTGGAGCTGCTCCTTGATGGACAGCTGCTTATTTATGTCCCTCCGTTGTTTGTTGAGGGATTGTGCTGCTGCCATTCAGGGGGAGCCACATGACAGCAGGGGGGAGGGGTGGGGGGGGCAGGGGTGGGTGGCCAGGGCCTGTGAAGACAGCACCAGCCCAGTGGACCAGCAGAGGGAGGAAGGGACTCTTTCTGTCCTTCTCGAAAGGTAGGAATTTCTTTTACAAACCAATTATTTGATAACAGGGTGGGAAGGTACTCCATTCACTGGTTCAGCAATTACCTTTTTTTTTTTTCTTTTGAGACTAAATCTCATTCTGTTACCCAGGCTTGAGTGCAGTGACATGATCTCGATTCACTGTAACCTCTGCCTCCTGGGTTCAAGCTCAAGCGATTCTTGTGCCTCAGCCTCTTGAGTACCTGGGATTACAGGCATGTGCCACTACACCTGGCTAATTTTTGTATTTTTAGTAGAGATGGGGTTTCGCCCTGTTAGCCAGGCTGGTCTGGAACTCCAGACCTCATGTGATCTGCCTGCCTTGGCCTCCCAAAGTGCTGGCATAAGCCACTGCGCCCAGCTGACAATTACCCTTTGAGCTCCTGTTAGGACCCAGGCATGATGCTGGGTCCTGGGAGTATAATGTGAGATAAAACATTTTCTTAAAACTGCAAGATCTTATTGGTCAATACACAAATAATTATAGAAACAAGGTATAATTTCAGGCTATGCTGAACACTGTGGAGTATAACCCGACCTCCTCTCTTGGGAAGCAGAGGGAGGAGACTGAGGGGTTTCCTATGGGACAGGGACCTTGAGCTGAGAGCTGAGAGGTGGTTAACCAAGGGAAGGTGGAGAGGATGGGGTTCCAAGCAGAGGAAAGCACGAATGCAAAGACCTTTAGAGCAGGTCGACCTTGGAGCGTCTGAAGCTCTGAAGACAGGACTTGGGAGCTGGAGAGCATAAAGGCTGAAAGGCCCAAGACCCAAGAGAAGGAGGCAGAGGCCATGCTTATTCTGGAAGAGCAGGCACATGTTGAAAAATACAAAAAGGGGCCAGGCACAGTAGCTCACGCCTGTAATCCCAGCACTTTGGGAGGCCAAAGTGGGCAGATCACTTAAGGTCAGGAGTTCAAGACCAGCCTGGCCAACATGGTGAAACCCCATCTGCACTAACAATACAAAAATCAGCAGGGCATGGTAGTGTGTGCCTGTAATCTCAGCTACTCAGGAGGCTGAGGTGGGAGAATTGCTTGAACCTGGGGGGTGGAGGTTGCAGTGAGCCAAGATTGTGCCACTGCACTCCAGCCTGGGCGATAGAGTGAGACTCTGCTTCAAAAAGGAAAAATGATCTGAAACCCTGCTAGTCACTCTTCTGAACTGATATCATACTATTTTGCATGTTTTAAACTTCTCTGAGCTGTAAGGTATAAAGTGCATAAAGTGTATTTATCATAAGTGTACACCTCATTGGATTTTTACATGAACAGGTTCTATGCCTATATACTTGGGATTCCATTTTTTAATGTAACATTATATCACAAAAATTTTGCACTGTTAAAAGTACTTCAAGAATATGAAACATAAAGACTGAATACAATTCTACTACAGGGGGCTTCTTATCCATGCTCAGTGTGTACATTTCTTTTGTGTTGATTTTTCCCGATGGATCTGTGCACTGAACATTATTGTGGATAAATGTTGATGCATATCTGGTTATCATAGAAATCCTGGAAGTAAAAGAGGCATATAGGTGAGGCTCTTGATACATATTGTTAGATTGCTGAAAAATTCCTTTTTTACTTCAGAATTTCCAATGGTATGAAAACATTCCCGGATCCCCTCTGTGTGGTTGTCTCTTCAACTGGGTCTCTCACTAGAGGACCATGCCGCTCCTGCTTTGCTCCCTTACATCTGAGTCTGAACAAAGAAAAATTCTCAAGGAAGGGGTTGTTAGTGAGTGTTTGACTTGGTGGGAAAGACTGACATGTGGGCCGTGGGCCCCTCCTGTAGATGGGGCCCACTCTAAGAACAAAGTATGGGGCTCTTGCTCACCCCCCTTTCCCAGTAGACTTGTCAGTAGAAGAGGTTTGCAAGCCATGGAAAGAAGTAAACATCCCTTCAGCCTCAACTGGGCTTCTCAACTGTTCCTCTGGTATTTCTTTCCCCAGTGGACCCACCCATTCCCCATAAGGTACAAATATTCAGTATTTGTTTGTATTTGTTGAATTAATAAAGATGTAGTTTCTTAAGTGATACTACCTAGTATAATTTCCTCTCATTATTATTCTTTTCCAGTCTCATCTCTCTTTCTCTCTGTCTCTCCGCGCCGACGTGTGTGTGTGTGTGTGTGTGTGTGTGTGTGTGTGTGTGTGTATGTGTGTGTGTTTATGTAGAGGAGAAAGAAAATAAATATCACCATAGAGAAGGTAAAATTCTGTTGATCTCTTTGGCTCTGCCTTTCTCTCAAAGCAGCAACTCCTTGCAGGGTTTCTGGGCTTCTCCAGCTGTTTAAAATGGCTGGCCTCCTGTGTGCTTCCTTGTTTGTATGTCTGAGCAAAGTGGAAAATTCAAAGGAAGGTGTTTTGCTTTTTCCCTGAGCAAGAATGCCGAGCAGGGAAGCACCTCCACCCCGCGTTCCTAATGGAGCTTGCTCTCTGCAGACTGGCTGTGAGCCCAGGTTTACAGAAGTTCACTTCAGACAAATACATTCTGCCACTTTCACTCTTGGGAACAGACATGGCAGAATCCCAGTGGGTCATTCCTTCTGTCCCCTGGAGCCGGGATTACTTCCTACCTTATAGCCACAATGACTTTTTCAACACAACTTTTAAATAAGCCATAAAATGGAAATATGCCTGGCAAGTGGGGAAATATTCTATTGCTTGAAAAGGCCCATAGAATCAAACAGCTTGGAGAGAAACAAATAAAGAGAACAATATAAAAGCAACAACAAGGAAAAAATTGCTGCTTATTTTGTTTCTCTTTTTCTCAGTACAAGGCCAACCTAGTCCTTAGTCCTCCCAAATAACAATGGGTTCCATGTAGGTTTTGAACTCACAGGCCTGAGGCAAGGGGGGCCTGCCCCAGGTAGGAGGGTCCTGGCTCCAGTGGAACCGGGAGGAACCCCCCAAGTGTGTGTGACTGGACCACAGAGAGGGAGAAGTCATAGCAGGGGTGGCAGCAGAGAGAAAAGGAATGGAACGTTGCAGAGAGATTATTAAGACAGAAGGCCCAGTTTCAGGATATTAAGAATGGTGGTGAAGAGACCCAGGAGAAGGCAGTGAGGATCTGCGGTTTTAACTGACCAGCAATTCAGGGAGTGAGGTGCATTTTGGCAGCTGAGGAACACCTTGGCAAGAGGGACAGGGCTGGGCTGAGCTACTCTTCCAGATGAACCACCCTGGAACATTGCTGAGCTTTGCAATGTGCAAAGTGCATAAGACATGGTATCTGCCTTCAAAGAGCTTTTAATCCAGCAAAAGAGACTAATATATGCAACACGTTGGGTAAAACAACGTGTGATAAAGTGTTCTTGTACGGATAATAGACAGGGACTTTTATTGGTGCTCAGAAGGAGGAGCTAGTTTAGACTGATATAGTTAAGTAGGATTTCCTGGAAGACAAGGATTTGTGCTAAGTCTTGGAGGAAGAAAGAGATTTGGACAGGACTTGCAAAGCATTGCAGATTCTGGCTCTGTGACATTTGCCAATATTTAGTAGGATCATTTCTGCCAGGGTGACCCCTTAGAGTTTGTGTAATTGCTCCTAAGGATTAGAAGAAACACAGCGTTCCTCTTTGCACATGGCAAATGCAGAGGATATGCACATTGGTCTCCACCTAGGCAAGGACATCTGCTGTTTGACCACTGATCAAGACTCTCAGTCATGCGGCTCAGAAGCCCGATGTTGTCTGCATTCTGAATATGGATCTCTCTTTTCTGAGAGGATGCACGGTTACCAGGTTCAGGGGATGAATGTAGAAAACCAGAACACTGTACTGTGTACTCGCACTGACAGATGAATGGGCACATGGGTGGAAATATTCATTAGCTTATGTGACCAGCTCTTGTTTTCTCCCATGTAGGCAGATCTATGAGCAAAGCTGAATTATAAGCAACAGAAGTTACTGTGTACTACAGGTTGGATCTTTGTCCCTTCCAAACCTCATGTTGAAATTTGGTCCCCAATATTAGAGATGAGCCTAATGGGAGGTGCTCGCATTATGGGCTGGATTGCTCATGAATAGACTAATGCCCTTCCTTGGGGGTAAGTGAGTTCTCACTCTATTAGTTCCCTCTAGAGCTGGTTGGTAAAAAAAAAAGCCTGATACCTCCCCACCTCTCTTTCTTCCTCTTTTGTCAAATGATCTGCACACCCTGGCTTCCCTTCACCTTCTGCCATAGTGGAAGCAGCCTGAGGCCCTCACCTGACGCAGACACCAGTGCCGTGCTTCTTATACAACCTGCAGAACCAGAAGCCAAACAAACCTCTTTTCTTAAAAAATTACCTGCCTCAAGTATTCTCTTGTAGCAACACAAAACAGACTAAGACACTGTAGATACGGAATAAGTGGGGCTAGAAGGAAGAAGGAAAAGGGATTTAATGGCACTAGGCTGAAACAAACTAGATATGTTGATCTCTCAGCTACCTCTTATCTCTTCTGTGAGAACAGAATGCATGACACCAGAACACTAAAGGTCTGAAGGCTGTGACCCCCAGCATACCTCTCTGCATTAGAGGTAGACTTACCACTAGGGCCAGGATACCAAGTGGCCACTGGCTAAGGCCACTCAGCCCATCTGTCCACCTACACAACCTCTCCTCCCCTTCTCCTCCCTGCTAAAGCCAGTCCCTCTGCTCCTAGCTAGATCCCATCTCTTCTTAACTACTAAAGACATTGCTCTACCAGTGCTCCACTTCTCATCTTCTTTATTTCCTTTTCTCCATTGGGTCAATCTCAGAAGTGTACAATTATCTGTTATTTTTCACTTCTTAAATAACAGTCTTCACTTGGACCCATGTTTCCTGCCAGCTAATCCCCCACATCCTTTCTCCTTTTTTCAGCAAAGCTTTACAGAGAGTTGCCTTCTCCTCACTGGTACCAGTTGCTCTACTTCGTTTCCCTCTTAAAGTCACTCTAGTCTGACTCTCACCACTCCCTCACAAAATCTACCCTTGGCCAAGTCACCAATGACTTCCACATTGCTAATCCAGCAGCCAGTCCTCAGTCCTCCCCTCACTTGACCTATTAGCATCATTGGACAGAATGGATCATTCCCTTCTCTTGGTGACCTACAGCTGCATCTCATTATCCACCATCCTCTCCTCGCTGTCTCTGCTCGGGACACACAGATCTCCAGGCTGTTCATCATGCAGGCCAGGTGCGCTCTTGCTCAGGACCTTGGCATAGGCAGTTCCCTCCCTGCAGATTACCCTGTGAGTCACCCTTCACCTCCTTCAGGTCTTTACTCAAATGTTACCTTCTCAGTGGGACTGCCTTCCATGCAGCAGTTACATTATAAAATGCATATATCTGCTTACATTCTAGGTTCCCAAAGCCCATTGCCTCTCTGATCAGAGTCCATTTCTTCTGCAACCCCAGGGGACAATCACATAGAACCTCCCTCCTCATCTATATGGGTTTTATAAGGGACACAAGAGAAGTTGCTGGAAGTGTCTATGTTCCCATATAGAATGTCAGTTTAATTATTTTAAAATTATGAGCAAAACCTCAGAGAACTGCTTTGAAAATGCAGAGAACTGCTTTGAAAACTATGTGTAGTTCTGAGGATGTCTTCCGTAAATATAAGAACTTGGTGATTAGAGTTACTATTAGAGCCAGACTTGGAACCCAAATGATTAGATGACTTCCACACATCTGAGCCGTCCAGGCTTGTGAGAAGACTGGAGGCAGCGGTGATGAGGAATGGGGTGGGGTGATGAAAACTAAAAGGGATGGAAAAAAGGAGAGGGAAATGGCTTAGTGATTAAGAGTATTGGTTTTAGTGTCAAGACAGCCTGGAGTCCACCGCTGGCTCAGACACTTAGTAGCTGTGTGACTTTGGGCAAATTATTTAATCTCTCTGAACCTTGGTCACTTTATATAAAAATAGAGTTAATTGGGCCTTCCCCTCAGGACTTCAATGATGAAATGAGATCTTGCATATGAAATACCTCTTGCAGTTCACAGCATATTGGAAGTGCTCTGGAAACAGGAACTCTGGTATTCTTGTTGCTGTGGTGCAAGCTCTGAGAATAGGCAGAGGCCAGAGCAAATGGTGAGAGAAAGGTTACAGATGAGATGAAGTCTATGAGATGTGATCCTCGGACCCAAATAAACAACAACAACAGCAAACAACAACAACAACAAATCCTGAGGACCAGTATGGAGCCACAGTTGGAAGTGTACTTGCAGAAGGTTGGGTTTCCCTGGGAAATACACTACGAGACTGAGATTTGAATGCAGGGGGCTTCTCAGGGGATGCTCTTGGGAACGATGCCTGGAAGGAGTGAAGGAAGCAGGACTGCTCAGAGTGGGAGGGTGAACTACCATGCAGTTGCAGCCAAGGCCTTTGCCAACTTATGAGGTGCTCTAGAGCTTGGGTGGCCTTCTAAGAAGTCCCAGTTGAGACAAGGGGATCAGGCCTAATACGGCCACCCTCCACCCCCCCAACACACATTGGGCAGGCTGCTCCCGGGGAAGGGGCATTCCCTTGGGTGAGGCAGCCTCCACTGAGCCTACAGCAGCCAACATTGCCCATAGCTGGGTGAGGGAGGGCTTGGTTCTGAAGGGTGAGCTGGGCAGCACACCACAGTATTCACTACAGGCTGGTCCAGAGGCAGGGAATTGAAAATATTTAAACCTCTGCTCAGGAGTCAAAATGTGAACCTAAATTTTGTGAAAGAGGACTCACAACTATGCCCCCAAATTCCTCACATGGGCAAACATTTAGTTAGGCATGAAATCCAACTCTGGGGGATGGACTTTAACAGACAAGGAAATGGCCATGATTTTCAATAGGCCCTCCCCTCCTTCCATTTATTCCTTAAAGAGTGGCTATGAAGAGAAAGCTTAGATCCACCCTGTAGCTGATGACATGGGAAGCCCTGAGCTGGGTCACCAAGGTAAGCGTGTTTCTGATGTGAAGTCCGGGACTGTAAACGCCCAGGAGCAGCTCCTTCTTCATAGCCTTGTGGTACTGAGGTGGGGCTTCATACAAGCTTCTTGATTTGAAATCAGCATTTAAACGGGATTCCACCAGCAGGTGTGTCTGTGGCTCTAATGGGAGAGACTGTGACATCTCTTAGATGATTTCCTGGTGCTCCATAGTGCCAGATGCCCTATTTGGCTAACCACTCTTTAAAACAATACTTATTTAGGCACACACACATGCACACACACACACACAGATACGCAGCATAGACAACACTCACACTCTTGTGCATACAACCTTCTCCCACCTCTTCTTCATTGTGTGCATTGGAGTGGAGAGAAGCATACACAGGTGGGTGAGAACAAGTGATTGTTCAGGGGAGAGAGCTGGCCTAGAGGTAGACTTGGAGTGAGAATGAGCCCAGTAGCACAGCTTAAAAACCCCACGCGCATACAGCGTCAGAGTCTCTTCCATCTGCGAAACCGCCTCTTCCCGAGTGCTCTCGCACATGCCACCCCATGTGACAATTACTTAAGCATTCATGGGACTTCCTTTCTCAAACCTGCAACTTGTCACTTGATTTTACTCCGGTGTTTACTTTTGTAGGCAATTTTCTCTGTGCGACTATAGATTCATCTTTGGTATTTGAACTAAATTTGTGAAAATTTAATCTGATAGATGAGATCATTACTGGAGACCTTGCCTTCCTAAGGCTCCATGTGTGCCAAAGGTAATGAAGCAGTATACCAACTGCATTTACAAAATCCCAGGGCACACGACACCTTCTGCATCCTCTTCAGTATTCATTTTGTAGTTGTCTTAAGATATATGTCCCCATGTCCCATGGCTGGGATTTGAGAGTTTGTCTTCCTGTTTCTATGCTGTTTCTTGTTCGTAATTTAATGTATCCTTGGATACTGACAGATACTTTCCCTTCAAGATTTTGCAGATTTGAAGAACAGTTCATCCTCTCACTTGATTTACCGGATGATGGTCATGACCATTTGCTTTCATTTGCTCCTTTAAAACACTTAAATGTTGTTCCATCTTTCTGTGATTTTAATAATTAGGAGTAAATTATGCCTATGATTATATAAACTTGATGGACTCTGACACAATGGAAAGGTTTCAGTGTGGTCCATGTTTGAAACTGCTTGCAGCCTGAAGATACTGTCCCCATCATTTCAGGGTCATTGTGATATGCCATGTGAATTGCAAAAAGTGAGTCCTTCCATTGCATCCATCTTGACTGCACCTGCGTAGAGATTGTCAAAGTCAGACCCTTATTTTTAAATGAAAAAGACAGAGAGTTACAAATATAGTAGAAACCTTTTATGATGCTGATTTTAGCAGACAGGACTAACATCTGTGTTAGAAGCAAACTGCATTACATCCTGTTTCTTATTATAGTAGTAGGTAATCGTTGTGTTCCAGGGGAAAGTATTTGACTCCAGGGGTTCTTCCACCATTTTCTGTTAAGGAAGCCATGAAGAAATGAGCCCCCTGTTACTCTGTATAATTCTGGGTTATTGGAGGCTACGGTTATTAAATTATATTTAGGAAGCCATGGTTATTGTGGTGTATTTAGAATTGGTCATGTTGTGGGTCTGTAAGAATTTAATACACTGCTGTATTAATTAGGAGGTAGGGAGGCTCACTTACAAGGGGAGATCATTTTTGGGGAAAAGGCCAGCCTCTTAGACATAAAATAGAAACAGAGAGGGCAAGCCTTGGGTGAACAACAGAAGGAGACAGGCCTCTTGGCCATCGGCCTGCAGGAGTTCATATGGGACCAACGGGGAAGTAGCCCCAGAGCTGGCAACCTGGGGACTAAGGCAAGATGACCCTAAGTTGTGCCAGTCCTTTGGGGACCTATCTTAATCTTTGTAAGCCGAAGCAAGTTTCTATTTTATATTTGTAATGCCTTCAGCATTTGTCTCCCTTTTGATCTTCCTTAATGCTTAGCAAGTCTTTTAAATGCTTCAGCCAGACTTCCTGTCCTTTCTGTAAGGAACTATATTTAAGGGTAACCAAATAGTCCCTGTTGATGAGGGAATGTTCTACTTTACAGAAGAAAGCCAGCTAATAATAAGAAGAAGAATTTAAAAAATAGTTTTGCCAATCTCAACGGAATTATTGGTTTAGGCAAGTATTATTAACTGGCAGGAAAATCACTGGGTATGTACCTACTTGGGAAATAAACATTTGTTATATTACCAAAAATTATACCAACTACACAGGTTACTTTCTGGTCTAAAGAGGAAAACATAACTCTAATATAGGAAAGAGACTGATATCACTGTAATCCAGTAACCATAACATCGCTAATGATGTAACAGCCTGATGTTATATGTCTTTGATCTAATTAAATACAACTGCAGAACACCATCGATGTCTTCTTGACAAACATGTTTAACATTAATCCATCAAAATTTTAGATAGATATTTCAGTGTCAGGGAATACAGGGGATAGAGAAACAAGCTCAGCATCACCACGAAGAAGCAATCACACAAATCCAATAGGTTGGAGCAAAAGTAATGGCGTTCTTGATATTTTAATGGCACAAACCACCATTACTTTTGCACCAACCTGCTAGAAGCTGAGACATTCTGCAGGACTACTGGCTTGGTGTTTTCACAAATCAGGGTCAATGGGGAGGACTTGCTAGATTTGAAAATATTTTAAAGGACATGACAATCAAATAAAATCATCCTTGATTAGATTAAATTGGAGAGAAATTTGAATATGATAAAAGTATTAGATGATGTGAAAATGTACTAAAATGGAAAAGAAGAAATCATTGACTGGAAAAAATTGCTGTAGGATAGTGTGCAACCTAAGGTCTCATATTGACAAATATATATGTACACATATATTAGGAAAAGAGCCAAAAAGAAAATATGCCCTAAGATTGTAACAGCTGATTTCCAGGTAGTAGAAATGTGATAGTTTGCTTTGATTTTTAATTTTTACTTGTCTATATTTTGTAATTTTCTGTAATCCATGGGGGCTACTTCTGTATTTATTTATTTATTTATTTATTTATTTATTTATTTATTTGAGATGGAGTTTCGCTCTTGTCACCCAGGCTGGAGTGCAATGGAGCTATCTCGGCTCACTGCAACCTCCGCCTCCCGGGTTCAAGTGATTCTTCTGTCTCAGCCTCCCTAGCAGCTGGGATTACAGGCGCTTACCACCACGCCCAGCTAATTTTTGTATTTTTAGCAGGGACGGGGTTTCACCACGTTGGCCGGCTGATCTTGAACTCCTGATGTCAGGTGATCTGCCTGCCTCGGCCTCCCTGCTTCTATTTTAAGAAATCACTTCGTGACCAGCCTGGCCAACATGGTGAAACCCTGTTTCTACTAAAAATACAAAAAATTAGCTAGGCGTGGCAGTGGACACCTGTAATCACGGCTACTCAAGAGGCTAAGACAGGAGAATCACTGGAACCCAGGAGGTGGAAGTTGCAGTGAGCCAAGATTGCATCACTGCATTCCAGCCTGGGCAACAAAGAGTGAAACTCCATCTTAAAAAAAGAAAAAAGGGAAAAAAAGAAAGAAATCACTATAAATAAAACATATCAAAAATAAATTAAGATTTCATTTTATATGATGATCTACTGGTTCTTTTGGAAGTTGAGTACTTTTTAAATAAATTTTTATTTGGGAGTTATTTTAGATTTACAGAAAAGTTGCAAAGAAAGTACAGAGAGTTCCTGTGTATCTTTCACTCCATTTCCCTTACTGTTAACATATTATATAACTACAATACATTTGTCAAACTAAGAAATTACCATTGGTACATTATTATTAATTGAACTCTCAACTTTATTCAGATTTCATCCCTTTTCCCACTAATGTCCCTTTTCTGTTCCACAAAGCCACACTGCATTTAGTCATCGTGTCTCCTTTGTCTCCTCTGGTTGGTGCCAGTTTTTCAGCCTTTCCTTATTTTTCATGACCTTGACAGTTTTGAAGAATACTGCTCTGGTATGTTGTAGAACGTCCCTCATTTTAAATTTGTCTGATGTTTTTCTCATAGTTAGACCGGGGTTACAGGCTTTGTGAGTCATACCATGGAGGTCAAGTGCTCTTCTTGCATTATATGATATCGACATGACTTATTGCTGGTGAAGTTAGCCTTGATCACCTGGTTAAGGTAGTGTCTTCCAGACCCCTCCACTACTTTTCTAGTGACTATTTTTTGAAGTTACTATTTTTCCCTTTCCATACTTTATTCTCTGGAAATGAGTCACTGAGTTCAGCCCATATGGTTTTTTTCTGAACCCTCCCCCACTGCCCCCACCCAAAACCAGAGCACTCATTAATTTTAGCTGAGCTAAGAGGAGTTAATTTTTGGCTACTTTTGAAAGAGGCATTGCCTGGTTAACAGCACACACTAGGGTGGTGGCATTGCCGGAGATGGTACTGAGGGAGAGGCTCCTAAGCGAAGGTGGTACCTGGGGCATAAAGCCCAGAGTCCTTGTTTAGCCTCTACAGCTACATACTGACCTTTGCCAACCTGCAGATCTGTTCCAGGCTAAATTAGAAAAGCATGCATTTCACTTTATTCAAGAGGTAGTCCTCCCTTAGAGGGGCTATTTTTTATTTCCACAGAGCTTTCATTGCTACTGAAGAAGAAACTGCAAGAAAAAGGAAAGGATGGTAGCGAGAGTGAAAGAAAACTGCCAGCCAACTTCTCTTCCCTGTTGGACATCCCTTCCCACTCTGGGAAATGGGATATGCTGCCACTAGCCACGAAACATTTCAGAATTGCCCTTGGGGGCACCCTAGATGTGCAAGTTATGTGACATAACAGCAGTCTGTTTCACGGTGCACAACAGGGGCACCAAGGGGCCTCAGAAACATCCTCTGCTTGGGGGAAGCACAGAGCAAAAGGAGCCACTCCGGATTTGGAGAGCCATGCAGGGGCATCCTAGTCTCTCTCCAGTCTCTGCTCAGACAGGCCATATAGTCCATAAGCTCTGTTGGACTGCCAGTTAACAGAGTGTTCTGGAGCCTTCTAAAATGGCCAGACTGTAGGCTGGGCACAATGGCTCATGCCTGTAATCCTAGCACTTTGGGAGATCAAGGTGGGAGAATCACTTAACCCCAGGAGTTCAAGACCAGCCTGGTCATCATAGTGAGACCCCTGTTTTTCTAAAAAAAAAAAAAAAATTAAAATGTAAAAAGTTGGCTGGGCATGGCAGCATGCACCTGTAGTCTCAGCTACTCGGAAGGCTGAGTCAGGAGGATTGCTGGAGCTCAGGAGGCCGAAGCCGCAGTGAGCCATGATCATGCCATTACATTCCATCCTGGGTGACAGAGTAAATCCCTGTCTAAAATAATAAAATAAAATGTCTAGAGTGCCCCTCAGCAGGTTCATGAGAAGCAAAACCAAAGCAGTCACATTATCTTCAAAACAACTTGGTTTGTTATTATTTTTAATCCTAGGCCTTGCTGGTTTCCCGCAACTTTGCCCAATAGAGGGCTGTGTGCTGTGCCATTCAGTTTTCTGTGGCATGAGAATCCTTTCATGATATTTAGATGGGGTCTTCTCCATGGACACAGAGCTTCATAGATTCATATGGTACCTTATATCCGTTTTCCTTCCATCTCTCTCATCCACCTTCCTTCTCTCTCTTTCTCCCTTTCTTCCTTTCTTCATTATGAGTATTATAATGTGAGAAGTGAAGGCTTCTGGTTCAGGCTAACACTAAACAGTTCTTAGGAGATTTTCCTCAAATTGGGGGATGTCTCAAGTATATTACAATTCTACCAGAAAATCCTTTTACCTTTAGAGGCTTTGGAAATGAATGTAAATTTACAGAATTTTACATTGAATGGCTTTTTCTGTCCATCTTTTCTTACTACTCTAGATGTAGACTAAGAAGTTGCTTAGCTCACCACCCTCTACCCATAAATATAAATCTAAAAACAAATTTAGTCGAATTTTAAAAATGCATATTTCAGCGACAAAATGTTGAGGTCTAGATGTGTATTTTGGGGAATACTTGATTAAAGTCCCCACACATTGGTGCTGACTACTTCACTAGCCTAGAACTGATTGTAGTTCTATAGCTCTTAGTGAGGGACAGCAAGAAAGTCAGTTATGTCAGCATTTGTTCACTGTGCACAAAATCTAATCTTTAAGTCATATTCTGTTATTTTTGTGAAGACCTTCCTAATTGAATAGGAGACTCTATGTTTCTTATATTCAATTGTAAAAAACTTTCTGCAGCTTTAGAAAATGATATCCCATACCCCTTCTTTGCAATATCTAAACTTGATGACTTTCATTCCAAAAGTTTTTAGGTTTTTAGTGTTTTTGCCTTCCTAACTGGAATATACATTTTCCTAAGTGTCTTGCTCAAGTAGAATATGTTGTTTACTACCAGGATTATTTTGTGCTAT
The DNA here is from genome assembly GCF_000001405.40 of Homo sapiens. NCBI lineage: Eukaryota > Metazoa > Chordata > Mammalia > Primates > Hominidae > Homo > Homo sapiens. Next base: position 141,380,557 of record NC_000007.14, read on the forward strand.
GTATAGGTCCAGTAGTTTGATTAAACTTGGGGAAAAAAGAATTCTATGTCCTTTTTAATAGTGGAAATCCAACTGCTTATTGTTGTTGTTATTTATATGTGTGTATGTGTTTGTTTTGGGGAGTATTCTGTGCCTTCCTATAAGCAAATATTGATTGAATGCATTTATCATTCTGATCCTTGAGATAATTATTCATATAGGTTACAGTCATTCTCAGCTATAGTAGTAGATCTTTTCAGCTGATCATGGCATGGATGTGAAGTAGTCTCAGCATGCTAATCTCTGCATTTTAGAGGCAGGGAAAGAAGGCTATACCTCTCAGTCTGTTAGGAAATTTCAGATTCAAATATACATCTAGAAGAAAGCAGACCTAACTGGGGATTACAGAGGCTAACATGGTGGCTGCTGAGTACCTGATAACAGATCCATCACTGTCTCCCCGTACCCACCCCATAACCACAACACAATTCACATCTTACCTGCCTACACAGCATATTTTGTATGCACACTTCACTGTCTCATAATACTGCAGAGGAGTGAGGTGAGACAAATGGAAGAGTTCCCAGTCCTTGAAGTTGGGGCAAATGTAGCATCGATGTGACTGTAATCTTTACATGGAATTCAGTGATGTGAAACCCCCCACCTGTATCAAAGTCTTGTAGTTAATAAGCAATAGCTTCTTCCAATTCTCCTCTCATGGCCTTGCTCACATCTCTTAAATTCTTGTAGATCCTTAAGCCAAGTAACAGATAATTCTAGTTTTTTATTCATAATAAAGATGTAGACTCTTTCCCTGTAGTAGTAGAAGAAGTAATTTCCATTTGATATTCCTGTGCCACACTTGGTTTGTCAGAGAACTAAGTGTTGTGTGAAATTTGTCCTTCCTTAGAAGAAGCAGTGTTTGTTTTTTATATTTCTTCTTTTTCTTTCCTGAGCTCCAAATACTTCTGTCTAAATGTCATTATTTCAAAAGTCGAGTCCTATTTCTCTTAATTCTTTCCAGATATCCCACCAACCTTATTTGATTAGGACATAAGGAGTCTCAAATATATTTAAGTGAATAAAAAAAATTGAGGGCCTTAGTAGCCAACATTGCCTATATTTTTAAAAAGCCCTAACTACTTCTCTGAGGTTTTGTGTAATTAGGGCTGGTTGGCAAGGATAGGAGCGACTTTTATGTCTTAGGACAATGACAGTTCAGATCCCCCCCTTTTGCCCACAAGGATGGTACATTTTCTATTTTATCTGAGGGGCACTGAATGTATTTACACTCATCTATTTTGTTTTGGCTAGAATGTTCCCCATTTTTAATACAGAGAGTGGGCCTCAGAGATCCATTTGTTCATGCCAGATTTCAATCTCAACCCTACTCTCTGAGCTCCAGGATCAGATACCGTCTGCTATCTAGTTAATGTCTAACTGAGATCTTCACAGAATGTCTAATATTTATCTCAAATGTAACTTGCCCCAACAGGGCTGGATTCTCCTCTCCCATTCAACGAAGTATGATCCCTCATTGGCCCATTATTCTCCATAGGGAGAACTGTTCTACCTCCTGCCAATGCTCCTCCTATCATCTGTTCTCCATATAGCAGCCAAGGTGGCCTTTTAAAACAGAAATCATGTGTCAGTCCCCTGTGTACAAAAGCCCAAAGATGTCCTATTACGCTTAGGTCAATATCCAGACTCCTCATTATGAATCATTAGGCACTGTGTTTTTTGGCTGCTGGCTGTCTCTCCACCTCTTGTGTGCCAGGCATCACTGTAGGCACAGGAATCTGTGAAGTGCTAGACAAAGCCTGCCCTCTCCTAGAGCTGAGAGTCTGTGGGATTTTAAAGGATGGGTCCCAGGACCTTTGAGAATCCACCAATTTGTGAATATTGCTTGTTATTTTAAGATCCCTCATAAATTACAGTTTCTGCACTGACTGAAACACTCATAAATTATGTTTTCTAATTTTCCTAGTCCATATAAGTGAACTTGTCATTTCATGTGTCTGATCTGCTGCCAAATTTAATATTCTACTTTTACTTTATTACAAAACTCCATTTTCTAAGACCTCTTCTCATCTATTACCAGCATTAACACTGCCTTTCTTTAGTGGACTGTATTTCACAAGAAAGGCAATTTTAAAAAATAATCACTTTATGCATGTTAATATTAATATATATGTAATGACAAAGAGAAAACAACAGTAACACGTTGAGTTGGGTATGTCACTAGCTAAATGATTCAGTCCCACAAACAAACCTCACAATGCACACAACTCAAAGTAATGCCTTAGCAAAGGGGTGTTCCTTTATATCTCTGGAGTCTTTTAACAAATGTAGAAATCACAGCAACATTTACCAGTGTGAATCCACAGAAACTTCCTTGCCTTCCTTTCAGATATCTTTATCATCACTGCCCCATTCTCCCACCCCAATCTCCTTGGAAATTTGGGAGCTTGAAAAGCAAACTCATTGCTATGCCCCAAGTTGTGGCAAAGCTTTGGGCCAGGGTAGGAGGCTGCAGCCCAACCTTTACTTCCTTGATAGTGCGTGAGTTCACACTGGCATTGAATTGCTGCTTTTAGCATTGCTTTTATTTTCTTTCTTTCTTTCTTTCTTTTTTTTTAAAGTCTAGCTTGTTTAATAAACAAGAAAACAGAGTAAGATAATTCTTTTTTTTTTAAATTATACTTTAAGTTCTAGGGTACATGTGCACAACGTGCAGGTTTGTTACATATGTATACATGTGCCATGTTGGTGTGCTGCACCCATTAACTCGTCATTTACATTAGGTGTGTCTCCTAATGCTATCCCTCCCCCCTCCCTCCACCCCACAACAGGCCCCGGTGTGTGATGTTCCCCTTCCTGTGTCCAAGTGTTCTCATTATTCAGTTCCCACCTATGAGTGAGAACATGCAATGTTCGGTTTTTTGTCCTTGCAAAAGTTTGCTGAGAATGATGGTTTCCAGCTTCATTCATGTCCCTACAAAGGACATGAACTCATCCTTTTTTGTGGCTGCATAGTATTCCATGGTGTATATGTGCCACATTTTCTTAATCCAGTATATCATTGATGGACATTTGGGTTGGTTCCAAGTCTTTGCTATTGTGAATAGTGCCACAATAAACATACGTGTGCTTGTATCTTTATAGCAGCATGATTTATAATCCTTTGGGTATATACCCAGTAATGAGATGGTGGGTCAAATGGTATTTCTAGTTCTAGATCCTTGAGGAATCACCACACTGTCTTCTACAATGGTTGAACTAGTTTACAGACCCATCAACAGAGTAAAAGTGTTCCTATTTCTCTACATCCTCTCCAGCACCTGTTGTTTCCTGACTTTTTAATGATCGCCATTCTAACTGGTGTGAGATGGTATCTCATTGTGGTTTTGATTTGCATTTCTCTGATGGCCAGTGATGATGAACATTTCTTCATGTGTCTGTTGGCTGCATAAATGTCTTCTTTTGAGAAGTGTCTGTTCATGTCCTTCGCCCACTTTTTGATGGGGTTGTTTGTTTTTTTCCTGTATATTTGTTTGAGTTCTTTGTAGATTCCGGATATTAGCCCTTTGTCAGACGAGTAGATTGCAAAAATTTTCTCCCATTTTGTAGGTTGCCTGTTCACTCTGATGGTAGTTTCTTTTGCTGTGCAGAAGCTCTTTAGTTTAATTAGATCCCATTTGTCAATTTTGGCTTTTGTTGCCATTGCTTTTGGTGTTTTAGACATGAAGTCCTTGCCCACGCCTGTGTCCTGAATGGTATTGCCTAGGTTTTCTTCTAGGGTTTTTATGGTTTTAGGTCTAACATTTAAGTCTTTAATCCATCTTGAATTAATTTTTGTATAAGGTGTAAGGAAGGGATCCAGTTTCAGCTTTCTACCTATGGCTAGCCATTCCCAGCACCATTTATTAAATAGGGAATCCTTTCCCCATTTCTTGTTTTTGTCAGGTTTGTCAAAGATCAGATGGTTGTAGATGTGTGGTATTATTTCTGAGAGCTCTGTTCTGTTCCATTGGTCTATATCTCTGTTTTGGTACCAGTACCATGCTGTTTTGGTTACTGTAGCCTTGCAGTACAGTTTGAAGTCAGGTAGCGTGATGCCTCCAGCTTTGTTCTTTTGGCTTAGGATTGACTTGGCAATGTGGGCTCTTTTTTGGTTCCATATGAACTTTAAAGTAGTTTTTTTCCAAATCTGTGAAGAAAGTCATTGGTAGCTTTTATTTTCAACATGTGGAGGAGACACTTTACTGGCAGAGTTACCCATCTTTCTATATTGTATTGAAATCTGTTCTCAGGGATTTGCTTTCTACAGATCAAGTTCTAGAGATCTCACTGATCTAGTATTTTGATATTCTATATAGTGTGGAAATCCATAATGCATAATTGATCTACTCATCTTCTCTTATGGAGCGTGCTAGTACTCTTCTATTTCTATTTCCACATTTCTTTGTTCTTAGATAAACCAAACCATCTTTCTACATTTGTTATGTACCCCTGAATTCAAAATGAAACCCAAAACATTCTTCGCTCCAACTAACCATCAAAACTTAAATGTATGTGGCTTTTAGGTCACCCAATTTTTTTCTACTACAAAGAGAATCTTTTCCCACTTTTCGTATTTTTCCAGATAAATCTGATGACACTGTTCCTGATGTTTCATGGTCCTTAATTATGGCAGCTCTTCAGTAGCTGCAATGTGTCCATCTCTGAAATCAAACAGTATGTTGAAAGAATAACCGTTAACAGGGAACCAGTCCCCTTGGGCTGTGTATACATAATATGGCCCTGCCATAAGATGGTCTGCTCTAGGGGCATTCTCACGGGTAGAATGTCTTTCTGTAAGCACGATGGGGATTCTCAGGGATAGTCCACACAACCCAGATATTTGGGCTTTTTAAATAAAAATGTACATTGAAAAATTCAGAAAACATTACATATAACTGTGAACTCTATTTATAAGTAATTCATACCTAGAGCAAATAGTGGGGAAAACTCCAGGCTCCAAACGCATATCATTAATGCTCACCGAAATATTAGCAAACAGTGTTTCCCATCATCCTTTTTGTTAAGGAGTCAGCAACCTTTTTATCCAGTTCTACCTGTTTATCCTGCTTATTCTCAGCCATGTTTCAAGACATAAATCCAACTTGCACCATTAGCACCTTTCCTGTTATTCCTGGACCACCTGTTGGTCTTATTATCCCTGGCCTAGGTGAGTCTAGGAACAGCTGTTACCAGTCCCTTGGGTCCACTTCTATTTCTGCAAGAAGAGCAATTCCCTGACAACACAGAAGATAACTTCTTCTCTCTACACCACCCTAACTTTAAAAATGATTCCAGCTGCTAGTTTGGCCCCACCTGGGCCTGGTTGTGTTGCAGAGAGATTGGACTCTTCTTCTGGGGCTTCTTTCTGAACTCATTAAATCACACAAAGGTGACAGATTTTCTGTGAAGCGCTGGACTTGCTACAATATTCCTCTACCTTTCAGCACTTCTCAGCATTCATTCATCAACTCAAGAGGACCAGAAATCTTGGGCCTTATGAGCAGGTGGCCTCTAAAAAACAGAGATTTTGAGGGGCCAAAGGGGTTTGAAAGCTTTGCTCCCATCTTCTGGGCTCGGAGTTGTCATGGATTTAATTAGTCCTCCCTGTTTCCTCCTTCAGCTCCTTTCTCTCCTGGGTGATGACCCTTTGTAGTAGAATGCCTCCACTGGTGCCATTCTATACAAAGGGTTGTTTGGGGACCTTGCAGAAACTTCGGCAGTATTCCCTGGACTCTGAAATATGGGAGAAGTCAGAAGCATTAAAATCTGCTCTCAGGAACTTTGCTTTCCACTGAGTGAAATGAAGTGCTACTTTTGCTTTCTATGGAGCTGCCTATTACCTTACATGAAGGTCTTGTATTCTTGGTTTTTTGTTTGTTTTCTCTGGACACGCTGTGTAGTTACACATATTTATGGGGTACAATTTGATGTTTTGATACATACATGTTGTATAATGATCAAATCAAGATATTTAGTGTATCCATTACCTCAGGCATTTATTATTTCTTTGTGGTGAGAACATTCTCGGGTTTTAAACATTCTAGGGGGATGTCATGAGTACTTTGAAACTATTACAAAAGCTGTGGATCTTCTTCCAAACACTGCGACTATGCATATACCTGCGTTATCTTCGGCCTGTCCTTTGTTTGCACGCAGTGGAGATCAACTCTGGCTAATTTAATCAAGGGAAGGATCCTGGGGTGGCTCATGAAATTGAATAAGAGAAAAGTGACCTGGATGAGGGCAAGGAAGTTCCAGGGGCTCAGCAGCCGGGGTTTGGGGGTTCTCTTTCTGATGCACTATCAGTAACTCAGCTTCAATAATCCCCAGTGCCCATATCTGCCCCAAATTTCAAAATCCCGGAAGAAAGAAGTCAAATTATTCTAGCTTGAGTCAGAATCTGTGGGCTCTTCCAGGAGGTTGGGATGCTTATGAGGGTCCAGTGGTGGAGGGTGAGGCCATTCCTAGCAATGGGGAAGTCATCATGAGCTAGGCAGGCATTTCTCCCAAATCTCAAATTTGCATGCAATCTCAGGGCATTCACAGTCTTCCTGCTTTGAAGGAAGATATGACTAGTTTTGACAGAATTCATGGAATCTTGACTATTAGAGTTGGAAGGAGCTTAGATTATATCTACATAGCTTTATTGAGCATGTACTATGTGTCAGACATCAGGCTAAACACTTTACATGCACTTTCTCATTTTATTTTTACAGTAACGCCATAATACAGGTGCATTTTTATTCTATAGATAGGGAAACTGAGACAATCACCATAGAAAAGATAGTTTGGCATCCCCTAAATGCCTCATAATTTATTATAGTCAGAGGAAGAAATTCTACCCCTTCTTCTGAGCTCCTAGAGATCCATATTTTATATCCAGTTAATAAGGTAAATTACAAAACAACATTTTGTCCCCATCTAAAATGGATTTCAGGGCAGACAAATCCCCCCTCATTCCTGTCTTTTTAAATGCCATAGTCAATCAGGATTTTGAAGAGGTTTTCATAGCGAGGAGCTATATTTAGCAGACTCCTTTTAATAAAGGAGGAAGCGCTCAGCCTTCTCGTATCTGCGCACCCCCGTTCCTGTCACCCGGTGGGTGGCCTCCCTCTGCCCACCTGCCCACCTCCTGCTGCGCTTCCCTGTGGCCTGACACTTGTCTTCCATCTCCACATGTCTCACCCACAACTGTTCTGTTTCTGGGCCTCTCATCCACCCACTCTTGCTCTGTTCTTCTGTCACAGAACCCAGAACTCCTGCAGATTCCTCCTCGCCTTGGTGGTCATCCTGTCGGCCACTCCCCCTTTCCCGCAGGCAGCCCACTCCCTCACTCTCTCCCCACCTGCACTGAAACCTGCCTTCGTCCACTTACCTGCTGTCACCTGCTCTGGCTGCCAAGCCGCACACCCTTTGAGCTTTCATCAGCAGATTCTGGGGTGTGTGTGTCTTCCTGGGTGTGAGGTTGTGACCGCAGATGACATTATACGACATGTCTGTCAGTGAAGCAGCTTTCTTTACTCAAATAGTATTATTTCAGCTTGAGCATGGTATCAGGTGGCTGTAAAGTTCCTGGAGGTTAGGAGGAGGAAGCCCAGGTGTGTCTTTGGCTCCTCCAGACTTGCCAGAATGCCAGGCTCATCGTAGGGTCTCCGTAAGAACTCGCCCTGGACCACCCCACTCATGTCACTAATAGTCAGGCTTCGAATGGAGACATCTGCCTGAGATAAAGCATGTGCACGCTTTCTACTCAAAGAAGACGGTCTCTAATAATACCGCCTGTTTTGCTGTGCATATCACTGTGAACTCACTAAAGATTGATCTACTTTCCTCTAGGTAAAAAATATTCTTGTCACTTTAATTGATTCATGCTGAATTCTTCTAAACAATGAGAAAGTAGATTAATTCTTTCTTCCTCCTGAGGTTGTTTTGCTCCCCTCCCTCAGCCTCCACACCCATTCCTGCCCGTCAGAAGACTCAGGTTGTGATCTCCAAAACCTAATCCTAGAAATGGTTAAAGAGCTAATTGAAAAGTACTAGAGTAATAACTACTCCGGGTTGGCATTAATTTTTTCCCACCAATCACTGCAACATAAGTGGTGAGCACTGGCTTTCACATGTTCAACTCCTTTGCCATTTGGAAGTTACATGATGCTGGATGTTTTATACACAGTTTGGGGCTGATTTATATAGGGTCAGAAGACTTACTCTCATTTCCAAAGATCTACATACATAAACAAACAAAAATGAGTTAAATCAAATAACCTGGAGCTTCCTGAAATTTTTATTAAGGAAGGTGCAATGTTACCACTTTGGCAAACTCATCTGCATGAGTAGTATCCTGGGACAGTCCAAAAGCTCACTTGTGGTACCTTACTCCTGGCAGCAGTAAGGTTTCAATAGCTTTTCCTAGGTTCCAAAGTCCAACCGAGTCTAGTATAGTGTCACCACTTATTGATCTACAGGATCTAGGAACTGGGCCTTTTTGGGTTTCTTTAAGCTGGCAGAAACAAACTCCAAACCCTAAACTCCAGCCAGCGGAAACATGCCAGCAAATTCATCACTTCTTCCAGATACCACTACTCACGTTAGGTTCAAGAGGTACAAGTACAGAATGCATAGTAAAAAACACGTAGCTATTCTGGGCTCTCCTCTGTCAATTACATATAATGGATAACGTAGAAGGGAAAGGGTATCTGTTCTCTATTACCAGCTTGCCACAATGAGTAAGTCACATGTGCTCTCCTGACAGCCCCTTCTGGACTCTGGAGTGGTCTGTCTAGTAGATTGGTTTTGAAACTGGGTCATATCCAGGCCTAGACTTCCATTTGTACAGCCTAAAGGAAGAAAGAAGGTACATCTGTACACAACATAGTATAGTAAAAGAAAGAGCAGTGATAGCTATTATGTGTTTATCACTTACAGCTGGGAAGATTGATGGGTGTGGGAGGCCCCGATGTTCCCATGATCTTAAGATCTCTGATGAGCCAATAATAACACACTAGTGCACCAACTATGCAGCTGTCACGAGGCAGCACCAAGCTGTCAAAGTCATCAATAGAATGACAGCCCCCTTTACTTTCAAAATTGTCCTTGATCAGTGTCAAAGCCGTTATTATTAGGAGATGTCTAAATGAATCTAAATGGGAAAATTATGTGGAGTCTATGGTTTTTACAAGAAATCTTTGAGTCTGAATAGGGAGTCATTCAGAGACTTGGGGGGAAAAGGCTGTTCCTAGTGACCCCGGTCTTTCAGAGGGGTGACTGGCATGAGCACCTCGAAGGTCTGCCTGGGATGTCTAGAAAAGGAGAATCTTTTTCTTTTTAAGAATGTGGCTGCTTTGGAAACCGAGCAGTCTCTGACAGAAGGCAGCCTTCAGGGACCAGGCACATGGCTGGAAAATGTCTTGTTCTAGGCCCAAGCAATTACCACTAAGGGACATTGTAGCTGCATTTCACCTAGAAATACTTCAAGCACTAAAATCCATTTCCTCTCAGGTTAAAATTCCCTTTTTAAAAAAAAAGAGAAAGAAAGAGAGGGAATTATTTAGGCTGAAAGGACAGAATGAGAGAAGCCAAGCCAAAACTGAGTTAAAAGGTAGATCATACCTCTCTCTGCGACCTTCCTTCCTTCTTTCCTGGGCTTTGGGGGCCACACCCTCTATGTGAAGTTGGGAGGTGGCTCTGTGTTACTCTTTTATCACAGGCACTGGGGGCTCTAAGCCCCAGGCCTACACTCTTCTACTATGAACAGGCTTTGGTGGTTTCTATTCTCAAGTGACAAGCTTTTTGTTTATTTCTGTTTCCTATTTCACAAAAACATTTTACTGTGGTTTCAGACAGATCAGCTCCCACTCAGAATCAAGTGAGTTTTACTGGTTGCTGAAATCCTCTCCTACTCCACAGGGGCTGGCCTCATCCCCAGCCCTTCCAGGGGCCGCCTGGTATCCCAGTGGGGTTTGAAGAACGCATGTCACATTCTACAATTTGGTTCACCTTGCCTTTGCGTTTTCAAAGCCAGAAATTCTCAAACTACCTGCCCCGTTCTGACACGACATGTGATTAGACATTTTAGACATAGCTTGGGATTGAAGGCAGGTATCATAACTTCCCAGTTACGACCTTTAGCTCTCAATCCCATTTTACTCAGAACCTTTCTAATGTGCATATTTTCTTGAAAGAAAATTTATGCTTCTCTACCTCTGCAGGGAATCTCAGATGAACTATATACACAGTGTACTCAGCCTTGGCCAGTATCTGAACATTGATTTTGTTTTTAAGAGCAAACAAATATTTATGGAGAATACAAACAATATGCGGCAGGAATTAGGGAAAGAATCACTCTGGTAGGGAGAATGAGGGAGGGTTTTAAAAGGAAGATGGCATCTGAGCTTGACGCAGAAAGTGAATGCGATTTGACAGATGGGAAAGGAAGAGAGAGTTCAGAGGGCAGGGCTAGAGATGGTGAAGTGGCCAAAGAGGCTGGGCAGGAAACCCTTGGCAGAGCTGAGATGGTCTTGAAGGCCAGGCTGTAGTTTACTGTTTATGGTGACAGTTTTGTTCTTTCAACCCCCTGCTTTTTTTTTGAGACAGAGTCTCACTCTGTCGCCAGACTGAAGTGCAATGGTGCGATCTCGGCTCACTGCAACTTCCACCTCCCAGGCTCAAGTGATTCTCCTGCCTCAGCCTCCCGAGTAGCTGGGATTACAGGTAGGCACCACCACGCCCGGCTGATTTTTGTATTTTTAGTAGAGACGGGTTTTCACCATGTTGTTCAGAAGAGTCTCAATCTCCTGATCTCATTACCCGCCTCGGCATCCCAAAGTGCTGGGATTACAGGCGTGAGCCACCACATCCGGCCTCTTTCAACTCTTTAAAAATACTTTTAAACACACCATTGCTGGCTTGAAGTGATTTTTTTTATTGTGGTTAAATATACATAAGATTTACCCTTTTAACGGTTTTTGAGTGTACAGTTCAGTGGTCTTAAGCACATTCACATTGCTGTGCGACCATCACCTCCATCCATCTCCAGAACTTTTCATCTTGCAAATCTGAAACTCTGTCCTCCATAGACATGAATTCCCCCATTCTCCCCTCCCCCAGCCTCTGGTAACCCCCACTCTACTTTCTGTGTCTATGAATTTGCTGACTCTAGGGACCTCAGATACACGGAATCACGCCTGTTATTTTGTGAGTGGCTCATTTCACTTAGCATTATGTCCTCAAGGTTCATCCATGTTGTAGCATGTGTGAGAATGTTCTTCCCTTTAAGGCTGAACAACATTTCATTATATGTGCGTGCCCCATTTTGTTTATCCATTCATCCGTCAGCGGATACATCAGTTGCTTCCACCTTTTGGTTATTGTGAATAATGCTGCTGTGAACATGGCTATGAAAATATCTGTTGGAATCCCTGCTTTCACTTTTGGGGGAATATACAGAGGAGTGGAATTCTATGGTTTTTTTTTTTGAGAAACTGCCATATTGTTTTATTATGAAAAATTTTAGGCATGTACAAAAGTTGAAAGAAAAGTACAATAAACAATTATATACTGATCACTCAGATTCAAAACAAAACAAGTCTCAAACTACCTAACCCTAGAATGCAATTTGATTGATGATCTTACATATAGTATGAGATAGAGAGACAAAGATTATAATATCCTAGTTCTGACCTTTAACACTCAATTCCATATCATGCACAAAATTCTGATACTTATTTGCTTAAAAGAAAATTTATCCTTCTATGCTTCTGAAGTGAACAGAGAAATCCATTATCCAAATCTAACAAGTGCTAATATTTTGCCATATTAACATCATCTTTCTCTCTTCCTCTCTGCCTACCTATCAAAAAGTTTGATTTTCAGTCATCCACTTCAGTGTAAATTGCAGGCTTCAGGACCCTTCATCCCTGCATACATCAGCATACCTACATAGCCACATTGCCATGATCACATCCAACAAAGTGAACTATGATTCCCTAACATCACCCATGCCTCATTCATTTTTTAATGTGCACAAATGTCCCCCAAATGTCTATTATGGTTGGGTTTCTTTTTCCAAACCGGAATACAGTAACCAAGGATCGCACATGGCAGGCCTTTGACTCTATCCAGTAGCTAAAAGGGAGTCTCTGGAGGTTTTGAGCAGGAGAGAAAAGATCAAATCTGGCTCAGTGGACAGCAGCATCTCTCTAGGTCCCTGGGAGCCATAATCTAACTCTTGGTGGGTGGATTTAGAAGACTCAAGAATGAATCCCTACTCAGAGGCAAACTAGATGTAGGTTCTAATGGGGCTTTCATCTGTCATATACTCTTGCCAACCTTCAACATAACTGAAAAAAAGACAGAGTAGTCATTACCAAGCAACCACAGGTTCTGCATTCACCATCTCCAAGCCTTGTTACTTAAAGTAAATAATGCACCAGTTGCAGCAATCTTAGCCTGTGCTTTTGTGGCACATTTAGATGCTGGGAATTCACAGTATGTATGATAACTCATTTTCTTCTGCGGGGCTCTTCCTCTCCTCTTTGGTAAAGAGAACTTGCTTCTGGGGAAGGAGGCAGCCCTCCTGGGGCGAAATGGGAGGGGTGTTTTTCTTCTCCAGGGCAGCTCTGTCTTTAGCTTACTGTGAAACCAAGAACTCTTAAATTCTTAATCTGTCACTGAATCAGCAGTGTATTTACTGAGAGACAACTATTTACTCAGCATCGAGGGGAAGTCACAGGAAATATAAAGCACTTGAAACCAGGAGAAAGAAAACTAATAGAAGCAAAATAACGACAGAATCCATGCTTTCAACCAAGAGTACAAAGTGTAGCAGTTGTTCAAATTAGGGAGAGATCAAAGAGGAAGGAAGGAGCCAGAGGACTTCCAGGAAAGAAGGAGGCATGGCATGTGGCTAAGACGTCAGGAGCAGGGGAAGATTTCTATCTTCTGGACACCATGAGATCAGAGCTCAGTGCTCTTCATGGAAACCATCCCCTCCCATGACTTAGTGGGTATACCAGCAGCTGCTCCAAAGAGAAAGAGAAAGGTCCAAAGAGAGACGACATTGTTAGAAATCTCTTGCAAAGATGTTCTCATAATCTCAAGAAAACTGCAACTTTATTCCTCCTGGTTGTTTATGCTTGTGGTTATCACAGATCATACCCTTGCTTTCCTTCAGGGAGCCGTGTTTGGGGCATGGAGAATATTGGGTAGGCCAACTAGACAAGTGAATTTCAAGGTTACAACACTCCATTGTGGGGAATTCATTCAAAGACATGCTTTTAACTTTCATTTAGGAGGAATTTATTAGCCTAGAATATTTCTTTTCTTCTTTAGACAAAGGGACAGCTTCATTCTTTGATGTTTACCCTCCATTATTTATGTTCTTTTTACCTTCAAAAGACTGGACACATTCAAGGGAAACTCCTCTTTTTTTTTTTTTCCTCAGTGAATCAGTGGCAAGCTCTGTCACTTGAGGTCCTGATGACGTGCAGTTGGGTTTCTTGAGGATTTTGCTTTTGTGTTGAGAATGATTCCACAGAGTTTGGTAAGGGGTTTTTCCCCTAACAATCACAGCCGTGCCCTCTGCACCTTCCATGAAACCCTGAAAAGACTGGAAAGAATGCGTCACCTCCGTGACAGCTTCTTCACCCCCGCCTGTTGCTGGTCTTGGTGCTTGTCTACAGAGATTTAGTGTCATGGCAAGAAATTAGGCTTTGGGCCTAAAAGGGTTTGATTCAGATATGGCCTCCCCACATCCTTGGTATGTGAACCTAATATCACGAAGACCCTCTCCTGTGTGGTGGCTTGGGAGTGGAATCTGGGTTTGAAGCCCAGCTCTGCCAGTCACTGGCAATGTGGCCTTGGATCAGTTATCTACAGGTTTTTGAACCTCAGTTTCCTGATCTATAGGATTGGGGCAATAATATCTAACTTATTTTGGGGATAGTAAGTTACATTATAAAATGCCTCATCTTCCACAATGCATGAGAACACCAGCCAAATCATAGCCCCTGTGTAGAATAATAACCTGTGTGGTATCTCCGACCCAGGGATACAGTCCCTGACATAGATATCATTTTCTCCCAACACCAGTGTTCATGTGGATCTATGGTATTTTGAGCAAGTTCTGTCATTTTCCATTTTGCATCTATGCTATATTAGTTTACATATTCTCAGACTCTACTAAGATACAGAATAGAGGAATGACATAAACAGTTCTTTTTATATATATTTTTTCTCCTCAGCTATATCTCACCCCAAATCCTCTTTTGCCTCACTACTCTGAATGTCTTCCAGCATACAAGCCTGCTTTAAAGTTCTTGTTCTATGTTTTAACTATGTGTTCCCCATGAACTCTGTGACCACCTATGATCCCTTTGACCTTTCATGATCTCACAGCTTCTCTTTGTCTACCCTCAGTACCCTGCCGCCTCTTCACCTGCAATGTGACCCTCTCACTCCTGTTTCCAATTGCCTTGTCCAGACACTGGGCAGTCCTCCACTGCTGACCCCTGGACACCTACTTGTTTTTATCTAATCATCCTGATTCTAGTCCCTTAGTATCCATAGAAATTTGGCTGCAAATATACTCCAGGAGAATCTACAGAAGGAATCCACAGAAGTGTAGAGCAGTTACTAAGAATTTCCAAACCTGGGCAATATGGTGAAACCCCATCTCTACAAAAAATACAAAAAAATTATCCACACTTGGTGATGAGTGCCTGTAGTCCCAGCCACTTGGGAGGCTGAGGCAGGAAGACCACTTGAGCCCAGGAGGTTGAGGCTGCAGGGAGCTGGGATCATGCCACTGCACTCCAGCCCAAGCGACATAGGGAGACCCTGTCTCAAAAACAAAATCAAAAAGAATTTCACCTCACAAGTAGATAGCATTGCTCAGTTTCCAGAGTTTCCTTGTTTTGGATCTCCTCAGAAGCTCAGAGGAGGAGCAGAGCTGGTTGGTTACTCTCTTCTTAGGACAAGGAAGCTGCAGCCTAGTGACATCAGAGGTCTCCCCAAGGCCTCCCTGCCAGTCTTCAGTGGTTCCAGAACCCGAGGTGATGGCGTCTGGCTCTGTCCTCACTCCACCACACTCTGCTCCCCCTCAGTCAATGGCAAATCAGCACTGTATATTCATGTGCTTATTTATACACATATGGATTTCTATATCAGGGGAATGGGAGAGAAGGATGGGCATGGGGGTTGGGAATGGGTTGGAACCAGAGAGCTATAATTCATCCTTTCTCCCACACAAACCACTGAAATACCACATATAATAAACAGCGTCACCCACAAAATGCCATGATTATACAGCGTTGCTTCATATTCAGGAGGAGAGGGAGGGGGCGGCACTAATTAACAGGTGGATTTGGGAAATTTACAACATACTATTACTGGTAATAGAATTATCTTCACCCTTAGTCATTCAAGGAGATACGGGGATCCTCCCAGCTCTGCATCTGGCCATGCCCTGAGAGAGAGAGTGATGCAAGGGGCTTGGGGGTGCTCACCAGCTCTCTCAGAGAGGGGAGGTGGGGAGCCAGGCAACAGCTCAGGGTTGGGGGTGGCCATGCCATCACAGCAGGGAAAGAGTGGCATTGTCAGGCCAGCACGCCTCACCTGTTGGGCATCCCAAGTTGTTCCCAGTCTTCTTGCGTGCCTCCCCTCCCAGGAGTTTGCTGCCCAAAATCCAAAGTAAGAAGAGTAAGAATCTGTTTCAACATGTTAAAAGAGGCAAATACCCTACCACTTTCCCATCGCCCATGCCTACTCCCACCTGCCACTCGCCTGCCTTTTTCCCAAAGGCGCCCCATACTTACTCTGCTGTGCCGCAGGGGTCCCTGGTTCTGCGGCATTTGCCGCCTTGAAGGTCTTTGAGAGCCAGAATGACCTTCAGGGCTCAACGGGTCTGGGCCTCTCATACTGCAGAGTGGAAAACAGAGCCTCAGAAAGATGAGGCGACAGCGCTGGGACTAGAAAAGTTTCAACCCACGCTTGGGCTGACCACTGCCTTTCTTCCTCCCATCATAATATCTGCATCTGTTCACAGGCTAGAGGCTGCTCCATATGTGGCCTCAAAGAAGAGAAAAATGGGATAAGGTTTAAGGAACAAGACACAGACAGTGGGCACAGTGACCCATCTTAGCAGTCTGTTAGATGTCCACATGAGCCCAGAGAGAGGATAAAGAAGGTCAGCATTGCAGAGTGGAAATGAGAGACAAAGTGATAATGGAGCTGGTAAAAAACACACTTCAACAGTCGCTGAGGGTTGGGGGTTGTTGAAATCTCACCATCAATTCTGTATGGGGACAATAGCTCTCCAAGACATTTGTGATTATTGTCATTCATTCAGGAGAGAAAAAGAGAGCCAACAGGACAAAATGTCATCAAAATTGAGCTTGGTTTTTTGTCCCATGAGCATTGTTGAGGAGGGAAACGAGATGTGGGAATAGTGTCACTATTACTGCCATCATCACCGTAAGAACACCATGGGGTCAGCTCACGTTCATTGAAGGTTGAGGGCTGCACAGAAGATGAACTTCAGTTGGTGCCTGAAGTAATGAGATCGTGGAATTTTCTGCCCAAAATCATAGTGATTAACTGTTTCATCCAGCTTCTTTCCCCCAGAAATGGTACAGTGAGAGAGGAAAAATAAAAACCAATTTAAGTAAGCAGAGCCTTGAGAGACAAGAAAAGGTTCTTCTCTTGAGTAATTTTTGGACTTCCTTTAACATGGGAATCCTGAGGCCATTTGTGCTGTGAAGATCCCTCTGTTGGCAAATCAGGTCAGGAGTAACGTCACTTCCCTGAGTCAGACCTCTCCAGCAAGCCCTGAGACGGACGGACCTTACCCAGAGCCACCAGCCTCCAACTTAGAATGAGCCATGGTCTGGATTTTCTCCATAGTAGGTGACTTGGAACTTGGAACACATTTTCTGATAGGCATCATGCTATGAATGGCAGACAGGTTCTCCAGCCAGTGAGTAAATACCCGTCAGCCCATTTGTAACTGAGCTGGGAGTTAGGAGCCCTGGATTCTGGTTTCAGCTCTGTCACTAGCTACCTATGTGATATGAGCAAATCCTTTAGTTACTGCCCCTGATTTTCTCACCCCAAGTCTGATTATTTCTCTCTATTGGCTAATATAGAATTTAATTGCCATTAGGAATACTTTCATAGGAAGCTATATTCCAATTCCTCATGTGTAATGACAAGAATGCATCTCTTCGCCCACCCGAGGCAGAGGCAAGGAAGTTCTGCCCCCACTGTCCCCAGCAGCCCAGAGCCTGGCTGCAGTAGTTATCGGGCAAATGGGGACTCAGAAGAGAGCTAGAGCTGTGATATTGGCCCCTCTGGCATCAGGGCAGCAGGGAAAATGGGAAGGGGTCCAACTCAGCTATACCAGGCTCTGAGTCAAGTTCATTTTCAGAGTCAGGAGATTGGTAGTGGTGTGTGGAGTGGGCAGGTAGGAGAGGTCACCAAGGCAAGTTTGGGGAGGGGTGTCCCAGTGTGTACAGCTCAACTTTCTAGTGCATGGGGAATTCTGTAAAGAGGATTTGACCAGGGTTAAGGGCGATATCAAAAGCAAACTTTAGGATATTTAAGACCTTTGCCTGACTTTTACAGTCTAGAACTTCATGGCAACTCCTTCAGGAGGCTAAATTTGAGTTCTATATCTCCATTTTGAAAAGGAGAAGCCTTTTTCATGCCTTTTGCTTCTGAAACACCTTGGACATCTGGGAACATTGAGGATGGAGGGATCCTCTGTTTTGCTGTGCTGCTTGGGTAGCAGCTGTGACCCAGCTCCTATGCCTTGGAGTCTGGGGAATACCCAGAGAAACAGGAGGACGGCACAGGAGCTGACTCAGGGGAAGCTGCAGTGAACAGCACATCCCCTCCTCTCCACTTCTTTCCTCCCATCCCCTCTGTTTCTCTCTTTCCCACCACAATGAGGTTTCTTTTGTTCCCAAGGTTTGAAGCCTCAGACACCAGTGTGGTATTTTCACTGGGACATCTGCAAGAGCACATGGGAGGTAAATTTGACTGTTCAGCAGGAAGCAGGAAATGTGATTTGCTGGAATAATTTGATGGAAAACTCTGAGCTTTCTGGAAGCCACAGGGGGTACTGTGGGAGGGCTTCAGCAAGCCCAGGGTTGGCAGGTGATTCAGGTAGCTCTTGCCCAACCGTCTCCGTCTACAGAGGAGGAATCTAAGACCCAGAAAGATGAACTGACTTCGCCAAGATCATCAAGCTAGGAGGTGACAGAGGAAGGGCAGTAACCCCACTATTTGTCATTATTAAAGCTCCTGGTACATTTTCAGAGAAGAGGCATTAAGGAGAGATGGCTCAAAGGGCATCTTCATCAGTGGGAAAATACGCCGTCTCCCCAGTCATCCCAATTAGAAAGTATCAAGCGGTAATCAGTGTGCTCTGAATATGCGGACAGCACAGATTCAGCACCTGTTTTCTTCCTTTGCTTTTTCTTTTTTAATTTTGGAAAGATTTCATATCAATGCTAATTCTGACCAGATTTATCTCCTCCATCCTGACTTCCCTCCCATTTTCTTGTTTCTTATCTTCAGATGCCTATCACACATCCCCACTCAGACCTTGCCTTTATCTCAAAGCACGGCACAGGCCAGTTGAAGTGCTTTTCTCCTTATACCTGGACTTTGGCTGCAGCTGTCTGACTGGATTCCTGGCCTTCAGTCTGTCCCTGACTTGGGTAACACTGGAGTCTATTGCTAGCGTAAGCACTGTGGGGAAGCTAGTGGGAAATATGGAGGGTGGTGGCATCATATTTGAATATATTAGCTGATATATAGTCAGGGCAGAATCATGACAAGACCTCAGGTCTCCTGATTCCCAGTCTAGTGCTTTTTTCATAACATTCCAGTATAGTAGAAGTAAAAAGTGGTGCCCATTCTTTGGAGTCTATGGTAATGAAATGTTCTCAATAATCACAAATGTCCAAGGAGGGTGGCTTGTCCTTAACTAAGCTTGCTAGACACCTCTGGGTCTTTGCAGAACAAGTCATTTCACACCTGTTTTCTAAGCATGTGTCTTTGCATTTCTCCAAAGATGGTTTATGGGCATCATTTTGTTCGCCTTCGTTGTTTGCACCTTAAACTACATTAAAGGGAGTATCAGATGGCTTCCAGACTGCTAAGTCAGCAAGGGCTCTCTACATCTCTATGAATCCTTTCCTCTGCTGGCCCTAGGGATTTTCTACTTTCCTTTCCTTTTTAAAGTTATGTCTTACTTTGGGTCTTGAAATTTTCATTGCTCCTCCCTTTCTTCCTTCCTATATTTGAAAATAAGTGCACCGGTATTCTCCATCTAAAAAGAAAATGTAGTGGCCAAGAAAAACTCATATTCAGGAACTTTACAAACAATCAGTCTCCCATGTGTCAAACTCTGTGTTGGGTTCTGGGAACACAAAGATAAATAGAAGCTGATATTTGATCTCCAGGAGCCCATGGGTACAGATGTTTAGAACATGAAATTCCAAGTGCTATGGGTCGTCATGCATCACTGCAGGGATTCTTCTAGTAGAAGGCCACCCCTCTATACTGGGAGTTCTAAAGTTTTGGACCAAGCTTAGCAGAGGTCTCTGCTCATATTTTTTATCTTTCCTGCATCTATTCAACAGGTGACAAAGACAAAGATATGTCCAAATGACCTAAGACGGAGGTTCAAAAGTACAGAGAAGTTTCTATATACTCTCTTCATTTCACCCTTCCTTGAACTTCAAGATGCTCTTGCCCCTGGCTTATTCTCTCAAACACATTTGCATTTTGCTGCCACTGCTTCAACTGGGGCCCTGGGAGGTATGTATCCCTTAGCTTGGGCCAGTTCTGCCCTTCTTTTTCCAAGACTGTTTCATCTTTCCTAGAACCTCCTGTCTCCTCCTCCTCCTCCTTGTTTGAGGCAGGGAATACACCCACCCATTCCCAGAATAGTGCCTTTCACCCATACTCTTGTTTAAGGCAGCTGGCAGCTTTACATCAGAGTTAAGTCTTTCACGTAATTCTGTCAAAAGGTGTTTAAATCCTTTTGCAAAGCAAGGGCCTCCTTAACACTCTCACAAAGAAGGCTGCAGCCTGCTCTTCGTGGGTTGTAGGAATGGTCAAAGAGGGCTTCAGGAGAAAGTAACCTTTCATCTGGGCCTTGAGGTGTGAGTAGTAGAGTGGGGAAGTATTCTAAGTACAGGGAGTCACTGGTGGGACACACAAGAAACACAGAGTGTGCAAGGACATGGTGTGTCACCATCACCCGTCTGGCTTGTCTTCTCTGCCCCCCAGCTTAGATGGTAACCAGTTGTCTCAATATTGCATGTCTTCTCTTTTAGCCTCTGAGAT
The DNA here is from genome assembly GCF_000001405.40 of Homo sapiens. NCBI lineage: Eukaryota > Metazoa > Chordata > Mammalia > Primates > Hominidae > Homo > Homo sapiens. The sequence continues at coordinate 141,400,954 of NC_000007.14, forward strand.
CTTCTCCAAAGGCCTGAGCATCTCCTCCTTCAGAATGACTATCTGGAAGCACTTATCAGGGGCAATAAAAGTGTGGGCCAGTGGTCATTAAAGGTCCAAGTCTCCAGTGGGTCATTGCTGATCTAGGGTAGCTATAGCCTGGGAGCCTCTTCTTCATCCTCAGGTTTATCCAGTGTCAAAGCATCATTTTGCAAAAGTTAAAAACATGACTCTCATATAAAATAGAATGAGTACATTTCAAAAATATATTCAATTCATGAATGAATGAGGGAACCCACTAAGATGGTAAAAAACTGATTCTAAGACCATTAAAGAACAAGAGTTTATTCCTTCCATAGGGAAAGGCATTTAAAATAACATTTAAAATATATTAGAATGAGATTGCTAGGTAAGATATAAAATTGGTTCAGGTACCACTGGGCAATAAACATTAAGCACAGGGGTTATCTTTTCTTTTATTTTCTTATTTATTTATTTAGAGACAGGGTCTTGCTCTGTCACCCAGGCTCGAGCACAGTGTGGTGCGATCATAGCTCACTGCAGCCTCAAATTCCTGGACTCAACTGATCCTCCTGCCTCAGCCTCCCAAGTAGCTGGGACTACGGGTGCATGCCACCACACCCAGCTATTTTTTTATTTTTTTATTTTTTTAGAGATGGAGTTACGGTATGTTGCCCAGGCTGGTCAAGAGATTCTCCCAACTTGGCCTCCTAAAGTGCTGGAATTACAGGCATGAGCCACCGTGCCCAGCCTGCAGTTATCTTTTTTACAGGACAGAAATCATTTGTGTCTCTACAGACCATACGCATCTGCCTTGCTGTTGGATGGAATAATTTACTTGGCTATTGGTTTTTTAAAAGTTAACATCCCTGATGGAGTCGTAAATATCCTAATCAATAGTAAATAGCAAAAATCGAACCAACGTGCACTCCCCTAAAACATCAGATAACTCCGGGTAAACACCCCTCCCACAGCACTATAGTAAAAGGACCTGCAATCAGTCCTTTGCTGCATCTCCAAATCCTGCACGATTGTTTCTAATGCCAGGATGGATGTTCTTAGCAATGTTTTCTTTCATTAATAACACCAGCAAACATTTACTGAATGCTGCAGCGTGTAAGGTACTCCACGGTGCCAGGGAGACACAAAGAAGGGTGAGCAACAGTCCTGCCCTCCGGAGGACCCGCTCACTACACTAAAAGGCACTCCAAGGAAGGGTTACAAAGGAGGAGCCGCACAGGCAATGGACACTATTCTAGTTCTGGAGAGAGAAAAATCCATTCCAGCATGGGAGGGCCAGAAGGCTGCTGAGGAAGCTCCTTTGCACCTGCGAGTTTAGCTCACTCCGTTTTCCCCTTGTCTGGTGTGTGGTATTGGCCAGCGTGGGTGTAGGCCCCCTTTGTGCATTCTGCAGAGATGGGAGTCCGGTCTCTTTCATAACTGCCTTCCTCCTTCCCTCCCCCTGCTGCTCATTCCTGCTAACTTTTCACCTGCCATGTGGGAGCTGCATCTTGGTAGAGCTCAAGTGCTGCTGTCTCTGGCTGTGCAGCTGGTATACCTCAGCGTGCCAAGCCACCAGCACCCTAGGACCAAGCGGGCTGGTGCTTCCAGGCAAAGACACAGCTGAGCAAGGGGAGGAGAGAGGATGGAGGGTGGGAGAGAAGTGAATTTATGGGCAGTTGCCTGAAGACGGGAGGTCAGAGGTGAAGGGACCTTGACAGATGGACTAGAAGAGATAGATGTTGTAACTTTGGCTAGTTTGGGTCTGTAATTAGCCCCCACCAACCTGTGATGACAGGCACTTAGGCACTCCAAGGTGAGGCCTGGGGCTGCCTGCGCACTGGAGGCCTGAGTGCTGACAGCAACTGCAAATCTGCAGAGGGCTCTGGCTTAGTAGCAGAGGGAGTAGAATAGAGACATGTGGATACTTAGCTTTCCTTTGTTTCTCAGTTAACTGCTATAAAGAGGAACCTACTGCCCTTGGCAGCATTCTCTCAAAATGCTATTTTCCGTAATCCTATGGAAGCAGGCCCCAAACAGGAAATGGGGACATGGGCATTCGTTTCTTTGTGGCTGGTATAAATTTCATTTGCCCTGAGTTTGTGGCTATTTGAAAGATTGGCTTTGAGGCCACAGAGGCCCCAGAGATAAGCCTACAAGGCTGTTAAGGCCAAAGCAAAACACCGTGACAAAGTTATCTCACCCCTGGCCTTCCTACAGGCTCTCCGGAGAGGTCAGCGGGGCAGTGGTTCATGCAGCCGGCCATGTGTGATGGTGGAGTGAGTGAGGGTTTGGTATCACGGGGGCCTCATCAGACCCTCTCTCTACTACTTGTGTGATCCTGGACATTGATTTTGCCTTTTCTGAGCTTCAGTTTTCTTTTCTGTCAATGGACACACTAAGGCTGGTTTATGATTTAATCTGATCAAGTGTCAGGGCCTTTTCCAGTGCTGGGCATAGTGTAGATGCTCACAGCAGGAATCAGTATAAGAAGTGTCAGAGCTCCCAACGGCTCAGCCCCTACAGGGAGAGAGCCTGGTTATTATCCACCCTCACAAGACAGGCAAGAGCTCAGACTCTTTTGACTGGAGTCTTGTTTCTGCCACTTGCTTTACTATGATCTTGGGCAAGATGCTCAATATCTGTGTCTCATTGCGAAATGGGAATAATAATGGTCTGTATTTCACATAGCTATGAAAGCACAAAGTGAGAAAATCTACATCAAGTACTTAGTCCCATGCCTGGTACATGGTCCCCCTCAATCATTAATAGCTAGTCTATTGTTACAGAAAATTCCTGTCCCTGGCAAGTGCCTAATACCCAAGGAGGGAAGTGGTCATGAGTAGTTATTACAGACACAAATTTCTCCAGAAAGACCAGAGGTTCTCCCTCAAAATGCATCACTTCACTACTTTGTCCCCTGCAGTTCAGAAAGGGTGCTCCTTTGCAGTCCATCCTTTGAGTTCCTCCTCGGAAATAAGCAGGATAAGGTGTTTACCCCCAATGTGTTAGTTTTCTAGGGCTGCCATAACCACCTGTCATATACCAGAGGCCTTAAAACAATGGAAATTGCCGGGCATGGTGGCTCGTGCCTGTAATCCCAGCACTCTGGGGGGCCGAGACGGGCGGATCACGTGGTCAGGAGCTCGAGACCATCCTGGCTAACATGGTGAAACCCCATCTCTACTAAAAATACAAAATATTAGCTGGGCGTGGTGGTAGGCACCTGTAGTCCCAGCTACTCAGGTGGCTGAGGCAGGAGAATGGCGTGAACCCAGGAAGCGGAGCTTGCAATGAGCCGAGATCATGCTACTGCACTCCAGCCTGGGCAACAGAGTGAGACTCCATCTCAAAAACAAAAACAAAAACAAACAAACAAACAAACAAAAACAACGGAAATTTATTCTCACAGTTTTAGAGGCTGGAAGTGCAGAGGCAAGGTCTTGGCAAAGCCGTGCTCTCCCCGAAGGCCATAGGGGAGGATCCTTCTTCGCCTCTGCCTCTAGCTTATGTGGCTTCAGGCACTCCTTGGCTTGTGGCACCATCACCCCATCTCTGCCTTGCTCTTCACGTGATCCTCTTCCCTGAGTCTCTGGGTCTCAGATCTTCCTGTCCTTTCTCTTCTAAGAGTAAGAGGCATTGGATTTAGAGCCCACCCTGGATCCCGGACGACTTATCTCGAGATCCTCCATTCAATTACAACTCTAATTAATTACATCTGCTAAGACCCTAGTTCCAAATAAGGTCACATTCATAGGCACCAGGGGTTAGGACTTACACATATCTTTTGGTATAAATTCAATCCACTACACCCATTTTATGTATAAGGAAATTGGGGCTCAGAGAAGTTTCCTGCCTTTTCTGAGACTGTCTGGCTGCTTAGTGACACAGCTCAAACTGAGATCCAGGTATCCTGATGTCTTGTCCAGCGCTGTATCCACTGCTCTGAACAACCCTCTGACCAGCACCCAACAGCCCAAGGGCAAGGCTAGGGGTGAAGTTTCCCGTCCACCCCCTTGCAGTATGTGGGCACACGGAGCTCCTGTTCTGGGCCTTTTAGGCCCTACCCTCTCTCTCTCCTACATCAGCACAGGCTTTTCCATGTGTCTTCCTCTGTGGAGCTGTTTCATGCTAATTTCTTCCAGTGGAAACTAACCTGTATCTGTGACCCTCCCCTCTCCTACTTGAACCACAGCCAGACGTAGAGGCCTTGAGTACTAATCCAGTGGAGGGCATAGGGATATAGGAATTGCAGCTCCTCGGACAAACTGGTGCTGTTTGGGCAATCGAGCTTTCAGATACCTTGACTCATGCCCAAAGACAGCCAGCCACCTGGCATCTATGCCAAGGGCTCGGCCTGGCTAGGACAGTGCCATCAACCACATGTCCTTGGGCCAGAGGAGGGGACCTCACCATCATGGAGGCCTTTCCCCAAGTCCAGAGACAAGGTCATAAGCTGCCTATGGAGCTTACCTTGACATGGACCTTATTTGATTTTGACTGTGGGGCCAGTTTCCTAACTTAAGGAGGAGAAAAACACACTCCCAGCTATCTCCCAGGCTGTGAGGATCACATGAACTAACTTATATAAAAGTTCTTTAATACAAGTGTGAGGATTAATTATGTGGTGATTAGCCTCCCACTTTTGTCCTCCCCACATCATACACAAACCAAACCCAGACTCCTGACAACTGGACTCCTTCACCAGGTTGTGCACCTGTTCCTCTTCCCAGAGTGCCCAGGTGCACAAAAGTGATCCCCTGCCTTTCAGAGGGGAAAGGGTCTACAAAAAAGGAGGAGGCAGGGGCCTTGAAAATGTCAGTGGGGCTCCCCCTTGCACTACCATGAAAACCTCTGAGTCTCCTTGGAGTGGCGATGGGGCTTCCTGGTGTCACGAAGTAGCTGTGAAAGGCTCTACAGATGGATTTCCATTTTAATGGATGTGTCAGGGCATCAAAATGTCTCTGTTGTGTTCAGTCCTCATTAAAATGGAAGCCCATTGCTACAGGACACAGAGGAGGTGTGCTGCATTATTTATTGTTTTTTATCTGTTTTCCTAAAACTGGGCTGTTCAGGTTCAAATGGCAGATAAAATTGCCACCCACCTCTCTCCACCCTGTCATTTTCCAGCTCACATCTGTTCACTGCACATTGTATGTTAAATGTTACACTACCAGAATGTCAGAAGCCCTGAGCAGTACCTCCAAAATCTGATTTGTCTAGCTTCCTGGCAACTTGTAGGGGTTATTTCTGTTCTTTCCTTTCTTAGGAAGGTCCCTGGCTCTGGCTTCCATCTCTCTGCATTCTGGCCTCTTCCCCATCTTGTATCCCATGAAGCCACTGCCCTGAGTGTGAGGAAGTTCCTGCCTCTTTCCATTGATGACTTTGTTCCCTGCCTTCCATCTTGACCCTGTACTTAACCAAACCCCTAATCCTCTCTCCCAGATTATGATAGAGTTGGATGTGAAATAAAAACTCCCTTCACTGCCCATAAATCCTAAGGACTTCTAACAGGACAAACAACTACTAATTCAGCCCCACATCACTTGGAGAGCTGTGTCTATGTTTATTGAGGTTACTTATCATTGCACTGATGTTGTTACACAATTACTATGCATATATGCTGGATCAAAAGGACCATATTTCCATAATTGTGACTAACTCCTAGAAAGACAGAGATCACTTGAAATGGCTGTGGTGCACTTAAAGTTTTACTTAACCAAAATATATCATATTCTAAGTAGGAGGAGAAAGAAGCAGTTTGTGTAGGCAGACATGGAAAAAATTTTGTTTTATAATGCTAGACCTTCGAACGTCATCTGTTAAGGTAAAGATCCTATAACAAGCGCCACATGACTCAAATTCTGAAGTTGAAGTGGCGTTTTGTTACAATGCATGTATTTCTAGAATTCGCACCTCCAGGTTGCATAAACTAGAGATAAAATAGAGTTGATAGCCAGTTTCACTGTAATGAATTAGGGAAGGGGAAAAAAGTATCTTAAATGGGGCAAGGAGGGACCACCATTCTATCACCTCATATCCTTGTTTCTCTAAGCCAACAGTCAGCAAATTATGGCCCATGGGCCAAACCCAGCCCACCACCAGTCCCATACAGGAATACCTATTGCTTCCTATATTGCCTATTGTGTTTTCATGCTACAGTGGCAGAGTTGAGTAACAGAGACCATATGGCCTGCAAATCTGAAAATATTTACTATCTGGCCCTTTACAGGAAAAGTTTGCTGGCTTCTGCTCTGAGCTGTTGACGCTCTGTGCTGTTTAGCATCCATGGGTGAACTTTCTGACAGAAGAATCTGAAAGGCTGCCCTGTTTGATGTCTGCAGCAACCAAATAAAACCAAAACAAAATAATTTGTATTTCACAGTCTGGAGCATAGAAAAACTGTACAACCCAGTGTCACGTAGTCAGAAGATTAACTATGCTTCTTCTTTGTAGATTGCTTGCTCCTGGATGTGCTTTTCCCCTCAGGAATGAAAATAGCACCATGAATAATAGTAATACTGCATTAGAATGGTTCCCAGCATTTATTGAATGCTTCTGATATGCTTTGAATAGCTTACATATATTCGTCTACGGCCATACCACCCTGAACGCTCCCGATCTCGTCTGAATAGCTTACATATATTCAAACAACCCTGGGGAGGTAGGTGGTAATCATGACCCACTTTATAGATGAGGAAACTGTGGTCCAGAGAAGGTAACTGACTTTCCTGTGTCACACACCTGGAAGCATTAGAGCCTATTGGAACCCAATCTGATGCCCGAACCTACATCATGATCCAACACTCTGAGAAGCATGTCTTTTTATAGCATTTGTTGAAATGAAATTTTATCTAGATTTTCACAGAATCATAGAATTTTATAGCTGGAACACTTTGGTACTTGATGGCCCAGCCTGTCTCATTTTGTCAGTAGTAACTAACATGTATATGATGCTTTAAAGTTGAAGAAGCACGTTTACATAGATTCTCTTATTTGATACACATGCCAACCCCATGATGTAGGCAGGTCTCCTTTTCCAGAAAAGGAATGGAGGACCAGAGACTTTACACACATCGCTCAGTAAGAGCCAGGACTGACTGGGCCTCATCCCTGCATTTTCTGACACTGAGATTTATTAGATTTCCAAATGCCACATGACCCAAGGATTCAGTGATTTCATTTGTTCCGAAGTCCCCTAGCTAGTTGTCAGCAGCACCAGGGCTAGAAAAAAAAAAAAGGTGAACCTATAATCCCTGGGCAAGAAAGGAGAGCTAGTCCAGGAATGTCTGTTCATCTCCCTGAGGAGGATGGGGCAACATGAGGCCTCCTGAGGCTTTGGGGTGGCTGGTTTCTAGTGACAGCTGCAGATCCTTTCATCCCACGTGTGCTGAATATTATGTGCCAAGCACTGTATTAGAGTAGTACGTCTCAATCCAGAGAGTTTGTGAAAAAAGAGATTGCTTGGCCCCACCCCCAGATATTTCATTTCAGCAGGTCTGGAGTGGGCCTAAGAATTTTCATTTCTACCAGTTTCCCAGAGTGGCAGGGCTGCTGCAAGGGATCACATTGAGAGAATCACTGTATTAGAGGCTTGAGACATGGTGACTGAATCAGAAAGAGTTGTGGTTCCTGCCCTGAATGGAGCTTGCATATGTGAGTGAGTGGATGAATGAATGAATGAATGAATGAGCATGGGGGCAGAGAGAATGCAGTGTGTAAAGAACACCTTTACAACACCGTGTGGAAAGAACTAGAATAGAGATAGGTATGGGGAACTGAATAAAGAAGCCAGCTTAGTCTGGCTGAGTACAGAAGGCTTTGCAGAGGAGTTGGCCCCTGGTGGGCTCTGAAAGTCCCAGACGTGTCAACCACGCAGAAAGGGGAGGTGAGTTTATTCCTAAGAAACAGCTGGTGAAGAGGCACAGGGTAGGAGAGTGGGAGGGCTGAGAGCCTCCATGAGTTGGGGAATTCATGGTAGATCTGACTGTCATGAAAGGTGTATTTGTGTGCAAGAGACAGGGAGGCAGGAAACAATGAGAGAAAAGGCCAGGGGGCAAAACAGCAGCCACGCCACTGAAGGTCTTGACTTGCATATCAGAAGAGCTGGGATCTCCTTCTAGAAGCAGTGGGGAGCCACTGAAGGAGTTCAAGGTGTGGAATAGCAAGATCAGGTGTGCATTGGGGAAAGATGCAGAGACTCGATGCACGTACTGTCAGCTGGAATTAGGCCACCCCATGTCACTATCATGTGAGAGGACAAAGGGCCTGTGGGAGAAATGGGCAATGCCACTGCAGATGGCTGGCAAGAGGAGAGAAGAAAAACTGTTCCCAGATGCATTTTATTTGGGACTCTTGCTAACTGCATTTTAGACCTTTAAAAAAAAGGTCACCAGAGAGCTATTGAGTGTCTCAGGAAGAACAAGGGAATGTTTGTTTTGATTCTACTTTGCTGTGTGACCTTGAGCAAGTTACTTAATCTTTCTGTGCTGCTGTTTCCTCATCTGTATAATGAGGATGGCAGTGAGTTGTGAGGATTACGTGGGATAGTATAAGTAAATTGCCACCAAGTGTATTGTAAGTGCTCCACACATATTTGGTATTTTTATTAATTTATTTTAGTTGGCATCCTTTCCTTTCCTGGGAGAGATGATATGGTTGAATATTTTTGTTTCATCTCTGGTCTCTGTAATTAGCCTGCTTTCTTCAAGAAAGAGAACAGCAAGAGTTCCTCCAGTACGCAAACACAAGTGCTTGTCCTTTTTGACTGTCTTTGTCTTTTTTTTTTTTTAGAAGTAATTTCATGGCTCATGCACTTGATATTCCATCAGGAAAGCTGGGCCCCTCTATCAAGCAGATGATCGTCCCTGCTGGGCATTCATTGGCAAATCACAATTCTGTTAATTAACACAAAGTGGGATTCCAGCTCTCAACTCCTTTCAAACTCACCCTTTCTTCCTTGGGTTTTGAGTTGCAGCCTCTCTCCTCTGCTGAGCCCCGGGTGACATATGTATCTTGGAGCCATCTCTTTGTCTTTGCTTAGCCCTGGGCTCAGCAGCCGCCAGGCCATGGGCCGCCTGTCTCCTCCACCTCCACCTGCCTTGCACATCCTTGCTCTGTGCCTGCCTTTTTATCTCAACATCCCCATCACCTGTTTCCTGGAAAATTTCCCGATTTCTCCCCAGTGTAAAAAGGGGCATGTGTTTCTATTCCGAGCACTTTGCTTTGACTTGGCATGCCTTCATGGACTTCAGCGGGGAGTCTGGGTCTGCGTAATGAGCCTCTCAGCATCGCAGCTGCCAGCCTAGAGGAGCACTGCTTTGCTAATGCAGATGTAACAAATCCCACCAAACAAAACTCCCTGAACAGACGCCTTCACAAGTCAGGGCTCCGAGCTCTGCCTTTTGTTATCACTTTGGCTACTTCCCTTGAGACTGTGTCCTTGGTCCTTTTCTTTTCTTTTCTTCTGTTTTTTTTCTTTTCTTTTATTTTCCCTCCCTCCCTCCCCCACCTCTGTCTTTCTTTTTTTCTTTCTCTCCTTCCTTCCTTCCCTCCTTCCTTCCTTCCTTCCTTTCTCTCTCTCTCTCCTTCCTTCTTTTCTTTTCTTTTCTTTCCCAGGTCAGGGTAATGGGTTGTAATAATCCACCTACATCCTCTGGCCTGGTACCTGTCACCCGAGACCTAGAAATCGCAGCCTCAGAGGTGCGGTGACTTATAAAGTCCTCAGCGGAGCCAGGTCCTAACCCAAACCTCCTCACCTCTTTTTTGGCACAAACTCTGAAAGAACTTTGAAAGGTTGAGAGGACTGTGTATATCATGCAATCTCTTGTTGCTGTTGCCATGACGATCGTATTAAAAGTGGACCCCCATGGGCACTGGATTGTAACTTGAAAATGATGAAGATAATCAATTGTACTACAGTGTTGTAAAAGGCCTGAAATTCCGATGCATGCTACAACATAGATGAACCTGGAGAACATGCTAAGTAAAATTAATCAGATACAAAATAACAAATGTTGTATGGTTCCATGCATTTAAGGCATATGAGTGGTTGAATGCATAGAGAAATTAGAATGGTGTTCATGATGATTGCCATTTTACTCGAATAAAATAAAAAAAGAAAAATTTTTAAAAAGAAATTAGAATGGTGGAGGCTAGGGGCTGAGGATGAGATGGAGAGTTAATGCCTAATATGAGTGGTTGAATGCGTAGAGAAATTAGAATGGTGTTCATGATGATTGCCATTTTACTCGAATAAAATAAAAAAAGAAAAATTTTAAAAAAGAAATTAGAATGGTGGAGGCTAGGGGTTGAGGAGAAGATGGAGAGTTAATGCCTAATGGGGACAGAATTTTAGTTCGGGAAGATGAACAGTTCTGGAAATGGGTGGTGGTGATGGTTGCGCAACAGTATGAATGTGTTTCATGCCATCAAACTGTATATTTTTTAATGGTTAAAATGGTAAATTTTATGTTATGTATAAACATAATTTTTAAAGGGGGAGGAAGGAACCACCATGAAAACATTTTTAAAGCCCCAAATGAGCATTTGTAAAAAACCAAAAAATGTAAAAATAACTTTTTAAAAGCTCCCTTTATTGACTCAAAGTCATTCTCTTAGCTTTAGGATATAAAAAATGGATTATGTATAATTTGGGTTGTTCACAAAAATCATCGTGTTTGTTTGGCGCATTCAATTTAAAAGTATAACTCAACTCACCCATTCATTCAGCACATTTATGGAGATGGTGTGGGAGGCAGAGTGCTCAGCCTGAAATAAAACAATCAGCGCAAACTCGCTAATTGAACTTCATTTAAAACGGTTGACATTTTTCTTACAAATAGGTTGACAAGCTGCTGAACCTAAGGAATCCAGCATCTTTTGATTCTTGTGGGTTGTATTGGTGAGTCTGTTTCAGGTTACTGGGAGGAGGCAGGTCTGGCTTGTCTTTAGTGACAGGCTTTTGTTGCAAGGATGCGAGGGAATGAAGGGTGCAGGGAAACCGTATTCTCCCTGGGTCCCAGGGCTTCCCAGGTTGGACTCTGCAGAAACTGTGACTCAGTGTTGTTTGGGTTTCAGGCTGAGCTTGAATAAGCTGCCCTTTCAGTATGCCCTTCATAGTCCTGTATCCCCAAAGAGCATCTGATTGTGTCAGCTTGTCTTTGTTCAGTAAGAAGTGACCACATAGGGCAGGGCGTCCCTCCACGCCATCTCTGAAGCATAAGGTCATTACGACAATTAAACGAGTTAAATGGAGAGTCCTTAGAACAGTGTTTTATTCAACACATGGTGAGTGGTGAATCAATGTTGTCATTCTTATGAAACAAGACACAACGCAAGACCCTAGGATGAGAGTGGGAGAGTGCAGGAACGAAGTGTAAAATCTAACCAACGTTTGAATATTCTGATTCAACCTCATCCAGATATAAATTGTTCAAGAGCCTGCTCTAAAGGTGATCTGGGCTTTAGAGTGGAGGCAAGTTCAGAAGAGAAGCAGCATGACCATCTCTTAGGTTTCTGCCTTGGGATCATGGGCCCAAGAGAGTTGCACCAGCCTGAATTGGTTGACAACACAATTCATGATGTATATTGACAAAAAAAATTCCACTTATACATTTAGATTCTGCAAAATGTTGAGTTTTATTTGATCTGAACCATTTGCTAGAGAGTATTTGGATAGATTCAGATGAGGGAAGGAAAAGAAAATGGCTTTGCCAGCGACGTGCAGTGCTCAGCGGAGCTCGGGGGAGTCAGGCTCACCCAGTGCTCAGTGCCCCACATAGATCACCTTTGTGGAGCACATAGTATGTGCTATGTGTGAGCCCCTCAACTCTCACATTCTGAGGGGAGGCACTGCTATTAATCCCATTTTACAGAGGGGGAAACTGAAGCATAGAGATAAACAGTCTGACAAGAGCCAATGTTCGTACCCAGCAGTCTGACTTCAGACACTTTTGGGTCTCAAGAGTCTCGATTTCTAGTTTTAATTTAACAGCATCACTGTAATTGGTGAAGTCTTTTGTTCTTCTTTAGATCTTTGGAAGAATGCTCAGCTTCATGATGTCACAGAGAAGCACAGTTGATTGTGCTCTACCTCAGTGTCATTTTGATCTTCCATGTTATGAAAAGCGTTGGTCCGCCAACCATGAATTTTACCTGAGCCCTTCTATGCGCCACTCACAGTGCCATGTGTAAAGCAATTGTATGCCACCCCCATCCTCTGCCTGACATTCAGGAATTTTACAGCTGATACATTGTTTAGGGTATCTGCGTTTCCTTTTTCTATTTTTCTATAGAAAACTGATTCCAAATCACAACTTTTTTTTCTTCCCCCAATCCCAACATGTATCTGTAAATGTGTAATTGTTGTGAGTCACATTGATACTTCTTTTAGAGATTCCTGTGTATATTCCAATTCTTGAAAGAGACCTACTCAAAAGATTGCCTCATGGACAAATGGCATAACAGCCTTAAGGATCTTAAGGAAAAGCAAAATAAAATTAAAAAGACTTCTGCCCATGCGTATTGTCAATCATGGACAGAGATGTTAAAGAAAAAGTGCTCTGTTCTTTTGCAAGACCTTGGATCCTTTTTTCTGGCATTCTTGGGTCATTTTCCTCTAAGTCAAGTCTTTCAGAGTATTTAGCAGGCAGCTGCTGATAGTATTTGGTTCACAGAGGCTGCTGATGATGAGAAAACTTTCTTTGTGGAATCCAAATGCCTCCATGGAAGGACAGCTTCTGCGCAGACGATGCTGAAAAGAGCTGTTTGAACTTCCTTTATCCTTATATTCCTTATGTAAGCTCAAGGACATTTGTTTGTTTCTGTGTTTGTTCTTAAATAATGTTTTAAGTATTTTCCTCTTTGATGTAAGAGCAACACATACTTATTATTGTGGGGAATTTAGAAACCACAGAAAACGATAAAGAGGAATAAAAAAAATCATTGAAAATTCTCTTCTCCCACTATTAACCTTTGGTATATTTCCTTTTGGTCTTTTTTTCTTGCTTATTATTATCATTAGTGTTTATAATCATTATAATTACGTATCCAGGAGCAGATAAAACATACAATTTCATGTCTAGTTTTTTCCAACATTACTTAATTTCTCCAAAAACATCATTTTTTTTTTTTTTTTTTTTTTTTTTTGAGACGGAGTCCCGCTGTTTAGCCCAGGCCGGATTGCAGTGGCGCAATCTCGGCTCACTGCAAGCTCCGCCTCCCAGGTTCACGCCATTCTCCTGCCTCAGCCTCCCGAGTAGCTGGGACTACAGGCGCCCGCCACCGCGCCCGGCTAATTTTTTGTATTTTTAGTAGAGACGGGGTTTCACCGTGTTAGCCAAGATGGTCTCGATCTCCTGACCTTGTGATCCGCCCGCCTCGGCCTCCCAAAGTGCTGGGATTACAGGCGTGAGCCACCGCGCCCAGCCCAAAAACATCATTTTTATGGCTGTGTAATAGCTCATAATGTGAGTATACCATAATTTCTATAACCATATACCAATTGTTGGAATAGTTTAGGTCGTTTTCAGTCTTCACAATAGAGTATTTAATGTCTGCAATATGCTTCTTACATAAAAGGATATAGTTGGTCAGCCGATAACATTTGGAAATTAATACTTCACTAGAGAGTATCTGCAAATGACTTTTCCTTCTCAAACTAATTTGCTAGATAGAAAGATGTAAATGTTTATATAGAAAGCTATTGTCTAGCTTATATCTATCTCCATCTTCTCTGAGCATCTCTCTCCCTATCTATACTCACATACCCACAAATACACTAAGTTATTATAAATGTGTATTTATATATTTAGTAGTAGCATCTGCTTCACATAAACATTATCTAACTTTGAGAAATTAAATGATCCCTGCAGAGTTCCAAAAGTTGGGTCAATTATATGTGTGCGTTATTATTTATTCTATTATTTGCTACAAATCAAGCTCAGTTGATCATTTCCATGTCATTAGAAGATAAGTGTATCTTTCTGAGGGCTAAGGGTCATGCTGAGCTAGAAGGTTGCAAGGCTGGAGAGGAAGTGCCTTCTCTCCAGCGTCAGCAAAGGCTGCGGACAAGCAGGGCATGAAGCAGGGCATGGAGAAGGGTGAGCCAGCTGCCCAGTTGGCTATGGCACTGAGTGTGTGAAGGAGGGAAGAGAGAAAGGAGATTGTGCTGGTGAGGAGAGTCACACAGGAAGGGCCTAAAACCTAGGCCTTTGGTGTGCACTTCACTCTGACAGACAGTGGGAAGCCACAAGGCTTGAGCACGGAGGAGAGAGAATGAGGTTGGCTTTAGCAGAAGTCATCTGGCAATAGGATATGAAATGAATTGGAGCAGAGAAACTCTGGAAAGACAGACTCTGGGGAGTGGATCTGCAAGAGGGAAGAAGACCAATACTTACTGAGCTCCTGCTGAGGGCCAGACAGCATTTCATGTAAACTATCTCATTTTACCGCCTGTCCATAGAGATGGGAAAATTGAGACCTGTTGAAAGTCACAGGGCAGAAAGCGACAGAGACAGTGTTAAACTGAAAACTGAAGCTCAGGCTCACTTGACTATGCCGAGCTGCCTGGGTTCAAGGGAAGAAGGGCAGAGTCAGAGCAGAGGCAGCATCTCCAGGGGCCGAGAGGAGGAGCTGCAAAATCTAGTTACTGTAGAGGCAAAATCAGGTGAACTTGGCAACCTATCAGAAATCCAGGGACAAAAAGGAATGAAACTCAAAATGTCCCTGAGATTTGGGGGACAGACAGATTGCGAGGATGGTGATGCCATTGTCATCAATAGGGGATGTGCCCTTTGATAGTGAAGATGAGAAACTGGGTTTTAGAAGTTCTGAATTAGAGGCACAGGCAGACCACTCAGGTTAGCATGTCCAATCAGCTGTGAGAGATGTGGATCAGAAGCCCAGGAGAAAGATTGGCACCACTGATGGAGATGTGATAGACATAAGATGCATAGAAATGCACTTCTGATTCATGTAAGTTACAAATATATATGAATGAAGCTAAAGCACAATGTAATATTATAAGCTTATATAAATGTAAACTCTCACCTTTCAATAGGGAGAATATTCTTTTTAAATTCTTTGTTGAGTCATAAGATCTGAGAGCCAGAAGGAGCCAGGTTTCTGCTTTCTTGCAGTTCCAAAACTTTGAGTCTTGCTGTGTGTTCTCTTGTGCTGAGTCTTCTGAGCAGGCAGGACAGTGAGTTCCTTGTTTAGCCTTGTTAACTTCCTCAAGAACATGTGGAGGACACACCAGTGAGTCCGTCCTATTCATAGACATCGGAGGTGCTGTCCCAAGTCCAGAGACATTCCCACCACCTCTACATCCAAATCCTACAAGCACGGAAGGCCCTGACTCTTTTTCTTTTCCAGTGACAGAGACCATGTCTCCAGAAGGCAGAAATAAATCTTGAACTTGGGAATTATTTTGTGCTACTGAGTAGGAGGACACAGGAAGTATAAAGACTCCATGAGCTAGTTTCAGAGAAATATCTTGCCTCTTGCTCCTTTAGGAATCACCTGGAGAGCAGAACAGGCTGGCTATCAATATATAAACATCTTGCCTTAAATATTTTACCCATCATACTTTAAAAAATCCACGATCCATTTAGTTTTATTCCAACTTGGAGGTAAATCAAACACACCGTTTCCTTTGGGAGAACTGAAAAACAAAGGCTTTGCCCAAATGTTTCTCATTTTGTTCTGGATTTTCACATATCTGCCAATGACCTTGGCCTCATTAGTGAGCACCTTATTCAAGCAGGCTTCGATAGCCTGCCACAGAACAAAGACAACATCAAGGGCAGAGGGAGAGATTGGCACACATGGGGCTAACGGGGTGGGGATGCTTGTCTCTTGTAGAACCAGACACAGAGTACATAACGAGCATTTACTTAACAAAAGACCCAACAGCAAAACACCGGCAAAATTCAACAGTGACTGACTACACGTGAAGCATGAAAAATGTTTCCAGTCATGTGAGACGCTTCAAGCATAGAAAGCAAACCATGCAAAATGGAAAGCGTTGGAAAACATAAAAGCAAAGCCATTAGACATCACTTTTGAACAAAACAAATAGAAAAGCCTTTCTCATCATCTGCCTGTAAGTGAGCTGTGTACAGTGCACTGTCGACGGTTCCTGGCACATAGTAAGTGCTGAGTAAATGTCAGCTCCTTCCTCCCTTGCTACCTCATCATCCAGGAGAGACACTGTGGGCTGCTAGTCATTCATGCTCCTACCAAATGGAATAGATGGATTCCTTCATCCCATAGAGATTTAGAGCTTCTGCTATGTCTTAGATGCTGTGAGAGACACAAAGAAGAAAAAAATGCAGCCTCTGTTCTCCAAACAATTGGATGACTGCCTAAGATGTGGGAGAACAGTAGGAAAGAACACAACAAGAGAACCCCAAGGCTTTCTGGACCAGCGGCCTTCTCAAGACAGAAGGGCTGGTGTCTTACCCATCTTTGTCTCTTCAGGGCCTAGAATAATACCTGACTGAGAGATAGACCTCAGTGAATGAACAAATGAATGAGTCAGTGAATGAATGAATGAATGGGCACTAAGTGAGGGGTCCCACCCACGGTGATGCTACATGATTGGCACTTCTTACAGAACGGGTGATTCTAGAGGAGCTGGGAGTGACTTGGGAAGAGGAAAGGTGCCTCTCACCTGTAAACTCATCCACTTTTCTCCCTACCCCCCACCTAGCAAGCTGTGTTCTCTCTTGTTTCACTCTCCACTAGCGCCTTCCACTGAATGTGCCTGTGTGGGTGTACCTGTACATTGCGTGTCTGTTTCTAAGCCTTTTTGAGCACTTACATAGCAGTTACTTTGTGCCAGCCTCTAAGTAATATGCAAGTATAATTCTCATAACAATCTTGTGAGATAGGTACTATTATTAGACCTTCTCAGAGCTGAGGAAACTGAGGCCCAATGATATTAAGGTCACATGACTAGTAAGAGGTAGATCCAGAGCTTAAGTCCAGACAGTCTGACTCCAAAGCAGTGTCCTTTACCGCTGAACTCTGCTGTCCACGTTTATCAAGTAGAACCAGGAAGAGCTTCCCTCAGTTTGCCTGTGGTCTGCTATATTGACTTGGATGAGATTCAGAGCATGGGAAAGGTTAAGTCCCAGGTATTAGGTTCATCCTCTCTGCTAAGTCTTTCTCCTCTTCATAGAAATATACTTAAGTCTTACATCCTTTATAAAAAAGAGAAGTCCTCCCTGACTCTGTGTTCCATCCACACTCACTGCTGCTCCATTTCCCTCCTCTTCTCTCCAGCCAGGCTACTTGAAAGCATACTAGTTAGGAGTGACTTTCACTTCCTTACCTCCCACTCATCCCCAGTAACCCAATGAAATTGACTTCCACTAAAAGAGCCCTTGACAAGGTCACAGGGGACCTCTTCTAGTTATAAATCTAGTAGGGGCCACGCAGGAAAAAAAACATGCTGTAGTAGAAACCATGCTTCCTATCATTAGCACAATGCCTGGCACACAATCAGCACTCAGCAAATTGCAGTTGAAGGTTTTATGATCTTATGTCTTATTTGATCCCAGTAACATTAGCCATCAGTGAAACCTGTTAGTTCCTTCACTTCCATGGTGACCCTTATGCTAGGTTTGCCCTACACTTTTAGGTCATCTGGGTTCATTCTCCTTCTCTTCTTCTTCTTATCCCTTAAATGTCGGTATTCAAATTCTATTCTTACCCTTCTTATCTTCTCACTTTATGTTCCATCTCTCGAAAAGCAGGCATTCAATCCTACAGCTTTAACTACGTGATTTTCAAGTCAGTATCTCAAGTAATAATTGCTCCCCTATGTGCTAGACTTGTACAGCCAGTGCCATAAAGGGCATTTCCAATTAGGTGTGTATTAGGCACTTAACGAATTAAACTTGACAAATTTCTCTTCTCTTATGAGATTTGTCCTTCCATGCTATTTTTATTTATTTATTTATTTTTAGAAGAAGTCTCACTCTGTTGCCTAGGCTGGAGTACAGTAGCACAATCCTGGCTCACTGCAACCTCTGTCTCCCAGGTACAAGTGATTATCCTGCCTCAGCCTACCGAATAGCTGGGATTACAGGCATGAGCCACCATGCCCAACTAATTTTTTTGTATTTTTAGTAGAGATGGGATTTCACCATGTTGACCAGGCCAGTCTTGAACGCCTGACCTCAAGTGATCCACCCACCTTGGCCTCCCAAAGTGCTGGGATTATAGTCGTGAGGCACCGCGGCTGGCCCCGTCCTTGCTTTCCATCATGCCCCTCCAAAAAAAAGAAAGAAAAAGAAACCCCAAAAGAAAGGCAACACTCTAGGTCTCCTCTTTGAGTCTGTGTCTTGGTCAAGGACATCACCAAGGATATCATTTTCCCCATCATCCAAACCAGAATCCTGGGAGTCATCAGTGGCTCATCTTTCCCCTTCTCTCATATTCAATTGATCACTAATTCCTAACAGTCTGACTGCTTTACTATCCCCTGAATTCAGCCTCTCAACCCTGTTCTCTGCTATAGTGCAGGTCTTCATCATTTGTGGGATTGTCTTGTCTCTAAGACTTTCTTCCTCCCAGTCAGAACTCTACTCTGCAGCCATGGTCACCTTTCTAGAGAAAACAAAAACCTAACCAGCTTCTCCCCAGCTTAGACTCCTTCAGTGGCTTGCCATGGCCTTCGGGATGAAATCCAAGCTCTAAGCATGGCATATGGAGTCCCTGGTGAGTGATTGACCAAGTGAATTCCTCATTAAAAGCAGTTTAATTGAGCAAAAATCTCTATCCCCTTCTCTAGTCATCAGGATGGAAAATTGGAACATGTATTTATTCCCAGAAAGAGAACTTAGCTGGTTACAGCAAGTATATCTTTGTTTCTAACAGATCACTACGATCTATTATATGGCTCTAAGTCAGCATGTTATAATAATTACGTGGCAAAAAAAACCATTACACAGGAGTATATAGAACATTTACTCTTTCTCCTATTCATCAAATATGATAAGCAGACTCCTGCCTCAGTGCCTTTGCATCTGCTGTTCCCTCTACCTGGAATACTCTTCCCCCAGACATTCACATACCCATTCCCTCCCTTCCTCAGGTGTCTGCTTAGATGTCACCTTATTGAGAGCGCTTTCTTGACCTCCATATGTTAAATAGCAACTCTCCTACATCTACTTCATTACAGCTCATCCCCCAACCTACTTAATTTTTTCTCCATAGCATTTATCACTGCCCCCCCCCACTACATACACATATATATGAATATGCATGTAGTTTGTGTCTTTCTCTGGAAAGTGTGTTTAATGGAGCCAGTAATTCGGTTAGGTCCACTGCTTCACCTCTTGCACACAGCAGCTGCTTGAGAAACATGCATTGAATGAATAAATAAATGAATGTAGGATGAACCCAAAGAGGGAATTTCTGTTGATGAAACTTTTTTTCAAGTGAGAGGTAAGATACTGACTTTAGTTTCCTTCTACGGAGTTTCTTTTCTTGGCAAGATCTTTATTTGAATGAGCTTTAACCATCTGCTAAAAAAAGCCTGGGTCAACATAGCCTTCAAAAATAAGTCAATAGAGCTGCAGAGAAAGGCACAGGGGAAAGGAGAGGTCGACCGAGCCCACTCAATCTTTACAGGTTACTAACAAGCATCTCCTTAACAGGAGAGGGAATGAGTGGAGAGAAGGAAGCACTGCCTTTGAAGGAGGGAGGGGAGAAGGCTCTGTTACCTCAGGCACAGTGACTCCCAGGTTTGTGGGAGGTACACAAACCTGTTATCATTGATTTGATTTATGGTTCCTCAGCCTTCCTCAAAAATGGCTCCATGATGTATTATTAGTGTTTAAATAATGTTCTCTTAGTTTGCACATTTTGCTCCATCTCTTGAGATAAAGACAGGCTGGCATACTGCATACATACATGGCATTGAGAATCACAACTACTGGGGCAGAGTCATTTGGTCTACCCCCTAACTTCCAGGTAGCAAGGAATGTTATTCTGATGTCAGAAATTAGACAGGTAAACACAGAAATTAACCTGCTTCTATAAAGTAAGAACTAGAAGAAGGAGCTAGAGGCTATCTCCCGTTCCCAGGACAGCAGCCACTAGTATCCTTCAGTCCTCACTACCCCTAAACCCTCATTTTTCCTGCCATATTGCTTGATCCTGCCCTCCTATGCAATGGGCTTTGGAAAACATCCTTGCTTATATGTGGATGGAGGTAAGAACATACTCTTTAGGCCCCTTCTCCATCATGCTTCTAAATTAGAAAACAGAATTTGCTAGAATTTTAGAATTTAAAGATTTTTTGGGGGAAAAAATAAGTTGCTACTCTCACATTTCCACTTTGTAAAGACTGGTATATCCTGCACCTGTTAAATACACATTGGATGATACCAGTCATACTCACTGAGCCTTGTATTTGTTCCTCTGCCTCGTAGCATGGCAGTGAACACAAATCATCACTGGCATTTGTGGTAGCACTTTACAGTTTACAAAGGGCTTTCACAGATCTCATCTGATCAATGACTCTAGGAGACCACAGAGCACAGTGAATAAAAGCGTGGGCCTTGGTTGGAGTCAGACCAAGATTCTCACCCTAGTTCTGCTGCTTCTAAGCTGCCTGCTTGGGGCAAGTTCCTTATGATCTCATGGGTAAAAGGGAAATGAAAAGCTCATCAATTCTGGGGGAGGATTTAAATGTGACAATGTATAGAAAATTCTTAGAACATGCCTAGCACATCAGAAATCCTAGCTTTATCATCATCACTGTCATCATCATGATAATCATCATCATCATCATTATATCATTCTTGTCTCGGATATGACTTGCATAAGGTCATCTGTAAACAATTTATTTAAAAGACTGTACCTACAACTTTTTTTTTTTTCTCACTACAACCTTTTAAGCCCATCCTTTCTGAGCTGCCATATCCATTCCTAGGTGATACCTATGGGAGACTCCATAGATTTGGGGGTAAACTGTCACATATTCATAAGCTTTTATTTGTAGGTATTAAAATTTGATTCAGATCTAATATCGGAACCTCAGTCTTATATTAATATTTAGTTTACATCTTCTCCCTTTCCCAGCTCGGGCTTGACATTTTCTTAGAAACCTGCAATACGGAAAGAGATCTGTTCAGCTTCTTTATTTTTACGATTCTACCTGCTCCCTGTTAACCCTATTACTTCTGGCTCCTCCAGGGCTGCGGTTGGTGAAAGGAGGACAGGTAAAAGGCCAAGGCTCTGACTTGCCTGGTGTTATTGCTCTCCGGGCCCTCCATGTGGTGGGGCCCAAAGGCTGGCTCTCCCTCTCTTGTACAGGACTTTTGGGGTTCCTTTGGGAAAGCTTTGCAGGAATTGGTGTTGCACCATTGATTGTCTCCTGATGTGGGGAGGACACCTTCCAGCTGAGCTGGTTCTGCTCCCACTTCACCTCCCATTTCTGGTGCTACCTCACAATGGAGACTCTTCTTGTTGGTGTGATCGTACGCTAATGGGCAAAGCTGTAGGATGGAGTCTTTTCAAGGCGGTTTAGTCTTCATTGGCATCCACTTGGTACATGGAGAAACCACTGGATCCTTCCTCACACAGAGCCTGTGTTGGCTCTGTTGCCAGAGGCAGCATGAAACAGCCTCTGGCCTCATTGTTTCAGGCCACAGCTAGGCACCCTCCCCTGTGTCCTCTAAATTCTAGAGTACCTGCACATAGCTCTCTGTGTGGTTCTCTTGAGGGCCTTTTTCTGTCCTTGAGCCAGCTACCACCAGCTTGAGACGTGCAGTGGCTGGAGTGGGGAAGCTCCCATGGGGAGAGAATAGAAATGCAAGAAACTGTCACTCACCAACCTTCTGCGTCCATCTCCTGGTCTCTTGTTATATGTAAACTGAAGGCGGCGAGAGCACTATGAGTTGCAGAACTAGATCGGGGCACTTTGTAGCAAGCTCTACACAAGGTCTCACGCCTCTCTTTAGAACAGTGCTGTCCCATGGAAATATCGTGCAAACCGCATGTGTAACTTAAAATGTTCTATTAGCCACCTTACAGACACAAAAAGAAACAGGTAAAATTAATTTTCATTATTTATTTATTTATTTTGCAATGGAGTCTTGCTCTGTCACCCAGGCTGGAGTGCAGTGGCGTGATCTCGGCTCACTGTAACCTCCGCCTTCCAGGTTCAAGTGATTCTCTTGCCTCAGCCTCCCAAGCAGCTGGGATTACAGGTACCTGGCTAATTTTTGTATTTTTAGTAGAGACAGGGTTTCTCCATGTTGGCCAGGCTGGTCTTGAACTCCTGACCTCAGGTGATCTGGCCTGCCTCGGCCTCCCAAAGTGCTGGGATTACAGGCGTGAGCCACCATGCCCAGCCCATAATGTACTTTATTTAATCCAATATATCTAGATGTTCTCATATCAACATGCAATCAATATAAACAATTACTATTGAGATATTTTACAAAAAGTCATGCTGAGTCTTTGACATCTGGTACGTATTTTACACTTACAGCCTGTATCAATTCAAGTGCTCTACACCCACATGAGCTGGTGGCTACCATATTAGACTCTTCAGCTTTAGAATATGGAGGAGGAGGAGGGGGCTTGCCATCTATTGGTCTCAGCTTTGAGGGCTCAGAACTAAGAGTTTGTGACATATACAACGCTTTCCAACCAGGATGTGCAGAATGAGGACTCAGATGCTGGTCTTCTAGCCTTGAGTTCAGTATTTGTTTGTTTGTTCTTCCCATGCTGTCATGCTGTTCAAACGAATTGCCATGCTTTGTTCCCATGGACCTCAGTAGTTAAAGGGGCAGATTTGAGTAAGAAGATTTCTATAGTGACATTTGTGTTTTTTTTTTTTTTTTTTTTTGAAATGGAGTCTTGCTCTGTCACCCAGGCTGGAGTGTAGTGGCACGATCTTGGCTCACTGCAACCTCCACCTCCTGGGTTCAAGTGATTCTCCTGCCTTAGCCTCGCGAATAAGTGGGATTACAGCTGCATGCCACCATGCCCAGCTAATTTTTTTTTTTTTTGTATTTTTAGTAAAGATGTGGTTTCACCATGTTGGTCAGGCTGGTCTTGAACTCCTGACCTCAGATGATCCACCCACCTTGGCCTCCCAAAATGCTGGGATTACAGGTGTGAGCCACCACATGCCTGACCTCAACATTTGTATAAGTTTTGTTTGAGATTCCGGCATGGTCCCAAAGTGCCTTGCCACTAAAGTGTGAGATATAGTCAGACAACAGGTACTCAGGGAACCAGGCACACGTCACTGAAAGCATCACATGCAAAAAAGGCAATGGTGGCCCTGACACTTTAGAGCCCCATTCCTCCTTCCTGGCAATCAGCCAGTGTTGGCCTGCACTGGAGCTGCCAAGTAAAGGAAGCTCAGGCCTCCAAAGGTGAACATCTCCACAGTACATGCGCACTGTTGGCCAAAGAGGAGCATGGCAGGTCTGTAGCTTCCACTGTAAAAAGAAAATATTTAGTGGCAATATGTCTTTTAAAAGACAAAACTTATGAGACGCAATCGGTGGCCAGGCCTCTCTTCCATCAGAGCTCCAGTTAGTGCAGTTTGCCTCATGATCCGTGCTTGGAATTTTTTAAAAACAATAAAGCTCACATCTCTCAAATAACTCAAAAGCTGATTGTTAAAGTAACACATCCTTATTGTAGAAAAGAACAAACAAAACCCAAAATATCACAACCCAAAAAAGCCTCCCTGTTAACATTTGGTGTACTTTTCCTTTGCTTTTCCCACGTGGGTAGACATGCATGGCAGCACAGAGATACACCCGCAGTACTCAGATGGGGGTCATAAATGTAGGCTTGTGCATTATTCTTCATTTAATATTCTCTTATGAATTTTCCTCATGTCCTTCAAAAGAATACTTTTAATAGCTGAATAATATTCCATTACATTTGATTGAATGTCCAGTTCCCTTCTGGGGTTTGAAGTGGCACGGATCATGAAAAGCACTGAGGAATAGAAAGGGCATGGACAGACCAAGACACCTTCCCAGAGCTGCCTGTTACTGGCTGTGTGACCTTGGCCAACTAAAATCTCTTTGTCTCAATTTCCAAACCTACAAAATGAGAAAAATAGCGCCTACCTTATATAGTCGTTGGGAGGATGAATTGACATGTGCTATGCAAATTGCTCAACACATGCCTGCACTTAGTAAATGCATAATCAGTGTTAATTCCTATTTATCTTCCCCTTTCCCAGGCTTTTCAAATCCTTTGCCATCAGCCAAATCTCAGGCACCTGCAACATTTTTCTGGGTTGGCTAACACCCTCTAGGGTACCCATGTGTTTTAAAGCTCCCATCTTCTAATTGTTTTGTAGTAACCCTCTGGTGGAACATTCTTGCCAAGCAACCCCAAATTCCTGCACTTTGCACTCTGCACAGCTCTCAGTGATGTGTGATATAGGGAAGGAGAAATGGAAGCTTCTTTGGGGTGGGGTAGCAGATTGTACCAACCTAGTTTGTCTTCATCAGTAAAGACAGCCAGAGGACAGAGAACCAGACTCCAAGCTGGGTCTACCTAAGCACACCTGGTTGGCTGAGCTGCAGTTTCCTTTCATCCTTCCCTTCTGCATTTTCTGCTGTTGGCTTAGCAGCGAGAAAGGGGCCATTCTTGTGAGTTTTGGGTTTGCGACTCTGCCTCTTGGTCTTGCGACTCTGCCTCTTGGTCTTGCGTTTTACCCCCTTCTTTCTTCCCTCCAGGCACTTGTGTTACCAGCTGACCTAGCTTTCTTCAGGCGAGTACAAATTTTGCAATTTTTCTTTCATTGTTTTGACAATGGATTTGATTTGTATATGTCAGCCTCATATAATATCCCTATTTAGAGCAATTCTCTGATCCGGAGGTAGGACTGAGGAGGAGGAAGTGTCAAGCCTGTCTTCTGACCCAGAAACCACTTCTTGTTTCCACAGAAACTACCTTCCCCCCCTATCTCTTCCTGACTTGGGGGAGGGACAGTGCAGAAATGTCTGTTGGGTTCCTAATCTGTGGGCTATCATATGTGCTCATTAAACTTTATTGCTGTGTGTCATCTGGAATCTGGCCCCATGTTGATGTTTTCATTGTAGACAATAAAAACTATGTTGAATTATTAAGTGATAGTTAATGCTGGCTTTAAAAAATGAGATTGGAGAAGAGAAAAATTGACTTTAAGTTGCAAATATATTTAAGTCACTGAAGTGGATCCGCTCTCCTCACCCTACACTATGCCACGGTGCATACAGTTTTAGCAATTGTTGCAGAGTGGAATGGTGATCTCACTTAGCAAATAAATATTTAGTGAGCACCTGCTTATGTCAGGCAGTGCTCTGGAGACTAGAAAGACAAAACAAACCAAACATGAATGCAACCCTCAACAAGCTTAAATTTATTGGTGAGAGGGAGACATAAATAATTATAAAAAGATGTGGTAGTGATATCAACCAACTGCTCCAGGAACCCCAAGGACTGGATGTGAGTGTCTACTAAAGTACCATGGAAGTTTCCCAGAGACATTTACTTTTTAGGGAACTCTGCAAGGATGATGAGAAACTTGACAGATGGAGCCAGTGGGGACCCATGTTGGCAGAGAGCACAGTGTCATCATGGAAAGAGGAAGGGGAATGGCAGCTTGTTGTGACTAAAGCATGGGGGGCTTAGAGAAAGATGGTGATGCAGGGAGAGGCAGAGGACAGTTCTGAAGGGCCTTTTAGGGATCAAAGCTCCAACTCATGTACTTTTTCATGGAAACATAAAAACTATCTTATTTTGACATAAGAATAATTATTAAGTATAACTACATTATGTAGTTATATAGAGAGAAAACCCTAAACACTCCATTAAAAAGCTATATTTATTATAACTAATAAACTAATACTACATTTATTATAACTAATAAATTAAAGTTGCAATTTACAAAATCAACATACAAAAACCAGTAGCATTTCTATACACTAATAGGAAACTATTTGAAAAAGAAATCAAGTACAGTATAGTAGCTGCAAAAAATTTAAACACTTAGGAGTAAATTTACCCAAATGGGGTGAAAGATCTCTGCAATGAAAACTATAAAACACTGATGAAAGAAATTGAAGAAGACACTAATAACGGAAAGATATTCCATGTTCATGGATTGGAATAATTTATATTGTTAAAATGTTCATACCTACCCAAAGCAATCTAGAATTCAGTGCAATCCCCTATCAAAATACCAAAGACATTCTTCACAGAAATACAAAAAGCAATTCTAAAATTTGTATGGAATGACAGAAGACCCCAAATAGTCAAAACAATCCTGAGCAAATAGAAGCAAGCTGGAGATGTCATACTTCCTGAATTCAAAATATACTGCAAAACTATAGTAATCAAAACAGCATGGTACTGGCATAAAAACAGACCAATGGAACAGAATAGAGAGCCCAGAAATAAAGCCACATGTTTACAGCCAACTGATTTTCAACAAAGGTGTCAAGAACACACAATAGGGAAATGACAGTCTCTTCAGTAAATGGTGTTGGGAAAACTGAATATCTACATGCAGCAGAATTCAATTAGAACCTTATCTCTCACCGTATTCAAAAATTAACTCAAAATGGATTAAAGACTTAAACATAGGCCTTGAAACTATGAAACTACTGGAGGAAAACAGGGGAAATGTTTCATGACATTGGTCTGGGCAAGGATTTTTTTTTATATGAGACCTCAAAAGCACAGGCAACAAAAACAAAAATCAACGAATGGGATCAAACTAAAAAGCTTCTGTACAGTAAAGGAAACCATCAACAGAGTGAAGTAACAATCTACAGAATAGGAGAAAATAGCTACAAACTATACATCTGACAAGGGATTAATATCCAAAATATATAAGAAACTAAACAACCCAATAATAAAACAAACAAATAATTCAGTTTAAAAATGGGCAAAAGCTTTGAATAGACATTTCTCAAAAGAAGACATACAGATGGCCAACAGGTATATACAAAAATGCTCAATATCACTAATCGTCAGGGAAATGCAAATTAAAACTGTTAGAGCAGGTAGTTAGGTAGACATGACCAGAACAGGAGAGGACTCCCTGTGAATGCCAGGTGACCATCAGGTGATGGCCAGTCAGTTGTTAACTGTCTCTCTATTAATAAAATAATAATTGGTCATAGCTGGTGCCAGGGAAAGACAGTCTCCCAATAGATAGAAAACACCTAGCCTGACCAACATGGAGAAACCCTGTCTCTACTAAAAATACAAAAAAAAATTAGCTGGGCATGGTGGCACATGCCTGTTATCCCAGCTACTTGGGAGGCTGAGGCAGGAGAATTGCTTGAACCTGGGAGGCGGAGGTTGTGGTGAGCTGAGATTGTGCCGTTGCACTCCAGCCTGGGCAACAAAAGCGAGACTCCACCTCAAAAAAAAAAAAAAAAGAAAAAAAGAAAAGGAAAGAAAAAGAAAACAGATGAAGCTGGTGAACAGCAGCTTCCCAATAAGATCTCAGGAGTTGGGTGAGCAGGCTCAAGCATTCATACTAAGAGGCAAAATGGCAGCGTTTAACTGGTATATGACCTTCCTGTGAAAATGCTAGACCAGGTAAGGGAAAAATGCCTCATGGAGGATGTGCACAACTTTAGTAAACACACTGTGTGTGCAGCCCCTCCCAAGTCCTGGCAGGCCACCCCACGTGTGGACAGCCGCTCCAAGGGAAAAATCAAGGGGAGAGAAATGGAAACCCTGGAACCATGCCAATGTATAAAGCCCCATCTTAAGGGCCAAGCAGGGCACTTGGATCTCTCAAGTTGCCCGCTAGGCCCTCTTCCAAGTGTACTTTGCTTCCTTTCACCCCTGCTATGAAACTTTTCACTAAACTCTCACTCCTGTTCTAAAACTTGCCTTGGTCTCTTCCTCAGCCTTAAACCTACTTCTGCCCCTCAGCTGAATTCTTTCCTCCAAGGAGGCAAGGATTGAGTTTGCTGTAGACCCACTGGATTCACTGCTGGTAACAAAACCACAATGATATACCATCTCACCTCAGTTAGAATGGCTACTATAACAAAGACAAAGGATAACAAGTACTGAAAATGGAGAAAGGGAACCCTTATACACTCTTGGTGGGAATGAAATTAGTACAGCCATTATGGAAAACCATATGGAGATTCCTCAAAAAACTAAAAATAGAACTGCCATACAATCCAGCAATTCCACTACTGACTATATACCCAAAGAAATTGAAATCAGTATGTTAACGAGATATCTGCACTTTCATGCTCATTTAGATTATTCACAATAGCTAAGACGTGGAATCATATCACCTGAGTGTCAACCAATGGATGAATGGATAAAGAAAATGTAATACACACACACACACACACACACACACACACACTCATACAATAGAATATTATTCAGCCATAAAAAAGAATGAAATCCTGCCATTTGCAACAACATAGATGAACCTGGAGGACACTATGCTAAGTCAGGCACAGAAACACAAGTACTGCATGATCTCACTCATATGTGGAATCTAAAAAGTTGATCACATAGAAGTAGAGAATAGAACAGTGGTTACCAGAGGCTGGTGTGGTTAGAGGTTAGGAGGGTATGGGGAGATATTGGTCAAAGGATACATAATTACAGTTAGATAGGAGAAGTAAATTTCAAGAGATCTATTGTACAGTAAGGTGACTATTGTTAATGGTGATATATTATATCCTTGAAAAATACATAAAGAGTAGCTGTTACGTGCTCCTCCCACAAAAGTGATAACTGTGTGAGTTCATTTGTTGATGAGCTAGATTTAACCTTTGCATTTTGTATATGTACTTCAAAACATCATGTTGTACATGATAAAAACATAAAATGTTATCTGTCAATTAAAAAAGTGAAAAATATATAATTACATTATGATGCGGAACCAACTTACACCCTAGAAGAAAGTCATAGGCAAAACCTCCCATTATGGAATTCGCTGTTTTAGTTCTTCTTAACTAAATCATTGATGCTTTCCCAGCAGAGTCTCAGTCCTGCCCCATGTCTTTTCCTTCCAGATCAGTGCAGTGCTTACTGCCAGAGCCCAGGGTTCAAACAGCCTCTATAGCCACAGGTGCCTCTGCTATTAGCTGCTTTAGCCTCCAGCTGTTTTGGTCCTCGGAGGATAGGCAGCACCAGCTCCCTGGGGTGGATGCAACTCAGTATCAATAAATTAAGAAGTAATGCCTTCACCTTGGCCTCTCCAGGTACCTGAAAAGCATAAGGACAGCTTCCAGAACTCTGCTTTCTCTGGGTCCCAAATCCTTAATCAGGGGCATATCCCAACATGTTACTCAGCACCTTATGTGCTCATGTATGGCAAATTCGGGGGATGTAGCAGTACATGAAAAAATGAGAATTGCTTTAATTTAGGTGACTTCTATTTCTATTTACACTTATATAGCTCTAGCATTGCGCCAGGTACTATTATAAGCAGTTTACACATATTTACTTATTTAATCCTCTTAACAGCTCTTTGAAGTAGGTATTGTCATAACCTTCATTTACACATGTGGAAACAGACCCAGAGACGGGGACTAATTGGCTTGAGTTCCCAGCACCCTGGCTGCGGAAGAGCCAGGATTTGAATGGGAACAGCCTGATTTCTCCTGTTCCTGCCAGTTGCATCTCTATATGGCTTCCCAGAATTAAAACCCCCACTTCCTTCAGAGGTGGTTGCTGTGCAGTGATTGGGCCCTGGAATCTTCCCTATCCTTTGAAGTAGCTTGTCCTGGTTGATCCCGTGGCTAGCAGGTTCATTGCAGATTCTCTCTCTCTCTCTTTCCACCTCTTACTTCCCAGACCGACTGATCCTTTAGGACAAAAACACTTGAGTTCTGCCCTCACCACTTTGCTGTGCCCTTCAATTCCCGTGACCTTGATTTTTAAGGGCTTGATTAATTCGTGAATGAATGTCCGGCTCTCAGGGCAGCTAACACCCTCCTGCTTTGTAACCCAGGCCGCGTGCTCCTATCATGCAGAAGGGAGAATTTCCAGCAGACCTCCCCAGGAGGTGCCCATGTGGCCGTCAGAGGACCATGGCTCTGCTGGCCTCCAGCTGCAGTGCAGCACTACAGGCACTAGCTGCTGGGGCCATGAATCCAGCGGTATTGATGTGCTTCTTTCTCTAGCCCCAGTAATTACCATCGCAACAAGGTCTAACGCATACTTACCCTCACCATTTCTGTTTTTTTTTTTTCCATGAAAAAAAAATCCCAGTCATCATCATTATTTGTGCAAGGTCTTTAAAGAGCAAATAGAAAGACATTCAGCCCATATATTTTCTTTCTCTAAGTGGTGTTTATTTAAATGCAGATATCCTGGTTTCCTGTGTAGAGTTGCAAGCAATACCTATCCATTTAAATGTTAATAGGAGTGTAAACTTCAAAATCAAAATTTTTCCATGAGGGAGAACAGCTTTTTCTGGTTCTATTTAATGGTTCTCCTCGCCTTTCCTCCTCCACCTTCCCTCATTATCAACCTCCCTCTGCCCACTCCTTTCCACCACCCTGAACTCAATTCAACAAAGCATAAACGCACCTTTCTCATTTCAAAAATTAGAATGTTAAACATTAGGGTCATGGAATACAGATAATGGACTCAAGCCTGACATGATTCGTGAGGAGATTTTTCTCTATCTTGGCCTTTGCCTGCAGAGTCAAACTCACCATTCTGGGCTCTTTCCAGGGGGATTATTCTTAGGCCAGTCCCACATCATATTTTTCCAAGGCCTCAGAGTTAGGGTTTCCTCCTTGTTCTTTTCTTTTTCTTTTCTAAAAAGGCAGGAAGAGATGGGGAAAGAAATACAAGCTATATATATGTTCCTGAGTACAAAATACTGCTGTGGGCACAGTTAGCAATCACAAAGAAATAAAAAGGCAGTTTCTTACCTCTAAAGACAGGAGATTGACACATAGGTTAACGAGAATGGGCAGGAATACATGCACAGGCCTTTCCTTGGGCAGAGAAGCAATCAGGACTTACTCAAGTGCAAATAAAAAGCAACAAAGATTTTTTAAACAATGGAAATAATGTCTAATGCCTTTAAGTGCAAATATGGGATAGAATAACCTTTCTGAGGACCTTATGGGCCAAGTTTTGTGTGTGAATGTGATATCTGGCCTCATCTTCCTTTTCTTTCTTTTTCTCTCCTTCACTGCATCTTTTTTTTTTTTTTTTTTTTTTTTTTTTGAGACGGAGTCTCACTGTCGCCCAGGCTGGAGTACAGTGGCATGATATTGGCTCACTGCAACCTCCACCTCCTGGGTTCAAGCAATTCTCCCTGCCTCAGCCTCCCGAGTAGCTATGATTACCGGGGCATGCCACCATGCCCGGCTAATTTTGTATTTTTAATAGAGACAGGGTTTCACCATGTTGGCCAGGCTGGTCTTGAATGCCTGACCTCAGGTGATCTGCCTGCCTTGGCCTCCCAACGTGCTGGGATTACAGGCGTGAGCCACCACGCCCAGCCCTGCATCACTATTTTTATCCCACTCTACTGTGTGCGTTTTGTTAAGCCTGCTTAAGTCTTTTTTGGAACATGGCAGGACTATTAATATATAAGTTAGAATTGAGTATATAAGTTTCATAGATTTTGGTCCCATTATTTTATTTCAGGTATTCTTTTTGTTCCCCACCTAGTTCTTTTTTAATAGTATTCTGTTTTTGTTTCACAGAGGCAATATCTTTCTTCTCTTGTCTCTCTGCAGATATCAAAAATAATTTTGAAAATTTTTTTCTTCTCCCTGTAACTTGTTTCTGCACACTGTTTTTCTCCCCATTCATGGGCTTTTCTCAGATATATGAAGATGGTTACTTGTCTGCTCATGTTGAAAAATGCCTGCGGGCACTGAGTGAACCCCAGTTCAACTGGGGCTTCATTGTAGAGGGGTCTGAGGGGCGGATTCTGGGGCACTGCTAGTGTCTGTAGGTCTTTCCTCTGTGCTGGTCATCCCCAGAAAGTCTTCTCCCAGTCTCTAGGCTGGAGGGCAAAGCCCTGGCAGCAGGTCTGAGAGCCAAGTAGAAGAGAGCTGGGATCAATGCTAAAACTCAACATCCATATGCACACAGTCCGTAACTCCATCAGGGTGCTGTAGTGAACTTCAGTACAATACCCTGACCCTCAACTGTGCTGGCTGACCCTCACCTGTTGATCTCCAAACCTAAGGACTGTGTTTTACGACCCCCTCGTACCCTGATCCCAGGAGTCAAGGGAGAGAGGAATCCCTCAGTGATATGCAGTGGCCAAGGTGATGTAGGAATCTAGATCCATCTTAAATAACTTCCACCAAATCCCTGTTTTATTTCCCTTTCTTCT
Organism: Homo sapiens; assembly: GCF_000001405.40. Taxonomy (NCBI): domain Eukaryota; kingdom Metazoa; phylum Chordata; class Mammalia; order Primates; family Hominidae; genus Homo; species Homo sapiens. Next base: position 141,433,301 of record NC_000007.14, read on the forward strand.
GCTTAACAACCAGATCCAAATGGACCTGCTGGTGCCAGTTCATGAGCCTTTTGGGGATTCCACAAGTTGGTTTTCAGCTTCTCTGATACTGACTTTAGATTTGACTCTTTAGGTCCAATTTTGACTCTTTAGGACAGCATCCGTCAGCCCTGCAGACTTTTGTTGTTGTCATCCCTGTCTCCTTTTCTATTTTCCCCATCCTTGAAGACTTCCGTCTTTCTAAGAAATCTCTTAACTGTAGTCTGGCTTGGTTTAGGAGGAGGAAATGCTAGACACATTTTTTTCAATCGGCCGTTATAACCCAGAAATCTTTAATTGCATTATTTTCTCATGTAACTCAAGAATGCAGCTCACTCTTCTTGTAGTACACTGGTTTTGAGATTATTTGTCAATAAATTATGTAATTTCTTTGGATATTGCTCTCCTCATCTGTAAAACTGGAACATTTCTTGTCCTATCTACCTTATAAGTTGTTGTTGCAGCTTCCCTGAGTTACCACATAGGTCTAAGGACAAAGTAACCAGCTGTTCATGCACGGCTCTGGCAAAATAAGGTTTTCAGGGTGATGTGAAAATCTTTCCAGGTCAGTGGAAATACACAGGCCTGGCCTCTGATTTTCATTCTTGTTTCTAGATCAACAGCTTAGCACAACCCTCAGCTTCTGCTGACAAAGCCCTTTGGGAGGAGGCAAAGAGTACCTCATCTGTGTTAGAGGACAACAGCCCCTCCCCGACCTGGAACACAGACTTTTGGAAGAGGAATTATTGTCTTCATTTTGCTGCTGTTCTGCCTTTTCCTCTGTTTTCTTCTAAGTAAAACACTTTGTTCTCATTCTCCAACAACTCTCACCTTCCCTCTTTTTCTAATTTGCATTTCCATTTTGTTTTTCTGCCCAGCCCACTTTCCCATCCGTGGCCAAGGTGGACACCTCTTATTGACCCATTGTCCACTTAATTCCCCCAGGCAGAACCTTTGCTCCCTGGCGTCTGCAGAGCCTGGGGAACAGTACAGGCCTTCCAATGAGCAAAGCCAGGTGACAGCTGGGCCTCCAGCAAGGTGGGACTCTGCAAAGTTGTCCTGTCTAGTGCTGCTGAATGGGATAGGATTTCTCCTAGAAAGAAACCTCCACACATCGAAAAGAGAAGGGTGCAGAAGATGAATGTGCTGACCGTTTATACCTCCTGTTTGTTTATTTTTATCAGTTTCAGATATTTGTACATTTTTGGGATACGTGTGATATTCTGATAAATGCATAGAATGTATAATGATCAAGTCGGGATATTGAGAATATCCATCACCTTGAGCATTTATCATTTCTTGGTGATGGAAACATTCCAAACCCTCTTTTCCAGCTATTTTGAAGTACACAATACATTTTTGCTAACTGTAGTTACCCTACTCTGCTATCAAACATTAGAACTTATTTCTTCTAACTGTATGTTTGTGCCCATTAACCAATCTTTCTTCATCCACACCCGTCCCAGCCTCTGGTAACCGTTACTGTACTTTGATTAGATCAACATTTTTAGGTCTCACATATGAGTGAGAACATGCAATATTTGTCTTTCTGTGGCCTGGCTTATTTCACTTGACATAATGACCTCCAGTTCCATCCAGGTTGCTGCAAATGACAACATTTCATCCCTTTCATGGCAGAATAGTATTCCATTGTGTATATGTAACACATTTTCTTTATTCATTCATTGAAAGACACTTCTCATGATTTTGGTATAAAAACACATGAATCAATGAAACAGAATAGAGAACCCAGAAATCCACATATTTATAGCCAACTGATTTTCAACAAAGGCAGCAACATACACTGGGGGAAGGACATCCTCTTCAGTAAATGGTGCTCCGGTAAATGGAAAGACTGGATACTCATATGCAGAGGAATGAAACTAGGCCCCTGTCTCTCACCAAGTAAAAAAATAAACTCAAAATGGATTAAATACTTAAACGCAAAATCCAAAACTATACATCCTGTTTAAGGAAGTATAAGCCCCTTACAGGGAAACCTTCTTTTCATTGAAAATAAGCTGTTCTCTCTTTTCCTCTTCCCACCACCTTTTGGCCCTTGAAGATGATGGGGAGTAGAAGCATTGGTAGTAGAGTATCCCATTTCCAGGAGATGATCCAGATGGGATCACATGTCAAGTGGGGACCATTGTCTACTGAGAAGGCAGCTCAGGCCTCGGTCACTCCAGAGTCTCTTGTGGTGGTGGGGAAAGCAGGGACTAAGGTATAGGGCTGGTGGCCATGGAGACAGCATTTGGGGAGATGGAGGGAGAGGACGGCACAGATGATTCAATAAGAAGGGGCAGGAGTGCACCTTCCCTTCTCTGACTGGCTGTGGCTGCCCACGCAGGCCGCTGGCCTCACAAGCTCCTATTGTGATCAAACGATGGTTTCAGCAGTTCCATCTGACACATATGGTAATATGAGCAGGGGGTGCAGTGCTGCATGATAATCAGGCACCCTGGGCAGTTCCCATAAGTGACTGTAAGCATCACTTCTACCTGGCTGGGACAGGCATCCCGGGTCAGCCAGGGCAGACAAGGGCGGCCCTAGTAGAGCAGGAACCTGCCCTGTGGCTCTCAAAGATCTCTGCCTCTGTGACTGGAGCCCTGTCCTCCTTCCTCTGTAGGCCCCTCCTCACCAGAAGGAAGGGTCTGCTGCTGTTCCCCTCCTGTGCCCCGTCTCTCCCCACTCCCCGGCCAACTTCCTCCCTGGCCGGGGGCTGTCAGTGTCTGATGGTCAATGTCAGGACAAGAAGGGTGGTCTGGATCCCTCTACAGAGGGGTCTTAAGCCAAACTGCACCATATGTCTTTTTGTTTGCTCTGCTGGGGTTCCCCATGGGGTGGCTGGAGTGAGAGAGAGGAATGGAGGGGATGGGACCTGGACACCTTTTGAGGTATGTGGTCTCTGAGGTATTCTCCAAAGAGACCTGTGGGGTGTTTGTTTCTCAGGGTTGAGAAAAGATTGTCCAGGCAGGCTGCAGCAGCTGGTGTGCTTGCACGGGGTGTGGATGTGGTTTGCTTCAGGCACTTCCCTTTGACAGAGAGGGACGCCCAAGGATCCTCCAGGCTGTTCTGCAACCCCCTGGGAAGCACAGACCCTGGGGCAGAGGCAGGATAAATAGCTTTGCTCCTGTGTGGAGCCCCACTGGCAGGCTTAGGGCACAGGCTCAGATGTGGATGGGTGGAGAGAGGGCCCAGGGAGCTGTGGTGGGTGTTGGTGAAGGGTAGAGGGGTGGGTGGCATGAGCAGAGGGTCAGAAGGTTGAGCTCTAGAGAAGGGGTGATGGATGAGGAAAGTGTGCCCGGAGCTGGTGGGGGCTGGGGTGCGGTGGGCACGTGGAAGGGTAGGGGGCTTGAGAGCAGCTCTGGCTGCCTCTGCGTGCAGGAGGGCAGGGGTGGGAGCTGGGGAGGAAGCCAAGCCAGATGCTGAGTGGCCAACTGAGCCATGGCAACAGCTCTGCCCTCTCCCTTCTGCTAAAAATACTGCCTTTCCAGACAACCCTCTTCCTCCTGGAGCTGATGGGTTAGCCAGGCGTGGAACAGAGAAGGGCCTGACTCAGAAAGCGGGGCTGACCCGGGGGTGGAGGAGATGGAGTAAGTGCAAGAAAGGGGTCTGCTCTGGAGCTTAGAGGAGAGCAGGAAGTGTGGCTCTCCTCCTGCAGCCCTGCATGCAGGGAAAGCTAAGCCCAGGAGCCAGCTTAGAGTTGAAGGAACAGAACACCAGACCCCCCATGCTGTTAGCTTTCCCTCACCTGCAACCTCCTAGTGAGACCAGGAGAGCCTGGCAGGTGCAGCCTGACTACCCAGATCCAGCAGCCCATTTCTGTGGTTCTCAGCTCCTTGGAGAGGCTGAGTGATGCTGTGTTTGGAAGCTGGGAGTGCTAGACAGGTCTGGGTTCCAGTCTCTGTTCTACCGCTTACTAGCAGTGTGCCTTTCAGCAAATAGGAATAAAGATAGTACCTGTCTCAGAAGGTTGAGATAGATATATAGCTAGGCAGCGCTATGCCTGGCACAAAGGAGGCATAGAAGAAATGGCCACGATATTGTGATGATCTGTCCCTGTGCTTAGGATCTAAACTGCTGTGGCCTGTTTGTGCACACAAGGATAGAGTCACCACAGGGGATCCTCCCTCTGCAAAGATTGTGTGCTCCTATCTGAGAAGGGCAGGTTGCCTTCCTGCTCCTGGAGGGCCACTCCCTCTCTGCACCCACCCCAGGGCTGGGGTATACCCTGGCCCTCAGTCCCAGGCTCTGCTGCTGACTGTTGCTCGCCTGCTTCCCCACAGACCTGCGCAGAATGACGGCTGGCTTCATGGGCATGGCGGTGGCCATCATCCTCTTTGGCTGGATCATCGGCGTGCTGGGCTGCTGCTGGGACCGAGGCCTTATGCAGTACGTGGCAGGGCTGCTCTTCCTCATGGGAGGTAAGGCTACGGGCTCGGCTTGTGGGTGGCAGTGGACAGGGTCCTGTTTACCACAATTTGGGGAGAATGGCCAGAGGGCACAGCAGAGGGGACCATGACGTGACTGGGGTTCTCATTCACTCATCCATTGGTTCACAAGCACTTCTTGAGTTGCTTTTAGCTCCTCACCACTGCACCAGCTGTTGGGGATACAAAGGAAAATAAGACACGGTCCTCACCTTTCGCTCAGAGCTGACTGCCTGTGTGGAAGAAAGACACTTACGGAGATGATCATGAGACGGGTGGTTACGGCAGATGGAGATATCAGACCTGGAACAAGCATGAGCCCAGGAAGTACTTGGGCATTTCATTATATGCAGGCCCTGGGCATTAGTGTGGGAAGCTGGAAGCAGGTGCTATCTGGGCACTTTCCGTCCAAAAGTCTATCTTCACCTCTGACTTATGGATCCTGAAGCTGCCCCCCTTTCAAGTAAGGCGGGGGTGGGGCAGGACTAGACCCTCTCTTATATCTGTCTCTCTTACTCTATTATTTTACCGTCATGTGCATAGGACCACTCCAGTGTCCCTCTAAAGGGATTCTACATAAGGAGAACTGCACAACTATGTGGGAATAGGGGTCCAGTCCATGGGAAGTAACAGTGAGTCCACTCCTCTTGTGTCTCTTCTTTCCCTGTAAGAGCTAAACTGTGCTTTTTGGTCTCCTGGTTTGAGTTTCAGTCCCAAGCTGAAGTTGACCACTGGGTATGTCCATCACCATCTACCCCTCAGACAAAGGTAGATGGGTGGATTGTGTGGGGCTCAGTAGAGGGGGATTGGGGCCTGGACAGAGGGAATTAGAAATATTGTGGCTCACACCTGTAATCCCAGCACTTTGGGAGACCAAGGTGGGTGGATCATGAGGTCAGGAGTTCGAGACCAGACTGGCCAGCTTGGTAAAACCCCGTCTCTACTAAAAAAAAAAAAAAAAAAAAAAAAAAAAAATTAGCCAGGCATGGTAGCGCGTGCCTGTAGTCCCAGCCACTTGGGAGGCTGAGGCAGGAGAATTGCTTGAACCTGGCAGGCAGAGGTTGCAGTAAGCCAAGATCGTGCCACTGCACTCCAACCTTGGTGATAGAGCAAGATTCCGTCTCAAAAAAAAAGAAAGAAAAAGAAAAAAGAAATGTTTATGGAAAGAAATAAAAGTAAGTCCTGCATTTAGAAACAAATGTCAGTTAGAATTTAGGCACCTGTAGCAAACACCCAACTCAGGTCCCTTCTGTGAGCCACCAGGCTCTGGGTTTCTGAACAGGGGCAGAGGGTGAAGGAGAGAGCCATGCTGGCTCTTTGTCTGCAGGTCAAGCTGGGGACAGGAGGAGTTCATTGCTCTAGGTGTATGGAGTGATCTTGGGGGTTAGTGAGCTGTGGGATTTGGCTTGAGTTCTGAATTTATTGAAGGTCTACCCTTATTCCCTTGAAACACAGCCATTCTGTGCCAAAGACAGGCAGGGTCTTTCCAAGGAAAAATCACTCAGGGCTAAAAAAACCGTCTGCTGTTAGAGTCAGGATGCCCCATGCCAGAGCTGCCTCCTCAGTGAGCCCCACACCTGTGGTTATGGCAGAGGCTGGGGGAGTGAGGGGGACGTGATGGCTCTGTCTAGTAGTTTCCACACTCCTCCTTCTGGTCTCCCACAGAGACAGAGGCTGACAAAACCAGGCATGCTTCCCTGCTCTGTGCCTCAGCATACCCTTCAGTGAAACAAGGAGTCAAACTAGCTTGATGATTTCCACACTATATTTTAGCAATGGAAGCTTTTTTGGTTTTCCTTTTGCAATCCAAATCTTATGTAGCCCCCCAAAATATAAAAAGATAAAAGTGGAGCAGCTCTGTTTGTAGTGAGTGTTCTCTCTAAGACTCTTTTGGATATATAAAGGCAGGCTCTGGTAAAACAAGGCTTTCCTAAGGCTCTAGAGAGGTCTCCCAGGAATCCAAGAAAAGCTGAGCAAACGGGCCGCGGGCAGATAAGGAATCCAGTGAGCCCTGGGGGCCAGCTTCTTTCATCTCCACTTCTTTGATGGCATTTGAGGCTCCTTCATGGTTTTTCATTCTCCCCTCTCTTCATGCCAGGCACAAGGTTCAGATCCTGCCCAGGTGCTACATCTCCAGGACTCTTCAACTCTTTGACAACTTCCCTCTGGCCTGTTGAAGCCAGCTTCCAGAGAAAGAGATTGTGTAATTCACTGGCTTATCTTTTCCAGACAGGGAACACATCACTGGTCAAACAATAAAGGGACAGAATTTGGTGACAGTGGTTGACCAACAGATGTGACTGTGGTAGGGTCATTGGGCTATATCCCACTTAACTGAGACCTTGGTGAGCACCCTCCCAGGATGGAGTGTGGGGGCAGTGAGGGATATGATTGTGCCTGGAGCCCTGCCCTTGGACCGTGCTGAGGCACCTCCCAAAAGCACAGGGCTCTGGGGAAGACCTCTGAATGCCCCTGGGCTCAATTAGGAGTCAGAGGCCCCTTTCTATAGGGTGAATGAGTGAGAGCCTTGCTTACCTTTGTCCAGGCAGTGGTTCTCAACCACTGCACTTTAATCACCCGGAGAGCTTTTAAAAAAATACTGATGCTGGGACCCCACTCCAGACCCATCCAAGTGGAACTTCTGGGGATGATCTTAATGTACAGCCAGAGTTGGGAACTAGTGGAAGAGATGAACTTTCCAGTTCTTTCTAGCGCTAATATTTTATGGTACTAGGGATGAACTGGTTAGCCAAGACCTCTCATGTTTTTTTTTTTTTAACTCCAACTTTTAAGGACTATTTCTCCATACTTTATGCTGCAAGAGACAGGGCAGGGCTGAGATGGGGCCTCGATTATTACTGGGAAAGCTCATCCAAGCTTTTAGTACTGAGGGTCCCAGGTAAATCTGCTTTCTTGGGGACATGCAATCTATTTTTTAAGTGGCAAAACCATCCTGTAAGATACAGTGTTAGCATCACAGAAAGATCTGGGGAAGCTGCTGTTCTAAAAGCTGCCTCTTGCTGACTGCGGCACCTTCCAGGATGGAGCAAATTCATCTCATCCACAGATCAGGTCGCCTTCTTATTTGTCCTGGTGCGTTGTTACTTGTGTCCATAGGTAAAGCCATGTCTTCCTGAAAGAGTCTGGGGAAAAAACGGATGTCCACATACCTTGTGAGTACCATTAGGCACTAACAGAAGGGGCTGGAGAACAAAGCCACTAAGAGCTGGTCCCTCGAAGTGTGGTCTTTCTTGAAGATGACTCTCTCAGGGGTGGGAGGGCACTCCCTTTCTTCTCTAGTTAGGGTTCTTTCCAACTGGGTTAGACACAGCTATGGGAGTCCAGAAGTCCCAGGCAGCTGCCATCTGCTGACTGTGAGCTAGGGACTAGGGAAGGAGCAGACTAGAACAGAAGCTGCACTTCCCGCCTCTTTGCTCAGCAGATAGAGCAAACTGAGAGCCTGGGGCATCAACCCAAAAATGATGCCTTGACCTCTAGAACCCTGTATGTCAGAGAGACATGTCAGCACCACCCCTCTCAGAACCTGGCCAGTCCCTGCTCTCTAGGAGTTAATCTTTAGGGGTTGGCCTGTTGAAGAATTTGGAGAGTAAGCCACCTGTGACAGCCATCTCATAGATAGAGCAGAGCAATCAGCCACTCGAACCATAGAGAGTTATCACAAAGTGGGACAGAAAGGCCCCGTGGCCTTAGCTTTCACCCAGGCTCAGGTTGCTCACCCAGGCTCAGGTTGCAGGCATCTATAACCGAGCACCGACAGGAGCCTGAGGGTTAAAATGGGGCTACAAGTGAGAAGGGTGGGGGGACAACATCAGCAGTGCCTGGAGCTGGCCAGGCCTGGATGTGGAGCAGGTACAGCAGGAAGAGGCAGCAAGAATGAAGAAGGTAAATTTGGAGACAAGAGTTCAAGAGATGAAATTGCAGGTGACTTCAGAGGAAACTGCCAAGGCCAACATGAAAATGGAAGAATTCTATCCCCAACCTCTCCTCTCTTCCAATATGAAGGAAGATGGCCTGCGCTGGGCACTTTTCTGTTCCAGGTTTAACTATTTCCTGGTCAAAGTAGGGGCACCCTGCACCCTGGGAAAGAATTAGCAACAAATTGTTTAATGAACGCTCAGCCCCGAGGAGATGATTAATTAAGTAGGGCAGCTTTGCTCAACCAGGAGGCCGGGGGTGGCAAGTGGGATCCAGTTTTCCCTTTGGCAGGGCCTTCAGGGGAGAATCTCGCCCAGACTGGCACAACACCATTTGTGTGCCTGATGAATCACCAGTGACATTCAGAAGCTCAGGAACAGGATGCCACCAGGGAAAGACTGCAGGCAAGGGAGCACGTGACTGCTATGAGTTCCTGTGATTCCCTTGCTGGGTGCACCTCAGTACTGCTTCGTGGATACGGATCCCCAAGATGAGCATAAACATCAACGTATGCCCTACCCCATCAAGACCCCTCTCACACACCCTCCCACACTCCCTGGAAGACATCCATCACCTCCTCCCCGAATCAGGTCTAAGGCTCCATGATCTTTTGTCTAGGCTAATGCTGGAGCCTCCTCTCTAAACGCCCTGACTCCACTCTGGCCACCCTGCAATCAGTCCTTCACAGAGCAGTTAGCATAATTTTACTTAAAACCATAAATCAGATATGTCAGTCATCCACTGTCAATGGCCCAATAGCTTCCAGTTGAACTTAAAATCTGAACTCCTTACACCTCTTTAGAAGCTGTTTGTAATCAGGCTCATGCTGCCTCTCACCTCCTTTTCTGTTCCTTTCCCTAAAGTCGGGTCACTCCTACCACACTGGCTGCCTTTCTACCCTGGAACACCCAAAGTTTTACTTCAAGGCCCTGGAGTGATCTGACTGCTTTGCACATAGTGTTTCCTTGTAATCCCTTGTGGATGGCTCATTTTTCCAATTCAGGTTCCACCCTTTTAGAGAGGGCTTTCTTGACCACCCAGTTTCATGCAGCCACCTAGGCATGCTCTACACTTTACTTAATTTTGAGTAGCACCCTCTTTATTTTCCAAAACGTTTGTGGTGTTTTCATTTTGGCTGATTTCTTAGGAGCTTAAAACAACAAACATTATTTCATAGATTACATGGTTCAGAATCCCAGGTACAGCTTAACTGGATTTTCTGTGGAAAGTCCCACAAAACTGTGATCAAGGCGTCAGCTGGGGCTGGGTTCTCATCTGATGTTTGAGGCCCTCTTCCAAGATCACAATGTTGGCAGAATTCATTTCCTTGCAGCTGCAGAACTCAGGGAAGTTTGCTTATTCAAGGCCAGCAAGAGAGAGAATCTCTGACTTCTTCCATCTCTGACCTCTAGACCCTCTGTTTGTTTGATTTTTAATAGACCTTATTTTTAGAACAGTTTTAGATTTACAGAAAAATTGAGCAGATTGTAGACTTCCCATAGTATCCTCTGCCACTGTATCCAGTTCCCTGTATTATTAACATGTTACATGATTATGATACATTTGTTATTACTAATGAGTAAATATGTACATTATTATTAGCCAACGGCCCCAGCTGACTCCGATTCCCTCAGTTTTTACCTGATGCCCTTTTCTGTTCTAGGATCCCGTTCAGGACACCACACTGCACGTCATTCTCGAGTCTGCATAGGCTCCTCTTAGCTGTAGCTGTTTCTCAGACTTTCCTTGTTTTTGACGATCTTGGCAGTTTGAAAGAGTACTAGTCAGGCATATTGTAGAATGCTCTTCTATTGAAACTTGTCTGATGTTTTTCTCACGATTAGACTGGGTTAGGGGTTTTGGGGAGAAAGAGGTAAAATGCCATTTTCATCACATCATTTCAACATGATTTATGACTGTTGATATTGTCCTGATCATGTGTTTCTCAAGTTTCCACACTGTAAAATTATTTTTCCCCCATTTCCCATGACTTCCTCGGAAGGAAGTCACCACATGCAGCCCACGCTTGAGGAATGGGGCGTGAAGATGGAGTGCTGCGATGGAGATGCTCCTGTAGGATGGAGTAGCTATCTAATTTGGAATTCTTCTGCGTGGGAGGAGGTCTGTCTCTTCTCCCCCATTTATTAATTTATTCAGTCATTTATACCAGTGTGGACTGATGAGCATTTATCTTACACTTTGGGTTTAATCCAATACTACCTTCTTTTGTTGCTCTCATTGGTACAGCTTTGGCCATTGGGAGAGCTTTCTGTTGGCTCCTGTGCCTGTTTGAGATACCCCCATCAATGTGGGTTTTGGTTTTGACTACTTTTTTATTGTTTGCTTGTTGGAGCACTTAGTTTTTGGCAGGCTTATCTTATATATTTCCTGCCCTAGACCTAGAATCAGCCGTTTCTTCAAGGAGCTCTGTTTCCTTTTATTAGAGAAAGGTATCAGAAACCAAGATATGGGTGATTGGGTGCTAGGTATCTGAAATGTTTTTAACATTCTGGATTTGTTCACTGTCTCTCTCCCTGAACTTAGATATATGCTCCATGATCTCCAGAACTTTGTCTGCTTTCATGAAGGGATACCTTCCCTAAGGTATCACTAATGTCGGGAACAATGTCTGTGCTCTTAATAAATATTTGTGGAACAAATATATAGGAAAAGTGAATTGTGTGTAACAAACAAAATATTTTGGTTTTGTCTCAATAGAGCAGCAATTCTTCAGTAAAATACCCCATCTTATCTTCTGTTCCTATTCTAATCATCTCCCCTTTCACAAGATTTCTTGTCCTCTTGTTGTCTTTATTTGAACAGTCCAAGGATCTACTTCTGTTATAAACTATCTCAAATTCTTTTTGGAGATAGAGTATGAATTACACTTGAATTCATGAAGAGCTTTCTGTCTTGAACTTGGACTCATAGATATAAAATAAAAGGGACTTTAGAGACCAACCAGTTCCACTTCCTTGCGTCACCAGGTAAAAGTAGTCATGTCAAGTTGTCCTAGGTCACCTGGCCAGTGAGTGGCAGATGAGAGCTGGAGCCCAGCCTGGGACCCAGCCTGCTTTCTTGCATCCCCAGCCCTGCCCCTGCTTTTGGCACCCCGTGTTGAAGATCTCCCATGTTCAACCCCGTGTTGAAGAAGCAGGGGCCCCACAGCCCCTGCTTCTTCCCACACTAGCACAACTCTGGTTCTGGGCTTCTAAGTGGGTGCCAGTATGTGTCATTCACTCTGTGTCTCCCTCTCTCCCTTCCCTCCTTTCACAAAGCACAAAGGGGCATATGGAGGAGACCGCGGCCAGAACCAAGGGCACGGGTGGTAATGAGAAAAGGAAATCATTAAAGTTTCTTTTCCTACCACCTGTGATCAGTGTGACCTTTTATACCTTCCCAGTCAGTCAGGGGGAATGAAGAGAATGCCCTAAAGAAGCTCAGGCTATTATGTGTGAGTGATTGCAGTGATTTGCAAGCCGATGATGCCACATGTCTGGCATCTATACCCGCTCCACCAAGCTCACCAGAGAGCAGTTCAGCTGTGTGATGAACCCCCAGACACTCAGCATAACACTCTTCTGCTGCTAGACAAAGACCTTCATGGAGGCCTGGGCATTCTGAAAATATACAAGCCTAAAATGAGAAGTCCAAGGCAATGGCCATCTTGCCTGGAGGACTGTTTCTTTTAGACAGTAAAATGATTTAAGGGATCTTATAGAACAACATTCAGGTTTCCCCACCAGCCTTTCCCCACTGTTATTCCTAGCTTGCTGTACTTAGAAACATGCTAGGATGATGTTTCAAAGTAATTAAAAGTAATGACAAAAATGGCAGTTACTTTTGCACAAACCTAATATAAGTTCAGGAGGCATTATATCTCAAACTTCATGACTCTTAGGTCAGAGAGGGGAGACATGGAGTAAAAGGACCATATAAGTTAGATATTTTGGGGAGGGAGAATATATTCAGTAAGCTAATGACTTACTATGAGACAGGCTTACAATAAACCCTTGATAAATGGTGCTGTTACTGTTACATGTATAGCCTAAGTGAAGTCCATTTTAATAGGCAGAGAAGTATCTGTGAGCTATCATGGTGAATCAAGGGCAACTCTGGCATAAAACCCATCTTCTTACCCTGCCAATCTGCTTTTATAGTTTTATGTGAGATTTCACTAGAACATCACAACTCATCTCTTGACTTTTTGTCTTATAATCTTTCTTTCAAAATCCTGATTAGAGACTCACAAACTACTTCATACCCTGGAGCGTATCTTGCCTCTTGGAAAGTGCAGATTTCAATATTTATTAGCATTTGATGATTACAATTAAAACAAATCAGGGAGGGGGTAAGTCATGTCACTAAAAGACATTTGAGGGAGAAGACACATTGTCAGGAGGACTAGGAAATAACATCCGGGTTTACCTAATGTACCTCACGTAGAATGAGTGGCCAGGATGCACCACTTCAGTAACCCAGGCAGCAGGAGGGCCTCATTTTCACACTGAAGCTGGGGCAGACCCAAAGGAGTTTCACCTTTGCCACCCAATGGGACCTACCCCTTCTACAGATGTGGGGTTCAGAAGAGAACAGGGAGCAGCCTTATCCAGATGAATCCAAATCTGGTCAGCAATTAAAAGCCTTGTCAGAATTCCCCATCACTCGCCTGCCAAGCCTTCAGGAAAGCCACAGTGCCACATGTTCGCCAGAGCAGGAGGAGTCTTTGTCATTGGCTTTCTGGATGGAAATGCTAAGACAGAGCAGCCCCTGGAAGGAAATGCAAAGGAGGATGGTTGGTGAAGGCATCTCAGAGAGTTTCTTTGGGAAGAGCCAACCCTTGTCTACACTTGCACATGAGCTGTCTTCCATTCTCTGCCTCTTGATTGGGGGTGAGAGTCCTAGTTAAGTGGAATCACCCAATTGAAGAGGGAATTATGGTTTTGTCATGGAGAACCAGTCCAGGACCAAAAGAGTCTTGGACTAGCCATGTGGCCCTAGGAAAGTTTCTTATCCATTTTTCATGCCTTGCTTCAATTTTCTCATCTATAAAAGAGGTCCAATAACAGGACACACTTCAGGCACAGCTATGAGACTTGCAGAGTTAATACATGTGAAGGGCTCACAACAATGCCTGGCATTGTGCTGAATACCTTTTAAGTTATTATTATTATTTAGCTACTGAAGTACTTCTTTTTTTAAATAACCACCTTTAGTGACACTGCCCTGAGCAGCATCATCCCATCACTACCAATGCCACACAAACGCACTACATGCCATCGAGATGAAAAAGAAGAAATCTTTAGACAGGTAATGTCTCTCCGACTGATCACCCGTACTCATTCATTTATTTGTTTGCTCAATAAATACTGATTGCCTATTATGTGCCAGACACTGTCGAGGCACCTAGGATACAGGGAAGAGCAGGATAAAGTCCTCAGGAAGCTTACGTTCAAGTTGGAGAGACAGACCAAAAGCAAGTGCCATAAAAATATAGTGCGATGTTAGGTGATAAGAACTATGGAGAAAAATAAAGCTGGGAAGGTGATAGAGATGGGGGCATGGCTGTTGTTAGAGAGGGCTTGGAGGGCCTATCAGTGGTGGTGATGTTTGAACAGGGCTTGAATGTAGGGGGCAGGAAGCCATAAGAAGACTTGGGGCAAGATCATGCCAGGTAAAATGAGCAGCAAGGAGAAGGGGCCTGGGAGAGGACTGAGCCTGTTGGGTCTGAAGAAGTTGAGTGAGAGGATGACCGTGATGGGAGCAGAATGAGACAGAGATGACTCCGCCAAGAGCAGATCATTAAGGGCCTCAGAGGCGTGGGCAGGGGCTGATGGACTGAGGGGCGTCCATCCGCATTCTGCTTGCTCTGCTCTCTATCTGTTTCACAGCTTGCCCTGGGCTTCTTTCCTGGGCAATCATTTGATACCGTGTGACTTTTATCAACCTCTCTGGCTATGTCAGCCTCTCTACCACCTGCCACTCCCAGTTCCAGTGAGTGGGGTGCTGTGTCTGTCCATATCTGGAGAAGCCCGAGCAGGGTTAGGGGCTGGCATGTGCCCCCTGAAGGTGTTGCAGGGGCAGCCGCACCATCTAGCCTGTACCAGCTATACAATTTGTGGGGCCCAGTGCAGGATGAAAACCCAGGATGTCTCGTTCAAACATGATTAAGAATTTCAGGACAGCAACAGTAGAGGATCCAAGCAAGTGGGCGACTGCATAGATCACATGCCCATGAAGCCAGTTCTGCCTCTAGCATTGTCCCACGCTTAAATGCCCTGAGCCCGGAACTCCATAGACTTTTGCTGCAGGGGCTCCCAGAGATCTTAAGAAACCAGATCTCGTCTCTATTCTGCTTGTAAACCCCCTTCTCCCTAACCAGTCTGCTGTGCTTAAGACCACCGCTTGCCTTTGATGACTGAATAATCACACAAAGCATGTGTGCCTCTTTCCTTATGTCAAAAGCTACTCCCCAAATATTGAGAACACAACCTGTTAATCAGGAAAAGCTGTTAATAAGACAATTGCTTTCTGTGATAAGAGAGAATGTACCTTGAAAAACTTTGGCAGGGCCTCCAGGGGAGGGAGTAAGATCAGAATTTATTGAGAATTGGACGTTTGATTTAAAGCCATTATTTCAATGTGGACATGTGATTAACGTTGGGTATGAATAATTAGATAATGATTGGGTAAGAATAATGATAATGTCCTGGACTGGTGGCAACAGCAAGGTGAAGATTTTGAGGCCAAGGATTCAGAGAATCTTGGGGCACATGCTGTCAGTTGATGCTTTTGATGAAAGTGTTGGTGGATCTTTTGGAAAGTTCCTGTAATGAAACAATCAAATCATTTACTTGCACAGGACAGTCCCAGAAGTGTAAAGGAGATGGCTGTATAGGAAAGCCATGTTCCTGTAGACAGTAAGGTCAGGCTTTGGTTCTCAGTGTCCAGACTGAGGGTGGGGGAGACGATTTGAGTTCTCACTTAGGATGAGTGATTTCCCCCAGCCCAGTGCCCTCCCACCTGGCCTGCCTCCACCACCACAGCCATGCTGGACATGTCCAAATGACTGAATAAATGCAGTCCAGGCTCAGACTGGGACCCCGACACCCTGAGGTCTCCTCCTGTCAGCATTAACAAGACCCTGTCTTCTCTGGGGTGGAAATCACTAAACTGTGCTGAGTTGGGGTCCGTTGCTTCCATACCACGGACAGACAAGCAAGGTGGGCCAGGAGGAGGGTGAACAGGAGGAGGGAAGAGGGGACAGGGTAGATGAAGACCATCTCTACCTCTGGAGTGGTTGTCGAGAAGGGACTGATTCCTCCAATAGCCCTTTCTGTGGAAATAAAGACCTGGAATGTGATGATGACTCCACAGTGCTGGATTGCTATGGAAACTTAGGTCATTTCTAAAGTAATTTCAAAAGTCTCCCTCTCCGTGGCTCTTCTGGGATGCTCTTACAGAGGTTTGTAAGCCTCAGAGAAAGGGAAGTTGTCAGGCAAGCTTCTGGCCCTTGAAACAAGTCACAAATCAAAGAAAAATGCTGGTTTCTGAAGTAAATGGAGAGACCCCTCCTATTAGACTTAAAAGCTGTTCCCAGGAAACAAGAGGGACAAGCAGGTCAAAGCAAAGAGGAGTTTTCTCTCTCCTGTTCTCTGAGGATGGGGGCATTGATTGCAGGGGTGGGGGCAGGTTGAGAGTAGAGGGGTTAAAGACTGGTAAGAAGTGACCAAAAATAGCCTGACCCAAGGAAGGGGGGCACTCTCTGCCCTCTTGAGGCTTTTTGTCACATCCAATCCTTGATGGCTGAGATGTACTACAGGGTCTAGAGCCTGGAGGATGGAATCGAAGCCACCGGGCACCAGGGCAAACCGGACCAGACCAGACCAGACACAGGGTCCCCCTGAGATAGGCTTAGAGCACATTCTCAGTGAGTAAGTCAGAATGTGCAGACAGGAGGGAGGGTGCCTGGCTCCCTCTGGGTACCAGAGACTCGGAGAACTGGCCCAGATCGAGAGCTGGGGAGCAAGGACTCGGCAGCAGCCCTCACTATGAGCCGCCAGACACACCTTGGCCCAGGCAATCTCTCTGAATCTCACTGCAGATGATGCACCCCTGCAAAGGAGGTGGGCGAAGCCTGGCAAGCCTGAACAATTCAGCAGTCTGTACAATACAGGGGCCTTTAAGGCCTAGGGGAGAGGGACTCTGGGAAGGTCTCAAAGCATTACACTGGAGAGGATCTATGAACATAGTGCCTGAGCTGTAAATGAATTCTGCTCTTGTGGATGTACCTGCTCATCCTAACAGAGTCTGGGCTACTGGGACAGGCAGGAAATGGTTTGCCTTTACTCACCATGTCTGAAATAATTGGGGAGTGAGGGTCTATGCAAAGCCACTGTGCCTCCCTGACTTTCTGAGTCCTCCTGATTTCAAACATAGTTTCCTATGATCAGATCATTTCTCATACCTTGTGTCTTGATTTGGGGTTTGGAAAATGCACTCACCCTATCTATAGATGCTATCAAAAGGTCAAGGACTTCCAAGATCTGGCTGTGAAGGAGGCAAGCCCATCCCCACTTTAGTGAACCATTTGAACATGCCCAATGCTTGTTATTCATGAAGTGGGCAACCAGTTGTTAAGTACCTACTACGTCCTGGGTGCTGTGGAAGAGAAAATAAAATCAAACCCATCTCTGCCTCAGGGTTGCTCACAATTGTAGAGAGGAGCCAGATACCTGGATCAATAAGAGATATATTAGCTGTTTTCTTTTTCAGGACTGAAACCCTTAAGTGCAAAATTATTAAAACAAAAGAATTTTGTGTTGTTTCAGCAGAAAAGAGGACATTGCCAATCCACCCATCCACCATTCTTGGGGCAGGAAGTTTGTGGTCACCCAAAAAGGGGGGAAAGGGGGCCATTTATGTTTTGGGTAACACCTTACAGTTCACAGAGCTTTAAAGGGAGGATAAGGTCTCATTTGACCTGAAAACCCCCATAGGAGGCAGGTGGAAGAGGTGGAGAGGGAAGAAGATGAGCCGACAACCTATAGCAGGTCAACAGTAGACACTGTTCCAACATTATCTCCTTTCATCTCAGCAGCCCTTTAAGGTCAGCATTACCACCCTAATTTTGTAGATAATAAACTAGACCCAGAGAGCCATGAAACAAGCTTGGAGTCATGCAGTTAAGTAAATGATGGAGTCTTAATCTAAGGTCTTCAGACTGGTACCCATTCTTACTTTTGTGTTCCTGTGACAGTAGGATAAAACAAAAGGTTACTGGGAATGCCACCTGCGGTAAAGGGACAGGCCTCCAAAACACAGGCTTACTCACATGCATTTGTAAGCCAGAGGGTCCTCCTCCACTCCCACCAGCAAGGGGCAGGCAGATGTTATTTGGGGTAGGAAGGAGGAAGACAGGTCAAGAAGGCAAAATGGAGCCACTTCTGCTACCGAAGTGTTAACAAAGGCCTCAGGGCCAGATGGAATGAATGTTATCTGGAGTCAGACTCAAAAGTTCTGCAACCCTGGGCAGATTTCTCCTTTATACACCTCTGTATCACCACCTGTAAAATCATACCTGCCTTGTACGGTTGTTATGAGAATTAAATGAGTTGATGTGCAAAATGCTCAGAACCATGCTTGGTCTGTAGTGAGCACTTAGTACATTTTTAATACTGCGTGCTCAGTTTAGCACTGACTCCTACCTTCTTTGCAGTTCCTAGTACTCGCTTAGAGTTTAAGTACCTTGGACAAGGTACTTGGCCACATCATTCCCAAAGCTGGAATTCAGACTCAAATCTATTTGATTCTGAAGCCAGGGCTTTTAATTATGCAGCACTGTCTTCCAAATAACCATTAACTTACTGACACGGCTGTGATCCTCAAACAGCTCATGACCTGGTAAGGTAAGAGACGACTCCACACGGCCATCTCATTATGCATGGTACATGAAGGGCAGTGTTCTTGGGCTGGCAAGAAAGAGGAAGCTGGTTCTGTTCATAAAATATTTCTTAGAGAAATAGGAAAATGAGTCTCTTTAGCTGGATATATGAACATTTTTATGTGTTTTAAGACAAACGGCAAAGCTTGGGGCTTATGAGGCAGAAAGGATAATCCTTACTTATTACTTCTAGAGCTCCACTACCAACCCACTTCATCTCTTGGAGTCTCTGTTCCCGCCCTGTCTCGGAAGCTGGCTTCTTGGAGATGTGCTTACTCCTGGCTGTTCCACCTGTCACCTGTCCTTGACCGTCCTGTTCCTGACCTCACTAGGGTTGACCTAGCTCCATCTTTCGTGAAACTCTCATCTCTTGTCTTCTATAACAATACCCTTTTGATTGTTCCTTTTTCCTTTTCTGTTTTCTTTGCCCTTTTCTACCTATAAATATAGGCTTTTGACTCTCTTTGCTTTTTACCTAAAAACATGTCCGCTTGTCAACAACACCCACCATCACAGTGATGATTATCTCTGCACAAATGAATCTGGAACATGTTATGAAACAGTCTTTCCTGAGCTCTGGCCTCATGTTTTAAAAATGCTTTCTAGACATCTCCACCTTTCTGGAACCTCAAACATACTTTGACCCGGATTTGTCCTTTCTCTATATACGTTATGCATGTGCTTTATGTTTATTGAGTACATGCTAAGTGCCTGACTGACTGTAGGCACCCAACACATGTCTGCTCTGATCTTTCCCTTCCTCCAGCAAATTAGCTTGTTTTCTTCACTTCCTTGCAGATTGGTCTATTACCTGAGTCATCTTCCAGTTTTCCGTTTTCACCCTTACCTTTCCATCAATTGCCAGCATCTGCCAATATTTCCTTTGCAATATTGTTTGCAGCTCATTCATTTGTTTCCATTCCCTGAGTGCCATCTGGGCCCTTAGTACTATTGCAGTAGTTTGGGAGTCATTTAGCCCTTGGTGGAAATCTCTGTCCCACCACTTAGTTGGCAACCTCTGAGCCTGCGTTTTCTCATCTGTAAAATTGACATAGTGCTGCTTACCCTGTAGGGTTGTTGTTTAGATAAAACAAGTTAATATATTAAAAAAAATATCTAGCAGAGAGTAGGCACTCTATAAATGTTCATTTCCCTACTTTCCACTAAATTCATCCTTTACAGCATACTGCTTTTCTAAAGTACACTTACATCATTTCTCTGGTGAAAAAATACATTGTGGCTCCCAGTTATTAAGAGAATAAAGGCCAATGTCCCCAGCCTGGGGTTGAATGTCAGACACAATCTTGTCTCATGTCTCAGACAGGCCCATGAACCACAGGTGTTCCAGTCACCCCAGCGACTGACTGTCACTGCCTCCATGACACCCTTTTCTGCCTATTGAAGCCTGAAGCTGTTGTCAAGGCTCAACTTACAGATAGCGTCTTCTAGAAACCTTTTTGAATGATCTTACCTAGACCCAGACTCCTCCTCTGAACTCAGACCTCACTTTGTTCCATTTTGATGGCATTTGCCTCATTGTGAGTGTCTTGGACAGTAGTGATCTAGTCATTTCCTAGCTTTCCTCTGAGTCAAAACCTCCTTGGTGGCAGGGGCTCCCTGCCTTGTGGGTGACTCCGGTTGTTATTTTGCTCATCTTTATTTTAAGGTTTCTGGTAACTTTGACTTCTTGGCCTTGGGTCCTTTCTGCTAAAGTGACATAAATTACAGCCAGTGCCTTTTTCCTCCAAGTCTTTCAAATATTTGGAAACAACTCTATCACACTCTTAATTATCTGCTTTACAAACTAAGTTCAGCTAAGTAAACATTGATTGGATACCTACTGTGTGCTAGACATTGTGTTAATATCTAAGACACTCAAATAGTAACTTGTATGGTCCCTGTCCTTAAAGCCTGCCCAGGCAAGTGGTAGAGGCACGTAAGTGCTCAGAGCAGCCCATGACAAGTGCTATAACAGGGCAGATTGTGGGAATATGGACAAAGGGAGCCTCCCTCTGCTGGGGAGTCAAGAGGCCTCACAGGGGAGCTAATGGTTGAGGCTGAAGCAGGAATGCCCCGTTCTTCTCATTGCCCCTCGAAGGGCTTTCAATGTCCATCTATCAAAGGAAACTGCTCCTAGACCTAGAACTAGCAACTTTTCAGAAGCAGTATGCCAAGTCTTTATTTATTCATTCTAGTTTAGGATTTCACATGTCATTAATAGATTTCCATTTTTATATATCCCTATGTAACTAAACTCTGTTGTGAATGAAGCAAAAAATCCCTTTTATCTAAAAAAAAAAAGCTTAAGCAGCTTTACATAAAGTTAAAATCTAAATCTAGTATGATATTTGACCCTCCAATTTGGGCCCTGGGTAACAGGGAATGTCAAGAGCTGTGTCCTTCCCATTGCCACCCTAGCAAAACCTAAGAATCTCTTCTTGAAGTTTCTGCCACACTCCCAGGCACAATTTATTTAAAATAATAATTAATATAATTACCCCTCTGGCTCAGCTCTTAACATTTTCAGATAAGTTCGATCAAAATCACATTTCCCAAAAGCCTCTGGCTCACGGCTTTTTATAGCCCCTGAGTTAGCATGGCTAAGGGAAGTGGGGCAGCCATTCTCTTCTCACCTCGGCATTCCATCTAGACCCCATGTCATAAAGTAGGAAACTTCTCTCCTCTCTTTAGGAGGATGCAGACTCCAGCTTTTAAGGCCTTACAGAGAAGTGACTGCCTTCTCTGATGGTGACATTGGTGGGAGAGAAAGCCAAGCACGTGGGGCCCAGTACCCTTTGGGTCCCCTCCCCTTGCTCACGTCTCCATGTGGTCAGCCTTCCTGGGGTCAGGGCCCAAGACCCAGGCCAGCTTCAGGAGGCCACTTTGGGGACCTTTCTTCCTTTCCTCCTCTCCTCTTCTCTCCTCTCTCTCCTCTCTCTCCTCTCTCTCCTCTCTCTCCTCTCTCTCCTCTCCTTCCTCTCCTTCCTTTCCTTTCCTTTCCTCACCCACCAATATGAGTCAACACTTCTGGGTTAGTGTATCTGCTCTACAGATTCAAACGTTCCCTCCTAAAATGTAAACCTGGAGAGAAAGTATTGGGGATCTTGACTGTGGCCATGGGACAATGGAACAAGCCACAGTTGCCACTGTAGACTTGTCAGTAACAGAGCTGGTATATTTCTCCTCATCTGCCTCCTTTCTGTGGTTCTTTTCTCATTAGAGTTTGAATTCAGAAGGGTGCGGAAGATGAGTCAATAATTCTCATTCCTCGAATAAACCCCCGAGAGGAAAGTAGAGCTAAAAGGGCTGCCAGGTAGAGACCCATTCCCAAGGCAGAGGGCTTGGGGGAGGGCCTGAAGGGAGAAGAGGACATTCCTGATGGGCTGAAGTCCATGCTGAGCTCCTTTGGGCCCTCTTCTGACCACCAGCTTCCTCTGTCCACTGGTTTAGTCCCTGACCTGTTGAGAAGCTACAGGGATTCTCATTGAAAGAGATTTAGTGCTCTGATCTTGATTCATTTCCTTTCTTGACCTCTCTATCCTAATCCTTATAGAAAACTCGTGTCCCTTCAGAAGGAGTCACCCTTCTACCTGACACAAATAATGTGTGAAGTTGTGTACAGGTTGTGATAGGCTTCCCTAGTTCTATGAAGTAGTCAGATTTTACCAACTCAGCCTGAGTCTGAAGGGCCCTCAGAACCTCCTTGGGGCCACATTGGATAATGATAAGCCCTCTTCTTCCAATCTCACCAGCTAGTTGATGAATCATATTTAAACACCACTGTGTGTAGGGTCCTACTGGAGAAGAAGAGAGATTCTCTGCTTATATTAATTTCAGTGCAACTGGAGAGACAATCATACAGGTGTACATGAAATTGCTGTGATGAGAGGCAACTTAAAAAGTGGCTAAAGCATGGGTTTGAATCCTGGCTGTAGTATTTACTGTGTGGCCTCAGGCAAATTATTTAACCTCTCTGTGCCTCATTTTCCTCATCTAAACCTTACAACGTTGCTTCGAGGATTAAAAGAGTTAACATTTGTAAAGCTCTTGGAACAATGTCTATCATATTATAAACATTACATGCAAATGATTTATCCATATAAAGCTATGTATGCATTCAGTGACCCAGTGGTGGGGTGACAGCATGCAAAATTCACTTGGGTTTAGGTTTTCATCTCAGAGAAAGGCTAGGGCCAAGCTGACAAATGTGCTGGGCATATGGAAACATAGCCAAACCAGGTGGCAGGCTTGCCTGATCTTTTGGCTACCACCCCAAGCTTCTCCCTCTACTAATTAACATGGCATTGGCTTGAATCAGATAGGGCAGAAGCCGGAGAGATTTCATTCAGGACACAATTTATTCCAGACACTTAAACAGCTGGGGCCCAATCCTTCCATGCTTAGAATCAAGGCAGTTTAGAGCTGAGCCTCATATGCACATTGATGTCAAATAATGACATCTAATGGTCTCATCCACCACCCCTTCTGTGCATGTCAGGAGGTGAGAAGCAGTAGCCTCTCTCCAGATAGTTCATGTTTGACAAAATAAGTGGCAGCTAGTCCTAGAGCAAGTCAGAGAGAATGGCACCTTCTTACCCCAATATCTAGAGTCATAGGATCATTTAGATGAAAAAGAAGGACCATAGAGATCTGGTCCTACCCCTGTATTTTATGGTTAAAGGGATCATGATCCAGAGAGATGAAGTGATTTGCCCACTTATGGGCAAGGATGGGACCAGATTCTTGGTAGTGTACACTTTCCACAAAACCACACCCTTGTATGTTGTAGCTCCCCTACCAGGAAGCTGGTACAGGCTGTCCTGATGTACCCCCTGGTCAAGAGAACCTTATGACTACCAAAACAGGAATTCAAATGCAATGATAGATCTGTGTGTCCTGGGCCTCATGCCAGCCCTGGGGGAGTGATGCGGCTTTCTTTGCAAAAGCCTTGCATGGTACCTAGAAGATGAATGGCCAGAGCAACCAGGAAGATGCAGTGTCAGAAAAGGTCTGCAGGAAGTTCTGTATTATTGTAAGTCTCGTTCCCAGCAAGAAACCCAGGGTAAGGTTTCCCTCTGCCCTACAGATTCTCCAAGTTTGCTCCACGGACCATTGTCATTCACCAGAAAGAGTTGGCTAGAAGAAGGTGAGAGAAGAAAAGCAGGGGCAGGAAGATGGCACGCTCTAAGTGGCTTCACTCTTGGAAGCACACTAATCACAGCTTGAGGATGCTCCTTACTGCACAGCTGTAGGTGCCACTCTCAGTTTCGTTAAGAAGCCAGTTGGATCCCACTAACTCTCAGCTCTGAACCAAGGCCCAGATGGATAAGAAGCTGCAAAGATTCACTTGGAAAGAATATGGATGGTGCACTCTTAATTTGTTTCCTTTCCAGAACTGTCCTTCCCATCCTATATAGAAAGCTCATAGCAGATCTTCACAACTTTTCATTTCACGGGGAGCATGAAATATCCAAGGCCAGGTGGGCCAAGTGGAGTGGGCTAGAGGTTACTTCCCCTGGAGGATTGTTTTTTTAATGAAAGCAGTGGAAGCAAGTGGAATGGATGGTTCTCAGATGTTTCTGCAGCCAAATAATTTGAGGCTTTACAGCAAAATCAAATGTTTGCACTGTCACATGCTTTGAGACCTTCAGCAAATTATTTAGCTTGGGATGACTATGTCAATTACATAATTTATTTGCTGTATATATCCTAATATACCCACATATAAAGAGGTGTATATATATAATTTCCATAGGCATATATATGTATGTATGTGTGTATACATGTGTAGATCTGTATAATCTCACAGCAACCCCAAGAGATACAGAAGATACAGAAACTGAGGCCGAACTTAATTCAGTCTATGCCTGAATTAATCACTGTGACTACAGAATGGCTTCCTCATAAGAAAGAATAGTGGTGATGTTTTAACCAAAGGAAGAAAGAAGGAGTGTATGCTATGTAGATTAAAACTAATAAAAATGCCACTCTCACAGTCATTTAATAAGAAAGTGTGGGGTAACCATCAATGGCAGCTCTATATTCCAGAGAAGCCAGGGTCAGAACCTCTGTAGCACTTACAAAAGGTCCCCAACTTGGATATTTACTGCAGGATTCTTTGTAATACTGAAAAACATGCAACTGTGCAAACATCCATCAGTGTGGAGGAATGGTAAACTTGGTACATGCATGCAGTGTAACATATTTTGTGGTTAAGATTTTGATGTATAGGCATGGAATGTTATCAAAAGCACATTAAGTGGTCAAAGCCAGATACAGAAGAGTAGGTATGATTTTATAGGTATAAAACTTACAAAAATGTATAAGAACAGAAAGAAAAATGGAAAGAGTACACACCACACTGTTGGCAGTGTTGGTTGAAAGTGATGGGAAAGTCAAGTAGGAAGAAGGACAGTATCTATTTGAGTCATATATCCCTTTCTAGATGGATGGTGACCTTTTCTCTCAACTTTTTATTACTTTTTGTTTGTTTGTTGTTTATTGTTTGAGATGAAATCTCACTCTGTAGCCCAGGCTGGAGTGCAGTGGTGTGATCTCAGCTCACTGCAACCTTCGTCTCCCGGGTTCAAGCAATTATCCTGCCTCAGCCTCCTGAGTAGCTGGGATTACAGGTGCGTGCCACCACACCCGGCTGATTTTGTATTTTTTAGTAGAGACTGGTTGAGATATGAGCCTAACAAGCTTCTTCACAGACCCACCAATGTCATCATGTACCCCCACTGGAGGCTGTAAACTCTTAGATCTAGGAGATAAGTTCCATTACCAAGGAGGATCTGTCTCAGAAGTGTATCTTGAGATCCTTCCAAGTTCCATGCTTCTGGTTCTGACAAAGCCCACAGAATGAAGGGTCCTGAGTAAGCACTTCCTCTGTTCTCTGTTGAGAGCAGTTGCTCCCCAGAGTAGCATTTACAAACCTGGGGTGGGATTGAAGGAGAATGGAGTGGGTGATGGAGATGAAAACAGGAAACATTTTTTTTTTGTCCTTGAGAACAATTTTTCTTCAATCTCACTTAAAGCTTTCCATTTCTAATATTATACCTTACATGTAGAAAGCAATTTTAACTCTTCACATTCATTATTATGGCTCTTCAAAATAATCCTGCAGAGAGGGTATTATTCTGATGCTGAAGTCCTGCAAAAAAAGAAAACTGCTTTCCAAAATCCAAGGTGTCCATTGAAACACAAGGTGTGTACGTGCATGGGTGCATGCACCTGTGCGCACGCACACACACACACATACACACAAACACAGCAATATAATGCACAAACACCTCAGCAATCACATAACAATTTAAGAAAGGGGAATGAGGGGACAAGGCATAGTGTGTTTACTTCATTCTCCTTTAGATTTCAATGTTTTTTTGGTTTGTTTGTTTGTTTGTTTGTTTGTTTTTTGAGACAGAGTTTCACTCTTATTGCCCAGGCTCGTGTGCAATGGCGTGATCTCGGCTCACTGCAACCTCCGCCTCCGGGGTTCAAGCAATTCTCCTGCCTCAGCCTCCCGAGTAGCTGGGATTACAGGCATGCGCCACCACTCCTGGCTAATTTTGTATTTTTAGTAGAGACAGGGTTTCTTCATGTTGGTCAGGCTGGTCTCGAACTCCCGACTTCAGGTGATCCACCGCCTCGGCCTCCCAAAGTGCTGGGATTACAGGTGTGAGCCACCACGCCCGGCCAATGTTCATATTTTTAGTTATAAGCTGCACAGCCTAGAAATCCCATTTGTCCAAGTGACATGGATTGAATGCTCAGTGCTGTGTGGGATACCAAAGGAGACACCACCACGCCAGTTCTTGAGAAATTCACAGGCTGGCTGAGCACAAGCTCAAACAGAGGATAGGAGGTGCAATTAATTGGTAGCTTGCTGTTTCGGACCATAAAAATTTTAAAGATTCAGAAAAAGTGTGGATAATCTCGTGCTAGGCATACTTGGGGAAGATGTCTTGGGAGATTCAGGACTAGGATTAGAACATAATGGGTAATTTCAAAGACTGTGTAGACTGCATGGAGGATGAGAATTTCAGACTCCAGTCTAGGAGACAGGACAATGGCACTTTGACCTTAGTAAATTCCCATTGTAATGAAACCCTTTGAACACGCTGCCAATGTCCCCTTCCATTTGCTCAGTCCTTGGGATGGCTTCAGAAGTTTGTAAAGGCTCTAGCTTCAGTGTAGAGTCTTCCAGGGCCACTGATCTTGTGATCCAATCTAAACTTACACCCAAAAGAACAAATGGATTGAAGGGAGCTGAGTGGGAGTGAGCATAATTACCTGGGTGAGGGAGAATAGATGGAGAAAAAAAAAAAAAAAAGAACACAAGATGCCTAACAGGTATTATTTTCTGTGGCTATGTCAGATGCATGTTCTGGCTAGAGGATGGCCACAAGGTCTGGCCACACAGATATTCTTATTTCATCCTGTGTTGCAAAGTAATATTAATAAGCCAATTATTGTATATTCACCTATTGTATTACTTTGTCAGGGATGCTATGACAAAATACCACAGATCAGGTGGCTAAAACATTACAAATTAATTTTCTTACAGTTCCGGAATCCAGAAGTCCAATCTCAAGGTGCCAACAGGGTTGTTTCCTCTGAAGCCTCTCTCCTTTGACTTGCAGATGGCCTCCCTCTTCGGCCTCTGCACAAGGCCGTCCCTCTGCGTGTGCACGCACCTGGTGTCTCTTTGTATGTCCCAAGCTCCTCCTCTTATAAGGACACCTGTCAAATTTGATTAGGGCCCACCCTAATGGCCTCATTTTAATTATCTCTTTAAGAGCCCAATCTCCAAATGTAGTCACATATGAAATACTAGGGGTTAGGGTTTCAACGTGAATTTTTCAAGGGCAAAATTCCTGTGTTTCCATGGCCATCCGTAGATGTGTAAAAACCAAGGGAGAAGACTCCAGGTTCTAGGATAGGAATCTGGATGTATTCTCTTTGGAAGTGAGGCCAGCCTCTATGGATGGACCAGTCCCTGTAGTCGCTTGAGTTGGGATGCTGTGTTGCTGTGGAAAGCTCACACCTGGGTGCAGAGCAGTCGTGTCGTGTATAGACACAGCCTCAGGAACACAAACCCTGCTTGCCCCAGAGGCTTGACTCCCGAGTTCCACTCCTGGCAGAGTCCTCCTGGAGTCTTTGCACAGCTTGCAGAATGATCAGTGATTTTTGCCCCAACTCAGAGCCCCATCCCACTCAGCATGTTATCTTTCTGAACACATCCACCCTCCCCTGCCTCATCCCGACAAATCCCTAAGGCGCCTTTGATGTAAAACCCTGTGACCTGCCTGTTGAGTGCTGATGATGCAATCGTGTATAATTCAGCAGTAATTTATATTCCGTGCAGGTCTGAACAAAGCTGTAAAATGCTCTCGAGAGCTAAATGCGGCTGAAGCATTTAATCTAAGCAAAGGCAGGGTTTTGTATCATCTACTTCCCAGGACGGATGTGCCACTGTTGAAGGAGGAGGCCCTCTCCTTCTGTTTGCTGATTTGGTTCTTGTTGGTTTTAAAGATTGGAGAGGGAATAGAGGGAGGTGTCTCATGGAGGACTTGGCTGCTTCTTCTCTGACCTCCCTGATACACAGCCACGTGGGTGTTTCTGCAGAGCCTGCCTTGCAGCGACCTGTAGGGCTCCAGTCAGAACATAGGCCCTCTCTCCACATAGCAACAAGAGAGGAAGCCAGGATTGGGGATCCGCAGACACCGTTCCACATTCCTGGGAGCAGAAAATGTCACACAGATGGATATCTGGATCTAGAAACCTGTAGAAATTGTGCACCAGTGAAGTTGTGGGCATAACTTGGTCACATAAGGATTAGATATTTGGGCAAATGCCTGTGCACACAATGTGTAACTGCCCTGAATCTCTGTGAGAAGCCTCGTGAGGGCCTCAGTTTCCTAGGAGACGGCTTCTTGAATTAGTAAGAGCATTTCTGCTGCCTAGCCTGAGGCCTCAATTTTGATGCTGTTTCTCCACAGCGTCCATTGCTGTGTCATGACTGCCGTGGCTTCTCTGAGAATCCCTAAGCGGAGTGGAAACACATGTTCTAGCCTCCCCTTTCTGTGTAGGCTAATCCAGCAACAAGCACACAGGAAGCACTGCCTTGTCCACCTTATACACCTGCAATTAGCACTCAGAGTGAGCTGAGCAGGGAGTTGGCTCCGTAACTCTGCATATCAACTCAGAAATATTTTGGTCATTAACCTTTAAGGTGGTACTAGGAAAGAGCCAATATTGAGTTGGCTGACTAATTCTTTGTTCCCTGGTGACATTTCAGGGTGGCAAAAATTAGCTGCTCCCCAACAGTGCTATCCCTACCTGGCACTTCTAACATTAGCGACGCATTCCAGGGATCCAAGTTTCTGTTTCCTCTGGCTAACGTGGTGCTTTCTAACTTTCAAGCAGGGATTCACTGATGTCGTCACTACAACACTACCTATTGGCCCCAGAGTAGAAAGCGGGACTGTGAGGAAACAGCAGAGAGGGTAGCCAATTGGACTCTCTTAGCCCAGGACTTTCTAGTTTTAGGGCTGAAAGTCCCATGTTCCAGGCACCATCCTCCCTCAAATTGCAGGCAAACTGGAATGGTTAGTCATCCTACTAGGGAAGCAAGACTTTGAAGGAATAAAATAAGTCAGGAACTTACGGAAATTTGGGCTTATGGAGGTAGCACTAAAAATTTGTGTGTGGCCAGGGAACACCTTGAATATACCGTGCCCCTGGGGATGGGGTGTAGAAAGAAAGAAATAATCACATGAACCAGTCGTGGGAGTTCAAGTCAGAGGAGGGGAGGATGTTGCCAGCGAGGACGTGTGATGTGGGGAGAGAGGAGAGCTGGGAACTGCAGGGCTGGAAAGACCAGTGGAGGGTGGTAAGGACTGAGGGGGAAGCCTGGAGCCAGGGCAGCTTGGAAACCGAGGAAAGAGATAGCCAAGCAGGAGGAAGGTGTCAGGTAGCCAAAAAACTAAAATTAGCAAGAAAACTAGAAGCTAATATTTGGCAACCAGAGAAATATTAATGAGGGATGGCAGCAATGTGAATGTGAAGGAGACGGAGGAGGCAGCTATGTTTGGTGCTGGGACAAGGAGTGGGCAATCTGGGCATGAAAGTGGCTTCCTCTCTTTCACACTCACAGTGTGAAGGGGTCCTGGGGGAGCAGCAGGTCCAGAGCACCGAGACTATCCTCCCCTCTTCCAGCCAGGTGTTGACAAGGGCTCAGAGATGGGAGTTGCGAGGTGATGTTGTGGATGTGATTCCTGAAAGAGCTTCAGGAGGGGACAGTCATCAAAGGAAGCATGTGTGTCTACATAGCCCATTCCCCACCTCGGCCATGCCTTCCCACTCACAGGTGTTTACAGACGGGGACACTGGAGCTCAGGGGTCTGCAGGGTGCTGCTGCTTATGTGTCAGCAGGTCTTAACAGCACAGCTCTCAGCCTGCAGCTACTTGGGGTGGTGCCATCCCTTCTTCTAAGTGGACTCCTGAACTCTGAGCCAATGCCAGTGAGAGTCCTGGCACAGAAAGGGTAATTAGTTTTCGTTTCTCATTCCAACCAGCTGCGACTGGCTGGCTCCAGCTAGCTGCCTGGAGGACTGGGTTGAGTAGGAGTCTGAGGTCCCTTCCAGAACCAGCAGGAAGAGGGTTGAGATCAATTTGCTGTTTCTGCCAACAGCATGGCCTTGCCACCCACAGAGCAGCCACTGGACTTTGCCATCCAAAGGACAGTTCCTCCAATGACATACCTTAGCTCCCCTTGCAGATGGACAAAGCCGGTGATTTTCAAAAATATTTATGTCACTGGAATTCTGTCTTCCAATGAAATTTC
Source organism: Homo sapiens (assembly GCF_000001405.40). Taxonomy (NCBI): domain Eukaryota; kingdom Metazoa; phylum Chordata; class Mammalia; order Primates; family Hominidae; genus Homo; species Homo sapiens. The sequence continues at coordinate 141,463,479 of NC_000007.14, forward strand.
ACATGGAAACAGATCAAATCAAAGCTATTCTGGCCAAATAGAAGAGAGGGTTGGGAGTCTCTTCTACTTCCTGCCCTCCTTCCCAGTGGCAGCTCCTGAGCTGCCGCCATGGATCAGGGTTTGAAAACCACTGGGGGAGATGCTACTTCCGAAGAAGGCCAGGGACAGTCTGAGAGAATGACATTTGAACTGAGATCTGAGCAGAGCTGGAAGAAGGCCCTTCTGGGCATGGGAACAGCCAGTGCAAACAAAGGCCCTGAGGTAGGGCAACCTTCACTGGCTTGAGACAGAATGCTCTCTAGTGTGGCCAGAGTGTAGGGATGGTGGGAGTCAGGGTGATAAACGAGGTTGGCTAGGTAGGCAGGATGCACTCAGGTAAGGCCAGACGCGCAGGATACAGGAATACAGGCATTTGGATTGTGTTCTGAGTGTGATAGAAGCTATTGGAGCGTTTTAAGCAGCAGAGAATCATAATCTGATTAATTTTTTTAAATACCACTGGCTACTCTTTGAGGGCGAAAGTAGAAGGCAGGACTCCAGTGATCTGTTACAGCGGTCTGTGTGAGAAATGATGGAAGCATGACTCAGAGGGTAGCAGCGAGCCTTTCAGAAGTTAGAGGCATAGTAAGTGTTGTCTGCGAGCATGCCGTCTTACCGCAGGCACAGAGCCCTAGGACAATGGGGCACTGAGATGAAAGGAGGGGACCTTTGGGGACCCCTTTCTGTTTACTGTCTGCAGAAACCCTGTCCCTCCTTCAAGACTCTACTCCTGTGGGAAACCCTCCCCGACCTAGCATTGTCATCTGTATCAGAGTATAACTCTTACCAGTTGCTACTGGATATTTATGACTCACGCTCTTCCTAGAGACTTCTAGACTTGGGAGGGAACCTTACAGTCCTCTACTCCAGCTCCCTGATTTTACAGATCGGGGACCCACCATTCAGGGCTGATAACAAACTCAGGTCTCTTCACCCTCAGTCTGATACTATTTTCACTTCATCTTCAACTTTTCATTTATGCACGTCTCATATCTCTGCCTAGAGTATAAGCTTTTTTAAAAAGCTTTTTATTTTAGATTCATTAAAGATTAATTCTTATTTTAGATTGATTAAAGATTCTTAAGGGCAGGGATCATGTCTTATTCTTACTTTGATGTCCCTAGCATGTATCATAAAGCTTGACCCAAAGATAGAAGTTCAACAAATATTTGCTGATTTGCTGTTCTGCATACTAGGGCGCCCACAGCCACAGGAATGTCTCCCTCCTTCCCCATCATCACAGTTACTATGCCACCAATGCCCCCTCCCCAAGACCTGGCATTGCTTACCACCAGCCACCACTCCTACTGTCATGACTGCCCTGGCCAGGGTTATGCCTGGCACTGCTTACAGCCAGTGTGTGGAGCACGCAGCAGAACCCAGCTCCCAAAGGAAGGGTTGGGGGCAGAGTTTTTTCATGTTGTTGTTACACCACGACTACAGTTAGTATTGGAGTCTGAATGGGATTAGGCCCAAACCCCAATTCATAGTGGGCGTTACTAAGAAGATATGACTATGCATTACTATTTATTCTAGTTCTTGGATCCTCACTTATGTATCAATAAATGCTTATGTGAAATACAATGAAGACTTAGCCCCAGAGGCCATGGTCTGCTCCTGCTGGGGAGAGCAGGACTTTTATCTTTCCCATAGAGGGGATGCATACGGACTCTTTTCTGAGTAGAAGCCCCCTCATCTGCATCAGTAGCTCTCCCCAGGCTTGTGCCACTTGCACAAGGGACTGCTGAACTTTGGGTAATGGAGGAGGTTGCAGTTCCCGTGCTGTAATTAGACATCTTTTAATTAGACATCTTTTCCAGCAGAGCCATTTAAAATATTTTCCTAGAGGACCTGCCCCCTAACCTCAGCCAGTCAATGGGGAGGAGTTTTGAATGCCACACTCCCCAGTTTGCCACCAAACCACAGGCAGAGAGTTGTGTTCATCACACTAGACAGAAATCTGTGTCAGTCAGGGTCCTTGCCCATATGTCTCCCCTTTGTCCCCCTCTGTACGGGATTCAATCAATGTTTGTCAAAGCATATCATTACGTAAACTGTCAGAATATGGTGCTGAGTAGGAATGGCACCGCGTTATTCATTCAGTCCCTTTATCGAGGATCTACCATGCACCTACATTTATCTAAATCTAATTATTAGTACACATTTTCAAATTTGAACTTCTATGTGGAGAGGTACATAAAAATATAAATTATTGGCTGGGTGTGGTGGCTCACATTTATAATCCTTATAAGCCCAGCACTTTGGGAGGCCAAGGTGCCTGGATTGCTTGAGCCTAGGAATTCGAGGCCAGCCTGGGCAACATGGTGAAACCCTGTCTCTACAAAAAATTTAAAAATTAGCTGGGCATGGTGGCATGCACCTGTAGTCCCAGCTACTAGGGAGGCTGAGGTGGGAAGATCGCTTGAGCCCTGGAGGCAGAGGTTGCAGTGAGCTATGATTGTACCACTGCACTCTAGTCTGGGCAAGAGAAGAGAACCTGTCTCAAAAAATGTGTATATTAAAAACATATAAATCCTTGCTCATAACAGAAAACAGTAGCATATATGGAAATTAATCAAACCTCTTCCAACTCTTCCCTCTTTGACACATGGAATTTCCAAGCAAGTTGTATCACTGGTCTACTTTAAGGGCCATCTCAAGTGGGAGACATAAAGGTGTTTTCCCATCTATGGGAATATTGACAAGAGCTAACAGAAGGAATTTCAAAAGGTTCCACAGTCACAGAGCAACCAACAGGAAGTGAAGGCAGGAAGATTCCTCATCAACTCTATTAGTACAGCAGAACAGCAAGATGAATGTTATGAAGAAGTTGAGTCATTTTCTACTGGTACTTAGGTCCACCCGGACCTTATCCCTTCACTCCCCATTCATCAGCCACATCCTTTGTGTCTTGCCTGCCCTGCTGTGGAATATGCCATGAGAATCATGTATATCCAGCTTCATCAGCTACTGTCAGCTTGGGAAGACCACAGTTTCCTTGAGGTTGACGTCCTGTTTCAGAACAAATCACTGGACTTCTCCAGCATAGCATGGCTTTTGATAAGAAGAAATTTCTCCATTTCTTTAAGTATCCTCTGTAGAAACAGTTTATATAAAGTCCTTGGGTGACCTCAATCCCATCCACAGCTTCAATTTATGAGATGATGACTCAGACCACATTTCTGGCTCAGAACTTTCTATCAGGCTCCAGATCCATGTTTTCAAATGCCTTGAACATCCCAAGGGTGGCTTGAACTTGAACTCACCTCACTGCCCCCGCTTTCTGTCCTAAATCTAAATTTTAGTAAATTATAGCATTACATATCTAATGATAGGTTCACAAACCAGCAATTGGAAGCATCCACAGTAGGTGAGGCACGAGCAGGCTGGCTTTGGTCTGCTGGAATCTGGTTTATTTGAAACTAATGCCAAGACACAGCTTCCTCTTACTCTCCCACCCCAGGCAATTGCTCTTGCCTTGGCTGTGTCCTACAGGCTGCCTCATTCTCCTCTCCTGCCCCTGCTTCCACCCACCTGGAATCACTTCTCCAGGTCATACAAAGCACCTTTGCCCCACACAAGGATTCAAGCAGGCTGACCAACAGAAGTCATCTTGAGGAACTTGTAAAAACTATAGATTCCCATGCTCTTCCCCAAGACCCTCTGATTCAGGGAGTCTAGGTTGAGACCTAATCCACCCTGGGGACCATCAGAGAATTCAGTCTGAGCCCTAGTGCACAACATGAAAAAAACTATGATGTTCTGTAACTCCCACAAGTTTGGAGTACTGTTCTCACAAGCATTGATGGCACTACACACACACATCACACACATGCACAAATGCATCCACACACATGCACAAATACAAATGCATACATGTGTGACACAAATGCATTTTAGTCATACTGTCACTGTGCCCAGGTCACCTTCCGTTGTTTCTACAAATAATCATTGAGTAAACAATCATCTACTAAGCCATTCGGAGCTCCCAGCTCTGCTCCCACCTTGCCAGACTTGCCCCTTCCCCCTGATGACCACGGCAACCTCCTAACTGGTCTCCCTACCTCTGGGCTGCCCTCTACACTTCTGACTTAGTGGTCTTTGGAAATGCAGATTGAAGTCACCGAAGTGCCTTGACCCTACATGAAGGTCAAACTTCTCAGCTCTGAAAACAGTGCTTGCCCAGTATCTGGGGCTTCATTTGGTCTGCCCTCCGACAGCCGCTCCTCAATGCGCCCTCACCACAGACATCTTCATATCTAAATCTTACACATGTCCATACCTAAATATTTGTCCCCAGGTGGGATTATTTTCTTAAAGTGAAATTACTAGGACGAAGGTATGAGTATTTTAAAAATCACCTTTCTGCAAGGAAACACCAGCTTACACTCGCCCTGGAGTCTATGGGATTGTCTATTTTACTGCCCCCTTACTAGTTTTGGAGATGATCTTTCAAAAAAAAAAAAAAAAAGCAAAACAACAATAAAATAAAACAAAGTGTTGCTGATTTGATAGATTATCATTATGCTTTTAATTTTCAATTCTTTGGTTATTGGTAAAATTGACCATTTTTCACATGTACAATCCATTTGTATTTCTTCCTCTGGATCTGGGCTTTGGCCGATTAAGTTTTATCTTTCTCCAGTAAAAACTTGTTTCAAATCCTATAGCTCCAAAGTGTGGTCATTGAGCCAGCAGCATCAGCATGCCCCAAGAACTTCTTCAGGATGCAAATTCTCAGGCCCCCACCCCAGATCTCCTGAACCAGAAACTGTGGGTGTGGGGCTCAGTGATCTGCTTTGAGTCCTCCAAAACTACAAACTGCCCTAACCCATGCCGAGTGAGAGAGAAGGCATCTGGAACCTAGGTGTGAAACAAGGGAAACCCATGAAGTGACCCACTTTGCCTGGCACCAGTTGTAAACAGTACAGTGGATGAGACTGCAGGCTCTGGAACTAGCCTGCCTGAGTTTGTAACCTGACTCTGTCAGTTACTAGCTGTGTGATCTTAGGCAAATGACTTAAGCTCTCTGGGCGTCAATGTCCTTATCAGTAAAATGGGGATAATATAACCCACATCTTAGAGTTGTTTTATGAATTAAGGTTTTAGTACATGCCACAAATTTAGTGAGGCAGTGTCACTGTCTGGGGTAATTATCCGACATTTGTCATCTCACGCCAGGGAACTCGAGGACACAGACACACAAGAAGTGGGTTTAGGACCGGAGGTTTAATAGACAAAAGAAAGAGAAAGGAGAATAGCTCTCTCTCTTGCAGAGAGAGAAGGGTGCCCAAGTGGGACTTCCAGTCTGTGGCGAAGTGCATAGGGTTTTATAGACCGGCTTGAGGTGGCGGCGTCTGATACATAGGGCTCAAAGATTGGTTGAACCGGGTGTGACATTTACATAGGGCACGAAGAAGCTGGCCACCCCATCCTAATCTTTTCATTATGCAAACGGATTTTCTACCTGGCGGGCACCATCTTGTTTCCTCCTTACTGTTCATGTGGTTGACAAAGAAAAGGGAAGATGCAGCCACCATGTTGAACATGCCTAGCCCCCAGGCAGCCTCTTCCTATTGGCACAGCTGCCAGTATGCACCCATGCAAGCTTCCAGCTTGCTTATCTATGTCTGCAGCTCAATTTTACAGGCTGCTCATTTGCTCAAAGAAATGATTTGGGGGTTGCTTTTTATTAAAAGGAAAACCTTACCGAGGACTTCTTTACCCTCACTCTCTGCCTAAATAATTCATTTTTAACCAGTATATCATTAGCACAGTTCCTAGCACATAGCACTTAATACTTATTTTAGGGTCAACTGTGGCCATTTAAATTATCACGAGCTGGTGAGCCTCATTCTTCCACTCTATATTTTCTTCCTTGTCTTCCAGGAAGCTTCTGGAAAAAATTAGGCTAGATCTTAAAGAAACAAGTCTCAATCTTAAAGAAACTTGGCTGTTAGAAAGCAAGAGTTTTAATAATAAATATAAAATTGAATGCACCTCCTTTTGTTCCTTCCCTATAAAAGTGCTTTTCCTTTTTCTTCCTTCCATTGACCCAGCCCAGCCTTCCCAAACTATACATCCTTCTTCTGCTCATTGCTCTCATATCAGTGGTTACATAAAGAACAGAAAACACGGCAAATGCAGAGAAAAGTTATTGAATTCATTTTAGGCACACCAAAAACTTGTTGTATTAGTTTAAAATGGGTTTATAATTCTAAACCATTTTATATCATTCTACCTCTTATAGCAGTTTTCTTATTAGAGACTGATATAAGTAATGTTTTTAAGAGGACGTCCCATCATCAATAAGTTTGTGAAATTCTGCATAAAGTAGGGTAGATGAGTTACCTTAATATTAACGTGGATGATGCGTGTTCATGGGTGAGAAGTCATGAGTAGGATTCCCCGTCTTTTGACTCTGCCTCCCACTTTGTAAAGGATCTCATAGCGTTAGCACTCCAGAGAGAACACTTTGGGAAATGTCTTATAGGAAAAAGGAAAATATTTCCAGGTTTTGGAAGAATTGTTGGTGAACAGATTAAAGGAAAACCTAATACTGTATGAGTAAGTTGTTATGTATAAGAAAGAGAAAAGATTGTTTTTCTCTTTAAAGAAGTAGCAAACAGTAGGTGTTTTCCATGTCTCCAAAGAAATACAATGAATTTAAAATGCTTTAGGAAAATGAACTGAATGCTCTTCTGCTCACTCTACCCCACACAAAATGCTCATGAGATATCTATTTAGCATCTTCCCAAAGGAGAGACTTCCCGAGTGTGTCCAAGACTGGGCCATTATTGGAGAGTGATGAAGTGATGATCCTTTAATACTATTCTCTGCTCCATGAATATTTCCAGATACTGACCTTGGTGATAACCTGCTCTTACCTAGACTTCCCATTTTTCCTACTCAAGAAAATTGAAAATGTAATAATATTAACTTTTCTCTTTCTCTCTCCCGCTCCTCTCCCCTTTCCTTCTCCATTTCCCCATCCTGTGTCTTTTCCCTTGTCCTCCAGGAACCTTCTGCATCATTTCACTGTGCACCTGTGTGGCCGGGATCAACTTTGAGCTGTCACGCTACCCACGCTACCTGTACGGACTCCCTGATGACATCAGCCATGGCTATGGCTGGTCCATGTTCTGTGCATGGGGGGGCCTGGGCCTCACACTCATCTCGGGATTCTTCTGTACCTTAGCCCCTTCTGTTCAACCTGTCCCGAGGACCAACTACCCTAAATCCAGACCCGAGAATGGGACAGTGTGCTAAAAAACAAACCCATACATACATATATATATATAAATATATATATATAATATACATATATAAAACAAAACAAAACTAAATCAAGACGATGCCAGTGCCAAGGTAGAGTTGAGTTGGCTCAGGCACCTGCATCTCGCCGGACTTTGTGTTGCCTCATCTCTGAGATGGGGAAAGTTTTTCCATCCTGTGGCTCTTCCATCAGTTCTTGACTTTTGGCTTCATGGTCTCTTGAAGACAGAGCAAACACCACCACTTGCGACCGCGTCTTGATCCCCATCACTGGCGAGGATGGGGTGGTGAAGGGACAGTGGAAGGGGTCTGAGGCAGCACAGATGTAGAGAAGGAAGTGCCACCCACTGGGTCAACGGGAGAGGACGCCACCCCTAACCAGTCATATCACAGGGTAACAAAGCCCTCAGTTCCTAGAATGTAACCAAATTATTGAGGCCATTTTCAGAATCACTTCTTCTCCTGCTCTTCCTGTTCGGACTTCCTTCCCAGCCCACCAGCAACACACAAGGAGTGGAAGAGAAAACAAACTGAGAAGGACGTTTTCTCTTTGCTGCCAAACTTTTGGACCATGTTTCATAGGTGGGAAGGGAAGAGAACATGCTGAGAGGCAAGATCTGCATCAATGAAAGGACGCTTCGGTGGATGCTCAGACAACCCAGTCTTACCTTCCAGCTGCCTTACACCCAGTGAAACAAGAGGCCACCCTGTCCCCAGCCGCACCTGCACTCCCTGGGCAGACTGGAGCCTTGGAGTCATGCTGTGATGTGTGTGTGTGGGTGTGCGTGCATGTGTACTTTGGGCGGTTTCCTTTTTTTCTTTTCTACCTTTTAAATGGAAATACTGCATTATGACTGTTGTCTCTCTTATCACTGTAGTGGTTTCATGGCCCCAGATAGAGGCCCAGAGACCTAGAAATTGTCATGAGGGACAGGCCTATAAGGGTGCCAATTCTGCAGCTACAGATCCCTGGAGTGGTGTGTGTGTGCGTGTGTGTGTGTGTGTGTGTGTGTGTGTGTGTGTGTGGTGGATGTTTCTTGAGCGTGGGGTTTTATTGTTTGTGTTGTGTTTTTTTAAATTGTTTCTGGTATAGCTGAAATTTCCAGAGGGCAGAACCAAGAACAAAGCCACTGGGCCAGAGGACCCCCGTGGTTCTCCACATTACAGCTCTGGGACTCTGCACGATTTAGTCCTCTAATTTTGGAAGTTCAAGACACAGCTGGGCACATAAGCCATGAGAGAAGAGGGGGAACACACAGTTCAGGAGAGAGAAGAAATGTTGCTCTGGTTGCTGTTGTACAAGAACATAAACCAACAAGACCTTCACTCCCCATTATAGAAGCTGTCCTTTGTCACTGGACATCTCCCCTTTCCCTAGGGGTGACCTCTGTACAAACGAAAGGAAGTGGGTCACATGCAGAGAGAGCACCTCCATTTCCCATGGGCTCAAGTTTGTATGATATTGTGTAAATTAATGCAGAACTCTTGACTCTTTCCATCCTCTTCCTTTCCCTCTTGATATTCAAGGCCATGAATCCCAAAATAACAGTCTTAGTGGCTAGCACCCAAACAGAGGTGGAATAAATCCACCCCAGTGTCTCGGGCTCATTTGAGCAAATTAGCACTGCAGGTGCTGGCAAGCAAAGTCAGCCAGAGAGTTGTGAACGCTGTAGGGGTGGGAGTCTGCTGGAGTGGGCTGGAGCCGCTCACAGTCATCTCAGTGAGCCTGCTGGTGCCCAGCAGCCCTGGGGAGGCCAGGTGAGAATCCCTGAGCTGGTGTAGCCATGGTCAACTGTGTAGCAGAGAATCCCCTTGTTTCATAAACAAATATGCTTTGGGAGCTTTGCCAGGCACTCAGCAGCCTTTCTTCCACTGCTGTGTAATCTGTTTCATTTACACGTCTTCCAACCCATCTTCCTACCACTCTCCTCCTTTTCTCACCTACTAACCACTTACCTTCTCTCTCTTCTATCTTCCACCCTCATCTGCTCCTTTGAACTGCGTGTATGTAATTCATATCTGGATATGATATGACATCTGATGTGCATGAATGGGGTTGAATGTGGATCTCTCTGTATGTGTATCTCTCTGGTGCATTTTGTGTACGTTTGTGTCAGTACACACCTGCACACAGGTGTGGGTGCCCTACTCAAGACTTCCTTACCGGGGACTCTGGTCAGCTTCTGCAAAAGGTCTCATGTGTGAGTTCCCTGTGTGTGGGTGTGCTGGGCGATAGGGTAAGGTGTGCAACGGGAAAAGTTGTTAGCTTCCAGTTGGGGTTCTAAGGATTATTTTTAAAACAAAGGATTTATTCTATGAGAAGGGAAATAATTTTCAGGAAAACCCAGTTTTTCAATTGGGCATTTTATTTCTAATTTTCTTTGAAAAGTTAGATTTCTCCCTTAAGGGGAAGGGCATACTTGGGCTTAAGGAAAAGTGAAGAAAAGTATCTCAGATTGAGAGGCCTTTTGTCTTCCTTCCAAGCGTCCTGAAGGGGCTCTGCCGAGGAAGGGACAGACAGGTTCACAAGCATCCATTTGGGGGAGAGGGCTTGTCTATGACCACACTGAAATTCCAGCTTTTTTCCAGTTGCAGGAGAGAGGGGAAAAATTCTAAATGGGGAAATTTGCTATGAACCATTTAAACTTTTTGTAAGTAATCATGTTTGAGGATGCTGGCTCACAGACCTATCATTATTTATATCCTCTTTTTAAAAAAAAATCCCATACTTTCAATGAATAGATTATCTGCTCTATCCAATTATTGTCTTTGTGACAGACATTTAGCAAAGCTTACTGCATCCCTTTGAAACCTTGAGAGTTCCTGAAATGTTAGAAAGCTCCCAGGAAAGACGTAAACAACCTGGGCTCAACTCACCAGCCCAGAGCAGGGGCTTTGAGTGACTTCTTTGATAGCAGGACCAGATAAATACGAACACACTTTGGGATCTGATCCTGCTGGGAAGCAAAAGACGCCCAGCCACATGACCAGGATAGAGGCCCCTTTCAGACGGCAAGTCCTGGCCAATGGGAGGACTTCTCAGGTGACCTTGATCCCTCTAGCATAAGGGCTTGACCACAGATTAAAACATGTGACTCCAACCAGTTACGGAAGCTTTCTGGCTGTGAGGTAGCTGAGGGAGATGAGGAGGAGGAAGAGAGGAGCCTTGACTTGTGAGGCTCTGTAGGTCAGACTCTGCTAACTCCAAATCAAAGTGGAACCCAACCTTATGAGGGCATTTAGGGTCAATGACCTCACTAAAGTCACCAGCCGCAACCCCAGGTCAAGTTCAAACTTCTTACTGGCATATGAACATGTATGTGCTTTGAGCTCCATGCAAGTCAACCTTGAGCCTGGGGCCCATTGCAACTTTTATTTCCTTCCCTACTCTACTACCTTGAGATTCAGGAAAGTGAGGTATTCTACCTAGAGAGAGGTCCCATATCTTTTTCTCCTTATTTTGGGAGTTACGGTTTCTTCTTCTGTTTCCGTTTCCTCTCTCTCTACTCACTCCTACTTTCTCCTGCATCAACTTTGGTCAATTAACATAGACAAGTGATTCATCTGTAGAGAGGCTCCTAGACTCCAAGCAGCCCCCTTCCTTGTTCATTGTGGCTGTAGGTTTTATAAGGAGGTCTGTGGCTCCCTGGCATCAAAATATGAAAAATAAAATCTGTGCCTGTTCCAGCTTCAATCCTCCTCCAAGCCTTAGCTTTTCAACAACCCTACCCTTTCAACTTCAGGGATCATGGAGTCACAGAGACTGGACAACTCCTCCAAATCTAGACAAAGACTTTCTTAAGCGCCCTGAGCCCAGGTGCATATCTTCCCATCAGGGATGAGTGGTCCCACCTAGCAATGCTTGCCTCTCCTGTGACAAGAGGGTAGGATATCCTAGGACTCTGAGACTGGGCCCTATATCTCAATATTCATCCACACTCATGATAAGATGCCGGAAATGAATGCACTGTGTGTAGCTGTCTTGATTTAGTGGGAGGATGTGCTGCTTAGGTCTCCAAAGATGCCCACCTGGGTCAAATTCAGAATAATGAACTCAGGTACATCACCCAGAGGCATTTAGAATGGACTCTCTCTTCACCTGGATTATGTGCTGAGTGTTAAGTGATTTTTCAAATATCTGGGGGAAGGAGTGGGAAGAGATACACTCTGGTCATCCTTTGGTGTGGTTTGTGGGGGATACTTGGTTGATTCTTGTAGTTAAAGTGAAGTTGCTTTTCTGAAAATGTTCCCTGTCTTCAGGGGACTTACCCATCCCAGGGGACACATCCATCCCAGGGGACACAGCCAGCCCTTTCCAGGGAAATACGATGTTTCTGAGTGAGAGGTGATTTCAGTGCAGATAGGAAGAGCTGGTGCACACCAGCAGGGTTGCCTTCCATGCCATCTTCCAGCTGGTGTGGGATAGACTAAGGGGGCAGATTTTTAAGAACCCCACCAGAGTTGACATACACACGTGATTCTCGTGTCTGTCTCTCAAAGCTCTCAATGTCTGGGGCTGTGTTTGCCCTCTTTTCATTGATGCTGCCATGATGCAAAATGTTTCTTAAACATTATTCCTGGTTCTTAGAATATGTGATTACTGAGTATTGGATTTCTTTCCTGAATAATAACTGCTCATTGTAGAAAATAAGAAAAATAAAATACAAAAAAGACTACAAGATTTTTCATAATCCAGTCACTCTGAGGCATCTACCGCGGGCCCAATCCAAATGGTCATGACCTCAAAACTTCCCCAATGAGTGCTTGTCTCTGGGTTGGCAGCTGGGGCCATGTGAGCAGTGTACACCACAGAACCGCACTGGTCTGCGTTGAGTTGACCCTGTGTTCCTGGCAGCAAGAGTGCAGGGCCCTGAGCCCCCAGAGATAGCAAAGAGGCCTAAAAGTTTAATGCCAGACCTTAGGGGCAGGATGGAGCAGGGCTAAAAGATGTCTCTTTGGGCCTGTCTGCCTGCTTTCCTTCCTTCCTTTTCTTTCCTTTTTTTTTTTGGTCAGTTGCCATCTCAATCTAATCATAGATGTAAGAATGCGGAAGCCAGAGTAACTCACTCATTAAGCTACACTTGTGTAACAGTTACTGTAAATTTCACTACAGCTCTGCACTGAAATGATTTGTGACTCTGGGCACTGTGTCTTCTCCATACTTGAACTTCCTCATCTACAAAATGAGGATAAGTGATAACACCTTACCTCATGGTATATTAAGGGTGACAAAGAAATTGCAAAGTGATTTGCAAACATGAAGTGTCATATGAGTTATGTATGTTCTAATTATCCCTCAGAAGACCCCCCGCTGGAATGGAATTCTCACATCAAGTGTCTGTGCCTCGCTGCTGAAGGATAACCCAGAGTGCAAGGTCATCTTTGTTGCTGAACAGGGCTGGACCTGTCGCACTTAAGCACACTTAAAGGATTCTATTCTTCATTCAGGTCCCCCAGAGAAATTGGCTCCTTATTTTTCTTTACCTATTCCTAGACTTCCTTTTGTCTAGAGCCAGTTTTGCAAAGGGCACTTTTATCCATCTCAGTTATTCCCAGAGGTGACAGAATGAGTAAACCATATGGGGCAAATAGCATATATGAGCTAAACCAGTTAACTGTTAACCAAGGCACATGGTCAATGCCTTAGTATTTTTTTTTTTAATTCTCCTAACGTTATTTCTAGCTGTACATTCCCAAAAGGAATGGGTGGAAGCAAATCAGATTCTGAAAGGTTTCAATGATCTTTCAAGTTTAGGATGAGACCAAGTCTCAAGGAGCTGGGATCTTCTTTCTCTTGTCAGTTGCTGAAGCCAGTAGCTTCGTCAAAAACATATGAATTCATATAAGGAAGCCCTTTAGATGGTACATTCACTAAGACGTGTCTGGGTGTGATCCTGTTTGGGAAAAACAGAATCCTAGGTTCTAAACAAGAAAAGAACGCCCTTCCCAAAGGGTCCGCACACTTTCTGCTTTGCAGCGGATCAAGTGTCCTTGTGAGGGTGAGACTTCCTTCAAGGGAAGGGAAGCCATTGCTCTCTCTGTAGATAGAGCCCAGCTGGTAACGGGGGAGCCACCCAACTGCAGGGGGGTGTATGTTCAGGTGTGAAAAACAGAAAACTGGGTCTGAACATGAAGAGTTGCACAGCAGTAGTTCGAAGAAGCTGGCATCTCTTTGGCAAACACCAACCTCAGCAAATGCAACTCCTACACTTCATTCCCAAGGACCAGGTGTTGCTCCTTAAGGAACTCTGTATCCCTCTCTCCTCTCCAGAACCCCATTCCTCCCACTGGCTGAGCTTTTCCTTTCCTTTCCGGGTCACCCATAGACCCTCTCCGTCTGTACCAGTGCGTCTGTGTTGTGAGCGTGACGAAGCCTTTCCTGTGAAGAGCTTTCATGAACTCATTCTCATACTCCTTCCCCATTTCCACCCATGGTGTGACTGTTTTGCTATTCAAGACTATCTGTAAAAATGTACAAATAAAAGTGAAAACTGAAAATAAAGGGGAGGGAGATTGAGATTAAACAAATGCAATGATGTAGCCCTTAGTTTTCTGAGGACTTCTGTGGACGGCCCTAAAATCCTGAGTTAGGGTGGGATATGAAGGGAGGGATACCATTGACACAGGAGGTTTTTTTCTGGTTGTTTCTCTCACAGTCATCAGTGTCTGCTTAGAACTCTCTGTTCTAAAGGTTTTTCCCTGTAAAGTAGAATGCACTTCCCCCAAAATAAAAGTAAATCAGCAATGTTTGAAGGGTCATGGCAAGGGTCATGACAAAGACCTGACTCTGGGGTGGCATGAGTGGCCCTGTCACCGGCTCACTCAGGGCCTTGGGGGAGTCTCATTACCTCACCTTGTCTCCACGTCTTCTCAGCCAAATGGGGATCAGGGGCTTCCAGGGCTCTGGGGGTGCGCAGTCCCCTTGTGTATTTTGCTGCTATTTCTAGAGAGACTTTGAGCCCTTGCTAGTGCGTGCTTACTGCATGGAGGTAAATTAGGAGATGTTTTCTCTCTGCTACTCCTGGCCTCTGCTTTCGCCCCTCAGAAAGTGACCTTGAGCTAGCAGCCAGTTTGCACTCAGAGTCCAGAGCCTTCTATCTACCGTTTCATTCTCAGATTCCTTTTCCCACCCACTTTGACGATCTCATTTTACTATCAGTCTCTACTGACTGAGCTTTGCTGCACTGGGCTGGGGTAGGAGAAAGAGCATCCAAGGAGATGATGTGTGAATTGCTTTGTAATTTATGACTCACCATATAAATGTGGCTTGCAGTGTCAGAAGCAGGGAGTCTGGCCAAGGGTTGCTACCAAATAAGACTGAAGATGGTGGAGGCAGTGGTGGCGTGGAGGCAGTAGGCAGAAGATGTGGGTTGGGAGCAGAGGTAAGATGAACGGAGCTTTGGGAAGGACAGATGGCAGAAGCACCAGAAAATCCTCAGCAAGGCAGCAGAGAAGGATCCTCAAAGCAGTAACCCTGAAGTAATAGGAAGTAGGAAAGAGGAGCAGGGATTAGGTAAATCTGCAGCATAAACAGCTGTCTCCCTGCAGGACTGAGAAGACCAGCTGCCCCAGAGAGGGGAGGCACGTCGAGCTTGGCCAGTGACCCAACCCATGATTAGAGGCACCTTCAATCCCAACTTTCCTCTCCTCTGCTGGGTCACAGTGATGGAACCAGCTTCAGGAAGGTAGTATAGACCAGCGTCATCCAATGGAACCATGATCCAAGCCACATATGCAATTTAAAATATTCTAGTAGCCACATTTTTTAAAGTCCAAAGAAACAGCTAAAATCAGTGAAATTAATTTTTAGACTACATTTTAACCTAACATGTCAAAAATAGTATCACTTCAGCATGGAATCAATATAAAAATTACTGGGATATTTTACATTCTTTTTTCCAAATGAAGTCTTCAAAATCCAATGTGATTTTCCTCTTAGAAAACATCTCAGTCTGGCCCAGCCCTATTTCCAGTGTTCAATAGCCACACCTGACTACTGGTTGCTGTATAGGACAGCACGGACTTAGGTTCTTCATTAGGAGACTGATGGGGGGGGTCCTTCCTGGTGGGTCACTCACTGCCATAGCTCTTGTCATAGCTGATGAAGGCAGGAGTGAGTCTTATTATGTTGGCCTAGAGTAGAAAGCACAGAGCTATGTCGAGGCTGCTGTCTCAGCCTCTGGAAGTTCTGCTTCACCTGCTTAGTAAGAGGAGATGACCACTCCTGTGGACTGCATGTCCCATCTGCCCCCAGAGGGTGTCGGCGCTGCCCCAGTCATGTCCCTTATGACCTGTCCAAGTCCTAGAGGCCAAAGCAGGTCATATTCTTCAGCTGCAGGAATGTCAGCTACTGCCTCCCACCCCTTAACCTGATCCCCTTATCATATAGTGGGGAAGGGGCAGGCAGGCCTTCTCTCTGTCAAGAACAAAGATCTCTACAACATTTCGTCACCTGGGCCAGTCACCTGCTAATATCATCTCACCAATATTTGGAGCTGTTTTCTGAATCCCTTAATTTTCTTAAATATTTATCTTAAAGTCAAATGCTATAAAGGAGATACCCTGGGAAGGGCAGTGGCCACAGGCAGACTGGGTCTCCTAGGAGGTGGTGGTGTTGGTGACAAGTTCTACTTGGACTGGGACTCAACCCACCATTGCCTACCTCTCTTCCCTGCCTGGAGACCTTCCTTAGGATTGAAGAAACCTCTTTTGTTTGTGAAAAAGATAGGTATCGAGATCTTAATGGAGAGAACAGAATAAAATGCAAGGAGCCAACCCCTGGGTATTCTCAAAGCATTTCAACGGTCAGTATAACAAGGTTTGATTGATTTAAAATATAACATTCTGAGCCCTGTGTTACTGAGCAAAAATGAGCTGATTTGGTGAGTATGTTTTATATATGGTCATTAGACAGGGACCATAACTGACAAAACTCTCAAACGCCTGGAGTGTTTATGGCCCACCAGATTATTGCTCAGTCAATATAAATTTATTTACCTTTATTTTAATTTGCATAGTGCTTTCTGATTGGTCAGACAAGGAGTGGTGTGTACTGCAGGATTCTAACAATGCCTCTGCCCTTGGAGGCAGCAATTCCTGTGGTTATTGGTGCTAAAATAAGATAAAATATTATGTTAATTTGTTCTGATATGATGTGAATAAATGTGTTGTTTAATCTTAACAAGAATGCTACATCTTATCAGATCTATTGTACTGTCTGTTCCTTCTCATAATTAATTAATTACAGGAAAGGCGATTCAAACCAGATCTTGAAACTATTGTGATGTTCTGAGAGGTAAATTTAACAGGGAAGTGGGAGGGGGGATGAAAAGGGAAATTGCCAGGTTCCTGTGACTTTGAAAGGACTGAGGAAGCAGAGAGCATTTGGGGACTTCACTGAAACTGACTGCATCTTGCAATTTTCTTTTTCGAATTGGCAGAAATATTGTATTTCCATTGATTGAAGAAAAACAAGTGTCTGGTAATTAATTAAATGACTTGTTCATGGAAAAAATAAATAATCTGTCAGTTGTGGAATGTAAACTGATTAAACAATTAAATAAAGAAGATTATGTTGTGTGTTTTAAAGGATTGTGTCTGCTTAGGGGTAGGGAGCAAGATGGGGGTGGGTGGAGGCTGCAGTGTTTGATGGTGAAGGGTATTTTTCCCTCAGGTTCTGTATAGAAAAAAAGTCAATTATTATGTAGATAACCAGCTGAAAACTTGAATGCAGAAGAAAATAGATAGCAAACATTTCAATCATGTGAAGGCCAAAGGTACATGCTTCGCATGTTGGGTGGAAGGAGAAAAAATGGAGAGGGATTCAGAAGAGAAAAAGAGGGAAACTGTTGTTCTTTTTTTCCTATTACTGGCATTAATAACTCTTTTTAAAAGACTTTATGAGATGCTGGAATGACTAATTACATTCTAACCCCTCAACCTGTTTCCCAGTTCCCAGTGAAGAGAGAAATTTCTCTCCTAGTCTTCATCAGCTTTGTCCCTAACTTTGAGTCACAGTTCCTTTCCACACATCTACCTCTTCAAAGGTTTGGGCTCACACCTGGGTGGGAGGCTAGGGGAGGAGGGAAGTGGACTGGAGAAGCAAGTGCTCTGTAAAGGGTGGTGTATCTCAGCCAGCATTTACAGTGAAAGAAACTGGCTGTGTCTGATATAAGTGGGAAAGTAATTTACTGATGAGACATGGGTAGCTGGAAGCCTGTAGGAAGGAAATCAAGAAGAAACGCGTGGCTGAGCAGCCAGAATCGCATCTCATGCTGATCTGGACCCTGCAGTCACCGCTGCTGGACTCTGGGCACCACAGCTCACCCGGCTGCTGCTACTGCCCTGAGGCCGTATGGCGCTGCTTCTGCCGCCACCTCCACCAGGATGAATCCCCAGGGCCCTTCCTCTCTCAGGCAGTAGCTCTGGTGTCAGAATCCCACATGGGTGCGCCATCTAAGGAGACTGAGAAAACAGGTTTAGGGTCTTTTAATCTTCTCTCTTGAGGGATGAGCCCTGCCTCCCACCAAGATGCATGGAATAGACAATTCCCCAAACCTAGATCTGGGCAGCCCGAAAGAAGAAATGTCCATTAGAGGTGGGATGGCTGAGGGAGAGGAAGGATACCTGAATGAGAGGTATATTGCTGCATCTCCGTGTGGTAGATCTCTAGGGTGGCCAAGTGGGTGTGACATAAACCATGACAGTGATTAGTGTCGTGGCTAGTAGCCTCTGTGGAAAGATGGGCACAGTGCTGGGCCTTGCACAAGAAGACCTGCGTGGATTTACTCTGATATAGAGTAATATCAGCTGTGGAACTTCTTTAAAAGGGGCATCCTGGAGGTAACAGAGACAGTAAAGCATTTAAAAAGTAAGTGCAGGTGAGGGCAGGTGACTTATAGAATAGATGAGGGAAGGGTTTTACAAGTGGAAAAGAACTTGAAGAAATGGGAGAGCCCCACCCCACCTTGATAGTAATGTCCCTTAGAAGAGAGAAAGAATGGAAATACCACTGATCTTAAGAAGTGAGCAAGACTTTCCACCCTTGCACCTTCCAGGGAAAACAGGTGGAATTAAAGAGTGTCTGCCCCAGCCCGGGCAGGGGTGAGTAGGATGGGGAAGACGTTCTCACCAGACCCTGGGACTTCTATGCTGCAGCATCGTGACCTGAGGGGTGGATGCAGTTGCCAGCAGCTCTTTGAGGCAGAAGGCCCCGATGCTCTGTGGACAGCCTCAGGTAAGCCACAGGAGACATTCTGTTCTCCTTTTTCCAATGCAGCACCACTTTGATTTCCGTGTCTCAAATGAATTATGCAGCCCACAGAGTTTAGCAGAGACCTGGGTTTGTGGGAAACACACCTACTCCTCCTCACCTTAGCTTCAGAGCTTCTGGGCGCAAATGTTCCTAGTGAGAGCTGTTAAATAATTGCAGACAGGCAGTTCCAAGAGCCGTAACCAAGCCCTCAAAATACCCAGGGTGGTTCATAGAGGGCAGTCTCCTCCAGGAAGCCTTCCTCCCTGAACACCCACCTGGGCGAAGAGCTCTTTCCCTAACCCTGTGGCAGCATGCTGTGTCTCTCATGGTGCTTAGCACCTCTGGATGAAAGTATTGCTTTCCTTGGGATCCTCGCAGGCACTAAGCTGTCTTGAAGCACAGGGATTCTGACTTACTCATCTTGGTATCCCAACAACTAGCAGCACCTGGTGAGCAGTAAGTGCTCAACAGGTGCTTACTGGTCTGAACCAAACTAAAGCCTTCCCCCATCCACCTCCACAAGTGGATTCTTGGTGGCTGGTATTAAATTCTTCTTTAGAGGTCCCCAAGACCACGCTCGGATTCAATGATTTGTCTGAAGGACTGACAGAACTCAGAAGAGCTACTATACTCAGGGTTATGGTTTATTACACAGGAAAGATACAGATTACAATCAGCAAAGGTAAAGGACACATAGGGCAGGGTTCAGGGGAGACCAGAAGCAAGTGTCCAGTTGTCCCCTCCAGTGGATTTCAACGGACAGCACTTAATTCTCCCAGCAATACTGTGAGAAAACATGGAAGAAGCATTGGCAATCGGGAAGCTCACCTAGCCTTGATGTCCAGGGATTTGTGTGTGTGTGTGTTTGCGGGGGGCGGTGGGGGGGTGGTGTTAGTCACCTAGGCATGAAGTACCTATGTGGCTAACCTTAGTTACTCAGTCTCCAGCCCTGTCAGAGGTCAAACTGATGACCCATGGCCAAGGTCTCCACCATAAGTCACATTGTTAGCATCAACTATCTAGCATGACCCAAGGTACAGCAGGTGAACAAAGGCATTCTCATCAGGCAAGGTATTCTAAATGATCTATGGAGGTAATTTAGAAGTGATCTATCTCCAGGAGCCAAAGGCCAGAGCTCCCTTGGGATGGGCAGAGTTGGGGTAACCCAAGCCCAGAGCTGAGTCAACCCTCTACTACACACTGAGCTATGTGCTGAGTCAGAGCAAACAAAACACACTTCCTGTCCACATGAGAGTTCCTTTCATGTATCCTATATTCTTTCTCTTTCCCTCTACAGACAAATCCAGCCATGGCCCTCTTTCCCCGGGAAGACCATTATGTCTAGCGGTCTCCTTTCTCTCTGCTTCTTCTCAGGCAGCTCCATGCACCCTTCATAAGAGGCTGGGGACAGGGGGATGAGGGTGGAAAGAGCACAGTACTTGAATCATTAAGCAGGTCTGGATTGAAGTCCTTCCCCATATAAATTGTGCCACTTGGCCTCCTCAACCTGTGTCTTGTAAAAACAGGTATTCCAACACCTCTGTCCCATACCACTTTAGAAAATGGAAGAGTTAGCAAATATGAGAGTGCCTCGCCCAGAATCGTTATTCAGTAACTGTTAGCCTCCCTTCACCTCCCATGCACAATTAGTCCTTTTTCTTTGTTAAGCAGATTCTATATCTTGCCCTTCTTCTTTTTTTTTTTTTTGAGATGGAGTCTCACTCTGTCGCCCAGGCTGGAGTGCAGTAGCACGATCTCAGCTCACTGCAAGCTCCGCCTCCCGAGTTTAAGTGATTCTCCTGTCTTAACTTCCCGAGTAGCTGGGATTCCAGGTGCCCACCATCACGCCTGGCTAATTTTTGTATTCTTAGTAGAAACAGGGTTTTACCACGTTGGCCAGGCTGGTCTCGAACTCCCGATCTCAGGTGATCCACACGTCTCGGCCTCCCAAAGTCCTGGGATTACAGGCATGAGCCACCATGCCCAGCCTAAGAAGTATTTTAATACTGAAACCTGTCCAGTGCTTAGTGTCCCACACGTACCCCACTCACCACACCCAAAGCTGACAGCAGATGTACAATGGATATATTAATATTTTAAGTGAAAACACATTTATTGTATTCAATCACTGTTTAGTCTTTGCAACTATCCTATACAGGTATACAGCTATGTGTAATAAAATCATGTTTTGAAATATTTTTAATTCAGGAGAGGAGAAAATCTGGGATTGAAAATACTCATTCCCTCTGCAGAACTTTCCTTTGCTAGGAGTGATAGAAATGTTCTAGAACCTTGCTACTCCTCCACGGGTGGTTCTCGGACCAGGAGCATCGGTATCACTTGAGATCTTGCCAAAAATGCAAAATCTTAGGTCCAACCTCAGATCTACTGAATCGAAATCTTCATTTTAACATGATCCCCAAAGGATTTGTGTACACTGGTCTGGAACATTCATTTACCTAGGTGTGGTTTGAAAGATTGCTTCAACACTTCTGCTAGGTTTTTGTTTTTGTTTGTTTGTTTGTTTGTTTTTGAGATAGAGCCTTGCTCTGTCACCCAGGCTGGAGTGCTGTGGCTTGATCTTGGCTCACTGCAACCTTGACCTCCAGGGTTCAAGCGATTCTCCTGCCTCAGCCTCCTGAGTAGGTGGGACTACAGGTGCACACCACTACGCCTGGCTAATTTTTGTATTTTTAGTAGAGACGGGATTTCACCATGTTGGCCAGGCTGGTCTCAGACTCCTGACCTCAGGTGATCCGCCCGCCTCGGCCTCCCAAAGTGCTGGGATTACAGACGTGAGCCGGGCTCAGCTGCTAGTATATTTTATCTAGAATAATGATCACATAGGACTTCAAAAGACAATGAAAAAAAAAATCAGTCTGAGGTTTCAAAGCCACACCAGAAAAAGCATCAATTTAAACTAATGTCCATAGAAAAACCCTTCCTGCTGGGTCTAACTCTGGTTTTTAGGGTAAGTACCAGGGGAACAAGGCCTAATGAGCAGGTGTCAGGGAAGCATTGATTCTATAGTAGCCTGAGAGCAGGTGTGCATAAGACCACATGGGTTTCAATCACCACAGGAGAGCAGTCTTGGGTAGTCACAGGAGAGGAGCTTGCTTTTGCCTCTTCCTGAGAAAGCCCGGACCATGTGACCAAGTAGATCTGAAGGATGAGGGAACTGGAAGCCATCATCCTCATTGTCACTTCTTTTGTGTTCTTTGTAAGCTAGATTGCAAAGATTTCATTCATGACAGTTTAACTCACGGTTACACGTAAGGACTCTGGAGTCAGACCACTTGAGCTCAAACTTGGCACCATCTGCTAGTGTTGTAACTTTGGGCAAGATATTTAGCCTCTGTGTGCCTCACTTTCCTCCTCAACAAGTGGGGATAATAAAATAATACCTGCCTCACAACATTGTTGTGAGGATACAGTGAGTTAATCTCAGCCACATGCTTAAAACACTGCTTAGCATATTAGTAGATACCATATAAGTATTTATTATTAAATAGTTTAAAATGTCAATGGCCTGTGCAAAGTCCCACTGGCTAATGAGGTGATGTGACTCTGCAGCTGCGTCTTAAAGCAGATCCTTCATAAAGAATACCAGTGGGAAAGGATTTTCTGTGGAATAGCACTTTGAACTCGATGATGGTGCAGGTCATCTGGAGTTAGTGGGGAAGGCCTTTCTCCATGTCTGGTGGCATCACTGGCTGGGCCTGGAGCTTCCCATGTCAGGGTGTGATGCCACTGATTGGGCTGCAGCCCCTACGGTGATAATATCCACAGTTCCATCCCCTGTCCGGTGGCTGGGACTGCAGTTGGACTCCCTCTACATTCACAATGTACTTCAATCTCTCAGTTGTGTTAGGGGACCAATAAAGAACCCTGCTTTAGCTTGTATGTTCACTGCAGCACTATTCACAGTAGCAAAGATATGGAAGCAACCTACATGTCCATCAACAGATGATTAGATAAAGAGAATGTGGTGGTGCATATACCCAACGGAATACTATTCAGCCATAAAAAGAATGAAATCATACCTTTTGTAACAACATGGATGGAACTGGAGGCTGTCATCTTAAGTGAAACAAGTCAGATGCAGAAAGACAGACACCATGTGTTCTCACCTATAAGTGGGAGTTAAATAATGTGTACACATGGACATAGAATGCAGGATGATAGACAACGGAGACCCAGAAAGGTGAGGGGGTGGGAGGGGAGTGGATGATGAGAAATTACTTAATGGGTACAATGTACATTATTCAGGTGATGGATACCCTTAAAGCCCTGACTTCATCGCTAATCAATGCATGTAACAATATTACACTTGTATCCCACAAATTTACACAAATTTTAAAAAAGAGCCCTGCTTCAGGACCCTGTCTGCCCCCAGTGAGGTGGAAATGACTGTGAAATGAGTCTTTCATATACCTTCAGAGTCCATCTTGTGTTGTCACTGAGGTTTGGAACAAGGGGTTGCCTAGGGTGGGGGACTCCTTAGCTTTTGGTCCCTTGGTTCCCTACACTACTCTTTAAATTTTGGCAATGTGCTATATAGGGTTAAGACTAAGTAAGTAATTCTCCCCCTCCATGGCCTTTAAGCTACAAGAAAAAATTGCAAAAAGAACAAACACTACTTATAAGTAGAATTGTTTTTTAAGCACATATTTTGTGTCAGGCACAGTCCTGGGTTATGGGGATGGAGCATTGACCAGAACAAACTAATCTTTACCCTGAAGTTGCTGACAGTGTCATGTGGGGTAGGGAGAGACCGGTAATGAAATAAGTAGTAGTCAATATCGTAATACGTTATCTGGAAAAAAAGACAAATCAGGGAAAAGGAATGGAGGTGCTAAGCGTGTGGTTTTAAATAGGGACAGATGACATTCTGATAACAACCAGAAGGAGATGAGGGTATGGGGAAAGATCTGCACTCTAGGGACACAGATGCTGTGGTCCCTGGGTCAGACTTTAGGAACACAAGCAGAGGGAGGAGGAATGGGGAAGAGAGCAACAGAGCCCATTCCAAGTCAAATGTTCGCTGCAACTTCATGCCAACATGCTGTTTACACAAACTGTGGGACTCAAATTGGGGTTTTCACCACACTGTGATGCTGCTGAGCCATTTTTTACCCTTTTCTTCCTTATAGCTCAGCTTCTTAGTAAGAGACGGACCTACCAAGGGACATGCAGTTTCCTTTGTCTCCTTTCAGCCCTGAAAGTGAACCACTGAGACTGGTATTCAAGTATATTTTTGAATGGAATTAGCCTATCTGGCACAGTAAAACCCAGTCCGCCAAAGGTCTTCTGCCCTCTGTATTAACACGTGTTCTCCATCCGCGACAATGGAATTCCATTGTTGTGTACTTCAGGAATCACAAATCATTTTAGTGGCCTAAAAGACTTTGAGCCAGGTGCGGTGGCTCACACCTGTAATCTCAGCACTTTGGGAGGCCGAGGCAGGCAGATCACTTGAGGTCAGGAGTTCAAGACCAGCCTGGCCAACATAGTGAAACCCCGTCTCTACTAAAAAATACAAAAATTAGCCTGGTGTGGGGGCGCATGTCTGCAGTCCCAGCTACTCAGGAGGCTGAGGCAGGAGAATCACTTGAACCCGGGAGGCAGAGGTTGCAGTGAGCCGAGATGGCGCCACTGCACTCCAGCCTGGGTGATTAGAGTAAGACTCCGTCTCAAAAAAAAAAAAAAAAAAAAAAAAAAAAATTGTGGACTTCACGACCTCCCTTGCTCACAAGGATTATCTCTGCTTGAGAAGAAAAAGGAAACATTTCAAAAAATGTAAAAATATAAACGTTCAATTAAGACAAACTTTTCTTGTTCTGCGTGCTCCTTCCCCGCAGTGGCATCTTTGGAGTTAGTTCTCTTAATCTTTTCAGCAGTATCCAAATTCCTTGGGTGTTTACCACCATAATTGGTGGTTTTAATAACCTGATAAATGCTCTAAAATTGTAGGCCTTAAAAGATAATTATCTCTGAGGTTCATATACTAGAACAGTGAAGGGTTGGGACCTAAAAAAAAAAAAACTTTGATAATCTATATCTACAAGGTGAGTGGGAAGAATCTCCATAAGGCACTGCTTTAGAAGGTAAAATGATGCTTATGCAAAGTAGTTCTCATTAATTCTGAACCAAATGGTCATAAAAACAAAATGGCCTTCAGAAAGTACTCTAGCTCTCCAAGCTTGAGAATTTGGTTTCTAGCCCCCAGAGGTCTGCCTTTTAATATAACTTTCAAATGCTGAAGGATTGAGCTTCATCTACACTAAAATTAGGACTAAGCAAAAATAAAATCTATCCTTAGCTATTTTGGAGGCCAAGTGTGGATTCATCCTATTGGATATTGCATGGCTTGGAATATGCATTTTCTTTTTTTTTTCTTTTTTTCTTTTTTGAGACAGAGTCTCGCTCTGTCACCAGACTGGAGTGCAGTGGTGCAATCTTGGCTGACTGCAACCTCTGCCTCCCGGGTTCAAGTGATTCTCCTGCCTCAGCCTCCCGAGTAGCTGGGACTACAGGTGCATGCCACCATGGCCAGCTAATTGTTGCATTTTTAGTAGAGACGGGGTTTTCCCATGTTGGCCAGGATGGTCTTGATCTCTTGAGCTCGTGATCTGCCTGCCTCAGCCTCCCAAAGTGCTGGGATTACAGGCATGAGCCACCGCGCCCGGCCTGCATTTTCTTCTGGAACAACCCAGTTCCTCTGATACTGAAGACTTTTCTGAAACTAAAATATGCAAAGACTTTTAAGTCATTTTAGAAAAAAAAAAAAGATGTCAGTTTATCTGCACTAAGAACTGCAATTTAAAAAACCAAAGGACTCTTAAATTTAATTTTTTTCCCCCGTTGGAGAAAATAAGGAAAAGGCAAAAGAATAAGGAGGAGGAGAAAGAGAAGGAGGAGGGAGGAGGAGGAGGAGGAGGAGGAGAAAGAAGTAAGAAGTAGGGGGCATCTGCAATATCCTACCACCTAAAGATAACCACCATTAACATTTTGACATACTTTTTTCTGGTTGTTAAAATATTTGTGATCATGTCGAATACACAGCATAAGTGTTTTTACATACTGGCTTGTAAAAATCAGGGGCATTCTCTTCTTTGTGCTGAATACTTCATCCTTCCATCTCTTATCATCTTCCTGCTTCAACATCAAAATACTTCAGCTTGAAAAGAGGCCAGACTTTGAGCAGCAGCTCCAGCCTTGATCTGGAAGCCCATCTCAGTTTTAAATCCTGCATCTTGCCTTCAAGTGCATAACAGTGAAGCTCCACTTTTCATTTTGCCCCCCTTTGTCCCTTAATAATTAGCACAATGGTTCTGCCAATAGCTAAGCTGCCGGTTGGCTTCTTCTCCATCATTTAATGAATTTCCTTATCAGAGCCATCATTAAAGTGCTGCTTTTCCTGTTGTTAGCGATTTTGAAGGATTATATACAGGTTATTGTATTGTGACCTCTTACTTCCCTCATTTCTCTTTCCTTCCTCCTCTCAATCTCCCTCCCTCCTTCTCTCCCCACTCCCTTCATGTGTGTCTCTCTCTCATTCTCTCCCCAGTCCCTTCATGTGTGTGTCTCTCTCTTTCTCTCTGTCTCTCTCCTCCCCGCTGCCACAGGCACACACATTTTCCCGTGTTCTACCAGCAGAACAGAAGTAAACCTGAATACTCAGTTGGGAAACTTGTGGGAAAGCAGTTGAGAAAAACTGAGGTGTAGGGATTAGATGAGGGCTCAAGATTTTTGCATGCTTTCGTACAAAATAGACTATAATGTAAATAACATCCTCTAGATTTGTGCAGTACACAACCTGGACAATATTCACAGTGGCCCAGTGGTGCAATCTCAAGGCTGAATCCCAACGAAGGTGAAGAGAGCACACAGGAAGCAAAGCTTAATGCTTGCTCATTTGTATAGGGGTTGCTACAAGTGTTAGAGTGGACACATGGATGCGATTGTCTGGTTGCCCTCAAGCAAGCTGCTGTTGCCTATTTGGGAGTATTTGACTTAGTGAGGAGGGGCTCCTAGGAGAGATGATTTGCAGAGTCCATCTGTGAAGAATCAGCCGTGGTCTTCCGCTCCCTCCCCAGCCTCCACACTAGCTGTGGAAGCCTGGACTAACTTCATACTCTGACAAGGAAACAGTGCTGGTATTACTATGAATTGTGTCCCTCCAAAAAATGTTGAAACCTTAAGCCTCAGTACCTGAGAATGTGACCTTATTTGGAAATACGGTCTTTGCAGATGATTAAGTTAAGATGAAGTAATTAGACTTGGCCCCTAACTCAGTATGAATGGTGTCTGTAAAAAGAGGAAATTTGGACACAGAGACGTGCACATAGGGAGAATGCTAGATGAACATAAAGGCAAAGGCCAGGTGACACATCTATAAGCCAAGGAACCCCAGTGATTGCCAGTAACAACCAGCAGCTTGGGGAGAGGCATGGAACAGATTCTCCCTCACAGCCTCAGGGGGAACCAACCCTGCCAACACCTCCAGAACAGTGAGACAATACATTTCTGTTGTTTAAGCCAACTGCTTTGTGGTACTTTGTCACAACAGCCCCAGCAAGCTCGTACACCTATTGAGTGTGTAGAGAAGCACAGTGTGGAATCTCCTTCTCCAGAGATGCCTTTGTCATTTCAAAGAAGCTTTCCCTTTTATGGAGATGGGTCTCCTAACCCCTAACACATCAGCATAAGGTTGCTCCCTTTCTTCAGCAGCTTCCCGTTTACTGAACCCTTGCTAGGTCCTAGGCCTCATGCCAAGAAAGCCCTTTAATGTGTTTTTTAATTCACTCCTCACCATGTCTCTATGCAGAAAGCATGGCTATTAGCTATCTTTGCAGATGAGAAAATGTGCTCAAAGAGGTTAGGTGACATTTCTGAGGTTCACACAGCTGGTATGTAGCAAACCTAGGATTCAAAATCCAGATCTGTCTGCTCCAAAACTCATACTCTTTTTTATTTTTTACTTTTTTATTTTTTTTGAGGCTGGGTCTTGATCTGTTGCCCAGGCTGGAGTGCAGTGGTGCAGTTATGGCTCACTGCGGCCTTGACCTCCCCAACTCAAGAAATCCTCCCACCTCAGCCTCCTGAGTAGCTGGGACTACAGGAGCATGCTACCATGCTTGGATCATTTTTGTTTTTAATTTTTAGTAGAGATGGAGTCTCCCTAGGTTTTCCAGGCTGGACTCAAACTCCTGGGCTCAAGTGATCCTCTTGCCTTAGCCTCCTAAAGTGCTGGGATTACATGTGTGAGTCACTGAGCCCAGCCAAAACTCATATTCTTAATGATCATAATGTATTTTCCTTGCCACCATGTAGTTTATATTTTCAAAATCCTTAAACATCTTTAAATTTACCTTTTATTTGCTCTCTCTAGATTCTTTTCATAAATCCAAACTTCTTATTTTGTTAAAGACATATTTTTATTGAGGGAAAACACTCCCTATGTTCACCCTATTATAATTTTACTTGACCTGAAATTGGGCAGTTTGAAGTTTTCAGTGACTGATAACATGAGCTTCCATTTTTCGAGCATTTACTATATACCAATCACTTTACATTAATTGTCTCTCTCAATCTCTATACCAAGTCTCATTTTTCAGACATGAGTTTAGGTAATTTGCCAAGGTCACATAGGAAGCGGGGGTCATGTCAGATTTTGACTGTAGAGCCTGCATCTTAACCACTTTGTTTTATTGTATATCGGTTTTTTCCCTACTAAAGAGAATAAACAAGCAAAACATAAAAGCACTTGGAGCCTGGGCCCTGTTGCAGGAATGCCATCGCGTGCCCTTTCACCTGCCTCCTCATCTCTCCCCTGGACCACCACAGTCATCAGCAATCTGCATCCTCCCACTCCACACCCTCCCATTCAGTCTGTGCCCAGGAGCCATATTGAAATGAAATACACATCTGATCACAGCACTCCTAGGCTGAAAACCACTCAATGGCCTGCTGTTGTACCAAGAAGAAAATCTACATGCCTTCTGAGGCCTTCAAGGCCCTATTTCTTCTGACCTTCCCTATTATTGATCCTCATCTGCCTACCTCTCCTTAACGCACTAATCTGACACCACCTCAGTCTAATTCCAGTTCCTCTAGCAATGCCAGCATGTCCTGACCTCTCAATCTCCCCATGTGGTCCCTCTGCTGCGCACAGTCTCCCCATTTTTCCCTCGCTCCTAATCATCCTTCAGATCTTGGCTTACATGACACTTCTTCAAAGGCCTTCCCTGATCCCCCAAACAAAAGTAAATCCTTCTCTCTTAGTCTTAATATCGGACCCTGGCTTTGCAATGCACTTTTATTCTAATTTGCAATTATGTTGTTTGTCTGCTCATTTGTTTTTGTCAGCCTTTCCCACTAAAAACTTACGTTCCACAAGGGCAGGGACTCTGTCTTTAACTCTGCAGCCCCTGAGCCTAGCACAATGCCTGGCACATACTGGCCTGCGAAATGTGTGTGGAATCAATACATAAAAGGAAGGAGGTCAGCACCTACTAGGAACCACGTAGATATGGACCGCTAAAGGCGAGTTTCCGTAACAGGACCTCTGAAAAGAGGTGGGAACGACAGAAATGAAAATGGGAATAAATTCTGCTTGTTCCTTCCACCTTCGTTTCATTTTTGTGGTTCCTAGAAACAACGAGCACATCAACTGCCTGATATTAGAGCTGAGCTGCTAACCACCCCCTCTTCCTGTTCTCACAAACCCCATTCCTGACTCCTCTCTCTCTTGTCCCCAGTGAGAGGTGGCCCATTCAAACCACCACCTCCCACCTGTGCTTCAAAAATGTATTTTCCTTCTCCACATCTTAGATCTCACTGTTTTCCTCATTTTGCCTCATTTCCTTACAACAAAGAGTCTGGTGATCTTAGAGGATTATTAAAGGGGGAATAAATATTGATGTGTGTGTGTTGCAGTTGTAGGGAAAAGAGGGAAATGTAATGGAAATTGCCAAGTAACGGTTCTGCCTGTTACCTGGTTGCCAAGGTAATTGTGAATCTCCATCTTGCTCTTGACCAGCCATGGGCAGCTGAGAACACTGGTGGTACATGTCTCCCCAGAATCCACCTGAGTCCTCTGCAGGTTGTCTGTGTGACATCTCCCCAACCCCAACTCCCCTCCGCAGTCTCTCCCCTCCTCACGACCCTCAGGAAGAAGCAGACTCTTGGCCTGTGATCTTTGAACAGAGACAGGTGGTTGTTAGAGCCCTTGCTATGTGTAAGTGAGAAGATGTTGAGTCCAGATGTGTGCGCACTTGTGTTCTGACGAAGGACAGAGACGATGCCCTACAGATGTTGGAACAGCAGAAATGCAACCTCTTCAAACCTTGAGGACTGTTGACTTCACAAGAGAGAGAAAGTACCCACCCCTCATCCTTCCCAAACTGTTTTTCTACTAAAGCATCCAGCTCATGGAGAAAATAGAGACACATGGCATCCCTAGCAGCTGGAGCCCACCTGCGGCTGCAGTCCAGGAAGATCTTCTCAATTCTGTCTTCACCAAACCACAAGGAGAACTGCAGGTAATTTTTTTGTTCATTTTCTCCTCCATCCTGTTACACCACCAGCTCCATCACCTTCCGCTGCCCTGACGTGAACATGAAGCAAGGAAAAGAGATGGGCAATGGTCTCTTTTTTTCATCTTCCAAGAGTTTTTAGTAATATTTTTGCTTTCCTGTCAATGCATATCTTCATTTGGCTATTTTCCCTTCCTTCACCTGGTCTTCTAGATTTTGATGGAATATACATTTTTCTCTAGAAATACAATTGCTGCCAATACAAATTCAGTAGGGAAAATACTGGGTGTGATTTAGAACCACCTGGTGAGCCTCATTTCTCTGATAAAAATTTCATGGCTCTTGAAAACCTATGTATGCATCCATTATCTCATGTGATATTAGAGCCACCAATGGCCTTGCTTCACTTCCAGAATCACTGGCAAATCTTACTTCTTTCTTCCTTTCCCCCCTCCCCATTTCCCAGTTTTCTAACTAACACGATTATTTTAAAGGAGTATCTGTGAGATTAAAACAAATACTATATTAAGATTATGTGCCTTAAAATGAAAGTAGCTTCTATCTCTACTTCATTTTGGAAAGTACTTATCTACCAAGAGGAGAAGATAAGGATCCCCTGACTCTGCCATTTCTCTTTTATAGAGATAAGAGTAGACAGATTTTGTAACTTTTATTGAATTCGGTGGACACAATGACTTTATAACTATTATATACAAGTTATAGAAAAGTTGATTCTGATTTCAGTTATTGCAACAGGCTTTTTCCTATTCCTTTCTTCTCATCCTCAACACCATCTGAAAATTTTTAGATTTATATGTCCTTTTTAGCCCTAAAATTCTAAGAAAAAGAGGCAATGAAGTCAGAGGAGTTATCTAAAGTCACCCAAGGAGAAAGAGACAAATCTGAGACTTGAACTCAGTTCTCCCAACTCTGAACATTTGCTTTCATAACATTTAAAAAATCATATTAAAATTGTTATGAGGCCATTGGAAATTTGAACACCAACTGCACTGAGTATATTAAAAATTATTGTTCAGCCCAGAACAGTGGTTCATGCCTAGAATCCTAGCACTTTGAAAGGCCAAGGTGGGAGGATCGCTTGAGCTCAGGAGTTTGAGACCAGCCTGGGCAATGTAGTAAAACCTCGTCTCTAAGACAAACAAACAAAAAAATTATGTTAATTATTTTAGGAGTGTTAATGATAGCATGAGTATATGTTTTTAAAGAGACCTTATATTTTAAATGTAGGCGCTGAGATAGTTATGGGTTAAGTGATAAGATGTCTGGGATTTGCTTCACGATAATATAGGAGGTGAGGAATTGGTTAAGGTACAGAAAAACAAGATAGGTGATAAGTTGATAACTATTGAAGCCGGGTGGTGGGAGCACCATCACATGATTTTCTATACTTTTATATATGTTTGAATTTCCCATAAGTAAAGTTTATTAAATAGTAAAAATAAAAACCATGTTTTCCTCATACATCTTTCCAAATAACAGACTATAAGATCCTGATTTTGGGATTTGCATCTCACAGTTATTGCAGGGGACCAACATGTCAAATCCCAAAATAGATTTCAGAGCAGACATGGGGATTAAGAGACCAGCTAAATATTCAGCCACAAATGGGTCATTGCTGAGGGAAGCCAAGAGTCCACTAGAAATGCAGGGAGCATGTCACTAGGTTGCCAAAAATATGCCCAGATTCTGACAGATGTCCCCTCTGAGGAAAGCACAACCGTGCTCTCATCTTCAGTGGAGTCAGCACCCAAGGACCCCTAAAATAGCACCAACAATGCCTTGCTGGTGTGTTAAAGAATAGCAAAAGACATTTTTAGTTTCCTCAACATGATTTTCATTCTTCTTTCTTAGTGCCTTATCAAAGAGAAGCCTTCTTGGGCACCATTAGTGGGTGGTAAATTGGTGGGGGTGCTTTAGAGGACAACTTGACAATATCAAGATTTGAAAGGCACTTGCAGAAATTCCCTTTCTGGAAATTTTGCCCCAGTTATATTTATATACAGATACTTATACAAAGATATTCATTGCAGCATTGTTTGCTATAGCAAACATCATAAACAACTTAGCATTCATTCTTGGAAAATGGCAAACATAAATCTGGTCATATAGTGGAATACCATATAGTCACTAAAACAACCAAGGTCCATCTCTGTGTGTTGGTTATAGAAAGACGTACAAGATAACCATTAAGCAAAAAACACCAGACATGTAAGTTTGATCTTAGAGGAGACTAGCAGTTTCCAGAAGGTATGTGAGTTTGTCCTTAGACACAGTTGAGAGTCGCCCTGGACTGGGGGAAGAAAATTGATAGAGCCAATATTCAATCCAGGTGTGTCTGTCCACAAAGACTGTGTTCCTAACCATTCACAGCCTCTTCATGTTTACATACTTGATCTTTTGCAATTCTGGTGGCATGAACTTGGGGATTCGGCCATTCTCTGCAGTGCCCAGCACTTCCTTGGACCTGTGGGCCCCAGAGCTCTCTCAAAAAGAGCTCCTAAGCTCTGGGGCCAGATGGAGCAAGCTAAGCACATGCTCCTATGAAGACCTGGCCCCCAGTGTCAGTCACTGGAGATGTGGCCTCTTGAAATTTTCCCCTTATAGTTGGGACACAGTGTCTTTTCATTTTTCCCAGGGATTTCTCCTGGGGCAAGATGGAGGAGGCCAGCTCTTGAACTTTTCCCCTTGCTGTCAGTGGCCTGTGAGAACCTGGTATGTGATCCATATAAGGATCTTTCTCCTTGGCATGTCTTTCTTTCAGCTTTCTTTCCTTTGCTTTCTTCAGGAGAGATTAAAAGAAGCTTAAAACCTCTGTAGATTTGGGAGGCCGAGGCGGGCGGATCACGAGGTCAGGAGATCGAGACCATCCCGGCTAAAACGGTGAAACCCCGTCTCTACTAAAAATACAAAAAATTAGCCAGGTGTAGTGGCGGGCGCCTGTAGTCCCAGCTACTTGGGAGGCTGAGGCAGGAGAATGGCGTGAACCCGGGAGGCGGAGCTTGCAGTGAGCCGAGATCCCGCCACTGCACTCCAGCCTGGGCGACAGAGCGAGACTCCGTCTCAAAAAAAAAAAAAAAAAAAAAAAACCTCTGTAGAAGGGAAAAGAAGACATGACAGAGGAATCATTTTAAAATCACTATGTTTCTCCAAAATATGGAATTACTGCAAAAAAAATGGTCTAAAATCAAAAGAATCCTAGTTTTTCACTTCTGGAAGTCAATGTTGAGTCTCTGTGTTTGACCTATATATTTCCCCATTGTATTCAATGTACTGATACATAAAGAAAGCATCTCAGTATGGGGGTAAGGTGGTAGTGGTTCAGACTCCCACAGAGATTTGGTGAAGACAGGGAGAAGATCTTTCACATACAGGCTGAAAACAAGTTCAAAAATCAGGTAGAGGCTACGAGATTGCTGTGGTCAGTGTGGGGCTGCAGGCTTGAGCCTGAGGCTGCTCAACCAGTTTTGCTCTTGAAGTCCCTGTAGCCAGCGGTGGAGGTGATGACTTAGACAGTAAGAGCCCTGCACACACAGGTAGAGAAGCCATCCCTAATAAGATCTGATTGTGAGAGGCTGCAAGTTTTCACAGAGAGAGACCTCAGGCAGGGGATCTTTACCTTGACCAGAAGGTGAGGAGGCAGAACGTGCTTCTAAAATTCTATGCTGAGAGGCCAGAAGGTTGGAGAGAAATTTCTGGCTGAGACAACTCTCCTTCCCTTTTCTCCTTTCTTTCCTCCTGCCTGTTGAAGCAATCAGACAATGGATGGAATCCAAGAAAATGGTTGCCTTTAGCAACCCAAATTCCTTAACTTTAAGTTGTGATTTTCCGTTACTTTGTTACCCCCTTTGGGCTCTCTCTTTTCCAAGTGTGACAAACTGAGCATCATATTGAATAGAGATCTAATATAGACTGTAGCCTAGTGATTGCTTCGTGGGCTTTGCATGTCATCCTTCTATAAATACAGTCTGGTATCATTTTGGCTTTTCAGCAATAGCAGTCCACTGCTGCATCCCTCCGTCTGTGGTCAAGCATGACCTCTCTTGTCTTCGTGTTACACCTGTGCCAAATCTC
This sequence comes from Homo sapiens, assembly GCF_000001405.40. Lineage (NCBI taxonomy): Eukaryota > Metazoa > Chordata > Mammalia > Primates > Hominidae > Homo > Homo sapiens. The sequence continues at coordinate 141,497,679 of NC_000007.14, forward strand.
TCCTCCTCAACCCTGATTTTCCATGACTGGCTTCCCTGTCTCTAAATTTACCACTTTCTGTATTCCCACTCTTAGAAACTGCGGCATGATATTAGCAGAAGCCAGAGTTATTCAAATCCTTCTCTTTGACTATTGTCTAGAAAGAAAAAACATCTTCAAACTGGAAGGAGCAGAAATAAAGGCTGACGGAGCAACTACAACTCATGGACAAAAGCAGCAGCAGCCTCTTAAAAAGAATGGAGCCTGAAGCTGCAAAGCCCTGGGTTCAAGGGCAAGCTCAGTTTTTTTCATAACTGTGTGAGCTTGGGCAAGTTTTCTTACCTGTGAAAGGAGGCCATTTCACTACCTTATCTCTAAGCTACCTTTTAAAGACTCAAGCATTAATACCTCACCCTGCAATAAGTCCCCTTTTGGAAAGCTTATGGACTTTTGGAGTTCCAGAGTCAGATGGAAGAGACAAAGCCTGACCTGGTTTTCTAAATCTTAGGATATTTTATTAATCTCATTATGTTTGACACCTCATGGAAACAAGAACATGGATATCTTCTACCAATTCCAAGGCTTACATTCTGAACAGGGACTATAGGAATAAGAGGAAAACTCCTTCCCCCATCAGAATATTTTCCAGTTGCCTCCTGGTTTGGCACCGTCTTCTCAGGATAGCAGCTTGAGTTATGATCAGGGAAGGAGTGAGTCTGCCCTGTGGCCTTCACCTCTAATTCTGGCATGTTTGACCTGGAAGGTCTCCTTCTTCTAAGTCCTTGGCATCTTGTGACAACTAGCTTGGCCTCTTTATACCATGGGAATCATTCATGGCCTTAATATGTTCAGCCTCAAAAGAACAGAAGAATACCAAGATGTATAGAATCTTCAAGTCAACTAGGGAAAAGGTTTAAAGCTTCCTCAGATGAAGATAAGCAGCTTCTCACCAGGTGGCTGTGTTTGATAGTTAAAGATGTTTAAGGTGACAAAGTCTGTTCCACTGCCTCATCCTTTAGCATTGGACAAAAATCAGAAGAAGAGTAGTAATCAGTCTCTGACAGCAGACGCTTGCCACTAAAGCGAGGAATCCAGGAGAGCTCTCCTACCCTTATTAAGGCCAACCTCAAAAAGTTTATTTTCAAGTCTAAATAACTTTATCTGTGGATGTTTAAAGAACTTGTACTATAGTCTCAAAGTCACAGTTATTAATTTTTGAGGAATCATGAAAGAGATAAATAAGATTGGAGATAGCCATCAGATGGGATGCCAGTCGTGGAAAGTCAGCCTAATATGAATGCCAAGGCATATGCTAAATTAGACTTACTTAAAAAGCAGAGGGTGGTTGGAGGAGACTGTAGAATTTAAAAAAGCATGCCACCAGTACCACAGCCACCATACGCATGCACCATACTTGCCTTGTTTCATTTAAGTTTTAATAGATTATTTGGCTGGCAAGCTTCAGGGGCTACTGTGCTTAAAAGTATTTCTGTGCTTTAGACAATGTTTTTAAAATGTCATCTGTAAGATCTTTGTGGATAAGATGGTAAAATAAGGGATGTCTGGTAGTATTTCAGTGTACATTTCTAGCTGTTGGTTGATTACCCAATATGAAGGGGGTGACTCTTATTAGAGCTAGTCCTAATCCTTCCAACATTGTCAAAGAGTGGGATAAAAACGGAAAAGACGGCTGCATGTTGTGGCTTATGCCTATAATCTCAGCACTTTGGGAGGCCAAGGTGGGAGGATTGGTTGAGCCCAGGAGTTCAAGACCAGCCTGGGAACCATAGGAAGACCACATCTCTACAAAAAAAAAAAAAAAAAAAAAAAATTCAGCCAGACATTGTGGTGCATGCCTGTAGTCCCAGCTACTCAGGAGGCTGAGGTGGGAGGATTGCTTAAGCCTGGGAGGTCGAGGCTTCAGTGAGCCATTTTCAAGCCACTGTACTCTAACTTGGGTGACAGAGTGGGACCCTGTCTTAAAAAAACCAACAAAAAAACCCCACAAAAGATAAGTATATCAAATTTGCCAGTGACCTTAAGCCAGGAAGGATTGCTAATGTCTTCACTGACAGCATCAAATTTAACGTGATTTTTGTCAGACTTTACCTTGAGTTAAAACAAAAAAATATATAAAGTCCCACCATTTGATTTCAAGATCAATCACACACATGAAGAATGGGAGAAAAGCAGCTTGGCAGAAATCCACATGCAAATATCTTAGCATTTCAGTTGATCACAAACGTAATGTGATGTATCTTTAAAAATAATCCAGTGCAGTGTTTATTTTCTCCAATCAGAAGTAAAGTATTCAAGCACAAAGCATTTTTTTTCTCCCTGTATCTCGTGCTGCTCAAAGACCTGGGAAACTGTGTTCAATTTCTCACCTTTACAATTTTAAGAGAGTTACTGAATAAAACTGTGTATAGAGGAGAGCATCCAGATTGAGAATGATAACGATAACACATTTTTTAAATGGGAGTTTCTTGTTACTATTTAACCAAAATTTATTGACCATCAATTATGTGGCAGGCACTATCATTGTCCCTGGAAATTCAGGGATACACAAGATACGAGCCCATTGTCAAGGTGCTGATAATCTAGGAGAGGAATCAGACAGGTGTACAAGGTGAGGCATAATGAAGCCAATACTGCAGGGTAGGAGCATAAGCCAATGGGAATGGATGGGCAGGTGCAAGTCATTTTGATTGAGAGGCTCAGGAAAACTCGGAGGAAGTGCACTTCAAGAATCATACCTTTCTAAGTTGAAAGAAACCTTTTTCTTAGGGCATATAAAATTGGGAGGAGGGGGTGGATAATGGCTTCTTCTCAAAGATCCCTTTAACTCCAAACTCTATTTTGTATCTGAAGACTGGTCCTTGTACTACAAGGTCACATAGCTGGTTGCAGCCCTCAAGTTAGAATTCTATGGCCGTGTAGTCCTACGGAATTTCATCCCTTTGTTTTTCCTGTGGGCCATTTTTCCCCAATTGCTAAACCTTATTTTGCATGATTTTCTGCTAGAATTCAGCTGGCCAGCCAAATTTAGTATTGCCTGACAGTTTGACAGCCACATACTCAATTCCTTTGTCCAGATCACAAAGCCTCTGACTAGAATAGATCCACCCTCAACCCAGAGCAGGTGGCTTACCACTAGGTATGTCCCAGGCTACTTTCCAAAGATCTTTGCCAAGGACAGGATGGGTGTGAAAGGACCTCAGGCTTGTGACGGAAGGAAGTAATAAGCTCGATTGGAAATTCTATTACATTAAGAAAAGGCAGCCATGGAAATAAAGCTAAATAATCCTACTGAGCTCAGCAAGATAAATATATATGTATTTTATCCGTGTTGAAAATAGAGGAAGGAGAAAGAATGGAAGACAACTTGTATAGTTTGTTATCTCTAAAGCATCTACATCTTGTTGCTTGGGAGGGTCTCCAGTAGATGTGCCAGCTGGGGCTTCAAGATCAGAATTTGCATTTAGGAAGTTCACTTTCATGGGGTTTATCCATCTGTGTTAAAATGGTAGCTGTTCTTGAGGGTGAGGTGGACTCCCACAGGTAGGTCTCGGCGGTGCCCTTCCATGCTGTCTTCATTAGCTCTGGTTCCCTTGAAACTTTGTGGCCAAGAATCAGGTGAAATCTTAAATTTATTAGGAGAAAAAAAAAAGGAGAGTGAAAATTCAGTCAACAGAGCACGTACTACCACCAAGAACCTCCTAGAATCCACATTCTCTCCACATTTTATAGTCTTCTCCTTATCTACATGATCTCATATTTTCACTATTGGTATAAATGGGATGATTAATACACTGTGATGGTCTAATTTTATGTGTCAACTTGGCTAAGCGATGGTGCCCAGATATTTGGTCAAACACCAGTCTGAATGTTGCTGTAAAAATATTTTTTTAAAGATGAGGTTAATATTTAAATCAGTAGACTTTGAGTAAAACAAATTACCCTCTGTAATACAGGTGGGCCTCATTTAATCAGTTGAAGAAATGCTTACTTGAAAACAGAGTGAAGTCCCCAGAAGGAGAAGGGAATTCTGCCTTAGATTGCCTCTGGACTCAAGTCGCAACATTAACCCTTCTATGGGTCTCCAGCCTGCCAGGTTACCCTGCAGGTTTTTGGACTTGCCCCAGCCTCCACAATTATGTGAGTCAATTCCTTAGAATCAGTCTCTCATGCTCTCTCTCTCTCTCTCTCTCTCTGTCCCCAGATAAAATCTCACCTGCTACTTAGCAGAGGAAAACTAGGCTCCAGATGTAAACTCCTTTCACTTTCCACTCCTATACTCAAGGAATCACCTGGGCTTGCACGTGTCCTCACCTTGTACCTTCAAAGCTGAGAGAAGATGATCCATTTTCTGTTCTGAGTTGGTCTGTCCACCTGTGCTCTTGATCCGAACCCTTCCCATCTTCCCCCAAACTGAGACCTTGCTTCATCTGTTATCCCCTTTCCAGTACTTACAGCTGTGCATCCACTGCCCTCCCTAATACTTAAAAGCATGCTCGAATATCTCCCATGTTTTACAAAAATAAGCAAAACACCATCTCTTTGAACGCCTTATCTCTCTCCTTTCCACCTCTCCCAGTCTTGTCCCCACTCTCATATCCTGCTAGTGTTCCAGTGACTACTAAGGTTCAGAAAAGAGGCCGGGGATGGTGTCCATAGAACAGAGCCAGCTTTAATGCCTGGAGGTTTCCAATAATTATGAAGAGAATCCCCCAGGCATCACCAGTCCAACGGGCTAAATCCGAGGGAACTCTAAAGAGAAAGGTTAAAACAGCTGGTCATAGGCATCAGGAAGACATATAAGAAATACAGCTGGCTGGGCGTGGTGGCTCACGCCTGTAATCCCAGCACTTTGGGAGGCAAAGGCAGCTGATCACCTGAGGTAGGGAGTTCGAGACCAGCCTGACCAATATGAAGAAACCCCGTATCTACTAAACATAAAAAATTAGCTGGGCATGGTAGTGCATGCCTGTAATCCCAGCTATTCGGGAGGCTGAGGCAGGAAAATCGCTTGAACCCGGGAGGCGGAGGTTGCAGTGAGCTGAGAGCGTGCCATTGCACTCCAGCCTGGGCAACAAGAGCGAAACTCAGTCTAAAAAAAAAAAAAGATAAAAAGATAAAAAGACAGCCATTACTGGCACAACATAAATGGTAATAATCACTATCATTTATTGAGCACTTACTGGGTGCTAGGTACTGTTCCAAGGAATTTAATGTTTAATCTACCAACAAGTATGGAAGAGACCAAATTCATTTCTTTTTCCTCCTAGACACAGAGACTTCATTTCTCAGCCTGCTTTGACATAAGTGGGTCCGGGGTATTGTGCAAAGTGTATTGCCTTTAGGTCTGATCCATAACCCCTCCCCTCATCCACCCAGCTCTTCTCCAGATGATCTTCCTCTATCTGGCAGTTAGCAGAACCACAAAATGGAAGGAACATGAACTGAATTTCCATGTGGAAGGTTGCCCATTGAATACTCATTTGGACTATTTTACACGTGGAGTCAACCTTTATTATACTAAGCCAGGAAGATTCAAGGGTTCATCTGTTAAAGCAGCTAGAGTCCCTACCTAATTGCACAAGCCCACAAGTAGTGCTATTACTATTGTCATTTTCAAATAAGGCTTTTCAAGCAGAGAGTAGCTTTCCCAAGGCCTCAACGAGTAAGTACCAGAGTCAAGATTCAAATCCAAGCCATTTGGTGCCAAAGCCTATGCTGGTAGCCACTAGTTCTCTCCTATAAGGAGTAGTGGGGATGAATGAGATAATGCATACACAGTGTTAGCATAGTGAAGGAAGCATGGCCACTGTTAAATAAAGTCAACTCAATGTACTTGTTCATGATTATTATGAATGTCCTGAGGTCCTTCGTAGACTCTTCTTCCAGTCCCATCCTGATGCCCCAACCCTCAATGTGGGGGCACATTTCTGTCACCTGAAGAAAAGGAGCCATGAAAAAATAGGCAAATTTGTATTCTAATAAACCCTAACTCACACCTATTATGTGTCTCTGACCAACTATAGGGAATAAAATATTTGCTACCTTTCTGCTGTCTTTTTCTGTGTGATTATAGCTATATATTGAGGTTTCATGTGCAAATTGGGGCAATGTATGTATGTGTTGCTTGTAGAACAGGTCTATTTGCACTGTGGTAAAATTACAGATCTGTCCTGGTCTGGGTTTTTTATCACCAGATTGAAAGAACCTCTTCATACGTATGTGTATCAATTTGGAAGTTAGGGGAATAGCTAATATGATAGAAGACAAAACCCAGACTTCAACTGTTCTCAACAGGCTGGAATGATGGGCAAGAGCCAGGAAGAAATTTAATAGAGAAAAATAAATGGCAGAATTTTAGAAGAAAAGACCTTATAGGTCATTGACTGGAGCCTCTGATTAAATCCTTGAACTAGATAGATTTCCTCCCTCCTGATTTTTACTATTCTAATCACACCTGTTTCTGATGACCTCTGAGTGTGTGAAGAAATTACTGTATCTGTTTAAAAATCTTGTTAAATTCCAATTAAATGAACTGGGATAGCTTAGATTTTTAAACCCCAAGCTTTTAAAGTACATATATCAGAGGCAGACTTGTATTTAATCCCGTGTGTGTGATCTGTACTTTGGAAAGTGTTTAGTGAATACGCTTCAGTTTTGTTTGTTATTGATTGGTACAGTAGTTCTGGCAGGGAAACCATGGTGAAGCTACAATTTAACTGGTCATTTTATGTATATCTGTCACCTGAAGAAAAGGAGCCACAAAAAAATACGCAAATATGTATTCTAATAAACTTGAAGTCAGGTAAATAGAACAAATTTATTAGTTTCCTATATGAGAGAAGTGTTCGTAGGTTTGATGTCTAATAAATTTGCTAAAGCTGAATGCTCCTCAAAATGTTCTAATGTTAACCTAAAAAATTCAAGGTAAACTAGTCCCACTTAAGTACAAGGTAAAAGCAAAGGGTTAGACTGAACAAAGAGTGGTAATATCATCACTAATAATTACAACAATCTTTCTTTTTTATTTCAATAGCTTTTGGGGTACAAGTGGTTTTGGTTATGTGGATGAATTGTATAGTGGTGAAGTCTGACGCTTTAATGCACCCATCACCTGGGTAGTGTATATTGTACCCAACAAAACAATCTTTCTTAAATTGCAAAAGACATCAGAGTCACTTTGAGTGCTTAACAAAATGCAGATTCCTGAGTCCTGTCCCAAGACTATCAACCTGGAATCGCTGTGGACAGGGCCTAGGCCTGTATTTTAACAAGGTCCTAACATATTTTTTTAGGCATATGTGAATCTCTGGACTAGAAAGAAAATATCTAGATATTCCTATTTCCTTACAGAAATAGATAATTCATGATTTAAAACAATAGTTTATGTTCTGCTAGTACTAGTTTATGCTGATCTGGTTTTATTGAAGATTTGTATTTTTATGCAAAAATATAGCAGAGCAGAAAAGCATGCTATTCAACACTCTATAGAAAGCCTAGTGGTTTGGATTATAAATCCATAACCAAGTTACCTCCCATTTCATCAGTGGCAGGGCACCTAATGGCAATCAAGTACCTGGAAGCTAAAAAGCATCCACCACTGTCGGGCTGTAAGCCCAACCTCTGGTCATAGTAAAGACTGCAGTGAGAATGACCAAGTCAAAATAGAAAGTCCACATCTTTCCCATTTATTTTAATTGTAGGTCAGTGAATGTTTTCATATCTGCTCCCCTGCTCATTATTATCTGTGTGCCATTATGAGTCCTCGCTACACTGAACTCAGCTCCCCTTGTGTCCCTTTCAATCTGCTCTGGAGGCTAGTTTTTGCCCTGGGCCTGGCAAGTCCTGGGCAGGTCTTCAGATTTGTCTCATCCTGTTAGTCATGAGAGTAAGTTTCTTATAGTTAATATGCCCAGTCCCAGATAATACTTAATCCCATCTGAAGCTTTGCTGCTCCCTCAACTCTGTACTGCCTGCCGAACAGGACTGGGGCAGATGGCTGCTTTTCTTTCTCTACTGGCTCTTAACTACTTGCTAGCTGCTATTTCTGGCCCTGATGAGGATGGATAAAGGGATTCAGGAAAGGGTACAGTTTCTGGCTGCTGTGCAGTTGGTGGCCTCTGGCCTTGCAGAATTTCCAAGTACACTCTTCACTCAAACTTTATCTCTGTAGTTTCTCTGAGATGGCCCTCAAGAGCTTCCCAATGGTGTCGTAGTAGACCAGGTGCTGACTCCCCACAATGGCTGTGTCAGCTTCCAACACTCAGGCTCTCCACTGCAAGGGTATACCCCTCTGCTGGTTCAGTTCATCCCACCAGACAGAGGTTATGGGCCAGGTCCCTTTGCAGATGACTCTGGGTCATCTCCATCCAGCATATCACACATATGGTCCACCAGGAAACATCATTGCTCTACAGGTACACGTGCAAGTGCACATTGCTCCCAGGGCAGTTCTCTGTGTCTCTATCTCTGCCTCTCAATCTCTGCTCTGCCACTTCAAGCCTTTTTCTTTTATATTTTCAAGCAAGTATTAGATACTAGTTCCTAATATTCCCTAAGAGACATGTCAGGCTCTCTGAGTGATCCCAGCAATGCCTGCTGATTTGAGAGGAGTGCAAAGCATCTGCATTATTTTGTTTTCACACTGCTAATAAATACGCACCCAAAACTGGTAACAAAAAGAAGTTTAATTGGACTTACAGTTCCACATGGCTGGGAGGCCTCAGAATCATGGCAGGAGGCAAAAGGCACTTCTTACATGGTGACGGCAAGAGAAAATGAGGAAGAAGCAAAAGGAGAAACCCCTGATAAACCCATCAGATCTTGTGAGACTTATTCACTATCATGAGAATAGCACAGGGAAGACCGGCCGCCATGATTTAATTACCTCCCTCTCGATCCCTCCTACAGCACATGGGAATTCTGGGAGATACAATTCAAGTTGAGATTTGGATGGGGACACAGCCAAACCATACCATTCCTCACTTGGCCCCTCCCAAATCTTATGTCCTCACATTTCAAAACCAATCATGCCTTCCCAACAGTCCTCCAAAGTCTTGACTCATTTCAGCATTAACCCAAAAGTCCACAGTCCAAAGTCTCATCTGAGACAAGGCAAGTCCCTTCCGCCTATGAGCCTGTAAAATCAAAAGCAAGCTAATTACTTCCTAGATACAATAGGGGTACAGGTATTGGGTAAATACAGCCTTTCCAAATGGGAGAAATTGGCCAAAACAAAGGGTGTTACAGGGCCCATGCAAGTCTGAAATCCAAGGGGGCAATCAAATTTTAAAGCTCCAAAATGATCTCCTTTGACTCCATGTCTCACATCCAGGCAACACTGATACAAGAGGTGGGTTACCATGGACTTGGGCGGCTCTACCCCTTTGGCTTTGCAGGGTACAGCCTCCCTCCCAGCTGCTTTCATGGGCTGGCATTGAGTGTCTGCAGCTTTTCTAGGTGCACCGTGCAAGCTGTCGGTGCATCTACTATTCTGGGGTCTGGAGAACAGTGGCCCTCTTCTTACAGCTCCACTAGGTGGTACCCCAGTAGCAACTCTGTGTGGGGGCTCCAACCCCGCGTTTCCCTTCTGCACTGCCCTAGCAGAGGTTCTCTATGAGGGCTCTGCCCCTGCAACAAACTTTCACTTGGGCATCCAGGCGTTTCCATACATCTTCTGAAATCTAGGTTCCCAAACCTCAACTCTTTTTTTTTTAGATGGAGTTTCACTCTTGTTGCTCAGGCTGGAGGGCAGTGGCACGATCTTGGCTCACTGCAACCTCTGCCACCCGGGTTCAAATGATGCTCCTGCCTCAGCCTCCTGAGTAACTGGGATTACAGGTGTGCATCACCATGCCCAGCTAATTTTATATTTTTAGTAGAGATAGGGTTTTACCATGTTTTCCAGGCTGGTCTTGACTCCTGACCTCAGGTGATCCTCCTGCCTCAGCCTCCCAAAGTGCTGGGATTACAGGCATGCGCCACCGCGCCTGGCCCAAATCTCAATTATTGACTTCTGTGCACCCACAGGCTCAACACCACATGGAAGCTGCCAAGGCTTGGAGCTTCCATTCTCTGAGGCCACAGCCCAAGCTGTATGTTGGCCCCTTTCAGCCATGGCTGAAGCAGCTGGGACACAGGGCACCAAGTCCCTAGGTTGCACACAGCACAGGCACACTGGATCTGGCCCACGAAACCATTTTTTGCTCCTGGGCCTCTGGGCCTATGATGGGAAGGGCTGCCGTGAAGGTCTGACATGGCCTAGAGACATTTTCCCCATGATCTTGGGCATTAACATGATGCTCCTTGCTACTTATGCAAATTTCTGCAGCCCGCTTGAATTTCTCCCCAGAAAATGGGTTTTCCTTTTTTATCACTTAGTCAGGCTGCAAATTTTCTGAACTTTAATGCTCTGCTTCCCTTACAAAACTGAACACCTTTAACAGTACCCAAGTCACCTCTTGAATGCTTTGCTGCTTAGAAACTTCTTCTGCCAGACACCCTAAATCATCTTTCTCAAGTTCAAAATTCCACAAATCTCTAGGGCAGGGGCAAAATGCTCTAGCTTTAGCAGTCTCTTTGCTAAAACATAACAAGAGTCACCTTTACTCCAGTTACCAAGAAGTTCCTCACTCCATCTGAGACCACCTCAGCCTGGATCTTATTGTCCATATCACTATCAGCATTTTAGGCAAAGCCATTCAGCAAGTCTCTAGGAAATTCCCAAACTTTCCCACATTTTCCTGTCTTCCTCTGAGCCCTCCAAACTGTTCCAACCTCTGCCTGTTACCCAGTTCCAAAGTCACTTCCACATTTTCGGGTATCTTTTCAGCAGTGTCCCACTCTACTGGTACCAATTTACTGTATTAGTCCGTTTTCACCCTGCTGATAAAGACATACCCAAAACTGGTAACAAAAAGGTTTAATTGGACTTACAGTTCCACATGGCTGGGGAGGCCTCAGAATCATGGCGGGAGGCGAAAGGCACTTCTTACATGGTGGCAGCAAGAGTAAATGAGGAAGAAGCAAAAGTGGAAACCCCTGATAAACCCATCAGATCTCATGAGACTTATTCACTATCATGAGAATCGCACAGGAAAGACTGGCCCCATGATTTAATTACCTCCCCCTGGGTCCCTCCCACAACATGTGGGAATTCTGGGAGACACAATTCAAGTTGAGATTTGGTGGGGACACAGCCAAACCATATCAGCATCAAAACTCTAAGCATATGGATGACTCCTTCCGTGGGACAATGGCAAGTGATGGACTAACTGCAGCAACACTGATTTCTTAAGCTCGTGAGGTATTTTGCATGTGGTTCAACACCTTCTAGTATATGCGGGACATGACATCTATTCCATTGTTCTCTATCTTTAGGGATTTGGTGGAAACAGTAGACCTCAGGAAGACTGGTATTAAACATCCTATTACATGTGTACATTCATAGACATGCCATTGTGTGCCAATTGAGCATGGGAGAGAGGGAGAACTTATCTGGATGGTATGTTCTTTAGAAGATAGCATCAGTGAGAATAAATATGAAGATACATGGTAAATATAAAGTAGAGAATTTTAGGAAATAGAGTAAGTGAAGAGGAAGGAGAAAACCACCAAAAAAGTAGTAGGGAGGATAGAAAATTTCAGAAGAACAAGTGAACAAAGAATTTGAAGAAATAATTAACATTTTAGAGGCCAGGCACGGTGGCTCATGCATGTAATCCCAGCACTTTGGGAGGCCGAGGCAGGAGGATCACCTGAGGTCAGGAGTTCGAGACCAGCCTGGCCAACATGGCAAAACCCCGTCTCTACTAAAAGGAGAAAAATTAGCTGGGCATGGTGGCGGGCGCCTGTAATCCCAGCTACTCAGGAGGCTGAGGTAGCAGAATCGCATGAACCTGGGAGGTGGAGGTTGCAGTGAGCCGAGATTGTACCACTGCACTCCAGCCTGAGCAACAAGACAGAGATTCCTTCTCAAAAACAAAACAAAACAAAACAAAACATTTCACAGAACCTCAGTAGAGAAGGGAAAGGTACACTGAGCAGAAACTTGGCAACCCAGCTCCCCTGTGACCCTGATGATCAGCTGGGCATGGAACCATTTTCCTGGTCTACCTATCCTGAATGTTACAGATGCTCGGAAACACTGTTGGTTTCCTCTCACTGTCATGTTTCAGCTCTATTAATCCTCCGCATGTCCTTTGGGAACCACTGGACTAGAGGATGTCTAAGGTCAAGTCAAGCTCTGGGAGTCTACAAGGCACTCTATTATCTAAAGACAGTCATTTTGGGAGCTCAGCTCCACAGCCTTCCTTCAGAGTGGCAGTATCCTGAGTAGAAACTGAGACTAAGGTGGAAATTAGGCTGTGTCTCTGGAATAGCAAATAGACTCAACTTCTTAAGCATGTTCATTTATAAGCAGAACCCAGCTGGGACTTGGCAACAGAGGATGCTAGCTTCCGGGAGCCTGCTAGACACTGTAGGTCAAGGTAATGTGGTGACAGGGTTGGGCCCTGCAGCATCCAGGTAAGCCCAGTATTGCCAAGGCCAGGGACTGGAGCTGTGAGAAGATAAGATAACTCCCTTGTGTAGTTGTTCCAGAAAGCAGGCTACAGAGTTGCTAAAATAAGTGGAATTAGAGTAAAGGAAGGGCCAGGAGACCCTATGAGCAAGAAGGAAACAGAGCAAGAACTAAAAGGAAGAAGAGATCTATAAGAATGGAGCTCAGGGGCCGGGCGCGGTGGCTCATGCCTGTAATCCCAGCACTTTGGGAGGGCGAGGCAGGCGGATTATCTGAGGTCGGGAGTTCAAGACCAGCCTGATCAACATGGAGAAACCCCATCTCTATTAAAAATACAAAATTAGCCAAGTGTGGTGGTGCATGCCTGTAATCCCAGCTACTCAGGAGACTGAGGCAGGAGAATCCCTTGAACCCCAGAGGCGGAGGTTGCGGTGAGCCAAGAACGCACTGTTGCACTCCAGCCTGGGCAACAAGAGTGAAACTCCGTCTCAAAAAAAAAAAAAAAAAAAAAAAAAAAGAAAAAAAAAGAATGAGCTCAGAAAGTGCTTGGTGGATCCAGGCAACTCAGGCAACCCAAAACCCTTGGTTTCCAAAGCTTCCAAGAGGCAGACAGAGGTAGAAGCAGGGACGACACCAACTGCCCATGCCTTCCCCCAGCTTCAGGAAACCCAGCCCAAAGAGCCACAAAGAAGGGTGACAACTGGGGGTACATGGAAAGGGCATTCAATCCATGCTTAGATATTTGAGTGAAACAAGATTGGACCATTACTTCACTGTTGATGTGTAACTGAAGTGATGAAGTGGTTTTTCTAGGGAGCTTGGAACGTCAGCTCCATTATTTTAGAACTGTGCAATGTATTATCAGCAGTTCCAACGGAGAAGTTGCTTTAAACAGCTGTAAATTGTGCATTTTTAACCCACAGGCTTGGGATGGAGTTTGGCAGTGAGGAGACTTAGTGTAACAGAAGAAAGTCATCCAAGATGCCTGAGGAAAGAAACCTTCAATTGAGGTGGCTTTAGTGATGCCCTTTATATTAAGTGCTCTGTATACTGGGTAACATCCGTGGGCCCAAGAGAAGTCTCAGATGTGGCCCAGAAAGAAGAACAAGAGAGAAAGAGAGAAGAGAGAAGCTGAGAGAAGGGGAGGGGGGACGAGAGGAGAGGAGAATCCAGGCTGCAGTGATGGAGTGGAATATGACACCATTCAGTGAGGTACAAGGCCACAGCTTCCCCAGCTTTGGGAAACTTCCCTAAGGAGGGAATAACCTCCAGGACCCCCCTCCCCGATCCCCACCGGGCCTCAGGTGCCCTCCCTAGCCAGCACGTGAGTTCTCTCCAGTGGTGCGACCTGTTCTGCTCATGATCTGTCTGCTACTAGCCAGCCGGCTGGAAAATGTGGCCAAGAAAACCGCAGAGACCAATGTTCGGAGGAGAAAACCAGAAAGAGGGGCCTGCCTGGCCCCTTTGATCCTTTATGGCCGATTCCGTGGACATTGCTGCTCCTCACGCCGGCAGCCCTCTCTTGAGTACCTCAATTGCAGTCTCCAGACCCTCCACCCCGCCAGGCATTCCTGGGTCGGTGTCCCAGTCGGTCACAGTCATCGGATCCTCCTGCAGAGCAGTAGAAAGTCCGGGAGGGGCCCGTGCCCATGGCTCCAGGAAAGGAGCGGCCAGGTACCTGCCAGGGGAGACCAGGCACTTCCAGGTGCGACCAGGTACCTCCCAGGTGCGGCCAGGCGCCGCCTCATCTCTCGGTGGGCGAGTGTATTTATTCCAAACCCAGACTGAGAGGTGACAGCTTCAAGTCTGCTCGGGAAGGAAACACCTCGCAGGCCAAGCACAAAGGGGCTTACTCGTTTCTTTTCTGCAGCGGCAGCTTTCCCCCTCCCTCCTGTTTCTCCGCTTTCCCTCCTTTCCCTCCACCATTCCTCGCCCACTCCTGCCCTTCCCGGGTGGGACACGTGAGCTGCTTTGCTGCCCGGATGGAGGCTCTAGGGCTCCGCAGCTCCCAAGGCGCTTCTGGATGAGTCTGCGGCGCGTGAAGCGACAGCCCTGCGCCAGCCTCGTGGCCCACACCTGCGGCTTGATGTGTCTCTTAAAGGGCCCTTCCCTCTTTCCCGCTGCAGCTGACCTCTCTTCAGCCTCCTCGCTCACCTTAGTTTCACCTACTCCAAGTTCTTGCCCTCTCAGTGTTTGTCCCCTACAACCCCTTTCCTTCCCGTATTGACTTTCACCATTACCTTCTCTTCCGGTTCTCTCATTTACATGTCTGTTTTTATCTTCACTGTTTAGCCGGGGTCTCACCCCTTACCTCCGTCCCCATTAACCCAGCCTTCTCCCTCCTTTTCGTCTTCTCAATGTTTTTGAACCCCTTTTCCTCAGTTAGCCATGAGTAACACTTGACAGCAGTAGAACCTGGCTTACTTGCAAACTAGAAAGAGGTCCTAGAAATAACTAAATTTAGGACACACTTCACGGACATATTAAACAGAGCACAGATAATGTACTTAAACCTTTCTTGATGACTCAGGTGGGCAGTGTTCAGGATGAGCTGTGGTGGGAGGAACTTCATGGATTGACTACACTTTGAGGTCAGCATGGTTGGGTTATCAAATTGCAGAATCAGCAGCTTTATCCTTTTGATTCACCAGGAGCAATCACACATTGTAGAGTCACACTATAACATTCGCAAGAGAACAAAGACAAAACTAGATCATCAGTGTATTGATTTATTAGGGGGGATAAACTGTTAGTGGTAGAGATGGGCTAGATGCTCACCAATCCTGTTTCTTCTGCTTGGGCACATAGGGAGACTATATTCCACAGCCTCACTTGCAGTTAGGTGAAACAATGTGATTGAGTTCTACCCAGGTGAATGTGGGCAGAAGTGATATATGCCACTTGTAGATATACCCAAAAAATGTCTCAGGTGCTGGAAGTGAAGGACTTCGCAATGGAGGAGAAACACAGTAGAAGGATCCTGGATACATAAGTCACCACATGGAAGACAGCCACCAGGAGAGATGCCTGACTCACATTGGACTATCATGTGGACAAGAAATAAAATGTTATTGTGTTGAGACACTGTGCTTTAGAGACTGTTTATAAGTTAGCATTAGTATATCTTTACAGGGGAAAAATAACTTGTTTCCACTGTTCCAAATACCCATTTCCCATACCAAGGTATATAAAAAACCTTGTTGTCAGAGGCTTGCTTGGTAAGCATGAAATAGAACAAAGCCCTGAGAGTTAGTTTATTTAACTGCAATTCAACTTAAGCAAGACTTTTTGCTTTAGCTTAGAATACTGGAAAAAAGTTGATATTGCAAGTAAGGTGGGAAGGGCATTTAAATGGTCATTTTTGAAACATAGGGTACCATCTAACTACCTGTTCATCTTTTGATTTAGGAGGAAAGAGGAGCATGAGAACTCAGAAGAAATTGTACCTACTCAGAAGTGTGGAGTGAGGATAGACGTTCCCAGATTCAAAGGCATCATGAAGTGTCATGACAAGATAGAAAAGACTTTGGGCTGGCCAAGAAGGAACTGGATAAAATTATGAGTGAGGTAGGTGTTAGTTAAGTTCCAGGCACACATATGGTTTGCCATCTTGTCAACATCTCCATGTGGTTGCCTAATCAGTGTTAACAGAAAAACTTTTGACAAATTAAATTTAACAGAGTTTATTTGAGCAAAGAATGATTCATGAGTTGGGCAGCACTCAGAACTAGAAGAGGTTTGGAGACTGCCCTGCAAAGTGGGCAGCGAGTACTTATAGACAGAAAATGGAAGTGGAGTACAGAAATAGCTTGATTGGTTACAGCTAGGTGTTTGCATTATTTGGACATGGTCTGATCAGTTGGCTAACTCAGTTGGCTGAGTTAGCTTGCAGTTTGCTACATAGTGAGTCAAAGTAGAGAAACAGCCTCAGGCAAATGGCCTCCTGCTTATTTAATTTAATACAGGCCTTCCAAATCTAGCAAATCCAAAACTTCCTCTCAAAGCCCCTCCCATCTTAATAAACATTTATTCTATTTTTCCAATTTCTTGGACCAGAAACCATAAAGCTTGTCTTAAGTCATCTCTTTCTCTCATGCTCCACATTAAGTCCATTAGCAAATTCTGTATGCCCTACATCAAAATATGTCCAGAAATCAGCTACCTCTACCATCAGGCTGTGCCACCTTGTTCCAAGCTACAAACTTCTCTTCCCTATGGAAGTACAAAGGTCTCCTAATTGCCCTCCCTGCTTCCAGCCTTGCTCCCCTACTATCTATTTGCAGTCACAACATTTTTATTTTAAGATGGAAATCAGATTACATTATTCAAACTCTCCAAATGATTGCCATCTTACCATAAATGAAATCCCAAGTTCTGATAGTGGTTTCCATGATCTGTGCCCCTGCTTCATGAGAAGAGGAACTTAGTCTGTTTTGTTCTGTTTTGTTTAATGCTGTGTTCCCAGCAAGAATGCTGCCTGGCACACATTAGGATTGACTAAATATTTATTGAATGATGGACATAGAGGTAGAGACTGGGAAGAAAAAAAAAGGAAAGAAGAATATTTGAGGCCATAGTCACAAACATATACAGCATGGATTTAATGACCTTTGGTGGTGATAGCTCAAATGCTACAACATGAGAATGTCACCATTGTATAAGGAAGATCTTGGAACACACTCAGTTTCCTATTTTTTATGAAAAATGTGAGGCTTTCCCCAATGAAAATGAGGAAGACAGTTAATTCCACAAGCATCTTGGCTTCTTGACTTTTTATTTAAAGTATTTTTTTATTTTTATTTTTTGGAGACAGAGTCTTACTCTGTGGCCCAGGTTAGAGTGCAGTGGCATGATCTCAGCTTACTGCAACCTCTGCCTCCCGGGTTCAAGCAATTCTCGTGTCTCAGCCTCCCGAGTAGCTTGGACTACAGGCACACACCACCACGCCCGGCTTATTTTTTGTATTTTTAGTAGAGATGGGGTTTCACCATGTTGGCCAGGCTGGTCTCAAACTCCTGACCTCAGGTGATCCACCAGCCTCGGCCCCCTAAAGTGCTGGGATTATAGGCATGAGTCACCACGCCTGGCCTTCCTCATTTATAACATCATTCATAAATTCTTTTAATTTAGAAAGTTCTACTAAAAACTAGAAGACATGTACCACTATGTAGCTTAATGTGCACATGTCAAGGGCATTGTATATTCAGATACTGTATTTCCTTTGATAGATGCAACCTTGCAGGTGGATGTTAATGAATAAGCATAACCAAAAATATGGAACATCGCTCTAAATCTGTTCTATTGGATATGAGGAGTCCCAGCTCATTTCCTCATTGTCTCTTGTTTTCCTTGGCACACCATCCCTGTGGGTAGTGATTCGGGTCTCACCTCTGCTTTATGTCATCCTTCAGGTTCTAGCTTAAATGTCTCTTCTCAGAGAAACCATCCCTGACCACTATCTAAAGTAGGCAGCCTCTACCTGGTAATTCTCCTTCATAGAGTCCTCTTGTTTTCCTTTGCAGCACTTATCAATGATCTGTAATCACATATTGGTTTCTTGCCATTTATTCAATGTTACCTATCTTCCCAGAGTGTAAGCCCCTTGAGGTCAGGACCATGTCTATTTTGTCACAATGGGATGCCTAGTGCTTGACTTCAGTAGACACTCCATAGTAGACGCTGCATAGGTATTCGGTGGATACGAGAGTGAAACAGTGAATGAAGGAAGGTGGACCTGGGCCAAGGAGCTGGGCGGCCAAGGTCAGGTTTATGCCATCAGCCCCACTCAGGACAAATGTCCCGACTCCTGCTCGGAGCCCTCTTCCTACTACTCTGTGCTTCCCACAGCTGTTGATCATCTCACTGACAAGCAGGCTCAGCCAAGAAAGTGGAAAGAGGAAAAGAAAAATGAGGCACAGGAGGGTAGAATGGAAAATCTCAGCTCTTTTAGCAGCCACTCTTCCTTATTTCTTGCTAGAGTATTGGCACCTTTAAAAGCCTTGGCTGTCCTCCCCAACCTCCCCACTCAATCACAAACCGCAGCACCTAGAAAAAAATAAAGGCAAAAATCAATGTGCTAAATCTCAGTTGGGCTCAGTAGCAACTCCCTGCAGCTTCCCTCTGCAAGCCATGGAACTGAGCTCTCCAGCCCTCTCCCTGAACTTGACTGCAGGGTTGGGGAACTTGCATGCTAAAAATATGCCCTCTCCCCTTCGGCAACCCATTCCCAACCTGGTGAAGACCAAGGAGGAAGCTTCTGAGATTCTCCTCCTTGCCTTCCATTTGCAGCTCAGATTCTCTGTCCAATGACTTCATCTACCCTCTCCTGCTGTCCACTCTCTGCTCCCTTTCTTCTCAGCCCTCACTTGGTCTCTGCCCTACTTACCCAGCCAGTGGCCTCTAAAGTTTTCCATTCAGAATTTCCCTCTTTACCTTCTCTTTTAGATATGTAGAAAGTGAAAGGGAAAAGGGGATTGTTATCTGGGTACAGACGGTTGAGTTGGGAAGAGAATCATATTTTGATTATTAAAATATTAAAATGATACAGTTTCATTTCTGCACCCCCCCCAACCTTTTTTTTTTTTTTTTTTTGAGACAGAGTCTCACTCTGTTGCCCAGGCTGGAGTGCAGTGGCATGATCTTGGCTCACTGCAACCTCCGCCTCCCTAGTTCAAACAATTCTCATGCCTCAGCCTCCTGAGTAGTTGGGATTACAGGTGTGCACCACCACGCCCAGCTAATTTTTTGTATTTTTAGTAGAGGGGGGTTTTGCAATCTTGCCCAGGCTGGTCTTGAACTCCTGGCCTCAAGCACTCCACCTGCCTTGGCCTCTCAAAGTGCTGCGATTACAGGCATGAGCCACCGCAACTAGCCCATTTCTCCCTTAACCCATATTCTTTTCAGCTTTTCCCCTCTAAGTCTGAATCAAGGAGTCTACTGCCCCAGAGAAGGAGAAGGTGAGAGCCATGGATAACTAAGAGGCAACCGAGCACCTTGTGGTGTCAAATCTCACTTACTTGACCACTTAATCAGGAGCTTTCTCTTGAAAGCTAGGCTTTGTGGAAAAACAGCAGGGATTTCTAAATTCTAGAACTCTTCCTTTAATGCATCGAGAGCCCTGCCTGGCTGGCTAGATGGATAAATTTTAGGAAAGGACGGTCCATGTCAGAGAGAAGACTCATCTCATTGGGTGCTAGAAAGAAGCATATGAGGGATACGAAGAGACACAGCAGGGACAAGAGATCACATAGGTTCTCATTCCTAGGGACAGACACTCAGGTACATGTGCGTGTGTGTGTATGCATGCTCATGTGCGAGCATGCATGCATGCCCGTAGGTGAAGAGCAGGGGAGAGAAGTGGGGAACCTGCAAATGTTAAAGTGAAAGGTGGGCTCGTGTCACACGTACCTGGGCATACCTTAGAGGAAGCTCCCAGCTCCCAACTAAAGTCCCACTTCTTCAGGGTGACAAGAAGCAGTCATAAGGCATCCGCTGAGGAAGTGGCTGGATGAGGGAGCCTGGGGCAGCACTCCCAGCTCTCCACTGCTGGCTCAGGAAGAGCAGAGGACTCAGATGATCTTACCAGACCCAGAGAAGATGCTGAGAGGGCTGGGGGCCCACAGAGGTTCGTGGTCAGGAAAAAGGGACTGTTAAGGACAGAGACTTTGAGACCAGGGCCAATGGCTGGGCCCTGCCACACTTCTCAGTCCTTTTTGCAGATGATCCTTTATTCCTTTATATCCTTTATTCTTCTTTGTATATGAACCCTGGACTTCCTAACTCCCTCTCTTAGTGATATAATCCAATGTCACAGCTTTAAACACGTGCATGTCTCTAGGCCTAGATCTTCCTTGAACACTAGATTGTTAAAGGCAGTTCCTTCCCCACCATTTCCACTTACAAAATAAAAGTATCGGCTGGGCATGGTGGCTCATGCCTGTAATCCAAGCACTTTGGGAAGCCAAGGCGGGTGGATCACCTGAGGCCAGGAGTTCAAGACCAGCCTGACCAACATGGTGAAACCCCCTCTCTACTAAAAATGTAAAAATTAGCCAGGCGTGGTTGTGTGCACCTGTAGTCTCAGCTACTCAGGAGGCTGAGGCAGGAGAATTGCTTGAACCTGGGAAGCAGAGGTTGTAGTGAGCCGAGATCATGCCACTGCACTCCAGCCTGGGTGACAGAGTGAGACTCCATCTCAAAAATAAATAAAATAAATAAATAAATAAATACATACATACGTAAATAAAAGTATCCAAAACTGAGCTGGGTGTGGTAGCTCACGCCTGTAATTCCAGCACTTTGGGAGGCTGAGGCTAATGGATTCCCTGAGGTCAGGAGTTTGAGACCAGCCTGGCTAAAATGGTGAAAACCCATCTCTATTAAAAATACAAAAATTAGTTGGGCATGCTGGCACATGCCTGTAGTCCCAGCTACTCGGGAGGCTGAGGCAGGAGAATTGCTTGAACCTGGGAGGTTCAGGTTGCAGTGAGCCGAGATGGCGCCACTGCACTCCAACCTGGGCGACAAAGTGAGACTCCGTCTCAAAAAAAAAAAAAAAAATCCAAAACTGAACTCCTTGACCTCTTCCCTCCCTAGAAAACTGCTCCCTCTCAGTCTTTCCCTTTTTTTTTATGGAAACATCAGTCTTCTAGTTGCTCAGTGAAATCCCATGAAGCATGTGTGATCCCTTTTTCTCCCCTGCCATTAGTAAACCTTGCCTACTCCACCCCCGGTGCTGCTACCCTGGCCTGTGCCCTTGTCATCTACCTGAGAATTTTGCAGTTGCCTCCTAACTCCCCTTTCTTCTCCCACTCTTGCTCTCTACAGTCTATTCTCCACACAGCAGCTATAGTGAGACCCCTAAAATTTACTTGGTGTGGAATCCTCCAATGTCTTCTCATCTCATTTAGAGTAAAAGCAAAACTCCTTCCCATGGTCCGCCAGGCCCACCACAGTCTGTCTGTCCACTGCCTCTCCTGTTCACCTGCTCCAGTCCAGCCAGCTGGCCCTCCTTGCTCTTCCTCTAACATCACACATGCTCTTGCCCGAGGGCTTTTGTACTTGATAGTCTCCATGCCTGGAAGGCCCTTACCCATATTCAGACCTTCACTTTCTTTGGGACTTAGCTTCAGATGGCTTCATATTAATGGGGACTTCCCTGACCACACTACCTAGAAAACGGTGGTCTCACCCGGCACGCCCTGTTTCCCTCAGCCTGCCTCTCCACGCCTTATATTGCTCATCTCCCCGACATATGGCAAATTATTAGTCTATTTATTATCCATTGCACATCCAGAAGAACATAAGATCCATGAAGCCAGAGGGTGAGGACTTTGTTTTGTTCACTGCTGTATATTCGGCACCCAGAATGCACCTGGTACATAGTAGGGGTTCAATCCATATTGTGAGTGAGATGATTGAACAAAGGTTCCGGGTCCCCCATCTCTGCCACTACCAACTCCTGAAGACTCTCTACCTTCCCATGCACCATCCTGGAAATGAACCAGCTGTGGAGGAAATCTGAACAACTGAACTTGAAACCAGAAAGAGTCTGAGTGATCTAGAAGCAAGACTATCTGTGGCCAAATAAGCTATGAAACCATACACTCAGCAAGTATTACTTTTCTTTCTCTTAGTAGTTACCCAGTGGGATGGGAGCTGCTGATGAAGAGCAGATCAGTTATGAGAAATTAAAAAGCTACATTTTCTTGGCACATCTGAGTGAACGGCGGCAACAAACATTTCTGCACATGTGAATCTGCGTGGCTCCTTGCATGAGTCCAAGGAGCACATGTGATCACCTGCCTTTGTGTGCAATGTGACAGAGGATGCATGAGACCAAATCTCTGCCTTCAAAATGCTAGGTAGCTGGGGTGCTATGATACATATTGTAGAGTTGGAGACATCCTCGTGAAAGCAAGTGGCTAGATTCGATTATACAACCACATAACCACAAAATCTTTTAACAAAATTGTCCTGGTGTGAAAATATTAGGAAGAATGCATGTTCCTCCAAACTGGGTTGTAGGAGGGACAGCTGAGTGGACCTGGCAGTGTCAGGTCTCTATTACCTGACTGAGTGGACCAGGCTTGGAGCTGGGTGTCAGAAGAGTCATGTCTAGACAGCCCCCTAACAAACAAAAGGAGACGTGACTTCTCAGAACTCACTTGTTTCCATCCCTTGGGAACCATTTCTCAGAATAACTGCTCCAAGAAAGACTTGAGAAACCATCCTATGGATTGAAAAGGATCAAGAAACCACTGTTTTCTGTACTCAAAGGGAAAGAAGGGTCCATCTGAAGTCTCTCTGGCAAGGAATCCATGTCCTGATTTGCATATACGGAGTGTGTAGGGATCTCAGCCAACAAGAGCTTTATTTCTGCTACCTAGCGTTTGTGAGACGGATGTCTAGATGTGACTGTTCTGACATGCTGTCACTGTTACCTGTCTTCTTCTACAGTGAAGGCACTGCTCTTCAACCAACAAATGTGGATTGCACACCAAGCCCGTCCCTGTTCTCCATGGCAGGACAATGCCTTCATTCAGGGAGTCACTGTTTGTAAATCTGAGCTACCCTTAACGCTTTCACATGGATGTGTGAACTGCACAGGCCAAACCTCTCTCACAAATCCCTGCCAAGGGCATCAGTACTAGGTGATTCCTGTAGTATTGATCTATGACTGACTCACAGACTACCCCAAACCTAGCCATTTAAAACAGAAAGTATCAATTACCTCAAGGTTCCTATGAGTTAGGAATCTGAGTTGGTTTAGCTGGTGCTTCTGGCTCAAGGTCTCTGGCCAGGGCTGCAGTCTTATCTGAAAGCTCAAAGGTAGAAGAGCTGCTTCACAGCCCACTCATGTGGCTGTTAGCAGGCCTCCAAAGATCTGCTTCCAAACTCATTCATGTGGGCTGCCTCCATGACATGACAGCTGGAATCCCCAGAAAGAGAAATCAGAAAGAGAGCAAGAGGCCGGGTGTGGTGGCTCATGCCTGTAATCCCGCACTTTGGGAGGCCGAGGCAGGCAGATCACTTGAGGCCAGGAGTTTGAGACCAGCCTGGCCAACATGGCAAAACCCTATCTCTACTAAAAATACAAAAAAAAAAAAAAAAAAAAAATCAGCTGGGTGTGGTTGTATAGGCCTGTAGTCCCAATTACTTGGGAGGCTGAGGCACAAGAATCACTTGAACCCAGGAGGTGGAGGTTGCAGTGAGCTGAGATCATGCCACTGCACTCCATTCAGGCTGGGTGAGAGAGTGAGACTCCATCTGAAAAAAAAAAAAAGAGAGAGAGAAAGAGAGAGCAAGAGAAAGAAATCAAGATGTAAGCCAGAGTCATTTTATAACCTTATCTTGGAAGTGACATACCGTCACTGAAGCAAGTCAAAAAGCCCAGTCCACATTCAAGGGAAGGGATTATATAAGGGTGTGAATACTAGGAGGTGGGGCCCACTGGGGCCATCGCAGAGGCTGCCTACCACATTTCCTTAATCCCAAATTTCCTTCCTGCTACCACATGGATGCTGTTTCCTGAGCCACAGCTGCTTGGACTAGGAGCAGGCTCCTGACTCAGGCACATCCAACCCGCAAGCTGGCCAGATGTGTCTTGGTATGAGAGTTAAGCCCAACAGAGGTGAAAATGATAAAGTCCAACCAATTACTTTCTCTCTCTATGTTCAATTTGATCTGAAGGTACAGCAGGTGGGAACAGTGTCACTGAACCCTATCAACAGCAGAGCATGAGAACGTGAATTCCTGCTGCTGGGGAGGCAATGAAATGATATGGGCCTTCAGATGTCTATGAATCCTGACCCACCGTGGGTGCCAGTTTTCAAGAGGGTAAGCTGTGCTACGTTTTCACCCTTTGAAACCTGCTTGTTCTGCCCTTCTCAAGTTCCCAGAAGTTATTACTGCCTGGCTGAGAGATTCCTGTTTTACTTATTTTCCCATAAAGAAACCATCTCTTAGCACTCATGCCCTAAGGAGGACTATGCCCCGCCATCAGAGGAGTCTAAGACCATGTGGCGACATCAGGTGGTATACCACAAACATGGTCAGGTCAATAAATGCATGGGTGCTCAGCAAGAAAAGATCTATCAATCAACGGGTATTTTTAAAAATAGCCACCATTTATTGAAGGTACTCATCTCAGTGCTTTACCTGAGTTATTTTATTTAATGCTCCCAATAACCCTATGACCTCTGTCTTATTATCTCTGTTTTACCAATAAAAACAGAGCCTTGGCCACGTTCAAATAGCTGATAAGAAGCAGAGTCAAGATAAGGGTCTAAGTTTTTCTTATTCTAGAGCCCATACATTAAGCCACCTTTCCAGAAACTTCCATTTCCAGGTGTGTCTCCTTCCATTTCAGGTGTGACCTTAGATATGTGTGTAGTAAATAATTTAATGTCGCCTAAAGAGAGGACTGGACTTTGCGCTTCACTCTTGAGAGGCAATTTCTAAGCTCTTGGAATGTCCCACCTGATAAAAGTTTTCCTGGGGGCTTTGGGCCACACCAGAAGGTCTAACATTGTGATGTATGGTGGGGTCTTTGAGTCATGTGGTATCAGCTTAACTTCTAAAGGGGCTGGGGACTTAGGCCAGCCACATGGGCAGTGACCATGTCTATGTGATGGAACCCAACACGGACTCTGGACACCAAGGCTTGGGGAACTTCCCTGGTTGGCAGTGCTCCATGTGTATTGTCACACACCATTACTGAGAAAGTAATGCTGGGTATATCTCTCTGGGAGAACACAACTGGAAGCTCTGTGTGTTTGGAACTTTCCTGGATTCTACCCCATGCATTTCTTTCCTTAGCTGTTTTTATTCTGTTTTCTTTCACTGTAATAAACCATAACTCTGAGTAGAACAGCTTTCAGGGAAGCTGTGAGTCCTTCTAGCAACTATCAAATCTGAAAGTGGTTTGGGAAACCCCTGGACTTGCAATTAGTGTCAGAGTCAGGGCAATTTTGTGATCTACTCCCTCACTTTGTAATGTGTCTCTTAGGCTCTCAGCCTGAGTTTCCTCATCCATGACACTGGACAAGATGATAATAATTGCTTTACTTATGTGGAGCCAGAGACAGTGTGGGTAACAAGCTCTAGAGTGGCGCAGTGCACATCCTGAGAAACCGTATGCAGCAGCCCTGGTTATCTTGCAAGTTGTAAGGACTGAATCTTTTTGACATTTACTGAGCATCTGCTCTGGAGATCCATAGATAAGTAAGACATGACACTCATCCTCAAGGGCTTATCTTATAGGGATGAGACCAATAGGAAAGAAACATTTGATAAGAAACAGTGCCACAACCATGTTATTTTTAAAAAATCTTATTGGAGCATTACAAAGATACAAAAAGTAGGCACATTTGCTTGTACGGCTCAACGAATGATCAGGAAGTGAACACATTCATGTAACCATCCATGTCAAGAAGCAGAACATGACCCAGAAGCATCCCAAAGCCCTCGTTCTCTTCCTAATCACCTTTCTTCTTCCTCCCCACATGAAGCCGCTACCTTGACTTCCAGCAGCGGGCTTGCATGTTTTTTAACTTTATATAAGCGGAGTACTACCATATGTATTCTTTTTGTGTCTGGCTTCTTGCTTAACATTATGTTTGTGAGATCCATTCAAGCTGGAGCTTGAAGCTGTGACTCATTTATTTCACTGCTGTAAAGAATTATGTTTTATGAACATACCACAATATACAATATATAAAAATCTACTCTACTCCTGATGTACATTTGGGCTTTTTCTACCTTTTGGCCAACAAAGATTATACTGCGCTAAGCAACCTCAGAGGTGTCTTTGGAAGCACATGTGTGTGCATATCTGTTGGCTACCATGGGAGGCAAAGTAATGATCCCTCAAAGATGCCTGTCTCCTAATCCCTAGAACCTGTGAATATGCTACATTTCATGGCAGAGGGAATGAAGGTAGAAGATGGAAGTAAATTTGTTAATAGCTGACCTTAAAGTAGGAAGATTATTCTGGATTATCCAGGCAGGCCCAGGGTAGCACAAGGATCCTTAAATGTGGAAGAGGGAGACAGAAGAGGAGGTCACAGTGGCGTAATGTGAGAACTCCCCTTTGCTAGCTTTGGGACCATCAGACAAGGACTGTGGCTGGGCCTCTAGGAGCTGAAATGATTAAGGAAATGGATTCTTTCATAGAGTTTCCAGATGGAACACACATTAGCTGACACCTTGATTTTAAGTCAGGAGATCCATTTCCCACTTCTGAGCTGCAGAACTGTAGGATAATATACTGGTATTCTTTTAAGTCACTAAGTTTGTGGTCATCTGTTATGGCAGTGATAGAAAATTAATATAACTGTATTCTTATAAGTAGAATAACTGAGTATGTACATGTTCATCTCTTATAGAGATTGTCAAGCAGTTTTCGATTGTGGTTGTATCAATTATACTCCCACCAGGAATGTACGAGTGTTCCCATTGCTCCACACCCTCATCAATGCTTGGTGTCATCAGTCTTTTTAATTACAGCCATTCTGTTGTGATATCTCATTTCTATTTCAATGTGTTCCTCTAATTACAAAGGCAGTGGGGTAACTTTTCATATGATTATTGGACATTTGGGTTTCCTCTTAAGTGAAGTGCTGATCAAATCTCTCGCCATGTGTGATATTGGGATATAATAAAAGATATATTTGGCCTTCATCCCCAGTTGCTGCCACAGAGCTCCTGAAACTTTTATAATTTCCTCTTGGTAAAATGTTTAATTAACTGATCTTCTTTGATATCTTTTATTCTAGTAGGGAGCATCTTTTATTCTAATATTTGGTCTTTGACCCCAGTTCCTGACACAGAGCTCCTAAATTCCTTGAAATGTTCTAGGTGATAGGAGTGTCTTTTGTCAAATCAGATGACTCTTGGTGGGTCCCTGGATGGGGGGGCTGCTCATCAGAAATATATGACACTGCCATGGTTAGACACTTGGAACTTTCAGCCCTACCCCCTATCCTCCAGGAAGGGAAGAGGGCCTGGAGATTGAGTTAATTGATTATGCTTATGTCATGAAATCTCCATAAAAATCCCTGACATATGGGGTTTGGAGAGCTTCTGGGTTGGTGAATACATCCACATGCTGGGAGGGCGGTGTACCCAAACAGCAGCCCCTGCATTCAGGACCCTTCCCCACCTCACCCTATGCACCTCTTCATCTTGCTGCTCCTCTGTCTGCTTTACTATATGGTAAACCAGCAAACATCAGTGTTTCCCTGAGTTCTGTGAGCTGTTGTAGCAAATTGTCAAACCTGAGGGGAGTTGCGGGAACCCCTGATTTGTAGCCAAGTCAGACAGAAGTGTGGGTAACCTGGGGACCCACCACTTGTGGTTGGCATCTGAGTGGAGGGCAGTCTCGTGGGCTGACCCCTTAACGTGGAGGATCTGCACTAACTCCAGGTAGGCAGTATCAGAATTGCTTGGTATGGGAAACCCACACATTTGGCGTCAGAAGTATTGACTATAGAAGGAAAAACAGCTTTTTCTTAGTACCATGCTATACCTGTTTGCTGTTGTGATAAAAGAGGAATAGACTTTAGAACATAGCTCTCTATTTATTCATAAAGCCATTCTGCATTCTCAAGTAACAAAATTAGGATTTTCTTTAATATTTTATGAGATTTTTTTCTTTTCTTACTTGTCTTTAAAATAGTATTGCAAACAGGAGCAGATTCTTCGTCTGGCTATCACAGTATGGCTGTTTTAGTGGGCTACAACATAAACCCACACATATATACACACACACACACACACACACTCACACACACACAGAGTTGCAAACATATATGGGACAGTGGAAACAAATATGAAACAGCTCTTAAAGCCACTAATGAATATTTTTAAAACAGTAGTCATAAACACTAACAGACCATTAGGATATTATTTATAGATTAATAATCTCTGCATGAGACCATTTCATTCAGAGGCTCTGTGATGAGTGTATTTGGGCTGGCCTGGGTATTGAATGATGAGATTGATATATGATTTTCTTCAGCTGATATAACTTCTAAAATAAATCATTCATACAGTTGGTGACTCATACAATCCATTTCAGTATGCTCAGCTACATGTTAGGAGATTTTTATTTAATTTAAGCATTTTCATTACTGTAGATTTTTATTGTTCACTGTTTAGTTTTAAGTCTTGGGTAATTGCTATAATAAGGTTACTAGTCAGAGACTGCAGATAAAGAACAGCAATTCAACAATTAAAAGGCAACCAACAATGCAATCTGTTGAGTTGCAAAAAAAAAAAAAAAAAAAAAAAAAAAAAAATCAGATCTGAAACTGCATGAAGATGGGCTGAAGGCCAAAACTATTAATGCAAAATATGATTATTTCCAGTGGTAAACCAATATGTGTTGGGCTCCTGTGTTACATGGGGGGTTTTGTAAGAGAATCCGAGCACCAGCATTTGGTAGGACACAATTAGACTATCTCCTCCCAGAATTCCCTTTTTAATACTTTCAGGATTTATTATACCAGGTCCTAATCCTTTCCTCTTCCTCTTTTCCTCTGTGTTTCTTCCCTTTACCGTTCCTCTTTTTTTTTTTTTTTTTTCTTGAGGTGGAGTCTTGCTCTATCACCCGGGCTGGAGTGCAGTGAGGCAATCTTGGCTCACTGCAACCTCCACCTCCCAGATTCAAGCGATTCTCCTGCCTCACCCTCCCAAGTAGCTGGGACTACAGGTATGCACCACCACACCTGGCTAATTTTTTTTTGTATTTTTAGTAGAGACGGGGTTTCACCATATTGGCCAAACTGGTCTCAAACTCCTGACCTCGTGATCTGCTTGCCTCGGCCTCCCAAAGTGCTGGGATTACAGGTGTGAGCCACCATGCCCAGCCTACAATTCCTCTTTCTGTGTGTCTTTCCATGCTCAGAAAAAGTAAGTCTTGAGGGCAAGGACCTAGTCTTCTTTGCATATCTTTCTAAGTATCTTTGGAAATTGTCTGTTCACCTCTGCTTCCCTCAGCCTAGTTCAAGCCACAATTTCTCACATTGCCTCCTGTGGACTCCTGGTCATTCTACAGCCTTCCTTACTCCTCCCCATCCCTCTTCAACCCCATCTTAGAAAGCCTCCACCCAGCGGCCAGACTGATCTTACACAAATTCGATGGAATCATTCCTGTACTTAAAATGGCTTCTCATTACTCCAAACTCTTCCACATCTCCTGAAGGTCTTTCCGGGTCAGCCTCCAGCCTGCCTCACCAGCGTCTTCTAGAATCTTTCTCCTTCTTGCTTTGAGTTCTCCCTTTCAGATCCTAGAACATACTGTGCTCCTTTCCACCTCAGGGCCTTTGCACACACTGCTCCCCTGAGTTGTGAAGGCTTTCTGTGTGATACCAGCCCATTGGGTCTCAACTTAAGCATCACTTCCCCAGACCAGCCCTCCAATAATCCCAGCCTTGGTCAAGTTGTGTTAAAGTTTGTTCTCAGAGCAAACAACCCTTATTTGTCCTTTCCAGGACTTACCACAATTGTGAAATTTTAACTGTATAATTCATTCATTCCTTCAACTTTCTCTAGCACTTAATATGTGCCCAACACCAAATATATACTGATGAACAAGACAGACATGTCCCCAAAGACCTTATAGTCTGGGCAGGATGGGGCATAGGGCATGGAAGGGGGAGCAGCTGATACTAACACATAAATATATATTGCAAATTATAGTAAGTACTTAAAGGAAAGAACAGAGTGCCATGAGAGACAAGTGCAGGAGCCCCTACTGTAGACTAAGGAGTTAGGAAAGATCTCTCCAAGGGGATGAGTTTCAAGTTAAGATCCAAGGCAGAGAAGGAGCCAGCCATGGAAATGCCTTCACATGTGCTGTTCCCTCTGCTGGGACAGGGAATTAGGTGGGAAAGAGTTTGGCATGTTTGAAAAGAAGGAAAGAAGCCAGGATGATTGGAATGCAGTAAGTGACAGGGAGAGTAACCCATGGCAAAGCTGGAGAGTAGGCAGGGGCTAGATTGCATAGGGGCTTGTGGCTTAGGATTTAAGAGACTACTGTAAGGGCATTGGGAAGGTTTTTTTTAAAGATTTTAAGCAGGGTAGCTATGATGCAACTCCTTAAGTGGAGAATAGACTGTTGGAGGCAAATGTGAAGGCGGGAATTGCAACGGGGCTATTTCCAAAAACTTCCAGAAGGGAAGTGTAATCCCTTGGACTAGCATGGTGGTGATGGAAATAGGGGATAAACTGGTTAGGGAGGCAAATCTAGAACTTAGTTTTGAACATGCTGGTTTGAGATGTGTGTGAGACACCCAACTAGATGTGTTCAGCAGCCAGTCATACAAGCTGGAGTGAAAGATGAGGTGTCGGCTAGAGATGTAGTAGAATCTCATCTGACTTCAGTGTTAATTTGTAAAGTCAGCATGTAAGGCCAAAGAATAAACAATTAAAAATCATCCTTCAAAAACCCTTAGAGCTGTGGACCTGAGTCTTTGGAAACTCAAAAGATAGGAGTTAACTTGTTTTTCTCCCTGATGTGTGGCCACAACTTCTCCCATCTCCCCTCCTCTCCAACAGTATCTTTTCCGGTTTAAGCGAAGTCAAAGTCTGGTTTGTAGAAATGGAAATATGGAAAAAGTAGGGTTGGCTTTTTTTTTTGTCAAGTGACTAGAGTTGAATCACTTTTCATCTAATGTAGCTTTACTGTATTACTTGGGAATCATCAGCAAACAGATGGTTTTTAAATTATGGAGATGGATAAGTTCACTTAGGGCAAGAGATGAGAGCTGTGCTAGTTTCCCAGGGCCATCATAACAAAGTACCAAACCTGGGGGGCTTAAAACAACAGAAGTTCATTCTCTCACCATTTTAGAGGCCAGAAGTCAGGAATCAAGGTATCTGCAAGGCCAGGCTCCCTCTGATACCTGCACAGGAGAATACTCGCCCCCATCAAGCCTCTGGTGTTTGCTGGCAGTGCTTGGCATCCCTCAGCTGATCGATGCGTCAGTCCCACTTCTGCCTCCATGGTCAGCAGGCATCCTCCCCTCGTGTGTCTGTGTCTCCATGTGGTATTCTCCTGCCCATGTGTCTTTCTCCCTGCCTCTTAAAAAGACACCAGTCGGATCAGATTAAGAGCTCACCTTACTCCTTATATGACCTCATCTTAAATAATTGTAGCTGCAGAGACCCTATTTCCAAATAAACAAGGCAGTGGGGGTTAGGACTTCAATGGGTCTTTTTGGGGAACACAACTCAATGTGTAACAAGGGTGCACGGCTCTCTCTCAGCAATAGCAATGGTAGAAGTCTGGTGGGCTGGGCAAGGTGAAAGAAATAGCAGCTCATCTGGGCTGTCATTTTCATCTGGGCTGTGCTCCCCATTAGAACATCTAACTTCCCCCTCAGAATGTCACAGACTCCATGCAAACGAGGCTGTATCTTTCCTGTTCCCTACTGTTCCTCAAAACTGTGGGTAACAAATGTGAAAATAAGTTACCTTTGATAGGCTGGGCATGGTGGCTCACGCCTGTAATCCTAGCACTTTGGGAGACTGAGGCAGGTGGATCACTTGAGGTCAGGAGTTTGAGACCAGCCTGGCCAACATGGTGAAACCCTGTCTCTACTAAAAATACAAAAATTAGGCAGGCCCGTTGTGGCAGGTGCCTGTAATCCTAGCTACTCGGGATCCTGAGGCAGGAGAATCACGTGAACCTGGGAGGCAGAGGTTGCAGTGAGCCAAGATCATGCCATTGAACTCCAGCCTGGGCAACAGAACAAGACTCCATCTCAAAAAAAAAAAAAAAAAGTTACCTTTGCTATGACTTTCTAAACCACAGTCTATTTCTCATAGGAAAAGTTCCACTTTCCAGAGACATTTCACCAGTAATCTCTTCACTTTCTAGATTGGTCTTCCCCTTTCAGGCCACATCTCTACTTACTTAAGTTTCATCCACCTTCCTGAGGCTGGCCAGAACATACCGCAATAGAGACAGCCACCACATAAGAATCACAGTCAGACGACACTTCCATTGCATCCGCTTTGCCCTGGTCATTATATGGACATTCCCAATCTACTTCAGTCCTTTCCAAAATGTGTCTTTCCGGATTACACATTCCTTGCTGTAGTTTTTGTGAACTGCTCGCCAACCTCAAAGTGCAAACATGACCACAATCTCTTTTATTTTTCTATTCAATTGCACAAGGGGCCAAATGACTAATTTGCTGAAAGCAGGTGCCTGTGTTGGGAACTTTCATTCCCCTCGTCCACCATGTTGAGGAATTCTGGAGGTTTATACAGCCTCCAGAGGAGTCAGGATGGTCTCCATAACCCCCCCAAAAGAGAAAATTAGGGTCTCCAGTCTTCTATTGCTATTGATTCTCAGTATCACGAGGTGTCACTGTTGAAAACTTGTTCTATGCAGTCTCAGAGCTAACAATGATTTACCCTGGGATGATGCCTTCTAGAAGGCCCAGATCCCATCACAAGCCACTGTGGTTTTCTTAAGGGAACAATCCCACATTCTCAGTACAGGGTTATATAAAATTGTCCCTAGCCTCTTCTAGCTGGTCTCTCTGCTTTCATTCCTGCTATAATGGATTATCCTAAAAGTGTAGAGGAAGCTAAAATCCCAAAAGACACTGGAGGAAAGAATGGGTGGTAGTGTTGGGAGAAGAAAGTACATTGAAGATGCTGTTTTCTGCATGAGATCCTTGCATTAAATCATGTCAGCCTTAGTGTGAAGTCTTGAGTTATACTTTATGTTGTATACCTCTATCAAATTGAGCTCACCTAAAACCCTAGGAAAGACACAGAATAGTCACTGGAGAGTGTAGGGGACTGATAACATTTCCCCTGCTTGCAAGTGTTTAGAATATAGAGAAAAGAGCTCTGGACCTGGAACCAGAAGACCTGGGTTCAAGTCATTGCCTTGCTGTTTATTAGCTGTGTGGCCTCCAGAAGTCACTTGATTTCTTTGACCTCGATGACCAATCTGTGAACTCAGGGCAATTCTAGTCTTTTCCATTTACGATGTTCTTGTGAGAATCAAATGGAGTAATCTGAAAACTGTAAAGCACCATGTAAATATGAGGCTTTTCTTCTCAGGCTTTTCATTTTTTTTTTTTTTTTTTTTTTGAGACGGAGTCTCACACTGTCACCCAGGCTGGAGTGCAGTGGCACCATCTCGGCTCACTGAACCCTCCGCCTCCAGGTTCAAACAATTCTCCTGCCTCAGCCTCCCAAGTAGCTGGAATTACAGGTGCCTACCACCACACCCAGGTAATTTTTTGTATTTTTAGTAGAGATGGGTTTCACCATGTTGGTCAGGCTGGCCTCGAACTCCTGACCTCAGGTGATCCACCCGCCTCGGCCTCCCAAAGTGCTGGGATTACAGGTGTGAGCCACTGCGCCCAGCCCCTCTCAGGCATTTGTAAAAATTAATCGACTTTTCTAGTTTACAGAAAAATTAAGCAGAAAGTAGAGTCCCCATATATTCTCTACTTCATCCCGTTTCCCCTATTATTAACTCCTTGCAACAATTTGTTACAATTGAAGAGCCAATATTGCTATATCATTATTAATTAACAACCATAGTCTACATTAGGGTTTATTCTTTGTGTTGTACATTCTGTGGGTTTTGGCAAATGTATGACACGTATCCACCACTATGGTATTACACAGAATAGTTTCACTGCCCCACAAATCCCCTGTGTTCTGCCTATTTATCTCCTCCTCTCTCCCCCTGAACCTCTGGCAACCTCTGATCATTTTACTGTCTCCATAGCCTTGTCTTTCCCAGAACATCATATAGTTGGAATCATACAGTATGTAGCCTTTTCAGATTGGCTTCCTTTACTTGGCAATATGCATTTAAGTTTCCTCCATGTCTTGTCTTGTCTTTTTTTCTTTTTTTTTTTTTTTTTGAGATGGAGTCTCACTCTGTCACCCAGGCTGCAACCTCCGCTTCCTGGGTTCAAGCATTTCTTCTGCCTCAGCCTCCCAAGTAGCTGGGATTACAGGTGCACACCACCACACCTGGCTAATTTTTGTATTTTTAGTAGAAATGGGGATTTCACCATGTTGGCCAGGCTGGTCTTGAACTCCTGACCTCAAGTGATCTGCGTGTCTCAGCCTCCCAAAGTGCTGGGATTACAGGCATGAGCCACAGCACCCAGTCACCTCCATGTCTTTTAATTGATAGGTTGATAGCTCATTTCTTTTCATTGCTGAGTAATATTCCAATTTATAAGTGTATTCCCAACAGACTTTTTACTTAAAAAAAAATGACCAAAGACTACATTGCCTTAGAGTTCAATTAAAATAGTATCAAGAGCTATGCGAAAGAGAAAAAAAAAGGTGAAGAATGGAAGATGGATATGGGAGGATGGACGGAGGCTATAGGCCCTCATGCAGATGTTGTGTTTTGGAGGAGGGAGGGATTCTGGGCTGGTTGTAAATATAAGAAACACAATATATCCACTCTATCCCATCCTTGAAATACAGCTTAGCTGCCAGCAGCCTGATCCCCTAAGTGCAGAGCCTGAGCAGTCACCCTAATGCACCGTACCTGGGTTCGGTACTAATGGCAGATCGAGAAAGAAATGCTAAAGTTATGTGTCTCTCAAACCACAGCACTACTAGCTGTATGCCTGATCCATAAGAGCATGCAATAGGCTGGGTGTGGTGGCTCACGCCTGTAATCCTAGCACTTTGGGAGGCCGAGGCAGGCAGATCACCTGAGGTCAAGAGTTCGAGACCAGCCTGGCCAACATGGTGAAACCCTGTCTCTACTAAAAATCCAAAATTAGCTGGGCGTGATGGCGCGTGCCTGTAATCCCAGCTATCCAGGAGGCTGAAGCAGTGAACCTGGGAGGCGAAGGTTGCAGTGAGCCGAGATCGCACCATTGCACTCCAGCCTGGGTGACGACAGCGAAACTCCGTCTCAAAAAAAAAAAAAAAAAAAAAAAAAAAAAAAAAAAAAAAAAAAAAAAAAGCATGCAGTAGATGCTTGAATGAATGGTTGAAGAAGCACAGGATAGGCCGCCAGACTTGGGGACTGAGGGAAGGTGGAGGGAGGAGGCAGAAAGTGAGGGTCATTAATGATCTTTTCATAAGGCCTTTGAGAGACTATTGCCAGGCCCCAGACCCCCTTTACAAACTGCTGAGCACTGCAGGGGGACTATTTGCGTCAGACTCAAGCCAAGACATCTCCAAGATCCCTGACAATAAAGCAAACACTAGGCTGGCGCTGGCTAATAGAGGAACCCAGAGGGAAAAACGCTTTTCTGTTTATGGACAATTCTCCTTCTACAGCCGGATCTTCAGCGCCACCTAGTGGTGTGCTCTTCAGGCTGGCTGCACTACCAAAGCAACCGACTAAGATTCAAATGCCTTGGTTTAAAGCTGCAAGGATTAAAACTTTCCTCTTAAGGTCTAAGATAAGAGACTATGTGGGCATAATGAGCAAATTGAGAGCTTTAGGATTCACATCAGAGAATTCTAAGTCACAAAACTTAATCTCAGCAATTACATACACAGTTAGTAGTAGGATTTTGTAGTTGCCCATACCGTTTTGCAGTTTTGGACATTGAGTAGTTTTGGACAATGAGGCCAAGATCAAAAGTTAAAGCCGTGCAAAGGAAATGCAGCACCAAGAAGGGAAAAAGAGAATCTGATCCAGCCCCTGCCGCCAGGCAGGGGAAGTGTTATTTCCATTTCATATTTAAAGCAAGTAAAACCCTACGAAATGTCCAAGGTCAAATGTCCAATATATGAGGCAAGAACTTGAATTGTGTGGAGTGTGCCTTTTCTTTTGCTATGCTGCTTCAAAGTACCCCTTTTCTTTCAATATTTGCTTTGTTTTGCTACAATTGCACTGATATTCTCCTACCAATGGATCAATAAGCTTCATTTCTATTCTAAACTCACAAACTACAGTGTTCCCCTAAAGGCTTGGGTCATTCTGTCTGTCTCATGCAGGAACTAGAATTCCCTAGAATGTTCATAATGTGAATGGCAATTCATGTGTTATATATACATTAAATATCTTATGTATAATGTTAACTCATATTCCTTTTACTTGTTAACTGACCTTAAATTAGGTCAGTTTCTATATGTAATACTGTAAATATTAATTAGATTGCAGTTAATTTGTTGATAATTCATGGTGATTATATTAGTTATACAATTCACAATGAAATTTTAAAATCTGCCTTTTCTTTAAGAGAATGTGGTTTGGAATTAAATGGAGAACTTACATTTATTCAGCATCAGATATTGACTAGGTGATTTTACATATACTAATTTAATCTTTATGATTAACACTATGAGGTAAGTCAAATAATTATCTTTATATAGATGAAGAAAGAAAGACAGAAATTGTAAATAACCACCCCTAGATAGACACTAAACAGAAGAGCTGGAAATTGAAAGTGGACTTTCTGTCTTGAAGTCAAGTAGTATTTCTACCAGACCTCTTGAATCCACTAGACTCGAAGTCCAGAAGTCTGAGTTTTATTTCCAACTTAAATACCACATACAATGCTGTGTACTATAATATCCTTTTGAAAATTCACTATGCTCATTTGTATATCCACAGTCCTATTGAATTCTAATATAAACATACATGTTTAGCAACACTCATGGAATTATTGTTCTTTCTCGGGGTTTTTTTTTTTGAGTGTGTACGTATATCTATTAACTCTCCTCTGAAATAGTGCTCTATAAAGCACACAGTGATTAGTGCTGGTCTGGAAGATAATATGCTGGAGAGCCTGATTGGAGCGATCTGGACTAGAGAGATAGCTGTGAACTGAATGAGGATTCAGTCTTCCAAAATAGTCCTTGGGCACACTTGCCAAAAACAGCTCACAGCATAATTTTGTTTTAAAATACTTGTTTGTAACCTTGCTTGTTTAAGAAAGAATTAATGTAGGAGAACAGGATTTCAGTGGCATAATGGTTATCACCAGGGCTCTCAATGAGAATGTAAAACGTATCTATGGCCTCCTCTCTCTTCCTTTCTTTGACATCTCTCTCCTCTTCTTGGATTGCTTCCCGCTCTGCTGGCTCATCTTAACCTGCCCCTCCCAGGGCTTACTGGGTTTCAACGTTACCTCTCACACCTCTTCCGAGTTCCTCAGTGCTTGTCAGTTTGATGTTAGGAAAACAATCTAACCAAATTGATATTCATTATATTATGAGTCCTTTGTGCTTCAGGAGTATTTGTGATGGGAATAATTAAGCCTCCTTTAACTGGAAAATTTCAAATAGCTTCAGGGAGGTTTGGGAGAAAGAGCGTCAATGACTGTCTGAGTCTGTAACCCCAAGCTTGTCTGTTCCATTTTCCTGTGTCACATAGCCTCTGCCAGTGGATTCAGTGCTATTTATACTGGGACTCTCATCCCAGTCCTAAATCTAGCATAGGAGCAGACAGATAGATGCCAAAAAAATACAGCAACGATTCATGATAAAAACTCCCAGAAAACTAGAAATGCAAGAAACTTCCTTAACCTGATGAAGAGCACCTATGAAAAATATATAGCTAAGATAACTCTTAACGGTGAGATTCAGAATGCTTTTCTCCCCAAATCAGGAACTAGACAAGAATATCTACTCTCACCAATTCTATGCAATAGTCCCCTTAAATACTAATTGATAATATAAAGAAATAAAGAGATAAAAAATATTGAGATTGAAAAGCAAAAAGTAAAACTGCCCTTATTTGCATATGACATGATTGCATACATGGAAAATCCTAACAACTACAAAATGTACTATACCAAGGAAGTGTATTTAGTAAAGTTACAGTATCCATTTTTTACATGAATGTAAAAAAAAAAAAAAAAGTATATCTAGGCTGGGAGCCATAGCTCATGCCTATAATCCCAGCACTTTGGGAGGCTGAGGTGGGCAGATCACCTGAGGTCGGGAGTTCGAGACAAGCCTGACCAACATGGAGAAATCCTGTCTCTACTAAAAATACAAAATTAGCCGGGCGTGGTGGTGCATGCCTGTAATCCCAGCTACTCGGGAGGCTAAGGCAGGAGAATCACTTGAACCCAGGAGGTGGAGGTTGCTGTGAGCCGAGATCGTGCAATTGCACTGCAGCCTGGGCAACAAGAGTGAAACTGTCTCAAAAAAAAAAAAAAAAGTAATCTAGGCCGGTCAAAGTGGCTCATGCCTATAATCCCAGCACTCTGGGAGGCCAAAGTGGGTGGATCACCTGAAGTCAGGAGTTCGAGACCAGCCTGGCCAACATGGTGAAACCCTGTCTCTACTAAATTTACAAAAAATTAGCTGGGCATAGTGGTAGGCGCCGGTAATCCCAGCTACTCGGGAGGCTGAGGCAGGAGAATCGCTTGAACCCAGGAGGTGGAGGTTGCAGTGAGCCGAGATTGCGCCATTAGTGAAACTCCATCTCAAAAAAAAAAAAATGTATATCTATATTCTAGTAATCAACAATTGGAAATGGAAATTTAAACAATACCATGTATAACAGTACTAAACAGTGGAAAACACTGAAATATATTTAACAAAATATGGTGCAAGACATGTACACTTAAACTTAAGAAACATTACTAAGAAAAATGAAATAATACCCAAATAAATGGAGATAAATACCATATTTATAAATCGGAAGACTCAATTTTATAAAATGATTAAATCTTAAATTGGTCTATAAATTCAACATAATCTGGATCACAAGCACAGTTTTATTTTTTGTAGACAAAAAATAAATTGACAAGATGATTCTAAACTCTGTATAGAAATTCGAAGGACTTAGAATAGCCAAAATATTTTGAGAAAAGAGAACAAAATTGAGGACTTAAACTAGCCAATTTCAAGACTTACTAAAGAGCCTTATTAATCACGATAGCATGGTATTGGCATAAAGATGGACATACAGATCAATAAAACAGAGTAAAGAATCCAGAAAAACTCCATACATACATGGTTCAATGATTTGCCAAGGTAAGTCAGTGGAAGAAAGGATGGCATTTTAAGAAATAATGTTGGGCCAGGCACCATGGCTCATGCCTGTAATCCCAGCACTTTGGGAGGACAAGGCGGGTGGACCACCTGAGGTCGGGAGTTTGAGACCAGCCTGGCCAACATAGTGAAACCCCATCTCTACTAAAAATACAAAATTAGCTGGGCATGGTGGCATGTGCCTGTAATCCCAGTTACTCAGGAGGCTGAGGCAGGAGAATCGCTTGAATACTGGAGGCAGAGATAGCAGTGAGCCGAGATCGCACCATTGCACTCTAGCCTGGGCGACAAGAGAGAAACTCCATTTCAAAAAGAAAAAAAAAAAAAAAAAGGAAGAAAAGAAAGAAAAGAAAAGAAAAGAAAAGAAATAACATTGGAACAACTGAAGAGAGGCATATGGGAAAAAGAACCTCAACCCCTACCTCACACAGTTCACAAATATTAACTTAAAATAGGTAATAGACCTAACCAAAAAATAAAAATAAAAATTATAAAACTTCTGCAAGAAAAAAAAAATCGGAGAAATCGGAATGATATTGCATTAAGCAAAAAACTCTTAAATGGGCCCTACAAATATGAACTATAAAAGAAAAAAAATCAATAAATTGTACTTCACCAAATGTAAAGCTTTTGCTTTTCAAAAAGCACTGTTATAAAAATAAAGCACAACATAGACTGGAAGAAAATATTTGCAAAATATATCTGAAAGGGATTTGTATCTAAAATATATAAAGAACTTTAACAATTCAATAAGAAGAATTTTTTAAATGGGCAAAACATTTCAACAGATGCTTTGTCAATATCTTCCACAGATGATTAGATATATTAGGATGTCTTCAGTTTTAAAACTAACATACCAAGTGCTGGTGAGGATGTGGAGCCATTGGAAGTCTCATATCCTGCTTCCAGGAATGTAAAGGAGTGCAACCAGTTTGGAAACTAGTTTGACAGTGTCTTAAGAAATTAAACACACTTACATAAAACCCAGCCATCACTTTCCTATGTATTTACCCAAAAGAAATAAAAACATAAACATATATCACAAAAAGACTTGTATACAAATGTTGAATGCACCTTTGTTTATAATGGCAAAAAGCCTGAAACAACCTAAATGTCTGTCAACAGGTGAATGAATGAAAAAAATTGCAGTAAACCCATGCAATGGGCTACTAGTCATCAATAAGAGCAAACTACTGAAGCACACAA
Organism: Homo sapiens; assembly: GCF_000001405.40. Taxonomy (NCBI): domain Eukaryota; kingdom Metazoa; phylum Chordata; class Mammalia; order Primates; family Hominidae; genus Homo; species Homo sapiens. The sequence goes on from NC_000007.14 coordinate 141,538,375, forward strand.
TGGATAAATCTTAAAAAAAAAAAAAACCGTGTTGAGAGAAAAGCCAGAAACAAAAGGTTCTATATTGTACAATTCCATTTATGTAAAACTCTAAAAGATACAAATTAACATACAGTGGTAGAAAGAAGATTAGTGATTGGCTGGTGTTGGGGTGGACTGAGGGAATGTAGGAACTGACTGGAAAAGAATAAGAGAACACTTGGGTGGCAATGGAAATGTCTGTATCTTCATTGTGGCCAGTATAGGAACATACGCATTTATCAAAAGTCATCAATCTGCACACTAAAAATGGGTGCATTTCGTTGTATGTAAATGTTATGCCAATAAGATTTATTTTAAAAATTGTAGTGGGAATGCAAGGAGAAGAAAGGGGGTAATTTTGGTATATTTCTATGTTAGAGTGGGCAGATTTTGAGTAGGTTTATATGCTAAGAGGAAAAGACAGTGGAGATGGAGGGAGAAAATACCAGAGTGAGGAAAGGACTGATGAGGCAGATTTCTCGGGGACGGGAAGATGGGGGTGCCATCCCAAGCACGGGTGGATGGATGAGCTGTGGATGGGAGGAGTGAACATAAGCTCCCTGAGTCTGCAGCAGAGGAAAGTGGTTGTACTATTAAGTTTGAACAAAGACAAATGTAATTTTGTATGTGGGAGGGCAGAAAGCAAAGGAAGTTCATGGCTCATTCAATCATTCAACCTTTATTTATTTTATGCCAGGCACTTTATAAATAAAGATATGGATATTCTGTAAGAAAGAATAATACTGTTTCTGCTCTCATATAATTTAGAATACAGTAGATGGGGGGCATTAAACAATTAAAGAACTAAATACATAATTACAGATTATTATGAATGCCATACAGGTTAAGGAATCTATTAAAGAGGGCAACAGAAGGAACCTAATTTAAACAGATGGCTCAGGGAAGGTCTCTTGAGTGAAGCCACCTTTCAGCTGAGAGGAGGAAGGTGAGAAGGAGTTAGGTGATAAGTGAATGGAATGGCTTCAGTGAAGACCTTAAGGTTGGACAGATTTGGGTACATTTTGATACAGAACAATAATTATATGTGAGTTTTAAGAGATTAATATAAAAAATGAAACCATAGAAAACTCCAAGAAAATATAAATAAATTTTGATCACTAGATAGAGGACTCTCCAAGAATATGCCTGAGATTTAACTACATAAAATTCAAGAGGTTTTTTTCTTTACTTTTATTTCGAAACATATTGTAAACCAAGTGCTAAATATTTGCAACAAATAAGTCAAAGGATTACCATCCTTACTACATAAAGAGCATGTATCAAACTGACAAGAAAAGCATTAAAACATCAACAGAATCCAGTTAGTAGATCATCCTTCTAAAATGATTGATCCTTTAGTCATTTAGGTAAGTTTATAGAATTTTAAAAATAAAAATAAACATAAAAAGCAAGTTGGGAAAATAGAATAAAAATACAAGTAAAAGACAGGCAAATTTCTATGGAAGAGGAAAATGGCTGGATAGATGAAAAAATAGTTTTACTCATAACCAAAGAAATTTAAACTGAAAAAATGAAATACTATTTTCCCAGCAATTAAATAAGTAGACATTGGGCAAAACAATACTTATTGATGGCAAGGGTGCTATGAGAGGCACTATCCAGTGAAGATAGTGGGAACATAAATTGGTTATAAGCTTTTAATTAAAAAATTTGGAAAAATGCATCTGGAACCTCAAATATATTTCCTCTGATTCATTAATTCTAGTTTTAAAAACTAACCCTACATTTATAATAAATGACGTCAATTATTTAAATTTTTTAAGTTAAAATCTTAATGGGTAGTCATTCAACAGTAAAGGAATAGACCAGGTGAGATGACTCACTCCTGTAATCCCAGGACTTTGGGAGGCTGAGGCGGGCAGATCAGTTGAGGTCAGGAGTTCGAGACCAGCCTGGCCAACATGGTGAAACACTGCCTCTACTAAAAAAATACAAAAATTAGCCAGACGTGGTGGCACGTCCCTGTAATCCTAGCTACTGGAGAGGCTGAGGCAGGAGAATCACTTGAACCTGGGAGGTGGAGGTTGCAGTGAGCTGAGATCGTGCCAGCCCCACTGCACTCCAGCCTGGGCAGCAGAGTGAGACTCCATTTCCAAAACAAAAACAAAACAGTGAAGGAATAAACAGTGATATATTCAATATTGAAAATATTATGATCTATGGTCATTGGAACAATGTGGCCCTAAGGACAAGGGACTTTTACTACCATACCAATCCCAAAGACATCACACTGGCTAGTCCACTGCATTAATGCATCAGAGTAGGGGAAGGGCGCTGTGCACTGCACCTTCTACCAAAAGAAGGCACATGTTTTCGAGGCAGCAAGTATAAGATTTGTGTGTGCTCCAGTACCCACTTGAGAGGTGAATGAAAAGCTACCAGGTTTCAGTGAGCTCAGAGCATGAGAAGATTCCTCTGCTGATCAGATATGATCTGATTTTGTCCTTTAGATCTAATCATGCTTCCAGTGTCTACAGACAGCTCAGCTTACAGTAAGACCCCATGAAGGATTCACAGACTTGGTTTTGGTCATGCTTTGCCAGAACCACTGTCTGGGGACTTACGGTAGGTCTTATAAATGATTGTAGTTTCTTGGACAACATTGCTTCTAACCAAGGACCCCAAGTTAAATAATGGGTTATAGCAGACGAGAATCACTGGTCTTATCATGTGATACCCAACAACCCAGAAGCAGCTGTCCTTATAGAATAGTGGAATAACCTATTATACTTCACTCATGCCCTCAGTTAAATAAATGCTTTCAATATAAAGTGCTGCCTGTAAGATTAAGAATATTCTTTGAACCAGCTCAATATATGATGCAGTTCTTCCATTAACCAGAGTACATAAGTCAGGGAACTAAGTAGTAGAATTGAAGATGGACCATCTCACAAATACTCAATGACCTCTGTTCACAACTTTTTGTTCCATGTCCCCATTGTATAGAACACTTAATACTCAATAAAGGAACTCTAGCACCAAGAGATTAATAGTCATGCTGAATTTGAAGCTTAGACTAGCAGCTGGTCAAGACAGGCACACAACAGGGTTTTTAGTCAGTGTGTCCAACACATGCATTCATTCGTGACTAACAGCTCCACTTATCTCTTTTCTAGCTGTCGCTGTGGTGACAAGCTTTGCATGTGCTCTGGCTGACTTTAGAGAGGCATTGTCAGATGGAACCCAAGCCTCCTGCCTCCTTCTCCCTGGGCTCCCTTGTTGGCACAGCTGTGAAGCCCTGCTCAGCACCCACACCTGTGCTTCCTGGAAGTGTAGGTTGTTAACACACTGTGGGGCAAACTTTTGACCAGTGGGAGGCAAGAACTGGTGGATAAATCCTTCCACTTACCTCTCCTCTATGGGATGGTTCTTGAGAGTCAGTTTATATGGATTTTTTGGAAGACTGCCCCTTTGAATGAAGCAACTGGTCACACTTAACAGTGGTCAGCTCAATACCACATCCTCATTTGGGCTGTCCTGCCTTTGCACTCCCCTTGCTTCTCATCATCCTCCTTGGAATTGCATGTCTTAATAAAGTAACAACATATGAGCCCCAACCCACAAACTCTACTTACTGAGGAACCCAGGCTGAGACAGCTAGCAATGTGCAAGGGGCATGGGTGAGCATGCACACATATGCACACACACATACACACCCTGTATCATACAAACACTACTGAAATGTAAAGGAAGGTTTGTTGAGAAAAACAATAGTGGCAGCAAAGGGAGGAGGAGGAAGAGAGTGCATATGACATGATCCCTTAAATTCTTATTATTTCATATTGAGGTGTTCTTGGATTGGGCACAGCTGGTCATACTGTGGAACGTCCTCCAGGAATGGAATCCTGTCCCTTCTGCTTTTGATATTTCTAGGGAAGTTGGGAGACAGACAGAAACACCGGGTCTACTATGTGATGCTGGGAGCATCCACACCAAGGAAATGACTAGGATCTGGAACTTAGCTAGGGGAGTCTGCACAGCAAGCCAGAGATTTTGCATTCTTTGTTGAGCTAGCTCAGTCCTACCAACTGAGCTTATAGTTAAGCCTGCTAAAGTTGGGAGGGAAGCAAGTCACCAGAGGCCCTAAGCAAAAGATTTTTTCTCATCAGGGACAATTCACCACAATTTTCAAGGGGAAATAAAGTTGCTGCTGTGCAATGAGGGCAGGAAGATGAATGCATGAAACCCAGAAGAACACACTGGACACCTCTTTATATTGCCATATCCAGTGGGAGTGTTAATGAAAGACGACTACATTTCCAACCAGGCAGGACCCAGAACTCAATCCTCCAGGAATGAAGATCAGATCGCCCTTACCCTCTGCAAAAACAAACCAAAACAAAAAGCCTAGCTTGAGACCAGGTGCAGTGGCTCACACCTGTAATCCCAGCACTTTGGGAGGCCAAGACGGGGGAATCACTTGAGGGAGGCCGAGGAGGCAGATCACTTGAGGCCAGGAGTTCGAGACTGGTCTGGCCAACATGGTGAAACCCTGTCTCTACTAAACAAACAAACAAGCAAACAAACCAAAAAGCCTAGCCAGCTGAGGGCTGGCCTGAGGTAAGGAGGTATGAAATGAATTACAGAGGGGCAAGTCAGAATCACAGCCACAGCCCAGCAGCAAGTGGCAGAACCAAGAACGGCAACCTCCACTCGTGTTTCCCTTTTGTAAGGTCACATGCATTTATATGTTTCCATTTAATTTCCTTTGCTTCCCTGTAAAATTTGCCTTTAATGTTCTGCAGTTTCAGTCTGATGTATCTGCTGGGTTTGTTTGTTTGTTTTGAGACAGAGTCTTGCTCTGTCACCCAGGCTGGAGTGCAGAGGCCTGATCTCAGCTTACTGCAACCTCTGCCTCCCAGGTTCAAGGGATTCTCCTGCCTCAGCCTCCTGAGTATTTGGGATCACAGGCACCTGCCACCACGCCCAGCTAATTTTTGTATTTTTTTAATAGTGATGGGGTTTCACCATGTTTGGCCAGGCTGGTCTCGAACTCCTGATCTTGAGTGATCTGCCTGCCTCAGCTTTCCAAAGTGCTGGGATTACAGGCATGAGCCACTGCACCCGGCCTGCTGTTATATTTTGAATACTGCCTCTTCCCATCTCTCTACTCTCTCATTCTGGAGCTCCTATTAGACATCTATTGGATTTCATTCTGTCTTCCAGAACCTTAACTCTTATTTATATTTTGCCTCTCTTTTTTCTCTTCTTGCTGTATTTGGTTAATATCCTCACATCTGTCTTCTAGTTCAATAATTTTCTCATCAGCTGTATTTAATCTCCTCTTTAACTTATCACTGAATTTTTAATTTTAGTAACTATGCATTTTAAAAATTTCTGGGTGTTATACTGAGTTCTTTTAAAAATTTGCTATTTTGTTTTTCTTTGTGCCTTGTATTCTTCTTAAGATTAAAATTTTTTTCTTTAGTAATGATTTTGATCATTTTGAACTATTTTATTTTAAACTATAATTCAATTATTTTAAGTTTGTGGGGCTCTAATTCTCCTATGGGTTTTTTTTCCCTCACTTACTCAAAGTAAATCATTTTTTCATGTATTTTGTGATTTTTTAAAATTGTGACATCTTTAGAAAGGTTTTTTAAAAAATAGGAAAATCCTTTTTGGCCTGGTATGGGAGCATTCCCCCAGAGGCCTTTGTGTTTGCTTCTGTCAGACACTCAAAGCTATTATCACTATGAGACTAATTTTTATATTAACTTTCCCAGTTTTGAGACTTCTGTACCACTGAGATAACGTGTATTCAAATCAGAAAACCCACCCTAGGCACAGATTTGGTGTTATCACTTATTTGGGGACTCTTTTTCCACCTAGAGCTCAGGCTGGGACACACCACTTCCTTGTCATCTTCCTATATTGGTGAGTAGATTTTTAAAAATTTTTTTCCCTAGTGATTGTAGTCAGAGGTTTTACTTCCAGCTCCCTGACTTTGGAGGACCCAAGTTCTCATGTCTTGTGCTGAGACATAGCTTCTAGATTGTTGAGCCGGAACCCTCAAGCCAGGCAATGACATCATCGGCTCATATATTTCTATTTTAGCTTTCAGGTCCCGCTTATTTTCTGGCCCCATGGGATGAAGCTTCCTTTACGGCAAGTTCAGTTATGCACTATGAATCCTCTTGTTATGTTTTAACCCGAATTTCTAGGTATTGGAATAGGTAGACTTTTCAGGTCTACTACCTTGCCAGAACCAAAATTCCAAAAAAGTCTTATAATGATGGTGTGTACCTGTTGTTCTCCAATGCCCTATACTTAGAGCAATTCGTAGTTTAAAAAATAAGAAAATTCAGAGTTTTTATTATATGGTAACTTATTAGGATGACACTACCATAATTACTATTTTGTTTGAAATTTGGTTTCCTAAAAAAAAAAAAAAAAAAAAAAAAAAAAATTAAAAAAAAAACTGCTGGTCTCTATGCTCCTGGAAATGAAAAAATGAATTACCAAAGTAAAAAACTTAACATTCATTCCAGGTAGAATTTCCCTTTTCTTCTTCCAGGGTACTTAGAATTTGGGTTACTCCTGAAAACCAAAATTTGCAAAACAATGTTGGAGACCTGGCTCAATACAATCAATGTGGGCCCTACCTTTGTTCCTACTCACTGCCATATTAAACAGGCAGCTGGGAAGTGCCGACCAGGGCCTAGCTGGAGTCAGGAGGAATAAGTGGCAAAGGATGACAAGAAGACACATTAACAAGAGAAGTCACATTCAGGAAAATGCAGGGCCCATATAGATCATGGGTGACAATGGGCAGCATAGAGGGTTCTTATAAAACCTCATGCAATAATGTGAAAACATATTCTCTCTCCTAGGAACCTGTTGGTTTCTTGAAAGGCCTCATTTACATGTTTCCAATCTGGTAGCAATAGATTCAGTGGATATTAAAGGTCATAATAAGGAAAGGATTTTAAGCATAAATACCACAAGAACACCATTTCATATTTTTTTCCTTAGGGGAAACAAAGTAGTCTAAAGAAGTATCTACATGCAAAAAATGAGCAAATAAACCAAGATAAGTCTTAAAAGAATTTGTACATAATTTTCCATGATCAAAGTACTCACCCTGGGAAGCATCTGTTCCCACAAGCAGGTTTCATTGGCGATGCTACATAGTAAGGTTACTAATGGTCATAAGGACACTATATCTTTTTTTGAACTTTTAACTCTATTTTAGTGTTAATGAATCTACAGAAAAAGAGCATAGCACTGGTCCAAGGTCCAGGGAAATGACTGGAGGATGATTTTAGGAAAAACCAAAGGTTAAGCATCCCATTGATGTCAACTTGCTTTCTTCTGTCATCGATTTTCACCCTTAAAACCTTGCCATAGGCCAGTGTTGTGGCTCACACCTGTAATCCCAGCACTTTGGGAGGCTGGGGCAGATGAATCACAAGGTCGGGAGTTCGAGAGCAGCCTGGCCAATATGGTGAAACCAGTCTCTACTAAAATACAAAAATTAGCTGGACTTGGTGGCCCATGCCTGTAGTCCCAGCTGCTCAGGAGGCTGAGGCAGGAGAATCACTTGAACCCGGGAGGTGGAGGTTGCAGTGAGCAGAGATCATGCCACTGCACTCCAGGCTGGGCGACAGAGCAAGACTCCATAAACAACAACAACAACAACAAAAATCACACAAAAAAACCTTGCCATCATTTTTTTTTTTCTTTTAAATCACTGTCCTCGTTGTGTTTCCTATCCACCAATATAGCCTATGGCTTGCAGTTTATCAAGTTGGGGCTCATGGCTCCAGGGAACAGAAAACCCTGACTCCCCCCTAAACAATAAGGGAATTTATTATTTCACATAATAGGATGTCCCAGAGTTTGGGCAAACTCCAGACATAGTACAACCATTTGGTTCCGTGATGTCATTGAGGACCTGGGCTCTTTATCTTTTTCCTCTGACATTCTCTGTGAGTTGGCTTTGCCCTAGGGCTGGCTCCCTTCATGGATGAAGAATGACTATAGCAGTTTCAGGCATTACATACACATATATGATCCTATAGGAGAAAAGTGCGACCATCTCTTTCTCTTTTTTAAAAAACAGCTTTATGGAGATATAATTCACATACCATACAATTTTCCTACTTAAACTTTATGTTTCACTGAGTTTTAGTAGATTCATAGTTGTCCTACAACCACCACCATCAATTTTAGAACATTTTCATCTCCCTAAAAATAAATCCCATACCCATTAGCAATCATTTCCCACTTCTCCCCAACCTCCCCCCAACTGCAGTCCTAGGCAACCTCTAATCCATGTTCCATTTTCATGCATCTGCCACTTCTGGTGGTTTCATGTAAGTGGAGTCATACACTATGTGGTCTTTTGTGACTGGCCTATTTCGCCTAGCCTAATTTTTTTTTTTTTTTTTTTTTTTTTTTGAGATGGAATCTCACTCTGTCACCCAGGCTGGAGTGCAGTGGCGTGACCTTGGCTTACTGCAGCCTCCGCCTCCCAGGTTCTGGTGATTCTCCTGCCTCAGCCTCCAGGTGGCTGGGATTACAGGCATGCACCCCTGTGCCCAGCTAATTTTTGTATTTTCAGTAGAAATGGGGTTTCACCATGTTGGCTAGGCTGGCCTTAAACTCCTGACCTCAGGTGATACTCCTGCCTTGGCCTCCCAAAGTGCTGGGATTACAGGTGTGAGCCACTGCACCCGGCCCACCTAGCCTAATGTTTTTAATGTTGATTGCCATTTCTTTCTTGAATTCTCCCTTTTAAGAAGGAAACCTTTCCTAGAGATCTCTCAGCAGACTTCCTTTTAAGACTGTTCTAAATCGAGTGACATGATCTATTCCTAATCTAATCATTGGAGATGGAAGAGGAATGACTGTGATTACCTAAAGTGACTGTAAACTAACCCTTGGCAAAGGGGATGGGGTTATCTAGTCACCTGCTTTGTAGTTACAGGCAAACAGGGGCTGGGAAGGTGAAGAGTGGATGTCTGAACAAAATTTAATTCCTGTTAGGAAAGAAGAAAGGGGCAATGGATGTTAGGTAAGGAGATAAAATGTACAATACACTTTAATGATACAACATAACAGTTACGAAAGAAGCTAAGAATGGTGAAGGGGGCTCCACTTACCTTTGGTTTATTTATTCCACCAGTCTTCCTTCCTTCCTTTTTGTTTTACACCTGTAAGCTTCAGACTCTAGAGTGGTGGGTTCACCAACCACTCCAAATCCTACCCCTGCAATGGATTTTATTATACCACCAGGTTGAGTGAAGCTGACCAACTTCAGGGGCTTCAGGGAGGTGGTAAAGGCAGGGAGGGGATAACTGAGAGGTGAGAGTCACACAGTGCCCACTTTCTAGGTAATCAATTGACAGCAATTCAGCATGCCATCATTGCTGTTCTAGCTGTATGTAGTTGATGTACACAACTGAGAGGGAGGTTGCAAGTATGAGAATTTTTTATACACATATAAAAAATTATATATCTCTATATATCTTGTCAATGAGCAAAAAATTGAAATGTGAGACTACCTTAAACCTTGATTCTTTCTCTCGTCTTATGTTCTTGAACACTCTTCCACAGTAGGGGGCAATCTGACTGGAGAGTGAAATACTCTTTCTTGTTGAATGACCATGGCACTCCTGTCTTAGTTTCTTCTCACCCTATTTCTAGGCCAAGGTCATTTCCCTGTAACATCCTTAATAACGGATTCTGAGCCCAGACCAGGCACGGTGGCTCATGCCTGTAATCCCAGCACTTTGGGAGGCTGAGACAGGCGGATCACCTGAGGTCAGGAATTCAACACCAGCCTGGCCAACATGGTGAAACCCCATCTCTACTAAAAATACAAAAATTAGCCAGGCGTGGTGGTAGGCTCCTGTAATCCCAGCTACTTGGGAGGCTGAGGCAGGAGAATTGGTTGAACCCAGGAGGTGGAGGTTGCAGTGAGCTGAGATCACGCCATTGCATTCAGGCCTGGGTGACAAGAGCGAAACTCTGTCTCAAAAAACAGACAAACAAAACCAAACAGATTCTGAGCCAAGAGAATGTTACCTCAGGATTGGTTCTGGACTAATGAGAAGCTACTGGGATGGTCAGCCACCATATTTGGAAAATGCTAGAGATCTTGAGTTGTAAGACTCTTCCATTCCTGGGAGCTACTAGATGTCAGTCAGTACATTCGTCCTCAAGGGAACATAAATTCATTTTGTAAGCAACTGGGGCCCATACTTTCAATGTGTCACTTATTTCAATATGCATAAAGTATAGTATTATATGTGGCAATGTGTTAGTTGTGAAAAGAGACACAAGTCCCTATCCTTGACAGTGCAAAATGTTCTTCTCTGACGATCCCAGGCAAGAGCTGAAGACCCAGGCAAATTCCAAATAGCTCCTTGGGAACCTCGCTCAGCTGTTAGTGATAGTGAACAAAGAACATGGAAAAGGAAGTACATAAGCCAAGCCCTTCTCTCTGGCTGTGTGCATTTGGATCTGTCTTTGGTCCTCTCTGTGGCATGAATGTGCCATTGAGCCTCAGGGACTGTGCCCGAGGCACTGTTCCAGGCCTCTAAGGGCCAGAGTGTCAGACCTGAGTCTTCTCTGGCATCGTAGATCCTTAACACGGATCAGCAAAGGAAGCTCTCCAGGACTCTCTTTGACTATGAGAGGGAACTTGTGTTAATCCTTGACTAAGAGTTTTGTTTTGTTTTGTTTTGTTTTTTGAGAGGTAGTTTTGCTCTTCTTGCCCAGGCTAGAGCGCAATGGCGCGATATCGGCTCACTGTAACCTCCGCCTCCCAGGTTCAAGCAATTCTCTTGTCTCAGCCTCCCATGTAGCTGGGATTACAGACACCTGCCACCACGCTTGGCTAATTTTTGTACTTTTAGTAGAGACAGTTTCACCATATTGGCCAGGCTGGTCTCAAACTCCTGACCTTAGGCAATCCACCCATCTTGGCCTCCCAAAGTGCTGGGATTACAGGCTTGAGCCACTGCGCCCAGCCTAACAGAAGTTCTTGGGGCTGCCTAAGTCAGAGTGTCAGGTTTCTGTTGGGCTGCAGGAACCCATTCAGGGCTGGCTAGAGCTTGTGCCTGATTATTCTGGAATCTGAATGCATCCTAGTAAAATGGTATTTGGAAGAGAGTAGAATTGGTATAGGTCTCCAAAACTCCAACCTACACATCTGCCTGCAGGTGTGTATTCAGATTCCCTTAATCTCCTATATTTCCATCCTTCTTCATCCTTCATCAAAGCTGACCTTTTCTTATTTGGGGAACCACTTTCATGCTGAAGCCCTAAAGCATACGCTGAGTCTGACCCTTGGAACATCAAAATCAAGTCTCAGATTTTTCTAGCCTGCAGGTGAGCAGTTCAGAAGCTTATTTCCAAACACAAACGCTTTAGATAGTTGGAAAAGAGGAACTGAAAATAATGGTCTTCCATACCCTATGACAACATTTTAGAGCTAGAAGGGTTTTTTTTTAATAGTAATGTTCTCAGTCCCCTAGTTTACAGATGGAGACTCAGGAGAGAGGGCTAGAAATTTCTTGCTACTAAACAGTGTGGCCCAATGGATTGGTGCACCCTGGCATAAGGAATATGTTTACTGCACCATAGCCTCATTGAAGGTCCCCGCCCCGGCCTTTTTTTTTTGAAGCATTCACCTAGGGAGACATAGGTAGGATGCATGTCTACACGTAGGAAATGTGCAGACTAGATAGCAAGCTCCATGGGGCAGGAACCATGAAGGGCCTTGTACCTGAGCATACCCCCAGTGCCTGATGCAGGGCCTAGTGCACACTCAAATGTTGGTTGACTGGCCGGGTGCGATGGCTCATGCCTATAATCGTAGCACTTTGGGAGGCCAAGGCGGGCAGATCGCTTGAGGTCAGGAGTTCGAGACCAGCCTGGCCAACGTGACAAAACCCCCGTCTTTACTAAAAATACAAAAAAATTTAGCTGGGCCTGGTGGCACACACCTGTAATCCCAGTTACTCGGGAGGCTGAGGCACAAGAATTGCTTGAACCCGGGAAGCAGAGGCTGCAGTGAGCTGAGATTGCACCACTGCACTAGCGCCTGAGCCACAGAGTGAGACCCTGTCTAAAAAAAAAAAAAAGTTGGCAGACTGAATGCTGGAAAGAAGAAGGACCTGGCTTTGTCCCCACACCAATCTGGTGGGCGAGTACAGAATGTAAACTGTCTGGAGGTTGGCATTGGCCTAGCTTCTCCGTTGCTCTCTTGTTCTCTAGAATCCAATCAAGCACCTGTGGCCAGAGAGCTGTGTGAAATGGAAACCAGTCCCACCAGCCCCTGATTGCACCCCCGCAATGTCTTCTCGCCCTGTTTAATGTCATGTCCAAACTCCTGGCCGCCGTGGCCTGTCTCCACCTCTCCAGCTTCCTCGCTTGGCCTGTCTCCTTAGCTCTCTCTGTCTCACCCACACTGGCCTGCAACTCGCCAGAGTGCCCCAGGCTTTTCAGCTTTTGCACGGGCCCTTCCCTCTCCAGGCTCTCTCCCCTGGATCTTTGCTTCAGCTGCTCCTTCTTGACATCCAGGTCTCAGACCAATGGCCCCTTACTCAGAAGGCCTAGCGCAGGCCGCCTAATTTCACACAGTTCTCCCCCTTCCCGCACTGCCTTCCATCACCTCGTTTCATTTTCTTCGTGGCACGGAGCACCATCTCCAATGGCCTTGTTCATTTAGTTAATTTATTTTCCGACTTAGTTCCAGGTGCTAAAACAGTGTTACCTTGGCAGGCTTCCCATCAAATATTGTTGCGCAAAGGATGGATGGATGAAAGGAAGAGTGAGCCAATAAACGAGGGAACGCCGGGAAAGGCAGCCTCAAGCCGGTGGGCCCTGCCACCCCCACCGTCCCTGAGCATCCGAGCCGGTTCCCGCCCCCGGCCCGAACTGGCCCGCGCGCGCTCGCAGCCCCGCGGCGGAACCCGAGGGCGGCGGCAGCGGTTTCCCTTGAACGAGCCGGGGAATCTGGAGGGAGCACACAGGAAAGGCAGAGCCGCGAGCTGGACCAGCCGTGGTGAGTGCAGCGGCGCCCAGGCGGGGAGCGCAGTGCGGGTCGCTGGGACTGAGCGCGCGAGCGGGGTGGGAGTCGGGATGGGGGCCCGGGGCGCTGGGCGGAGCCTCTGGAGTCGCGCTGGGCCGAGAGCCGCGGGGACCCAAGCATCAGGGGTCGTGGGTGCAGGCGGCGGCGCGGCTTGAGGGTAGGGGGTGCGGGCCTGGCCGGCGCGGCAGGGGAGGGCCTCGCGCGGATCCCGTGGTCACGGCGGGAGTCAGCTGTCCTGGGTTCGAGTCCCAGAGCTGTCGCTAACTTGTGGACCCCCCTCACTTCGTCCCTTGGGCTTCAGCATAGCCCTTTGCAAAATGGGGCCAATAGTATCAGATCCATTGATGGGTTGGTTGGTTCATTCATTCTGGCGCTTTACTAGGTTCTGGTGCTGCAGATGGATAGACGAACTTGCCCATGAGGGGTTCACTATCTAGTAAGAAAAACATTTCCACCTGGATACTCCACAGGCGTGTCAAATTCAGTATCTCCTAAACCGCACTACTTTTCTCCACAAACCTACCACTCAAATCTAAATGACTGAAATCACTATTCAACCAGTCACCCAAGCACAAAAACCTGGCTTGGTTCCTCCTCTCTCACTTACTACAGTCAATGGACCACCAACTGCTGCCAATTTCTACTTTCTAAAGCTTTCCAAATCCATCCTTTATCTTGGTTTGTTCTTTTAGGAGCCTACAGATTATGGCAATAACTTCCTAATGGTTCTCTTTAGCTTTAATTTTAGCTTCTTCCAGTTCATTTTTCATTCTGCTATAAAGTGGTCTTTTAACAGTTCAAATATGATTATATCACTCACCTGCTTAAAGCCCATTAAAGGTTTTTCATTGTCTTCAAAATAATAGCCAAAGTCCTTAGTGTGGGTTCAAGGTCTTTTCTAATCCCACCTGGTCTTCAATCCTTTATCTCTAAACCACTGTTTCTCAAAGTCTGGTATAGTGGTGACCTCCATTGCAACCAACATGGGAGTACTTGTTAACAAGTGAAGATGACAGCTTAATTCCAGAACAAATGAGACTCTTGCGGGAAGGGGCAGTTCCCAGGATTCTGTGTTTTTAACAAGTTCTGCACTAAAGGTTGAGAACCCCTGTTCTAGACACTCCAATTTTTACTCCGCTGTTGATGAGATTCAGGACACACTGCCGCAAAATATGACTCGTTGGCATTAGAGGAAACAACTGAAGCAGGAAAGTCACTTTGTGTCTTCCCACTTTTCTCCCCTGAAGCAGGCCATAAAAGAATTGTTTGACCTTCTTCTGTATAAGACCCTTCAGTGAGAGGTGCTCATCCTGTAAGTATAGGATCGAGGAAAGGAATGCCCTTATCTTTGAAGACACAGGTACACAGAGAAGAATCAGAACAAATAGGCCTTGCTAAATTCTCCCCAGCGTATTACTGTTAGATCATACCCCCTTTTTCCAGTCTCAGCCATGAACCTAATTCTCCCCTCAACTATCTACGTATGTTTCTCTCAACACACTTTACTGTCTTTTATGCCTTTGTACACTCTCAGTTTGGGCTACTGTAAAAAAAAAATAGCAAAAACTGGGTGGCTTAAACAACAGAAATTTAATTCTCACAGTTCCGGAGGCTGGAAGTCCAAAGTTAAGGTGCCAGCATGGTTGAGTGCATGGTGATAGCTCTCTTCCTCGGTTTGTAGAGATCTGTCTTCTTGCTGTATCCTCACAATGCAGAGAGACCATCTCTGTAGTGTCTAGTCTCATAAGGACACTAATCCCTTTCATGGGAGCCACTCTTATGACCCAATTATCTCCCGAAGGCTCTATCTCCTAATACCATCTCAATGGGGATAGGGCTTCCACATCACCATTTTTGGGGAACACAGCATTCAGACAATAGCATCCACAAAACTCCTTCGTTACTTTAGTGATTTCCTCCTCATTATTCAAGGCTCAGGGAAGACTTCATTGACTGTGCACCACCCCCTCAGCCCTAGACCAGGTTAGGTTCATTCTTGCAGACTCTCACAAAGCCTTGTGCTGACTCCTCGACATTTATCCCACTGTACTGCAATCATAATTGTATAATTGTGTTAGCATTGTGGGTTTGACAGTTGTGAGCACTTGAGAGAACGCATGAGACCCATTCTTCTCTGCCCTCACCCCCAGCACAGAGCCTACCATATAGGTGTTTATTAAAGGGCTCTTGAATGAAGGAGTGATTTAGGGCCAGATGGAGAGGAGTTCAAGAATTAGTTGGGCCTTTGGAATCATGTGTCAGCCTGACGGTGTATGGGATTCACAGGAAGATGGTCTCCCTGGCACTGGCTTCACTGCTGCTTTTGATAAGGATGTTTCTACCCTTGAGAGGAATTTTAACCAATGGGATTTAAAGGGAGTCATAAAAGAACTGGACTTTTAAGTGGAAACAGTTTTTTTTTTCTTGGTCTATATACCTCACTAACAGATAGTCATAAAAAAATTTTGCTTAAATTTTTGTTTATCTAGAAAATAAGTTCATTTTCAAAAACTTAGAAAGTACATTGCAATTTTAAAAATAAACATCACCCACCATTCCACAACCTAGAGGGATCTACTTTAAAATTTCGTTTTTGAGCCAGGTGCAGTGGCTCACGTCTGTAATCCCAGCAATTTGGATGGCCAAGGCGGGAGGATTGCTTGAGGCCAGGAGTTTGAGACCAGCCTGGGCAACATAGTGAGACCTTGTCTCTAACAAAAAAAGGAAAGAAAAAAATTAGCCAAGTGTAGTGGTATGTGCCTGTGGTCCCAGCTACTTGGGAGGCTGAGGCAGGAGATTTGTTTGGGCCCAGAAGTTATAGTGAGCTATGATTGTGCCACTGGACTCCATCCTAGGTGACAGAGTGAGACCCTGTCTAAAAAAAAAAAAAAAAAAATTGTTTTTGTTTAATTGTATTGGTTTTCTTTTTAAATTTATACTCATGTTTGAACATAATTGGTATAATGCCAATTATATATGGCTTTTTATCCTGCTAATTTTACTTAACATTATGTTTTGGGTTTTTTCCCCCATCAGTAAAAATTTTGGGTAAAAAAATATTTAATTGCTATTTAACTTATTCATTGAACAAATATTTCTTAAACAGCTATTGTGTGCCGGATCTTACTTTAGGCATGGGATACAGCAGTGACCAGAATTATGTCCTTACTCTCATGGAGTTTACATTCCAGTAGGATTAGGCTAATAAATGAGCAAATGAATATAAGCATCACCAAATAATAAATGTCATGAAGAATAAAGATATTCTATAGTGTCACTCTGTTTTTTAGTAAAGTCTTCCTAATTTACCTTCTTTAAAGGAGTGTATGAGTGTCTATCATTTTGTTATGTCATCAGTGAATATGATCATTTAAAAATTTATTTTGGTCAATAATGATAGTTCTTTGTAATATGCATGTCTGATTATTCAGGAAGTTGAACATTTTTAGATAGCCATGTACATTGCCTCTTCATTGAGTTTTCTATCCATGTTTTCTGTTTCTTTTCCTATTGAGGACCTGGTATTTTCTTCTATTTTGAACTCGCCCTTCATATTATTATTTTTTGGGACACTTACATTATGATGGATAGACAAATGTATACTCTTAAACAGTGGTACAGTGAGGCTGTAAGGAGTTAGAAAAACCAGAGGAAGCCTGGAATTCCCTTCCTCTCTTTCTGCCCCTCCCTCTTCCTTCTATTGCAATGAAGAAATAGTGATCAGAGAGGGAAGAAGTATAGGTTAGGTGGAAATACGTGAAGGAAGAAAGAAAGGTGGATGGATGTGTGGGTGGATGAGAAGATGAAGATGATGGAAATAGAAGGGAGAAGATGAGCTGAGGCCAGAGGAGAAGTGGTAAGGAGGAAGAGGAGTGAGTGGGAAAAAAAGGAGTGAGAGAGGATAAAAGAATGGAAGACAGAGTAATAGGGACATTACATGAAGACCATGGATAAATTATATTTTTTTCTCTTTCCGCCTCTACTAACCTAGCAAATCTCTAGAAGATGACGGTGTTCTTTAAAACGCTTCGAAATCACTGGAAGAAAACTACAGCTGGGCTCTGCCTGCTGACCTGGGGAGGCCATTGGCTCTATGGAAAACACTGGTAACTATCTGACAGCCCCATCCCACCTTTGCATCTGCAGCAAAACAGCCCCAAAGGGCCTCAGGTTAAAATCTTGCTCAGCTGTGCTTATCCCTATAAAACATGTGGTGTAAAAGAAAAATAAATGCTATTCAAAGCAAAAACAAAGACTTCTTGTAACCAGAGCTGGAACTACATGCATACTTATATCCAGTGGTTAGAGAATAAAGTAGAGACATCAGAAAGGAAGCTATTTTTATTCATTATATTTATAGTGGAAGAGATTAAGACATCTTAGAGAAAGAGAAGTCCTTTCCCAAGTTAGTAGTGTGAACCCCCAAAATCTGAGACAGGTCTTAGTCAATTTAGTAAGTTTATTTTGCCAAAGTTAAGGACGTGCGCCTGCGACACAGCCTCAGGAAGTTCTGATGACACGTGCCCAAGGTGGTCTGAGCGCAGCTTGGTTTTATACATTTTAGGGAGATATGACACATCAATCAATATACGTAAGATGAACATTGGTTTTGGTCTGGAAAGGTGGGACAACTTGAAACAAAGGCAAGACAACTGGAAGTAGGAAGGGAGCTTCCAGGTCATAGGTAGATAAGAGACAAATGGTTGCATTCTTTTGAGTTTCTGATTGGCCTCTCTAAAGTAGGCAATCAGATATGTATTTATGTCAGTGAGCAGAGGGGTGACTTTGAATAGAATGGGAGGCGGTGGGGCGCAGTGGCTCATGCCTGTAACTCCAGCACTATGGGAGGCTGAGGCAGGTGGATCATTTGAGGTCAGGAGACCAGCCTGGCCAACATGGTGAAACCCATCACTACTAAAAATACAAAGATTAGCTAGGCAGTAGTGGCGTGCACCTGTAGTCCCAGCTACTCGGGAGGCTGAGGCAGGAGAATCGCTTGAGCCTGGGAGGTGGAGGTTGTGGTGATCCCAGATCGGGCCACTGCACTCTAGCCTGGGTGAGGGAGTGAGACCCTGTCTCAAAAAAAAAAAAAAAAATAAAGAATGGGAGGCATGTTTGCCCCAAGCAGTTCCCAGCTTGACTGTTTTTCTTTAGCTTAGTGATTTTGGGGCCCCAAGATTTATTTTTCCTTTCACAGTAGTAAGCAAGTACTGGAACTCATGTCTCCCTGGCATTTTATTCCTTCCATTTCTTACTATAGTCTCTTGATCTGTCATCAAGGGACACTTACTGAATTTGTTCCTCCATCCCCTGTTACTATCCTCATCTGTCCCATTAGCCTACATTAATTTAAATGAGAAGTAGACTTTCAAACCTTTTGTTTAAATAAAGAATTCAGAGGAGTCATGGATTTTATTAGTCTTCCTGCATGGAGGGAGAAGAAAGTGCCAGAGCTCCTCTTTTAGTTTAATATGGTAATAAGATTTAAATAAACAGAGAAGTTTTTTTGTATAAAAATTATACAAAAGACAGCCAATCAAATTGCAGTCTTTTGGAGATTAAGGACTACATTTTAAGTATGTAGCAACACTGAAATCCAGATGTCTTAAATGACTGCTTTGTTGAACAGAAAACAGAACAGTTACTCTTTGAATTAGAAGTCTCCACATTGGAAAAGAGATTCATATTGATATTTTGTGAACACTCAATTCACCACTGTGAGAATAACTTTATGATATAACATGATGTCTGCTTTTTTTGCAGCTGTGGAAAAATTGCAATACATTCCCCTTCTTTTCTTTCTAAGTGTTGTCAAGGCCAGGCATTCAAATTCCATTAGCCAGCATCTAAGGAAAAAAGCAGACATAAGAAGCTTAAAATTTGTAATTAAGAAAAGGGTGGAGCGGATATTTTAACAAATGGAGCATGGAATGTTTGGCTTCTCCTTTTTCTAACTACACTTGAGTCCTCAAGGCCCCTTTGCTGGAGCATCCAATCTAGGCCATGGCTAGGTCAGTCGGGGAAAATTCCCACCCACTGAGGATTACTGCTGTTTCTACGACTAGGTGAAGATTTGAGGAACTGTGTACTCTGTTCAGGATGTCTTTAGAGGAACCATGATAAGTTCTTGCCCATGTAGCCTTGAGACCTTAAAAAAGGACCATTAAGTCTTCAGGACTAATGGAGGCCTTGTTCTAAATTGGATCTGAAACAGCTTGAGCCAGAAGTGTGGTGGCAGCCTGGAGGCCTCATTTTGCTCTGTCTTCACCCTTGACATTCAATGTTACTGCCCCAAATGCAAACTCTTGTTGTCCTATTGCTTTTCTTTTTCTCAGACTGTTCTCTTGCATGATTTGGTACTATTTAGCCTTTTTAAAAAATTGTGGTGAAAAAACACAGGACATAAACATTTTCACCTTAACCATTTGTAAATCTGCAGTTCGATGGTGTTAAGTATATTCACATTGTTGTTCAACAGATCTCTAGAACTTTTTCATCTTGCAAAACTGAAACTCTGTACCCATTGAACAACTGCCCATTCCCGCCCCAACCCAGCTGTCCTTGACAACCACTATTCTACTTTCTGTTTCTAGGAATTTGACCACTTTATACTTTGTGTCAGTGAGTCATATAGTATTTGTATTTTTGTGGTTGGCTTATTTCACTTATAATGTCTATAATGTTTATATTATCTTTACCTTTTCTTTTTTTTTTGAGACGGAGTCCTGCTCTGTCACCTAGGCTAGAGTGTAGTGGTGTGATCTTGGCTCACTGCAACCTCTGCCTCCGAGGTTCAAGTGATTCTCTTGCCTCAGCCTCCCAAGCAGCTGGGACTACAGGCGCGTGCACCATGCCTGGCTAATTTTTCCATTTTTAGTAGAGATGGTTTTTTTTTTTTTTAACCATGTTGGCCCGCTGGTCTCGAACTCCTGACCTCAGGTGATCTGCCCGCCTTGGCCTCTGAAAGTGCTGGGATTACAGGTGTGAGCCACTGCGCCTGGCCTATATTATCTCTAAATGTAAAGATATATTCTTTACGTTTAAAGAGGTATGGTCTTTACATCTGTCAATGGACATTTTGGTTGCTTTTACCTCTTGACTATTGTGAAACATGCTATAATTAACTTGAGTGTACAGATACCTCTTGGAGATCCTGTTTTTAATTATTTTGGATATATGCCCAGAAGTGGGGATTGCTAGATCATATGGTAGTCTATTTTTAATTTTTTGAAGAGCTTTCATACTGTTTTCCATTGTGGCTCATCATTTTACAATCCCACAAACGGTGTACAAGGTTTTCAGTTTCTCCACGCCCTCATCAACACTTGTTATTTTCTGTTTCTTTGATATGGGCTATCCTTATGAGTGTGAGGTGATATGTCATTGTGGTTTTGGTTTGCATTTTTCTAATGATTAAGGAAGTCAAGCATCTTTTCACATGCATGTTGGCCATTTAAAAATCTTTGGAGAAATGTCTGTTCAAGTCCTTTTTCCATTTTTAATTGAGTTTTGTTGTTGTTGGCCTGTAGGAGTTCTTTATGGATTCCAGATATTAATCCCTTGTGAGATATAGAATTTTCAATATATTGTCTCCTATTCTGTAGCTGGCCTTTTTACACTATTGATCATGTCCTTTGATATATATTGTTTTTAGTTTCGTTAAGGCCCATTTGTCTACTTTTGCTTTTGTTTGCCTCTGCTTTTGGTGTTATATTCAAGAAATCATTGCTAAATCCAGTGTCATGAAGCTTTTCCCTATGTTTTCTTCTAGGAGTTTTATATTGGGTCTTACATTTAGGTCTTTAACAGATTTTGAGTTAATTTTTTTTATATGGTATAAGATAGGGGTTCAGCTTCATTATTTTCCATATGGATATCTAGTTTTTCCATTACCATTTGTTGAAGAGACTGTCATTTCCCCATTGCGTGGTCTTGGCATCCCTATTGAAGATCATTTGACCATATAGATGAGGATTTATTTCTGGGCTTTCTGTTGTTCATTAGTCTATATATCTGTATTTATGCCAATACCACACTGTTTTGATTACTATTGCTTTGTAATATATTTTAAATTTAGTACATATAAGACTTCCATCCTTGTTCTTTTTCAAGATTGTTTTGGATGTTTGGGGATTTCTTGAGATTCCATATGAATTTTGGGATGTTTTTTCTATTTTTGCAAAAAATGCCATTGGGATTGCATTGAATCTGTACATTGTTTTGTAGAATAGACATTTGAACAATATTAAGTCTTCTAATTTATGAACACGGGATGTCTTTTTATTGTACTCTTTAATTTCTTTCAGCAGTGTTTTGTTTTTAGCGTATAAGTCTTTTACCTACTTGCTTAAGTTTATTCCTAAGTATTTTATTCTTTTGATGCAATTGTTAATGGGATTGTGTTCTTAATTTCCTTTTCAGATTGTTCATTCTTAGGATATAGAAATATAACTGATTTTTGTGTGTTGTGTATCCTACAACTTTGCTGAATTTATTAGTTCTAACAGCTTTTTTTTTTGGTGTAGAATCTTTAGGGTTTCTACATATAAGATATGTCATCTGTGAATAGAGATAATTTTACTTCTTCCTTTCCAGTTTGGATGCCTTTATTTCTTTTTCTTGCCTCATTGCTCTGGCTAGAACTTCCTGTGCTATGTTGAGTAGAAGTGATGAGTGGACATCTTTGTCTTATTCCTGATCTTAGAAGAAAAACTTCCAGTATTTCAAAATTGGGTATGATGTTAGCTGTGGGCTCATCATAAATGACCTTTATTATGCTGTGATACTTTTCCTTTTGTTGCCCTCCCTCCGTTTTTTTTTTTGCCTATATATCCCCAACCTTTTCACAGAACAGTGCTCACATTCTTTATACCAAACTTGTTTTTACCCTGAGAAGATCTTACCCTGTAGTCTTCTTGAGTGGAAGCTGCCTTGTCCTTTCTTTCTTCTTCTTCTTTTTTTTTTCCCCCATCAGGTCATTTTATTATTATGGTTTTTACAAATTTTGTTTTATTTTAATAGTTTTTGGGGAACAGGTGGTGGTTTGTGGTTACATAGATAAGTTCTTTAGTGGTGATTTCTGAGATATTGGTGCACCCGTTACCCGAGCAGCGTACACTGTACCCAGTGTGTAGTCTTTTATTCCTCACCCCACTCCCACCTTTCCCCCTGAGTCCCCAAAGTCCCTTATATCATTCTCATGCCTTTGTGCCCTCATAGCTTAGCTCTCACTTATAAATGAGAATATATGATATTTGGCTTTCCATTCCTGAGTTACTTCGCTTAGAGTAATGGTCTCCAACTCCATCCAGGTTGCTGCAAGTGCCATTCTTTCTTTTTTTTTTTTTTTTTTTGAGCCGGAGTCTCGCTCTGTCGCCCAGGCTGGAGTGCAGTGGCACGATCTCGGCTCACTGCAAGCTCCGCCTCCCGGCTTCATGCCATTCTGCCTCAGCCTCCCAAGTAGCTGGGACTACAGGTGCCTGCCACCGCACCCAGCTAATTTTTTGTATTTTTAGTAGAGACGGGGTTTCATCGTGTTAGCCAGGATGGTCTCGATCTCCTGACCTCGTGATCCGCCCGCCTCGGCCTCCCAACATGCTGGGATTACAGGCGTGAGCCACCGCGCCCGGCCCATTATTTCAGTTTATTTTATGGCTGAGTAGTATTCCATGGTGTATATATACCACATTTTCTTTAGCCACTTGTTGGTTGATGGGCATTTAGGTTGGTTCCATATTTCTGCAATTGCAAATTTTGCTGCTATAAACATGCATATGCAAGTGTCTTTTTCATATAATGACTTATTTTCCTTTGGGTAGATACCCAGTAGTGGGATTGCTGGATTTAATGGTAGTTCCGCTTTTAGTTATTTAAGGAATCTCCATACTGTTTTCCATAGTGGTTGTATTAATTTACATTCCCACCAGCAGCGTAAGTGTTCCCTTTTCACCATATCCATGCCAACATCTGTTATTTTTTAATTTTTTAATTGTGGCCATTCTTGCAGGAGTAAGGTGGTATCTCATTATTTTTTTTAATTTGCATTTCCCTGATGATTAGTGATATTGAGATTTTTTTCATATACTTCTTGGCCATCTGTATATCTTTTGAGAATTGTCTATTCATGTCCTTAGGCCACTTTTTGATGGAATTATTTTTTTTTTCTTGCTGATTTGTTTGAGTTCCTCTGTGGTGGAGTGCCAGTAGGGAACAAGGACCTCTTCTCCAAGGCCCTATGTGATCACAGAGGCTGCCTGCCTATTGGGGTTTAGGTGCAACTTTCCCTACTGTGTCCAGTGCTGCAATTTTGTCTCTGCTGTGAGAAACTACCCACAAGCAGAAGGATCTGGAACTCAAGGCCTGCTCTTCAGATTCTTTTGTCCCATGAGGCGATATCTTGATGTGGTGCTCTCCTGCTCCTCCTAGGGATGGGGCTTCCTGAGAACCAAAGTGCAGTGATTGTTACTGGTCTTCTGGATCTAGCCATCCAGCAGGGATAGCGGGCTCTAGGCTGGTGCTGGGGAATGTCTGAAAAGAGTCCTGTGATGTAATCCATATTCAGGTCTCTCAGCCATGGGTACCAGCACCTGCTGTGGTGGAGGTGGCAGGGGAATGATGTAGACTCTGTGAGGATCCTTGGCTATAGATAGGTTTAGTGTGCTGGCTTTCTTGAATGCTGGTTATGCAAGCGGTGAAGTTGTCACATGGATAGACTCAGGACCTTTGGTTAGCCAGGATGTTGCAGGCAGTGGTATTAGCTGTTGTTTTCTCCTTCTCGGGAGCAGTGTTACTCTGTCATGAGTTGCGGTAATGTCCTGAGTTGGTTGGCCTTCAGCCAGGAGGTGGCATTTGCAAGAGAACACCAGCTGCGGTAGTAATAGTGGGATTTGAACTTGCCATAAGTTGGGGCAAGTATTCTGGTTTCTCAGGCGATGGGTGGGGCCATAAAGCTCCCAAGAGTTTCTATATTTTGTGTTCAGCTACCAGGGCTCATAGAGAAATACCTTCAGGTGGGGGCAGGGTTAGGTGGGTCTGAGCTAAGACTCTCCTTGGGGAGGGCTTGCTGTGACCACAGTAGGGTATGGGGAGGTGGTTCTCAGGCCAGTGGGGTTATGTTCCAGAGGGCATTATGGCTACTTCTCTTGTGCCGTATAGTTCACCAGGGAAGTAGGGGATAACTGATAGTGAAAGGCCTCATCCAGCTCCCACGCATTTAGTGTGGCTGGTCTCACTTCCAGAGTGCTCTGCTAACAGTGCCAAGTTTAGATCCAGGCAGCCTGTGCGCAGAACTCAGATCTGCCCCAGGTCATAAGCTTCCCCGCTGAGAAAGCAGGCAAGGCTTTCAGGCCATGCTTCTCGCTGTCTGCTCACAATGTTGGTGGCTCCTGCAAGATATAGTCAGGGATGGCATCTTTGGGCTTGAGCTGGAGACTGTGTGCCTACAAGGTTTTGCCCACTGCTGCTTCTACTTTTTTATTTCACAGAGTTTCCTAAATTTGTTCCAGCTCTAGGTAAGGTTAAATCCTTCTCCTATGATCTGGATTTTCAAATTCCCCAGTGGGGATGTGTGTTCAGAGGTGGGTTTTCCCCCCTCACACTTTGGGGAATCACGGTTTTTCGTCTGTCTTGCAGCATTTGCAACAGTGTGTTGCTTCTTTCAAAGCATCTGTGAATTCTTTCAGTTTTCCTGGTACATTCCTGTGGTGGTTCTTGGAACAAAAGATCACAGTGTGATTCTCCACACACTGTTCTGTCTGTCCAGGTGGGAGATGCAATGCACATTAGCCCTGCCTTTTATCTGTCATCTTGCTCCCATCTCTGTCCTTTCAAATGGGATCAGGGTGTAAGGATGTTGGGATTCTCCTGGCCCTTCAGTAGCTATTCCAAACCATTTATCTTCCATCTTATACATCTTCCATCCTTCAAGACTTTTATCTGGCTATCCAATAAAACTATAAATCTTCCAGCCTTCTGGGATCTCAGTTACATTCAGCTTAGGCTTTGGCGCCTGGCTTATCAATGCCATTTTCTTTCTAAGTCCTGTTATCTTCCCGGACACCCTGAGTGTCCATGTGGATGACCTACCTAACAACTTGCCCCCACTTTCCTTGACTTCTTCTGTATCTGTGACTTTGACCCACTACTCCACCTTCTTCCAACTTCACCCCCTTCTCATTGGTTGAATGCTAAACTTTATCATCACTTGCTCCTGTTCCACTTCTGAAATATGGAACTTCAGTATCCCATTCTGTCATTACGGCCTTCTATTATTCCAGTTTTTCATTCCATTACTTCTGCTCTTCAGTGTTATTAGGATTTCTTGTCCCTTGGCTCCTCTGTTTTCTTCCCAATCCATCACTCTTCCTTGCTTTTCATCTTTTTCATATCGTAGATTCCTTGATCCAACACATCATACGTTCCTCAACTCCATTTTTCACATGTCATTCCTGGGCTTTTTAAGCTCTCATTTCCTCTCGTTTTCACAACTAAAGGTTTGTTTCTGTTGTTGTTGTGTTTAGAGATGGGATCTCGCTCTGTCACCCAGGCTGGAGTGCAGTGGTGTGATCATAACTCACTGCAGCCTCAAAATCCTGGGCTCAAGTGATCTTCCCACTTCAGCCGCCTGAGAAGCTGAGACTATATGTGCATGACAGCACACCCTGCTGATTAAACCTTTTGAATAGGTTCTCTCTGCTTTCCTATCTCCCTCTCATGCCACATCCTCTCCAATTTTCATTATAATTATTTTCACCAGTTTTATTTTGCATTCTTCTTGACCACTGTATTAGTTTGTTCTCATGCTTCTAATAAAGATACCTGAGACTGGGTAATTTTAAAGGAAAGAGGTTTAATTGACTCACAGTTCCACATGGCTGGGGAGGCCTCAGGAAACTTACAGTCATGGCAAAAGGGGAAGCAAACACATCCTCCTTCACATGATGACAGCAAGGAGAAGTGCTGAGCAAAAGGAGGAAAGCCCCTTTAAAAAAACCATCAGATCTTGTGAGAACTCACTCACTTTCATGAGCACAGGGTGGAGGTAACCACTCCCATGATTCAGTTACCTTCCATTGGGCCCCTCCCATGACACATGGGGATTATGGGAACTGTAGTTCAGGATGAGATTTGGTGGGGACACAGCCAAACCATATAAACCACTCAGCTTTAGACACAGTTGACTCTCCTCGAAATGCTTCATTTCTTTGTCTTTTGACTCCCATATTCCTGTTTTTCCTCCTCTGTCTCTGGCTGTTTCTTCTTCTTCTCCTTTGTTACTTTTTTTTTTGAGACAGAGTTTCACTCTTGTTGCTCAGGCTGGAGTGCAACGGCATGATCTCCACTCACCACAACCTCTGCCTTCTGGGTTCAAGCGATTCTCCTGTCTCAGCCTCCTGAGTAGCTGGGATTACAGGCATGTGCCACCACACCTGGCTAATTTTGTATTTAGTAGGGACGGGGTTTCTCCATGTTGGTCAGGCTGGTCTTGAACTCCCAACCTCAGGTGATCCGCCCTCCTCAGCCTCCCAAAGGGCCGGGATTAAGGTGTGAGCCACCGTGCCCAGCCTCCTTTGTTACTCTTCTCTGCCCTTCTACTCAGACATTAGAGGAGTAGTTCTCTAGGACTCTGCCCTAGGCCTTCTTCTCACATTATATTCTCTTCCTGCATGATCTAATCACTCATGATGTCTTCAGTTACCAGCAATATGAAGCCATATCCCAGATTTTTGTCTCTATAAAGACCTCTTTTGAATTCCAGACCTGTATATACATTCAGCTACTTGTCTATTTGGATGCTTCACAGGTGCCTCAAACTTAACAGATGGAAAATAAAGTAAAAAGTTTTCCTGCCAAACCTGTTCCTTCTCAGTAATTGGTACCACTCACCATCCATCTAATTTCCCAAACTAGGCTAGGCTTGGTGGCTCACACCTGTAATCCCAGCACTTTGGGAGGCCGAGGCGGGCAGATCAACTAAGGTCAGGAGTTCGAGACCAGCCTGGCCACCATGGCAAAACCCTATCTCTACTAAAAATACAAAAGTTAGCTGGGTGTGGTGGCGCATGCCTGTAATCGGGAGGCTGAGGCAGGAGAATCTCGTGAACCCAGGAGGCGGAGGCTGCAGTGAGCTGAGATCGTACCACTGCACTGCCTGGGTGACAAAGAGAGACTTCGTCTCAAAAAAAAAAAAAAATTCCCAAACTAGGAATTTAAGCATCATCCTTTATCCTCCTTCATTCCCTGCATCCAGGTCATACATTCTAAAGGATTTTGCTCCCTCTACATCTCTTAATGTATTGAGTTTCTTTATCCTGTCCTCACTGTCTTGGCTTTTGTCCATACTACTATTGTCGCTTGCCTGGGTTCTTAATAACAGCCTCCTCACTGTTCTGGCACCTACTTTTGCCTGTTCCTAATCCATTTTGGATACCGTTGCTAGAGTAATCCTTTGTAAGTACAGATTGCTATTGCTTTGAGACTCAAGCACAATATTCTTACCAGCTCTACATGTGCTTGGCCCCTGCATACATCTCTAGACTTGCCACATTTTATACTTTAACACGTGGACCTTTCCGATCTTCGGAAGTGACATGTTCTTTCTGTTTCAGGATTTCTTGGAATGTCCTTGCACATGTTGTTCTCCGCGGAACATTCTGACTTTCTCTTCTTCCTGAGACAACTATCATTTCTCCAAGTCTCAAATGTTATTTCTTTAAGCAAGCCTTCTTTGTCCTCTCTAGTCAGGATTAGGCAATCATCTTACATTTTCTCCATAGTACTATGAACTCCTCCTATATATTATTCATTGCTATTGTGATTTTCTGTTGTTTGTTTCTTCTGTTATAAGACTCTACAGGCAGGGGTGCTGTTTGTCTTGCTCAGTGTTGTCCTGCAGGCCCAGTACATAGAAGATACTTGACACACATTTTATTTATGAAAGATGGAACAAACAAGAGAATGAAAGGATGAGTGTGCAGAGGGCAAATATCAACCTTATTGTCTGACCATTAGGAATTCACAAACCTAGGCTGTTGAGTCCTTCTGAAGGAAATTATACCCTAAATTCATAGGTTACTCTTTCAATTTCTACAACATTTATTTTGAAATACTCATGAATTTCCTTACCCGCTCTATGTTCTCTATACTTATTCTTAGACAACCTAACTCCTAGTTCAAAGAGAATATAAAAAACATGGGCAGTTACCCCAGAGTGCATATTGATGTTCTGTCTCTCTGTCTCAGTGGCTGAAGCTGCCATCCTCCTGTTCAGCCCCTCTGACTCTCATCCCATTGTTTCACCTCCCATTGGTTGTCCATTTCCTCACTTGTATCTTTAGTCTCAGACTTTCAGTTTCTCTCTCCCCTATTTGTCAGAATCTTGCTCATACATCTTCACTCAAGTCTGCATTCCCATGTGTTTGGTGACCTGTTCTCATCTTCCATTGACACCGTCCTCAGAAGTGTACCTCACACTTGCAGTCCTACCTCCATTTTAGAATAAGCTTAGTAAAATGGCTTGTATCCCATCATCTGATTGAACCTGCTCTTGATGAGGTCATTAATGGCCTCTTAGTTGTTAAATTAAAGGGATACTTTTCATGCCACATTTGATTTTCTTGGCCCATATCCTTTTAGGTATCTTTAGATATCTTCCTGCTTTGTTTGTGCCTTGAATGTTGGTGTCCCTCATGTTCCATTCTCATTCTACACACTCTGTAAGGGATCACAACCACACAGTTGTTTTCAGGTATGATATATGGATTTTGGAGTCATCATATTTTTGTAGCCCAGGTACTGCTTCTCTTGACATTTTGTATGAATAGAAAACAAATATTTTTTGGTAACAGATTTGTGAAAAATTGCATATTTTAATTTCTTTTTATCTGACCCCTTTTGATTACTGCTCTTAGTTTGTCTTTTGGTATCAGATATTATTTATTTGGAGGTTCTATTCCATTTTTACTGTATTTATAATTTTTTTTCTCCATTGAGAATTCCACCCCCTTCTTTTTCTCCCTTCCCCCAAGTTTCAAAGAAAAAAAAGTCTGTGATATTTTTCCCCTCTGCATAATTTCCCCTCAGCAGGTTGCAGCAGTTGACAAGAGCAGCAGGGACTGCTCTCAACTGGAGAAGAGCAATTGCAGAGGAGAAAATGACCCTGTTTGCTGAAAGTAAAGACAGTTTAAGGATTGCTCATTCCTCTTCAACTGCTTTTACCAAGCTTTCCAGCTTCCCTGGGGAAGATTATGTTCCAGGTTGTTCGGTTTATCATGTCAGCAGTTTACCTGCAATAGTCTGTCACTCATTTCTGGTCCTTTTAGTAGCAAAGAGTCTGCTAATAAAAAGTAGCATAAGAAAGGAGGCAGTGGAGTATAAAAGTTGTCTCTGGAGTTGGACTGAACTGACGCTTCCTAGCAGTGTGACCCTGTGCTCTCTAAGCCTTAGGTTCTTCATCTGTAAAATGGGGATAATAATAATATCTCAATGGGTCACTGAAGGATTGATTAAGTGATATAACTGGAAAGCTGTTAGCATCCTGTCTGCTAGATTTAAGGGTTGAATAAATGCTAGTAATTGTGAGTAAACTTGATATAATACATACTCAGCCCTGTGGAAGTTAAAACCAAGTGCTGCTGGTGACTGGGTTGTGAGTGACTTGAGAGACTGCCAGTGGGAAGGGAGATGTGGATCTGCCAGGTGGTCTAAGGTCTGAGCCTTTTATTTATTTCGCCTTTCATATGTAACAAGACAGCTTGGAAAAGTATAGTTTCAAGACTGACCCAACATAACTACAAAAGAGGCCTGCCATACATGGTTAAAAGCAGCAAGCCGTGTCGGAAGCCTTTTCCATCTGATTTGGGCTCAGATTATTCCTGCATCACTGGGGACCTTGTCCTCGCTCTTCCCAGCTCTGGTCTGTCTCCGCATGATTTTGGCTGGTGAGCTTTGGCACAACTCCCCAACTAACTCCCTTGGCTGAGCAGTTAACAATAGCTTGGCTCCTGCTTAGTTCTGGCACATGGTTCTCAGTTTACTCCTTTGGCTCAGTGCTTCTGACACCAGTTCTGCTACCCACCTCAGCCTGTGACCCAGGGCCATCCCATTTCTTTCTTTCTTTTTTTTTTTTTTTGAGACACAGTCTCACTCTGTCACCCAGGCTGGAGTGCAGTGACACGATCTTGGCTCACTGCAACCTCCACCTCCCAGGTTCAAGCAATTCTCTTGCCTCAGCCTCCTGAGTAGCTGGGACTACATGTGTGTGCCACCATGTCCGGCTAATTTTTTTTTGTATTTTTAGTAGAGATGGGGTTTCACCATGTTGGCCAGGCTGGTCTTGAACTCCTAACCTCAAGTGATCCACCCTCCTCAGCCTCCCAGAGTGCTGGGATTACAGGCATGAGCCACCACGCCTGGCACCTCCCATTTATTTCTATGGAGCATCTAGCTTCTCAGCTTAGGATCCTGGTACTTTCCTGGAGATTTTAAAATCCCACAGACACCATAAATTCCTTGACATTAAGCTTGCAAAGCAAGTGTGCTACTGTAGCAATGGTCCTGGTCCTTGTGTTTAAGGGTTTTAATTAATACTGGAGTTTTCTTTCTCCAAACATAGGAACATTAATTTTGATTACTGTATATTGGCTTTTCTAAGCATTGGTGCAAGCCACCTTTCAAGTTCTATGGTCAAAAACAGTTTCTTAGAAGTAGTAAAATTAAATGGTTATGAGTTTGCCTGAGGGGTGTGTTCAGTGTCATTCGATTTTACTGAGAACGTACTACTAATAATAATGATAGGCTGGGCGTGGTGGCTCACACCTATAGTCCCAGCACTTTGGGAGGCCGAGGCGGGCACATCACGAGGTCAGGAGATCAAGACCATCCTGGCCAACATGGTGAAACCCCGTCTTTAATGAAAATACAAAAATTAGCCGGGTGTGGCGGTGTGCGCCTGTAGTCCCAGCTACTCAGGAGGTTGAGGCAGGAGAATTGTTTGAACCCGGGAGGTGGAGGCTACAGTGAGCTGAGATCATGCCACTGCACTCCAGCCTGGGCAACAGAGCAGGACTCTGTCTCAAAAATAAAATAAAATAATAATAATAATAGCTAATACTTAATCAGTGATTGCCATGTGCGAGGCACAGTTCTGAGCACTTTACATTTATTAACTCATTTCATCTTCCTTATAACTCTATGAGATGGTTATTAATCTCATACTCATGTGAGATTAATAGCCCTATATAGATGAAGAAACTTAGGGGCAGCAAGATGAAGTAATTTGCTCAAGGTCACACAGCTGGTATCAGAGCCATCATACAAAGCCAGATAGTCCTGATCCTAACCTCTCAAAATGGCCACTGTGTCTTAGGAGCGTGAGAGAGATGAAGAACTGTAAGCTGAGATTACCTTCTGTCATAAAATCCATTTGGAATAAGAGAAATTGTTATACCACAATGCTTCAGAGTGTGAGCTTCTGAGCCAGTGGAGTCTGGGTTTAAGTCTTGCCTTTGCCACTTTCTGGATGTGTGACGTTGGGCAAGTTATTTAACTTGTTAAACTTCACTTTTATTTACCTGTGCAATATGTCACAATATTATCGTGATGCTAATCACTGCTCCTGGCACATATTAAAAATAGTACCTATTTTAGGCCAGGCGCAGTGGCTCACACCTGTAATCCCAACACTTTGGGAGGCTGAGGCAGGCGGATCACGAGGTCAGGAGTTTGAGACCAGCCTGGCCAACATAAGGAAGCCGCGTCTCTACTAAAAATACAACAAATTAGCTGGGCATGGTGGTGGGCACCTGTAATTCCAGCTACTCGGGAGGCTGAGGCAGCAGAATCACTTCAACCCGGGAGGCGGAGGTTGCAGTGAGCCGAGATCACGCCATTGCACTCCAGCCTGGGTGACAGAGTGAGACCCTGTCAAAAAAAATTACCTATTTTTATTAGAGATGTATAAGGCACTACTATGTGCTATGTTCTGTTCGAGGGGTACAAAGTACATGTTAAGGATGTCTAAAGAAAAAAATTAATTTAAAAAACTTTTTATTATGAAAATCTTATGCATATAAAAATTAGAGAATAGTATAATGAATCCCCAAGTAACATTTACTGAGCTATAGCAGATATCAATATTTCACTAATTTTGTTTCATCTATGTCCTCTACTTTTTTTTTTTTGTTTTTACTGGAGTAGTTTAAAGTAAACCCAGATATTATATCATTTTACCCATAAATATTGCAGTACCTTACTCCAATAGGAAGGGACCTAAAAAAAAATCACACTGTCAATGTGATTATCATGAACTTGAAAAAAACAAAAATTCTTTTATCTAATATTCAGTCTGTGTTTCTATTTTTCTTATTGTCTCCACATTGTTTTACTGTACATTTTGTTCAAATCAGTATCAAAATGAGTTTCTGTCTCTTAAGTCTCTTAAAGTATAACTCCTCTTCTTTTGATAATATTTACATGTTTTAGAAACTAGGTCTACGTTTGCCCTGTAGAATTTTTCATACCCTCGACTGGGCAGATAGCTTCTGCATAGCTGTGCAGAGCCATATGGGAGCCTGAGGCAAGAAGAAAAACCAGTGATACTGGCCCTGACTTTATTTAAAATTGTGTTATTATATTCATTATAACTTTTTTGCATTCATTTTTGATTTTGGAAAATACCTATTAAAATATTTATCTCCAGTACTGTATTTTTTGGCACACCTTTAAATGGTGCCCTTGAGGCAAGTGCCTCATCACTGTGTTCTAGCCCCAGCCATGAGTTGCTTAATTTGTTCCTCTATCCCTCCTGTGTCTTGTCAGCTGGTGATTAGATCCACATTCTGGAGCTTTGCTATTCACAGTGTGGTCCCGCAGCATAAGCATCTCCTGGGAGCTTCTTAGAAATACAGACTCTTAGGCCCCATCCAGAACCTACTGAGTCAGAATCTGCTTTTTAACCAGATCCCTAGATGATGTGTTTGCTCATTAAAGTTTGAGAAGTACTGAGTGGAGCCATAATTAGATTCCAGTGCAATTTATTTGGCAAGGATGCTTATAGGCCTGTGGTGAATTGCTTATTGTATAACTTTAAGAGGCATATATTGTCTAGGTGTCCTGTTTTTGGTGATACTAAGATTGATCAGTAGATCCTCATGTGATCAGCTTGACCCATCCATGAAAGTTAAGAAGGATCACTTCTTAGAGTTCACTAGAGCAAAATGGTTAAGAAAGGGGGCTCTAGAGCCCAATAGTATGGATTTGAATCTTGACTTTACACAGCAAAGCAACCCTGGATAGTTACTTAACTGTTCTATGTTTCAAGTCTCTATCTGTAAACTGGAGATAATAGTAGTACCCATTTCACTGGTCATGCAGATTTTTTTTAGAACAATGCCTGACACAAAGAAAGCTCTCAGACAGAAATAACACTTCTTTTCTTCTTCTTTAGTCTTTTCCCTCCTCATCAGAGAAAGCATCCTTACAAAGATATCATTTGAGTTAAGTCCTGCAGAATGAGTTGGACAGTGTTCTAGGTGATATTAATTACTTAATTATAAGCAGAAAATGGGAATTCACTCCATATTTTTGGAGAGTGGCAAAGAATTAGACTTGACTGTAAAGTTGCATGTTTTCAGGAGGATGGGGGAAAATCCAGCTGATGGAAGGCTTTGGATATAGGAAGTCTGTAGTATTTGGGGAACAGTGAAAATTTTTAAGGGAAGAGAATGTCATGAACAAAGTAGCATTCAAGAAGTTTCATGCAGCACACCTGTGCAGCAGGATACATTTGAAGGAAAAAAGTCTGAAGGTTAAGAGTGCATTTAAATAGTTTACACAAAAGGTAATAAAGGCCTAAACCAGAGTGATGGCATTAGGAATGGAAGAACTTGTGGGTGGATGTGAGATTGTGATAGTGTGAATAATACATGAGCATGGGTGCCAAAGGCAGGGGGTGTCTCTGCTTTGAGTTTTGCTGCTTACTAGCTATGTGGCCTTTATCAAGTTACTTAACCACCTGAACCTCTGAGCCTCAGTTTCCTTATAAGTGTAATGGGAATAATTACACCTGTTTGGCAGGTTAGTTGCAAGGATTAAATAGGTGTGTCAAGTGCCTGGTACTGTGCTCAGCTTATAGTTATCCCTCAATAAATGCTAGTTATTATTATTACTAGGTAGTTGACTGGGCATATGATTGAAGGAGAGGAAGGTAGTAGAAATGATTTTTTGGCTTCAAGACTAGGATAATTGGTGATATAGAAATAAGAAAGTTGCCAGGGAGAATTGGTTTAAGGAGGAGATTTTATATTCTGTTTTAGATACGTTGAGTTTGAAACCCCGACAGGCTATGGGGGGGGGAAATGTGTTGGATGCCGGGGTAAATTATGCATAAGCCACACTTGACTAGACTCATAGATTTACTTTTGGTGCAGATTATGGTTTCAATAATGGTTTGTGCTCCGTTTTTCAGTATCTTTGGGGTTTCTGACAAAGCAGATGTCTTACCTTGACATCAGTTCAGATTAGACTCTGACTTTGCAGTCAATGGTCTGGGGCCTGGCGGCTTCATCCACAGCTGAAGGTAGGGAGGTTTTTTTCCCCCTCATGGCTTTTCCTCATTCAGATTCTGCTGACATTTGAAGAAAGCAGTTTGTTTTGCTTTTTAGCCATTTCAAAGTTTATCTTTTTCTCTCTGTGCACAGGCTGATGCTGAAATTGGGGTATTAATGGGTGCTATTTAAAGAAGCTCATTTATGGGCAATTAAATAACATGCCTGTCAGCCCAGATTTGATAGGGAATAGGGGAACATTTTTAAATTTTTATTTTAAGTACAATGAAGTTTAATTATATTTCCTTTCTTTCAACTCTTTTGTTAGATTATCCAGAAAGCAGATTTCTTCTTTTAAAAAAAAAATCTATATATTTATTTTGCTTCCTCCCCTCTCTCTTGGGAGTGGTGGGCTGAGATGGGCAGCCAGTATATTTAATTTATATTCTGTTTTGTTGATTTCACATGATTTTAAGGGAGTTTTATATCAATGGTTTTACACGTTCCAAGCGTTACAGAGAGAATAATCCAGCTGATGCTAAAACTAGACCCTCTGTAGGTAGTAACTGACATCTCAAACATTTCATGTCCCAGAACAGCAAAAAGATTGACAGTAGTAGCTGCTAACTTATGTGTTTATAGGCCGGAAGTTGTCCAGATCTGTCACGTATTCTGGAACCCAAAGTAAATATCATTTCACGCACGCTATTTATAGAGAACAACTTGTGAGGCAGAGGGACGTGGGGACATAGGGACTCTCTCATTCTATTCTTTCTTCTGGAGTAGCTGTCAGGAGCTCTATGTAATCTGTTTTCTCTCCTTTTTCTTTATTATTATTATACTTTAAGTTTTAGGGTACATGTGCACAATGTGCAGGTTAGTTACATATGTATACATGTGCCATGCTGGTATGCTGCACCCATTAACTCGTCATTTACTCTCCTTTTTTTTTAAATGTAAATAGATTTGAGTACCTTGTATGTAATTGAGTCTCATTATATATATTTGTTTATAATTGTATATGCAAATACATAATGGCTGATGGCACAAAAAGAACTAGTAATTTGGTTGCCTAGTAAAGATAATGTTACACAGTATATGGAAGAACAGTATATGGCATAAAGTATTTAAATTGGAGTGTTGGATGGAAGCAAATAAATGAAAAAAGAGCAGAAAAATGGAAGAAGTGACTGGACCATGAAAGAATGTCAGTGCTTATGAGAATTAGGGGTAGAAATCATTGAAAAAATGGCTGGTGGTAGAAGGTCAGAGAAGGATGCCCATTAGTGGTACCCAGAGCTTTGCCTGATGGTGGTACAGTCTGGACTTCAGCATAAACATAGCAGCCAGTCAGAGGCAGAACTTTTTCCCCAGTGCCCACAGAACTCAGCTGACTAACGTGGGCTCCTGTGAATATTAGGAACAGAAATTGATATCTCGCGGAGACCTGAGGCTAGGATAAGAGAGTGAAAATAGAAAAATTTCATGTTCTAACAGGAGAAAAAGTGAGCTATGAAGACAGGCTTCCTCCACTTCCATTTCTCTTGGTCAATAGAATGAGGGGATAAACTGCAGAACTATCCTCTGGTTAATGAAAAATTCTGCAGAACAGACCAAAATGATTAGCTTAGTTATGTGAGAGAAGCCTCCAGGCGATACATTTTTCATTAAGTCATTTCCCATCCTGAACTGGAGAGGGAACAAATTGTGTGGAGAAAATCTGAGAAATTAGAAGGTACTTGAAGTATTCACAAGTAGTAGCTTGTTCCACCTGAGTGCATAGAAGTGTAGAGTACAGTGGTTGGGATTTGATAAGAAGGGAAGTTGTGGTTTTGGGATTTCTATACTTTATTTCAGGGAGCGAGAAAGAATAGGTACCAAACTGGAGCTTTACTGCAGCCTTTAGCTGTTATTTTAGGTGAGGTTA
Organism: Homo sapiens; assembly: GCF_000001405.40. Taxonomy (NCBI): domain Eukaryota; kingdom Metazoa; phylum Chordata; class Mammalia; order Primates; family Hominidae; genus Homo; species Homo sapiens. The sequence continues at coordinate 141,574,931 of NC_000007.14, forward strand.
TTAGGTTATTTAGGTTATTTTAGGTGAGGCCTTCCCATGGAGGGCAGACGTGGCGTTTTGGCTAATAAGTGTTCTTGAATTAATGAATTCAAGTGGGGTTAGGTTTAGCTGGGCTTTTTCCTAAACCCACTTGCAGGGAAGAAAAATGGTAGTAATCACTATAGTGATAAATCATAAATTGAGGTGACGTAAGTGTGGCATTTGCCAGTACATATGGTGGAACAGTGGACAGCACTTTCTTGATTGCGTTTTTGTCATTTGAGAATGTCTGTAGAGAACAGAAGAGAAGCAGAGTATTGAGGGGGAAAATGCCATGTTGAGAAGCAGGAGACTTCAGTTCTAGGCCTAAGCCTTTTAGTAACTTCTGTCCAAGTGGGCAAATCACCAGGCCAGATGCTTTTACAGACTAGGTCAATTAGTTATTTTCTGGGAGCTCTAAGGAGATGACAGCATCCTGCTTAAGTGAACATACCAGAATCACTTGGCACTTAGAGACCTGAGCTTATAGAATTACATGTGCTCTGTGTGTGTGCCCAAATGAGAATTATTGCTGTATTGAACTTTGTTACTAATGGGATATTGTCATATATTTGTTTCAGGGGTTTCAGGGTGTGTAGAGAGGTTGACAAGCATTGGACTAGATAATTTCTAAGGACTCTTCCAATCTGAAAAACTAAGATTTCCAGGAAATGGAAATTGGGCTTAGATGCCTTTTACAAAGGCCTTTTTTTTTTTTTTTTTTTTTTTTTTTTTGGGCCTGGCTGCTTCTAGGGCTTTCAAACTTTCACAGAAAATAAAAATAATTATAGTAAAAACAGGGATTTTAGACCTGAAAATTGCTGTAAATATTTGGAAGCCATGGTTAAACAGTGGGTAAATTCATATCTCTGGGGTGAATCACAATCTCATGTAATGAGGTAAAACATATTTTGGCAAAAGGCTGCTGGGAGGATTGACTTTATTGAGACACAAGATGCTGCAGCCCTGTTTGTGTTGGTTCATTCCTCATTCCTTGGAATAGCTATTTTGTCAATTTAAATGCTGAATTAAACAATGAACTTGCTAACTATGAACTTGACTTCCTCCCTTCTTTCCTTAATGCTTCCCCACTTCTTGGAACAAAAATGCTCTTGGCTTGCTTTCTATTAATATTAAATATGTTGATCGTTGCCTTGTTAAATATACCACTAACTAAAGAAATTCATTCAGAGGAGCCATTTGTAAACCAAAAATATATCAATAAATTTTCAGTGCCACCAAAGAAATAGCACTGGAACATACATTTAATTTTCTCAGCAAGGCAATTTTTACTTCTATAGAAGGGTGTGATTCATGGATGGAGCAATGGTGAGAGCACACCTGAACAAGGAAGGAGAAGGGATTCTTATTCCTGATGCAGGTAGCCCCTACTGCTGTGTCATTCCCTTGTTGTCTAGGGTTGGACCACACAGTCTAAGCTAATTCCGATCTGCTATTTTAAAGAGAGCAGGGGTACCAGCCAGAGTGGCAGGGTGAGTAGTTTGGCAGGAAGGGCAGTTACAGAACAGGTAACTCAGGATGAGTCAGGATGGAGCAGGTGACCAGGGGTGACTCAGGTCAAAGCAGATGACCAGGGGAACAGATTTGAACTACTGATTAGAACTGGTGGGATACTAGATACTAGATACTGGATACTAGATACTGATACTAGAGACAAGGGGGCGAAGAGTACCAGGAAGTTAAACCTTAAAATGGAGAATCAAAGAATAAGAGAGCTGAACATACTGACATAGTGATTCTTTGAAGACAAACTTGGAGTTCACTATATCTAACAAAAAATAAAATTCAGGCCAGGCGTGGTGGCTCATGCCTGTAATCCCAGCACTTTGGGAGGCTGAGGTGGGCGGATCACAAGGTCAGGAGATCGAGACCATCCTCGCTAACACGGTGAAACCCCGTCTCTACTAAAAATACAAAAAAATTAGCTGGGTGTGGTGGCGGGCACCTGTAGTCCCAGCTACTCGGGAGGCTGAGGCAGGAGAATGGCCTGAACCTGGAAGGCAGAGCTTGCAGTGAGCTGAGATCATGCCACTGCACTCCAGCCTGGGCGACAGGGTGAGACTCCGTCTCAAAAAAATAAAAAAAATAAAATAAAATTCAAAGGTCTCCCCAGCCCCCTCAACTATCTAAGTGGACTCCCTCCTCAGCCAGGGCACTCTAAAATTTAACCTGAAAGACTGGTTTGGGCCATGAAAGGAAGAGTAGCGGTGAGAGGGACAGGCCTCATTCTGTCTTTCCAGGGTTAACTTCAGCACCAACCTTAAGGCTGATAAGAAACATTTACAATCCATTTTCTCTGAAGCTTGCTACCTGGAGATTTCATCTGCATGATAAAACCTTGGTCTTCACAATCCCTTATCTTAATTCAGACATTGCTTTCTACAGATAATAACTTTCAACCAATTGCCACTCAGACTATGTTTAAATCTACCTATGACCTAGAACCACCCCCCAGTTCTGTAGTAGGACTTTTCCTAAGTTCAGCTAAAGACAGGGTCCTTGTCATGTGACCACAAAAAATTAGGCTTGCAGACAATTTGAAGGGTGAGAAAAATGGAATTTATTGGGCAAAAAGGCAAAAATAAAGGGAAACAGGGACTGTCAGCAGAGTGAGAGTCCTGCTACCATAGCCTTCCTGCCTTGCGGACTGAATTCCAGGTTCCGCCCCAGAGCAGGAGAGGCCAGTCTCCTCCCTGCTGCAAAAGGCAGGAACTTCCTGAGGCTTCACCCCAGTGTGCACTCCACCCAGTGCACAGGCCGGTTGGGGTTTCTCGGGGACCCCTTAGTCTTGGCTGTCTCAATTCAAGTTGTCCTGCCCTTCCAGATCGAATGCCCCAACATAAATCTTCTTTTTTTTTTTTTTTTTTGAAACAGAGCCTCACTCTGTCACCCAGGCTGGCGTGCAGTGGTGTGATCTCTGCTCACTGCAACCTCCCAGGTTCAAGCAATTCTCCTGCATCAGCCTCTCAGGTAGCTGGGACTACAGGTGCATGCCACCACGCCCAGCTAATTTTTTTGGAATTTTTAGTAGAGATGGGATTTCACTATGTTGGCCAGGCTGGTCTCGAACTCCTGACCTCAAGTGATCTGCCTGCCTTGGCCTCAGTATCACGCGCGTCCATGTGAAGAGACCACCAAACAGGCTTTGTGTGAGCAATAAAGCTTTTTAATCACCTGGGTGCAGGCGGGCTGAGTCCAAAAAGAGAGTCAGCGAAGGGAGATGGGGTGGGGCCATTTTATAAGATTTGGGTGGATAGTGGAAAATTACAGTCAAAGGGGGCTTGTTCTCTGGCTGGCAGGGGTGGGGGTCACAAGGTGCTCAGTGGGGGAGCTTTTGAGCCAAGATGAGCCAGGAGAAGGAATTTCACAAGGTAATGTCATCAGTTAAGGCAGGGACCGGCCATTTTCACTTCTTTTGTGATTCTTCACTTGCTTCGGGCCATCTGGACATATGTGTGCAGGTCACAGGGGATACGATGGCTTAGCTTGGGCTCAGAGGCCTGACATTCCTGCCTTCTTATATTAATAAGAAAAATAACATAAAATAGTATCGAAGTGTTGGGGCAGCAAAACTTTTTTGGGGGGTGGCATGGAGAGATAATGGGCGATGTTTCTCAGGGCTGCTTCCAGCAGGAGTAGGGGCAGTGTGGGAACCTAGAGTGGGAGAGGTCAAGTTGAGGGAGGATTTTGTAGTAAGGGGTGACATTGTGGGGTTGTTAGAAGGAGCATTTGTCGTATAGAATGATTGGTGATGGCCTGGATGCAGTTTTGTATGAATTGAAAAACTAAACAGAAGACACAAGGTCCGAATAAGAGAAGAAAAACAGCTATTAAAGGACTAAGAATTGGGAAAGTCCAGGACATCCAATTAGAGAGTGCCCAAGGAGGGTCAGCATAGCCCTGCCAGCAAAGATTATTTATGTACTTTAAGAGGGAGTTAAGAGTGGCAGTTTGGGGATAGCACCAGGAGATATCAGCTATGATGGCTTGGAGAAACAGTGTAAACCGGCAGTGTAAACAAGAGCAGGGCATTTATGAGTAGTTGAGAATGGTGAATAGGAGTATGACTAGACAGAAGATAGTAGGGATGACAAGTTTTTGGGGCACAGTCCAAGTTGGGCTGGTGTCTGGAATGAGACTGGGGCCTAATAAAAAGGAGCATTCATACAGGAGCTCAAATGGGCTGTACCCTGTAGCATTCCAAGGACAGGCCCGAATTCTGAGAAGGCAAAGTGGTAAAAGTATTGTCCAGTCCTTTTTAAGTTGGTGGCTGAGCTTGGTGAGGTGTGTTTTTAAAAGACCATTAGTCCGTTCTACCTTTTCTGAAGATTGAGGAAGGTAAGGGGTATGAGGGTTTCACTGAATAACAAGAGCCTGAGAAACTGCTTGGGTGATTTGACTAGTAAAGGCCGGTCTGTTATTGGACTGTATAGAGGTGGGAAGGCCAAACCGAGGAATTAAGTCTTACAGAAGGGAAGAAATGATCGCGGTGGCCTTCTCAGTCCCTGTGGGAAAGGCCTCTACCCATCTAGTGAAAGTGTCTACCCAGACCAAGAGGTATTTTGGTTTATTGACTCGAGGCATGTGAGTAAGGTTAATTTGCCAGTCCTGGGCAGGTGCAAATCCCCGAGCTTGATGAGTAGGGAAGGGAGGGGGCCTGAACAATCCCTGAGGAGTAGTAGAATAGCAGATGGAACACTGAAAATTGATTTCCTTGAGGATAGATTTCCATGATGGAAAGGAAATGAGAGGTTCTAAGAGACGGGCTAGCGGCTTATAACCTACATGGAAGAGGCTATGAAATGACGACAGAATAGAATGGGCCTGTCAGCCTGGAAGGAGATATTTTCCTTGGTCTAAGAACCATTTGCCTTGTGTGGGAAGAGATTAATAAGTGGAAGTTTCAGTAGGGGAGTAGGTGGGAGTGACCAATGAGAAGGAGAAAAACTGGCTGTGAGGGACAGAAGTTGGAATGCTAGTGGCTTTTTTAGCTACCTTATCAGCATAAGTGTTGCCCTAAGCAATGGGATCTGACGCCTTTTGACAGCCCTTGCAGTGAATGACTCCAGCTTCCTTCGGAAGTAAAGCAGACTTGAGAAGAGTTTTTATTAAAGAGGAGTTAATGATGGAGGACCCTTGCATAGTGAGGAAACCTCTTTTTGCCCATATAACAGCATGGTGGTGCAGGATATGGAAGGCATATTTAGAGTCAGTATAAATATTGATGCGTAGTCCTTTTGCAAGAGTGAGGGCCCGAGTTAAGGCAATGAGTTCGGCTTGCTGAGAGGTAGTGGAGTGGGGGCAGAGTGGTAGCTTCAATGATAGATGTGGAAGATACTATAGCATAGCCTGCCTTTGCTGGTGAGTGGCAATTAGGCCTGGTAGAACTGCCATCAATAAACCAAATGTGATCAGGGTGAGGAACAGGAAAGAAGGAAATATGGGGAAATTGGGTGAATGTCAGGTGGATCAGAGAGATACAGTCATGGGGGTCAGGTGTGGTATCTGGAATAATGTGGGAGCCTGGAATGAAGTCCGGACCGGGAACAATGGTAATTGTGGGAGACTCAACAAAGAGTGAGTATAGCTGAAGAAGCCAGGGAGCAGAAGGTATATGTGTCAGGTGTGAGGAAGAAAATAGATTTTGGAAGTTATGAGAGCTGTAGAGAGTGAGTTGAGCATAGTTTGTGATTTTGAGGGCCTCTAAAAGTATTAAGGCAGCAGCAGCCACTGCACGCAGACCATGAGGGCTAGGCTAAAACAGTAAGGTCAAGTTGTTTGGATAAAAAGGCCACAGGGCGTGATCCTGGTCCTTGTGTAAGAATTTCGACCGCACAGCCCTGCACTTCAGCTGTATGTAATGAAAAGGGAGTGAGTGATGAGTTAGGGAGAGCTAGTGTGGGAGCAGCTTCTAAAGCTGTCTTCAAGGAATGGAAAGAGGAGTGGGGAAAGGATTTAGGATCTATGGAGTCAGCTAGGTTTCCTTTTATGAGTGTATATAATGGTTTTGTTAGGATGGCAAAACCAGGTATCCAAAGGCGAAAGTGTCCAACCATGGCCAGGAAGGAAAGGAGTTGTTTTGTAGAAGGGGTTGGGGTTTGAGAGATCAGTCGGACACGATCGGCAGGGAGAGCACGTGTGTTTTTATGAAGAATTATGCCGATATACGTAACAGATGAAGAAATTTGGGCTTGACTGAAGTAATGGGGGCTGTCTGTGAAGTCTTGCGGCAGTACAGCCCAGGTAATTTGCTGGGCCTGATGGGTGTCAGGGTCAGTCCAAGTGAAAGCAAAGAGAGGCTGGGATGAAGGGTGTAAAGGAATAGTAAAGAAAGCATGTTTGAGATCCAGAAGAGGATAATGGGTTGTGGAGGGAGGTATTGAGGATAGGAGAGTATATGGGTTTGGCACCACAGGGTGGATAGGCAAAACAATTTGGTTGATAAGGCACAGATCCTGAACTAACCTATAATGCTTGTCTGGTTTTTGGACAGGTAAAATGGGGGAATTGTAAGGAGAGTTTATAGGCTTTAAAAGGCCATGCTGTAACAGGCAAGTAATAACAGGCTTTAATCCTTTTAAAGCTTGCTGTGGGATGGGATACTGGCATTGAGCGAGGTAAGGGTGATTAGGTTTTAATGGGATGGTAAGGGGTGCATGATCAGTTGCTAAGGAGGAAGTAGAGGTGTCCTATACTTGTGGATTAAGGTGGGGAGATACAAGGGGAGGATGTGAATGAGGCTTTGAACTGGGGAAAAGGGTGGCAATGAGGTGTGGCTGTAGCCTAGGAACAGTCAGGGAGGCAGATAATTTAGTTAAAATGCCTAGACCTAATAAGGGAGCTGGGCAGGTGGGGATAACTAAAAAGAGTGCATAAAAGAATGTTGTCCAAGTTGGCACCAGAGTTGGGGAGTTTTAAGGGGTTTTGAAGCTTGGCTGTCAATACCCACAACAGTTATGGGGGCAAGGGAAACATGCCCTTGAAAAGAAGGTAATGTGGAGTGGGTAGCCTCCGTATTGATTAAGAAAGGGACGGACTTACCGTCCACTCTGAGAGTTACCCAAAGTGTCTGTGATGGTCCAAGAAGCTTCCGAGGCAACTGGACAGTGTCAGTCTTCAGCCGCTAAGTCAAGAAGATCTGGGAAGGAGTCAGTCAGAGCCTTGGGCCGGTTGGACAGTCCAATTTCCAGTGGGGTCCTGTACAGATGGGACATAGCTTAGGAGGAATCCCGGGCTGCGGACATTCCTTGGCCCAGTGACCAGATTTCTGGCACTTGAAGCAAGTTCCTGGGGGAGGTGGTCCTGGAGGAATGCCTGGCCGCTGCGGTTTAGGTGTTTGGAAGTTCTTGTGTGCTGGAGATGTGGCTGGGGTTTCTCTCACAGTGGAGACAAGGAATTGCAATTCAGAAATACGTTGCTACTTGCCTGCCTCTACTCTATTATTGTACACCTTGAAGGCAAGGTTAATTAAGTTCTATTGTGGGGTTTGAGGGCCAGAATTTAATTTTTGGAGTTTTATTTAATGTTGGGAACCGATTGGGTAATATACTGTATATTGAGAATAAGACAGCCTTCTGACCTTTCAGGATCTAGGGCTGTAAAGCATCTAAGGGTTGTTGCCAAATGGGCCATGAACTGGACTGGGTTTTTTATATTTGATGAAAAAGAGCCTAAACGCTAACCAATTTGGGAGAAGTTGGATAAATAAAAAGGAGCATTAACCTTGATTATGCCTTTAGCTCCAGCCACCTTTTTAAGAGGAAATTGCTGGGCAGATGGGGGAGAGCTAGCCATGGAACGAAACTGTAAGCCAGACCGGGTGTGAGGAGGGGAGGTGATAAAAGGATTATAGGGTAGGGGAGCGGAGGCTGAGGAAGAATTGGGACCTGGCTCAGCCTGGTGAGGAGCAGCCTGGGGAGGAGGGGAGAGGTCAGATGGGTCCATAAAAAAGGAAGATTGGAAAGACTCAGCAATACTTGGGGTTGGGACTGAGGGGACAGGCAGGAGGGAAAGAAGGAAGATTTGGGACAAGTTGCATTGGGAACAGAGACTAGGAAGGGACCGATGTGTAAAAGAATGCCTGGACATCAGGCACCTCAGACCATTTGCCCATTTTACGACAAGAATTATCTAGATCTTGCGGGATGGAGAAATTGAAAGTGCCGTTTTCTGGCTTTTTGGAACCATTGTTGAGTTTGTATTGGGGTCAAGCAGTATTGCAGAAGAAAATAAGGCATTTAGGTTTTAGGTCAGGTGTGAGTTGAAGACGTTTTAAGTTCTTGAGAACACAGGCTAAGGGAGAAGAAGGAGGAATGGAGGGTGGAAAGTTGCCTATAGTGAAGGAGGCAAGCCTAGAGAAAAGAGATGGTAGAGACATGGAGAGAAGGGGTGGGGGTGCTTGCCCCCCAGGAAAGTGGAGAGGAGAGAGAGGGTAGAGACACGGAGAGAAGGGGTGGGGGGGTGCTTGCCTCCCAAGAAAGTGGAGAGAAAAGAGAGGGTAGAGACACGAAGAGAAGGGGTGGGCGGTGCTTGCCCCCCAGGAAAGTGGAGAGAAAAGAGAGGGTAGAGACATGGAGAGAAGGGGTGGGGGGTGCTTGCCCCCCAAAAAATGGTGGTTGCCACTAAGGGTGAAGGATCTAGGAAGGTGTCCCCATGGTTATCAGACACCTCTTAAACATGGGTGAATAATCAAGCAGGCATCCCCACAGTGATTAAACACCAAGGGAAGATTGTCTTCCTGCGTCCGTGACTGGTGCCGGAGTTTTGGGTTCACGGATAAAACATGTCTCCTTTGTTTCTACCAGAAAAGGAAAGGAACTGAAATTAAGAGAAGGTAGAGACGGAAAGATGGCACCAAGATTGAAAGGAGAAAGAGGTTGAGGGATAGTGAGAGAGGTTGGAGAAGAGAGTAAAAAGAGGCCGCTTACCTGATTTAAAATTGGTGAGATGTTCCTTGGGCTGGTTGGTCTGAGGACCTGAGGTTGTAGGTGGATCTTTCTCATGGAGCAAAGAGCAGGAGGACGGGATTGATCTCCCAAGGGAGGTCCCTTGATCTGAGTCATGGCACCAAATTTCACTCGTGTCCATGTGAAGAGACCACCAAACAGGCTTTGTGTGAGCAATAAAGCTTTTTAATCACCTGGGTGCAGGTGGGCCGAGTCCGAAAAGAGAGTCAGCGAAGGGAGATAAGGGTGGGGCCATTTTATAAGATTTGGGTAGGTAGTGGAAAATTATAGTCAAAGGGGGTTGTTCTCTGGCTGGCAGGGGTGAGGGTCACAAGGTGTTCAGTGGGGGAGCTTTTGAGCCAAGATGAGCCAGGAGAAGGAATTTCACAAGGTAATGTCATCAGTTAAGGCAGGGACCGGCCATTTTCACTTTTTTTGTGATTCTTCACTTGCTTCGGGCCATCTGGACGCATATACATGCAGGTCACAGGGGATACGATGGCTTAGCTTGGGCTCAGAAGCCTGACACTCAATGTAAATCTTAAATGTATTGATTGCTGTTATTATGTCTCCCTAAAATGTATAAAAGCAAGCTGTACCCCGACCATTTGGGGCACGAGTACTCAGGACCTCTTGAAGCTGTGTCATGGCTGTGTCCTTAACCTTGGCAAAATAAACTTTCTACATTGAATGAGACCTGTCTCAGATATTTTGGGTTCACACATTTGACCTAAAAATTCCTGAACACAAGTTGGTGTAGTTTTTACTAGTGTAGGAGGCAGTGCTGTATATTTGTCCTTTGCATTTGATAGTAGAATTTTTAGCTGTTTTTCTTTTGCTAAACTTTTCACCATCAGCAATGCAGATGTTGAAATTTTAATGCAATTGCCTCTGTGGCCCTTATTTTCACTCACATCTTCTAAGCACTCTAAGGGGCATTGAAATGAAGACAGCCACCACTTAATATATGGTTGTCAATAGGATTTCTTCCTGACCGTTTATGCTTTCATGACATTAGGAAACTTCTTTGTTGCATTGGGCTTGGGAGAGGTAAGAAGATACAAATTTCTTTGGTAGCAGGTAGTGCATGATGGTGTGGTTTGGAGAACAAGAAGAGATAACCTTGTTTGGTTAAATGGGGAAGACCAGACTGGTAGGCCCTAAAATCCTTTTAAAAATCATTAACATTTTCATTGTTCCCTTGGCTTTCTGACCTGTTACACTGCATACCTTCTATCCAAATGGAGATTCTGTCGGCCGAAAAGATCAAGCATTCTTCCTTAGCAAGATGCATTTCCTCCTGCTGGATCAGCTGTCTTTCTGTCAGAAAGGCAGAGCTGGTCACTATTTTCCCATTATCTGTTTGGGTAGGGAGTCCGGGAAATGGGGAGGGCTATGCAATATATAGTTTAGAAAAGCTCTCTCCCTCTGCACACACTTTTAAGATTCATTTTTGTCTTTGCTCCCATTTCTTTCATTCCTATTGCTCCATGGGCAACCATGGGCACAGCCACTGGCAATATCATGATTAATTATTCTAGGAAGCCTGGATAAGTTGAAGTGGTTGTTATAAACGTCTAAACTTGAAATCTATTTTTTTTAAAGCAAAGACTGTGTTTGCATGCACCAAGGGAAAAGCTGGTGGTAGAAATTGCTGTACAATTTGCCTCTAGACTGTAGTTGGAAATATTCTTTTTGGGAAATAGGACAGATCAAGGTGGTTTTTCTCTCCATGTAAAGTTGCTATTGGAATAACAACTTGTCTTATTTTACAGTCCTAAAGTAATAAATAAAACATTTATGACTTGGAATAAATTGAGAGCATCCCATTACCTATAGTAGCAGGCATGTTCTTATTCTTTTCAAGCCTCAGGCAGAGTGACATCAGCAGATTTTTTTCATTTTCTAATCCAGAGCCTTCTAATTTCTTTCTGTCAAAGAACCTGCATTTTAATACTGAGCAGATCTGCAGGGACCCTTTTTGATATGACTACGTTTTGTAGCACCTCTTTTAAATTGTATTTAACTTCAGTTCTCAGAAGACAGCATGGTGTAGTGGAAAGAACATGGGCTTAGAATTTATAGAGTGTACTTTTTTTTTTGGTTGGCTTGGAAATGAGGTCTTCAGTTCACATTCAGATTCTTGACTCATTAGTAATCTGGAATTTTCTGATGACCACACTCAGAGTTCTTCTAGCTACAGGGCCACTTCTTGTGGTGCTTGTGGTGTGTCAAAAGGAACTCCCCGCTTAGCCTCTTTAGAGGGTACTTCTTCCATTACACTCTACACACCCACACACCCTGGGAGCTTCTTGATCTGGTAACGTTTTTGTGCGTTTGGAATTTTTTAGTTTTTCATCCTGTACTACACCATAATGACTCTTACCCTTGCCCTTTGGTGATTATCACATTGGAGAAACATCCCCGCTCATCTGTGCTTTCAGAATGCCAAATCCTCATACAAAGAATAACCTTCAGTTTCTCCTGCAGGACAAAGCATGCCTGTCTGAGCACAGTGAGTCAATCTCTCCTGTTCAAACATTTGCCACTTATTTATTAAACAAGTATTTACCAAGTACCCTCTATCTACGAGTGTGTGCTGTGGGCTGTGGATGAGAAAATGGTGAATTATCCATGATTTCAAGAAGTCTATAATCTAGGAAGGAAAATAAGAAAAGCAGTTTTTGTGTGGTGGGGTAAGGGCATGGGTTGTATTGTGCTTGGCCTTTTTTAAAAAGGAAGGGATAAAATGATCCAATCCTTGAAGATGTAAAGTTCGTTGTGTCTCTTAAGAACAGCAAAACATGCAGTTTGCCAAGAGCAGAAGCAGCATCAAGGGGGAATGGTGGAAGATAAGGAAAATTTTTCCTCAGTTATCTACCTGATTTTTCCTTTGACTTTCAAATGAAGTACAGGGTCATTTTATTTGAGATTCATTTGGTATTCTCTGTCAACTGTCCATGATCAGGGTATCTCTTCCTCCTACTTTTCACCCTACTCGTATAGATCATCATATCCACTCTCATTCCTTCTATCAACATGTAGCTAAGATTGCTATACAGAACTTCAGACCTGCATTTCCAGCTGTGGCCTAGACACCTCCACCCGGGTTCTCACCCCACCTCGGATAGACAGACCCAGAACTAAGCTCAGTTTCCTCTCTCTCACACTTGCACTTTCTGCTTCATTCCATCTCTGTGAATGGTACTGCCTTCCAGCAATTGCTTAATGCAGGATGTGGGCGCTATCTTTGACCCCTCACCTTTTCTTTAATTCCCACCAGCCATCCCTCAAATTTACCTCCTGAATATCTGTTGAGTCTGTCCTCTTCTCTGTGTCCCCTCTGCCACCATCCTAGTTCCAGTCATCATCACCGACTGTCACTGAGGGAGCCTCTGAAGTTTCACTAGATTCAGTCTTACCTCTGACCAATGCCTTCTTCACACACTGCAGCCAGAATAATCCCTCCAAAATGTAAACCTGGTCACATCAATTCTCTTAAAACCTGTTAATGGCTCCTTATGGCCCTTAGGGTAAAATCCAAATTACTTAAATAGCTGAAAATGTCCTTGGTGACCTGGCCTTTACTGGCTCCTCCCACAGCGGGTGGCCTCCAGCGGTTCCGAACTACTTTCTCTTTCCTAAATTGGCCATGTTCTAGCACTTGTACGCTTTGACATGCTGTTTCTCTTGCCTAGATTCTACTCCCTATTTTTGCCTGGCTACTTTTTATTTTTCCCCTAGATCTCAGCTTCAATGTCATATCCTGTAAAAAGCCTCTAATTCTCTCAAAACTAGGTTAGATGCCCCCATTATGTGCCCCTTTTATGGATTACCTAAAAGTGAAATTGCATCTTGATTACCTGTTGAATTGTCATCGTTCCCTACTAAACTATAAACTTCACTAGGACAGGGAATGTTGGGCTTATTCACCAGCGTGTCCAAGACACCCAGCACAGTGCCTGGCATATTATTTATCAAGAAACATGTTTTACTATGCCACCAATATTTACCAAGAGCTGTTCTTCTTTACCACTTGATCCTAAGCTTCTTCAGGGCAGGACCAAATCATATTTGTGTGCCATAGGCAGCACTTTGTGTTAAATGAGTTTGTTTCAACAACTACCTTCAGAAGCATTATTGCATCTGACCTTTTAAAAAATATTATGTGAGTGTGAATATAAATTGAAAAATTTAAATTAGATGAGACTATGCAATTTAAAAAATGTGCTATAAAACATACAACTAAATGAGTAATTGCCCATTGAGTATTGTCTGAAGTTTAGAAGAAAAAGCATCTGCTTTCCGACCCTACTGTTAGCAGAAAGGGGTCCCAATCCAGACCCCAAGAGAGGGTTCTTAGATCTTGCACAAGAAAGAATTCAGGGCGACTCCATAGAGTGAAGTGAAAGCAAGTTTATTAAGATAGTAGGCCAGGCACAGTGGCCACACCTGTAATGCCAGCACTTTGGGAGGACAAGGCAGGCGGATCATGAGGTCAGGAGTTCGGTTCAAGATCAGCCTGGCCAACATGGTGAAACCAATACAAAAATTAGCTGGGTGTGGTGGTGCACACCTGTAATCCCAGCTACTTGGGAGGCTGAGGCAGGAGAATCACTTGAACCCGGGAGATGGAAGTTTCAGTGAGCCGAGACAGCGCCACTGCACTCCAGCCTGGGGGACAGAGTGATACTTCGCCTCGGAAAAAAAAAAAAAGAAAGTAAAAGATTAAAAGGTTGACTACTCCATAGGCAGAGCAGCAGCATGGACCACTCAGGTGCTTATTCTTGTTACTTCTTGATTATATGCTAAACAGGGGGTGGATTATTCATGAGTTTTTTCAGAAAGGGATGGGCAATTCCCAGAACTGAGGATTCCTCCCCTTTTTAGACCATACAGTGTAACTTCCAGATGTTGCCATGGCATTTGTAAACTGTCATGGTGCTGGCAGGAGTGTCTTTTAGCATGCTAATGTATTCTAATTAACATATAATGAGCAGTGAGGACACTAGAGATCACTCTCATCGCCATCTTGGTTTTGGTGGATTTTCGTTGGTGTCTTCACTGAAGGTTGTTTTATCAGCAAGGTCTTTATCAGCTATATCATATGCCGCCCTCCTATCTCATCCTGTGACTTAGAATGCCCTACCTCCTGGGAATGCAGCCCAGTAGGTCTCAGCCTCTTTTTACCCAGCCCCTACTCAAGATGGAGTCACTCTGGTTCAAATGCCTCTGACACTTACCACTTAGTAACTCTGTGTTTTTGGGCACGTCACTTTCCTTCTCTGAGTCTTGGCTTCCTAATATGTAAAATGAGAATATTTTCTGTTACCTGATAATGCCTACCTTGCAAGGTTGTTACAAAGATTAAAGGTTTATGAAAACAACTGCCATAGTACTTGGTACAAGGTAGTTGCTCTATGAATTTTAAGTTTTGTCTTTTATTCTGACAATGCTGATATTACTGAAATATTTTTGGAATTTCTTTGCTGAGATAGTTTTCAGAGCTTGCTATAGATCATCAGACTATCTCAATGGGAGAAATCTTTTTTCTTTGAGGATGTGTTTGATTTTTAGGAATAGTCGGGTTCAGATAGCAAGATCAAGATGGTTAACACCATTTTTGATATTAAACAAAGTTAAGTATGATTTTTTTTTTTTTTGAGATGGAGTTTCGCTCTTGTTGCCCAGGCTGGAGTGCCATGACGCGTTCTCGGCTCATTGCAACCTCCGCCTCCTGGCTTCAAGCGATTCTCCTGCCTCAGCCTCCCAAGTAGCTGGGATTATAGGCATGTGCCACCATGCCTGGATAATTTTGTATTTTTAGTAGAGACGGGGTTTCACCATGTTGGTCAAGCTGGTCTCGAACTCCCGACCTCAGGTGATCCGCCCATCTCGGCATCCCAAAGTGCTGGGATTACAAGCATGAGTCACTGTGCCAGACCCAAAGTTAAGTATGATTATAATGAGATCTTCTTTTGTAATATCAAAATTGGAACATATTCTGGCTCTCTCACAGGTGGCATTGACAGGATATTCCATTTGGCACATTAAATTCAGGGAATTAACTATCACAAAATCTTTTTATTTTGAATAGCATTCTGATAAATTAATCAAAATTAATAAACTCAGGAGAGCTGAAATCTTTAATAATATATTTAATCACAAGCTAATAATCAGAATTTTACTTCTAGCAACAAAGAACTTAGGGAAAAAAATGATCTAAGGTGCTACCCCATATTCTTGTGCATATTCAGGGCTATTGTCTTTTCAGCTAGGTCCATGGAAATCAGTGTGCCTGAGTTGTGGCAAGGGTAATGTTCTTTATTAATAGCCCAGAGGAGCCTGTTGCCTTTTGGAGACCTGTCCTTCATAGTAGAGGAGGAGCCTGGAAATGGGCAGGATATAGAGATGGGATTGTAGCTTTTACAGAAGCATAGAGGGCTTGTGCAGAAAAAATCCACAGGGCGAGTTTTTAGGAGAGATTGGAGGTACAAGGTAATTAGTCTACTAAAGGAAAGCATTGAAAGCAGTGGCCGGTGGGAGCACAGTCCGGAGAGGCTGGAAGCTGCGTTCCCAGGGCCTGTGCAAGTTGGACTAGGGGTCAGCACAGTCCAGGGGGAGGGTCAGTGACAATGCCCAGGTTACTATGAGGAACCTCATATTATTTTGTTATCCAGAGGTTACTGTGGGTTCAGTGTTTTACCTCTTTATTGTATATAAGGTCATAAATGCAAAGTATCCAGTAAGCTATAAGGAGTTAGTGACATGTTAATTATTTTCAAGATATTTCGCTAGTTTCTACCCTGAATTTACCTCATCTTGTATATTTTTGTTGTTGTTACTGATGTTAGAATGATTCAGTGAGAGCATTTGATTGGGAGGGACGCAAGAAGAAAAGTGAAACATGAATATGTGTTATTTCCTGTGGGTCATTCAAAAAAACATGAATATTTGTGAATACTGGGTGTGGAGGAAGAGAAGGTTGCACAACGCTCTTTGCCACCTGGGCACAGGGGAGCAGAGTCACTTAAGCCAATGGGGACTGGGCTGACTTGTGCTGGATTTCACAAGGGGTGAGTCTCCTGAAAATCTTTGTTATCAAACAACATCAGCTTTTGGGGTACTGATGTCATGATAATTTCAGTAAAACATGGTTCTTAAGTTGTTTTTTTTTTTTTTTTTTTTTTTTTTTGAGACAGAGTCTCACTCTGTAGCCCCAGGCTGGAGCGCAATGGCGTGATCTTGGCTCAATGCAACCTCCACCTCCCGGGTTCAGGCAATTCTCCTGCCTCAGCCTCCCGAGTAGTTGGGATTACAGGCATGCACCAGCATGCCCGGCTAATTTTTATATTTTTAGTAGAGACGGGGTCTCACCATGTTGGCCAGGCTGGTCACGAACTCCTGACCTCAAGTGATCTGCCCACCTTGTCCTCCCAAAGTGCTAAGATTACAGGTGTGAGCCACTGTGCCCTGCGGTTCTTAGGTTTCAGATTTCAGATTCACAGCGTCCATACTTCCCTGTGGATGGTGTTCTCTTAGTGAAGCCGCCTGCTTTGTGAACTTCAGGGGTTGTTTTGCAGCCTGGCTATGGAATCACTGAGCAGCAGCCTTTGACAGCAACTCTGGCAAAAAGCAAAGCTTGCTTATTGTTTTTCATTCACTGTAAATGTCAAATCACCCAGAAGAGCCTGTTGCCTTTTGAATTCCTGTGAAAATGCAAAATTTAAAGTTTTCAATGTTATAAAAAAAGTCTAGAAAGAGAATATAAGCAAAATAACCTTTTTTCAAGTTTTTCTATAAATTGGTTATTGTTCATCTTTTCTGGGTATTTGATTTCTTAACTTTTGTTAACCACATTGAAGTTACTATCTTAGCAGTGCCAGCAATGTGCATTAGCACAAGCTCTTAGATGAAGATTCTGGAGCCCCGGAGGTGACTGGAGCCATTTAAAATGCTTTTATGGTAGAAACCTATTTTAGAGACCTTGACGTTAAATAGGTGATCACATTCTGACAGAATGCTTTCATTTTTGGAAGCCAAAATTTTGCCTCATGACAAAATTCTCCATTTATGATTTATTGTCTGACAGTGATATAAAAAACAAGTGATTTAGATAAGACAGTAGCAGAAGAAACTTAATATCAAATTTACTTGTGGCAAATGACCTAATTTCCACTGGGTAAGAAAAATGCAGGATATGTATATTAGTTTTCTGTTGTTACCTTAACAAATTACCACAAATTTAGTGGTTCAACACACCACAAATTTCTTGTCTTGCATTCTGTGAATTAGAGGCCCAAAGCAGCTCTCACTGGGCTAAGACAAAGTGTGGCAAGGGCTATGTTCCTTCTGGAGGCTCTAGGGGAGAATCCTTTTGCTTTTCCAGCTTCTAGAGGCCACCACATTCCTTGACTCTCTTCAGAGCCTTCTTCCATCTTCGCAGCTGGCAAAGTTGCATTTTTCTGACCATTCTTCCATAATCACGTCTGCCTCTGATCACAACCACGAAACTCTCTGTTTTGGGACCTTTGTGGTTAGATTGGGCCCATCTTGGATGATCCAGGACGATCTCCCATGTCAGGGTCCTAAGTTGAATCATGTCTGTAAAATCCCTCTTGCCATGTAAAGTAACATATCCTCAAGTTCTGAGGATTCGGATGTGGAAATTTTGGGGGGATGTGGCATTATTCTGGTTACCATAATATGGAAATATTTAACACAGACTTTTATTCGGAGGATGTATTTTTCAAATGTGATGATAAGTTGTTATCAGGTTTTTTTTGTTTTTTTGTTTTTTGTTTTTTTCAGCAGAGTCTCGCTCTGTCGCCCGGGCTGGAGTGCAATGGCATGATCTCAGCTCACTGCAACCTCTGCCTCCCAGGTTCAAGCGATTCTCCTGCCCCAGTCTCCCGAGTAGTTGGGATTACAGGCACCCACCACCATGCCCGGCTAATTTTTGTATTTTTGGTAGAGAGGAGGTTTCACCATGTTGGCCAGGCTGGTCTCGAACTCCTGACCTCAGGTGATCTGCCCACCTCAGCCTCCCAAAGTGCTGGGATTACAGGCGTGAGCCACCATGCCCGGCCTGTTATCAGGTTTTTAAGGAACTTTCACTGGGGTGTTTTTAGAGAAGAGGTGCCTATATTAAAAAATTAAAAAGCTCACAAATTTTGTTTGGATCATAATCTATTAAAGCTAATGATTATTCTCTTTTGCTTACTTTGATAGTGATAACCTCCTAAGGAGAGCAGCCTGTCAAGAAGCTCAGGTAATACTACTTAATGTGATAAAATTAAGCCCCTCCTTATCTTCATTGTGCAGAAAACTTAAGCTCTTTCAGGGGACTTGCACAGTGTCTTGCATCTGTGCAGTCTGGCTATTTTTTAGCACTATCAGGATGAATCACGCTGGGAGCCAACTCTGAGTAGAACTCCAGGAAGTTAACCATCTGGTGAAGAGCAGTTCTGACGCCCACCCCTATAGACTGTTTGTTTCTGGATTGGTCCCAAGAACACAGAACTGGACTGGTAGAAGCTCTGGGAATTTGTTTGTGTCTGCAGTTGTCTTTGTAGATTTGTCTAACCCCTGAATCATCCCTGATCTGAATAACCCCCAAGGATATCAGTTCAGAGCAAGTGTTACCTCTAAAAGTCAAATCTTCTTAAAATTGTTGATTCATATTTTTAAAGCTCATCTCCAAGTTCAACTGATCCATATCATGTACACTGTTATATTCCATGAGATTTTACTTAAATATTCATTTATATGGCTAATTATAGCTGGATTATAATATTTGTCCTTTCAAATATAAGACAGCATTTTTGCCCCCCCACTGCAAAAATGTGCATTATACCTTGCAGATGAAATTCTGAGACTGAGTTGCCTTTTTGTTTTATATCATTTGAGCTTATGATGTCAGAAATACCAAAATAGAAACATGAAAATCAAAAGTGGCAAATGTGTGAAGCATTTAGTAATAAAAATAGGTGGCAGACCTCATGTTTGTTTCTGAAATGTTTTAATGGATGACAGTGAGAATAGATACTATAAATTAATTCCTCTCTTTAGCGATTGTTACAATAGATACTATAAATTAATTCCTCTCTTTAGCAGTTGTTACAGTATATACTATAATTCCTCTTTTTAGCGATTGTTATCTAGCTGTTCTAAACCTGTGTTTTACGAATTTGATTACTTCTTTGTTTAAATGTATTATCTTTCATATGGCTCTAAGTTGTTTTGGAAATCAATTCAAATAAACTTTAATATTAAATTAAAGGTGATCCCCGTCCCAAGCCAATCATTAGCGACTGGAAAATCTTCCTGGAGTACAGTGGTGTGATGTTGGCTCACTGCAACCTCTGCCTCCTGGGTTCAAGCGATTCTCCTGCCTCAGCCTCTTGAGTAGCTGGGACTACAGGCACACACCACCATGTCCAGCTAATTTTTGTATTTTTAGTAGAGATAGGGGTTCTCCATGTTGGCCAGGATGGTCTCCATCTCAACCTCGTGTTCCACCTGCCTTGGTCTCCCAAAGTGCTGGGATTACAGGTGTGAGCCACCACACCTGGCCCCTTTCTTTCTCTCTTTAAGGAAGAGTAGACCTGTGTGATTGTAGGGCCCTCCCTTTCTTGTTGAAAGTAAATGCCTCCACCTCTGTTCTAAATTCTCTCTCCTCATACTTTTTCAGGGATGATGTTCCTTTAGTTATTTTCTCCTTCTCATGTATTTCTTTCTTTCTTTCTTTCTTTTTTTAGACGAGTCTCGCCCTGTTGCCCAGGCTGGAGTGCAATGGCACAATCTCAGCTCACTGCAACCTCCGCCTCCCAGGTTCAAGTGATTCTCTTGCCTCAGCCTCCTGAGTAGCTGGAATTACAGGCACATGCCACCAAGCCTGGCTAATTTTTGTATTTTTAGTAGAGACGGGGTTTCACCATGTTGGTCAGGCTGGTCTCGAACTCCTGACCTTGTGATCCACTCGCCTTGGCCTCCCAAAGTGCTGCAATTACAGGTGTGAGCCACCTTGCCTGGCCTTATTTCTTTCTATTCTAATTCTCCACTTCCCCTGCATGTTTAGTTCCTTCCATCTCACAAATGGAAGTGGATCTGTCCTTATAGCCTCAGCTGGCTAATTTTCCTATCTGTGTACTTCCTTTTACAGTCTAAATTCTTGAAAACATGATATTTAATAACAAATCTCACATAAACTTAATGTAGTCTCACATAAACTCCTTAGCTCACTGTGAATCTGAGATTTGATTTGCAAGTAGGTACCAACTTTAGACACTAAGAAATGAGGGCAAGGAGGAATAATCTTACTACCATAGGTGTGGAATCTGATAGGCCAGAGAGAATGGTTAGTGATATCATTTCTGCCACATTCCAGAAATAGTATAGATAGAAAAAGGAAAAATTACAGTATTTGGAGATTTAGCAGCAAAATGTTAAAGTCTAAGTAAGAATGAAAACAGAATAGAAATTATAATGTTCCAGAAACTTCTTACAAAGAAATAGTCTGTCTTTTTCTCTACTTCAGAAAAAAAGTATTTTTGTTTTTGTTTTTGTTTTTAAAGCAAGCAATAGACAATAATAAGAAAGGCTCCAAAATGAACTGTCAGGGAGATAGCAGATTTAGAGTAAGTTATTCAATAAAAAATATTTGCATTACTTTTTTTCCTCCTCCTATCTTTACTTTGTACTTCCATACTAGAATTCTGCTTTGTTGGTTCAGGCCACCTCCCACCATTCAAGACCCCAATTTTTGCCCATTTTGGTACTTTCCTATTCTTTTTGTTGACATCATTTCCAATTCAGACATAATAGCAAGAGTTCCCATTCATTTCTCATTTGGACTCCTCACATCTAGTCCTCTGCCTTTTAATTCTACCTCATCCTTGATCCTCTCTTTAGAGCTTAGAGAGGCTTTGGAATTAGAAGATGTGTATTCCAGGCTTGTAATTGATCAACTCTGTGACTTTCAGGAACTTAATCTTCCTGATTCTGGACTTTCTAATCTGGAAAACTGAGATTATTTTATACCTCCTTGGTTTCTGAGAACTAAGAATAATGTGTGTAAAAATGTCAAATAAAAGGTGCTTGGTATATATTAGTTATGTTTCTTTTCCCCTGCCAGTTGCTGCTATTTAGTTATCATACAGGGTTGCAAAGAAGAGAAGGCAAATAGAGTATTCGGTTTATTTTGTATGTGTGTAAACATATGAAGATTAACTGGTAACACAAAGATTCTTCATGAACAAATTTTAGTAATGAGCTGGAAAGAATATTGTACTCTGAAAACTAAAGACATAGATTAAACTTCTCTCCTGACAGACTATGGCCTTACTAATTATATGTTATAATAAACCTAGCTATATCTTATAGAGAAAATAAATGTTATTTGCCTCTAGTAGATAAAGCAGGATTTTTTTATTCCAATACAAAATACAGCTTATTGTCATTAAATAATGTTACTTTTTGTTGTTGTTGATGGTGTTTTCGTTAATATGAGATCATGAAAGAATATTTTTCCCCAAGGGTAGATACCTTATGTGCTGCAAGTACATTTTTTTTGGAATGAAAGAATACATGTGACATTTACCAAATAAATGGACTTTTACTGAAAACTTTGCTCTTTTCTTTTTTAGGTGTTTGGCAATCAACTCATTCCTCCCAATGCACAAGTGAAGAAGGCCACTGTTTTTCTCAATCCTGCAGCTTGCAAAGGGTAGTTCCGTTTGTGACTTGTTATATACTTGCTTTTTCTAAGGGGGAAAGAAATCACAGACTATCAGGCAGCTAGTGAGATTGTGTGGAATTGGAAGAACTAGGTTTAGTACTCTTCTAGCAATAAGATTCATTTGTAATGTAGAAATAACAGTTAAATGAGAAATAACTATAAAACTAATGGATGCTTAGCAAACTTGTCTAATTGAAGTTTAATAATCATTCCATGATTAACACCTACAAAGATGTCTTATTTGCTTGGAAGTAGTCCCCTCGGGAGCGACTGCTGTACTGCTAGGACGTAAATCCTTAGGCCATCTCTGTCCACAGGATGTTCAGAAATGGCCAAGAATACTGTGGGCTTGGGAGATCAGAAATGTTCTTTCCAAAAGAGATGATCCTTGAGCTAGACCTGGGAGGAAGCAGGCAGGAGAAGACTACCCATTCTTCTCAGCTGAGGAAACAGCCCATGGGACAGGGGCCTGGAGACAGGAGTGACCTAGTTATGGCTTTGTTATGACACAGGACAGCCTTTAACTGAACTGGCTGGCCTGGAAATGTCATGTGGGAATTGTGGGAATTAAGGTGTGAAGAATTGTTGAGACTTGGGTATATAATGATTTGATCATGGCAGTTCATTGATTATACAAATGAACCACACTAAAACGTGGAGAGGCTGTATGTGGGGGTGGGGAGTGGGTGTGTGGAGACTCAAAGTCTGTTAAGGAAAAATAAATAGGCAAAACTTTTTTTTACAATGTTAGATGTAACTATTATTCAATTGGAAAGGTGAATACAAAGACCTTGATGGCTTTAGAATAAATAATTAACATTTTATTTTGAAAAAATAGTCAGAATTAAAGGGTTGAGTGTTAAAAAGTGATATCTCTTATGTCCCTAATGTCGAGAACAATTCTTTTTGGCTTTTTGGGAATCAGAAAATTAGCAGTTTGGGTGCAGTGGTTCACGCCTGTAATCGCAGCACTTTGAGAGCCTGAGGTGGGCAGATCACTTGAGCCCAGGAGTTTGAGACCAGCCTGGGTAACATGGTGAAACTCTGTCTCTACAAAAATACAAAAATTAGCTGAAAAAATGCAAAAATTAGACACACGTGGTAGCATTTACCTGTAGTTGCAGCTACTTGGGAGGCTGAGGTGGGAGGATCACCTAAGCCCAGGAGGTCGAGGCTGTAGTGAGCCATGATCGCGCAACTGCAGTCCAGCCTGGGCAATAGAGTGAGACTCTGTCTCAAAAAAAAAAAAAAAAAAAAAAAAAAAAAGAAAGAAGAAAGAAAATTAGTAAATATGTATTAAATTGGATTCTATAAGATCTAAGTCAAGTGACATTAAGGTAATAAGAACAACAACAAGAAAGATAGTTTGGGCTGAATTGTAAGTGGTAGGCATAATGTTGTCTGGAGTAAAACACAGGGTCTCTGAAGTCAGTTTTTCTAGTCATTTCTTGAGAGGCAGTGAGTGTGACTTCACAGACAGGAGGACACATCCTGCTTTATTTCTTTGTAATTCAGTGGTTTAATTCAGATTGTCTAAACAGACTATTCTGCCTAACTGAATCATATCTGCTGGGCTTTGTTAGAGCCGCTTCCCTCCCCCATAAACGCACCAGTCATAATGCCTATTGATCATTTTTGTTTAATATCAATACTAAATCATGCCAACAAATCAACAAGCCCTAATATAACACAGTCAAAATACCTAAGATAAGTAAATTGTCAGTGGTGGCCCGTGGCTGAAGATAACAGAGAACTCAGCCTGGGTCTGGGAGTTTGAGGAATCTGGTCTGTTTACTGTTTTGCCACTTACTAGCTCTATGATATTGTGGGAGTTAATTCACTTCTTAAATCCCCAGTTTACTCATCTGTAAAATCAGAAAGGCAATAGTACATACTTTAAAAATTATTATGTGGAATAGGGACCTTTGGTATTAAATGAGATAATGCTTATTAGGCACTATTTCCATTTCATAATAAGCACACAATGTAAGAAATATAAACTGCTGAAATTGTTACTCTTGACTATGGGTTAGGTTCAGAACAGTCTTCACTTCGCTATCCCATCCTTCCCAGAAGCTCTTGTACCTCTCCTTCGACCTACTTCAGTGTAACTCTTCTATTCCTTTAGAGACCTAATAAATTAACAACCTGCTAATTTCTGATGAAACTTATGGCAATTTGTTTAAGCAATAACCAGTTATTTTGAGTTCCTGCTTCTAAGAGGTATCTACATTTTTAAAATTAATAAGCAAATTTTTCAGAGCAATTTTAGGGTCTTTTTACATGTAAATATATTTGCATTTTTAAAGGTAGATTCTTGTTTAAAACTATAACATCTTTATCTAAAGGTAAGCTAAAATACTGCCACTGAAGGAAAGTCTTTTCTAAAGGTGTTGTCTCCTTTAACAAGGTGAAGAATCCCTGCGTGCTTCTGGGAAAGTCTGAAACTCTCCAGCATCCTTTCTTTTTTTCTTTTAAAAGCTTTCACTATTTAATTGCACTATTTTTGTCATCATAGCTCTGTCCTGACACATAATTTATAATTTATCATGTAGCTATTTCATTATGTAGTACTGGTTTAAAACTACATAAGAGCTTTAAGAAATAAGATAACTGTGTGTTTAGCATTAATAAATAATACATAAAAGAGTAATTATTTTTTGTATGTGCCTGAGTCTGGAAATTGCTAAAAGTACCTAAGGTTTTTATTTAGCCTCGGTGTTATCTCACCCTTAATTATGTAATAAATAATTTATTTCTTATTAGTAACACTTGTTTTTCAATCTTTTATATAGAAAATTAGAAGGAAAAAAGTCTTCACCTTCATTTTAGAGGTTTTCTGAACTTATAACATCATATAAAGATGTGAATAAAGACCCAAATATTCTAACCTGATTTCTTAAACTAACTCAGAGGAGGTTACAGATTTGTTGTGATTGATATGGCAGATTGAGACTTCTTCAGAATTTTGCTTTTAGGAAATAGATCTGATCCACTTCCAACTGATCCTTTCCTATCAATCTAGTAATGAAAGCAACCCTGGAAGGAGAATTGTTTGCAGTACCACTAGCTCAGTGCTTTAATGTTGGGTTAAGCCCCCAGAAATGGTGAGCTGGAAAGGAGAAATTATCATTTACCCTTTTATGTTCATTCTAATAATCATTCAGAGCAGTAGAAAGGTAGAAAATATTTAATTTGCTTATAATACACTCAGGCCCTTGGTTTGAGATATTCTTTTGGATGGTTCTTGTGAAAATTTGTGCAAGCCTCTCAATTTCTATTTTAATTCACAATAAGAAGTGATTTGTGTTCTATATGCCATTTGGTGGTTCTTTTTAGTTTAAAGAATATTGAGCTTGGCCTGTGCATAACTATACGTGTTCCTCATTAGCTGCCTTTGTAGCTGAATATAAAATGTCTCTTCTATAAAATATCCTTAAATTCTTGTATAAAGTATCCTTAAGGTCAAAGGATACAGCCTTAGTTTAAAAATAAGACAGAGGACTGAGTAAATGTGGATATAAAAGTTAGGTGTTTGACATTGATTGAAAGTACTGGATTTTTTTTTCCTTATGTAATAGTTGAAATATTTGAGTAAAAGGTCAACTAATTGGTATGTTTTAACATTAGTTTGACTTTGAGACTATGCCATTGGTGGAAGAGATTGTTTTGCAACTTCTGTGTCCCTGGATTCCTAGACTGTGTTTTTGAATTCTGACCTGAATTGGACAAGAGTTCACTGTCAGAATGATATGCATAATACTTTTGAAATATGCAAACTCTTTGAAGGCTGTTTTTTCTCTTCTTATAAGACATCGTGTTGTTTCCTTTTCCTCAGAATTTACATGTCTACATTTGGGGCAGGTTTATTCATTCGTTTGTGCATTAATTCATCAGATACTTAGTAAGTACTTTCTAATTGTGCCATACATAATCCTAGAGGTCAGGGGATTCAAGGATTAATAAGATTTGGTATTTATTTTTAGAACGCTTCCAGTCTAGTCCTGACAACAGTCTTGGAAGTCTCTAATCACCATACAGTATGAAAGTCACTAACAGAGATGTGTATAAGGTACTAGGGGAGCACAGAGAGGGCATGACTGTGCCTGGGAGTTTCAGACTAGCTTCTGGTGAATTAGTAGTTTGGTCTGCTTTGTTATGTTGTATTCCTAGCTCCTCCACCTGTGTCTATCACACAGTAGGTGCTCAATGAATACTTGAGTGAATCAAGCATTGTTGCCTGAATGGAACCATATCTAGTGTTCGTTCTTCCCCTAGAGGAACTACTTTGTGAACTATAAGCCTCCCAAATGGATAAGAGCTTATTGCATTAGATAAACAGCAAATTCTCAAAGGCCCCAGAGTTTAAGGTTCTATTTTTCCATTCATATTAACTCATTACTTGTTGTTAAACTTTCTGTGCTTGAACAAATAAAGGAAACCCGTATTGCATAGTCTTTCTTATTCTGCCCTGAAGAAGATTGTAAGGCTTTTTGTTCTTGCTCTTGATAACCTGTGTTAAAATGTTTATATTTTTTCCTTTGTTAACAGAAAAGCCAGGACTCTATTTGAAAAAAATGCTGCCCCGATTTTACATTTATCTGGCATGGATGTGACTATTGTTAAGGTAAGAATGGCTCCTGAATGTTTATTTCACCCAAGCAGCTGCCTCTTATAACAACCTCTTCTCTTGGCTTCTTAGCAAAAATTGCTTGTCACAAGAGCAAAGAAATTAATGTTGTATCCTGTTCTGACAATTAATAAATGTAGTTTTGTTTTTTTCCAAATAGTGTCAGCTTTTCATTTTCAGAATAGGATTGGATGGAGGCTTGGAGAACTTGACACCTTTCATCTGAGAGATAGGATGTGGAATTACATCTCTTGGAAGATGAAAGTTGTTATAGCTGTAAGAATTCTTTTCCTGAAAATACACAACCTTCAAGTCTGAGTAATTAATTTAATTTCTTAGTAGTTCCACAAACAGGTAAACCATTTTCTCTCTGGTAAGGAATTATCTTTGGTGAAGAATTTTAAATGGTAAAGCTTTAGAATTTGTGAGATTTAGTTAAGAAGAAAAGGAGGCAAGCATAAATTACAAGGAATTGTACTATTTCGAAGATGCAGGACTCTACTTGTTGAATTTTAAATGAGATATATGTGGGTAAGTACATACATGTGTATATAGTGAAAACCTCTCTTACTGTGGTTATAAGTCTGTTGACCAATTTCTAATATTGTACACTTCCAGGAAATCATAGAAGTTAAAAAGGATCATTTAGTCTAGTTTACCATGCAATGTTGAACCCTCTTTTCCAACTTTTCTGTCATGATTTTCCAGTTGTTTGCCCCCGGGGGTAGGAGAAAGGGGAAGAAAACTAACATATTTGAGTACCTGTAATGTGGCAGGTATGAGAGACCCAAGTATGGTTATGTGAGACTGATGTTTGTTTCTTCAATGATTGGTGAAACTCACAGCTAAAACCATCTGGATCTGGAGCTTTCCTTGAGGGGAGATTTTCTTGTGTGTGTGTGTGTGTGTGTGTGTGTGTGTGTGTGTGTATGTAGAGACAGGAGCTCACTATGTTGCCAAGGCTGGTCTTGAACTCCTGGACTCAAGTGATCCCCCCCACCTTGGCTTCCCAAAGTACTGGGATTATAGGTGTAAGCTACCATGCCCAGCCTTTTTTACCTTTTTTAAATTTTTAATGTACATTAAATTTCTTTAACAGTTCTAGAAGTACTCAGGTTTCATTCTTCACTTAATTTTTGTAAGGTAAATTCTTCAAGGAATTTGTTTCATCTAAATTTTCAAATTAATTGACATCAGGTTGTTCATAATATCTTCTATTTAACTTTTAAATTTCTATAGCATATGTAATGTCTCATTTTCATTCTCAATATTGTTTATTTGTACCCTCTCTTTTTCCCCTCAGTAATCTTGTGAGAGGTTTGTCAATTTAGCCCTTGCCAAGAACCGTTTTTTGGCTTATTGATCCTCTCATTTATATGTTTCATTCATTTCTGATCTTTTTTTATTGTTTCATTCATTCTACTTTTTAAAAAAATTTTTCTGCTGTGCTTTTTCTGACATTTTAACTTCATTGCTTATTTCATTTTTACCTTCCTTTCTTATTGTATGTATTTAAGCTACAGATCCACTCTACTGCTTCAGCTGCATCCTATACTTTTTGATGCATAATATTTTTATTATTTATTTTTAAATATTTTCAAATTTTCCTTGTGATTTTTCTTGATCTATGTGTTTTTGAATTTCCAAATCTAAAGTTTTTCTGATTGTCTTTGTTAATGATTTCAGACTTAATTGCATTTTGGCCAAAAAATGTAGTCTATAAAATTCTAGTATTTTAAAGTTTGTTGAAATTTGTTTTATGGTCTAACATGTGCTCTGTTTTCATAAATGTTGTATCTATGCCTAAAAATAGTATATATCAGTTATTGGGCACTATATTCTATATATGTTCATTAAGTCAAGTCTGTTAATTGTGTGGGTTCAAATCTTCTATGTCCTTACTGATTTTTTCTTCTGTTTTAACTATATAAATTCTCAAGAGGGGGTATTAGAAATCTCCCACTGTAATTGTGGATTTGTCTATTTCACTACATAGATTTGTCCATTTTTGCATTTTGTATTTTGAGACTTAGGTCATTAGATGCACTAAAGTTTCAGATTATTTCATTTTTCTTACATTTCGACCCTGTCATAGAATAACTATTTTTAGCACAAATACTGCCTTTTGTGATAGTCTATCTTATCTAGTACTATTGGTAATTTATACTAGCTTGCTTATTTTTAGTTTTTGCCTGGTATCATTTTTATATCCCTTTATTTTTATCTTTTTTCTCTCCTGAGATTTTAGATGTATTGTTGATAAAAGCATGAAAGCAGGATATTGTAAAGCCCATTTTCTCATCTTTTGACTTGACTGTTTAATTCATTCCAACATTCTATACCAGTTATCTATTGCTACAGAACAAAAGGCCTCACTGTTTTTCTGCTTATGATTCCATTGGTCAGTAGTCTCGCCTGGGCTCATAGTGGCATGGCTGAGGAAGGGTGGTCTTCGATGGCTTTACTCACGTCTCCAAGTTGATGCTGGCTGTCCCCTGGCTCATGTTGTCTCCACTATGTATCTTGACATGGTAGCTCGGTTCCCTGAAGTCAGTTACAGATATCCTCTAATTTTATCCCTAAATACTTTTATGTGTATTTTTAAACAAATAAGAATACTTTTATATTTATCTACAGTGCCATTTTCATACTTAGGA
This sequence comes from Homo sapiens, assembly GCF_000001405.40. Classification (NCBI taxonomy): domain Eukaryota; kingdom Metazoa; phylum Chordata; class Mammalia; order Primates; family Hominidae; genus Homo; species Homo sapiens. The sequence goes on from NC_000007.14 coordinate 141,603,941, forward strand.
AAAGTAGCGATTCTCTTTTATCATCTTACACTGTCTAACCCCATCTTATACTATCAAATGTCCTGTGACTCATGTATTTGTGATTTTTTCCAGTTTAAGATACTTATCAATTATATGCAAGTACTAATATGTACATTACATATACAGAAAATAGACATTTAGAAGGATGAGATTAAAAAATAAATAGAAATACTAATGTTTACTTTTTATGCCTCAGTAGAAACCACTACTCTTTACAGGGTTTGTTTTCTTTCTTTTGGATTAGCTTTTATTTTGAAATAATCTCAAACTTATAAAAAAAATGTACAGGAATATACAAATTCCCATATCACTTACCCAAACTCCTCAAATACTGTATTAACATTTTACCATGTTTACACATGCTCTCTCTTTACATGTATGTGTGTGCATATGTATGAATGTGTGTGTGTGTGTATATATATATATATATATATATATATATACACATACATACACACACACACATATTATTTTCTGGCTTGTTTGAGAGTAAGTTTCAGAAATAATGTTCCTTTATCTCTAAATATCTATATCCTAAAAACAAGGGCACTCTCTTATATAACTGCAAGAACAGTTATCAAAATCAAGAAATTAACATTGATGTACTATTATCTTGTAGAATTTTTTTTTTTTTTTTTTTTGAGACAGAGTCTCACTCTGTCACCAGGCTGGAGTGCAGTGGCATGATCTCATCTCACTGCACCCTCCGCCTCCCGGGTTCAAGCGATTCTCCTGCCTCAGCCTCCTGAGTAGCTAGGATTACAGGTGCGTGCCACCACACCCAGCTAATTTTTGTATTTTTAATAGAGACAAGGTTTTACCATGTTGGCCAGGATGGTCTCGATCTCTTGACCTCGTGATCTGCCTGCCTCGGCCTCCAATTGTTCCATGAATGCCATTTATAACAAAAGAAAAAACACTTTTTCTTGTTCTGCATCCAATCTGGGATCACATATTGTATTTAGTTGTGATATTTGTTTAGGCAACTTTAAAAAATTCCTCAATTTTTTTTTTTTTAAGAACGTCCTTCAGTTTGGGTTTATCTACTGTTTTGTTATAATTAGATTCAGATTATGTAGTTTAGTGGAAGTACCACAAAATGTTGTGTCTTTCTCAATGCATAATATATGTATGACAGTCCTGTGAATTCTTTAAATTAAATTTTTAGCTTGAGATTTTTCAGATTATCCAGGTAGCACGCATTTCGGTTACTTATGTAAGGACTAGCCTAAAGTTATGGATTCTCAGGGAAGATGTTTATCCCTTCATTTAGCACCAAATTTCAGAACACGAAAGTTTCTTTGCAGTGCCCTGGGAATCGTCGAGGAGTATGAGTGAGTCAACCCCGCTTTTATTCTCTCTAAACTGCACATGCAGTCTTTTGGGTCCTGGTTTATAGTGGGATGTGGTTCTGTACTAGATTCACTAATCTTGAGCAGGTCCTGGGATTTTTGTTTGCTTTTCCTAGAACCTGGTGAAGCTTTGAAAACCAACATTCAGATCTACCTGGTTTACTAGATGCCCTCAGAACATTTACTGCATAGGTGCTAGTTTTATATTTAGTGTTCCTTACTTTATTCTCGTTTATTGATGCATCAAAGATGTTTTCATTATTTTACTCAGTAGCTTTAATTTTCAGTGGCAGGGTACCTAGCCTACCATTCTTTTAGAAATGGAATTGTAGCACTTCACATAGCTGGTTTTATTTAAGTCACATAAAGCTCAGTGAAGTTGAGTGTTATCATCTTTATTTTGTGAATGAGGAAATTGAAGATACAAACATCTAGAAACCTGCTCAGTTATACAATTAGTAGTGACAAAACTCATTTAAACCTAGGTCTGTCGACTCTAAGGCATGTGCTTTCTACCTTAGGCTTTGTCTCCCATTTGACATGAAAGCTCCAAGACAACCTATTTCATCTTAGGATAGCACTATTAGAATATTCTTCCTAATTTTGAGAAGAAATCTGTTTCCCAAGAGTTTTTACACATAGATCAGTGGTTTTCAACTCTGGCTGAATATCAAATTACCTGGAAATGTTTAAAAATGTAAGTCGTACCCAGGTCACACTCCCTAGATATAACTAATGTGGAGTGGAGTCTGTCTGTATTTACAAAATAATTTCATTCATTCATTTACTTGTTCATTTGTTTATTCATTCCCAGGTGATTATAATGTGTAGTTGGATTGAGAATCATAGACTTCAGGCTTGGTTCTATCCCATGGGTTCATGTGAAACAAGCCTAATCTTTCTTCCGCAAAATAGTCTTTGGAATAATCAAGAATGTTATCCTGATGCTCCCTTGAGCCTTCTGTGGTTTAAACATTTCCGGTTTCTTTCCATGAGGTATGGGCTATCTAAGGAAGAGTAAAGCAAGACCACCAAGTCTCTTGTTCCATATACTATTCTTTCAAACAGCTCAAGCTCAGAGTCTTTTGTTGTTGTCGATATATCATATTTTGAGTCATATTGGACTCATTATCTTGTTTGCTATGTACCATCAAGCCACTTTATAAAAAAGTAGACTTTATTTTTTAGAGCAGTTTTAGGTTTAAGGAAGAATTCAAGAGAAATCACAGAAAACCTATATTCCTTCTCTCCCCTGCCCACAATTTCCTGTATTATTAACATCTTGCGTTAGTGTTATAAATTTCCTACAATTGATGAGCCATTATTCATGCATTATTATTAACTCAAGTCCATAGTTTTCATTTGCATTTGCTCTTTTCATTTGCATAGTTTTCATTTGCATTTGTGTTGCACAGTTCTATGGGTTTTGACAAATGCATAATGCATTGTGTTCACCATTATATTATCAGACGGATTAATTTCACTGTCCTAAAAATCCTCTCTGTTCTTCTGCTGTACCTATTCATCCTTCCCTCCACAGCTGTTTTTACTGTCACCATACTTTGCTATTTTTAAAATGTCATATAGTTGGAATCATACAGTATGTAGTCTTTTCAGATTGGCTTCTGTCACTTAGCAATATGCATTTTAGGTTTCTCCATTGTGTTTTCATGGCTTGTTAGCTCATTTCTTTGCTGAGCAATAGTCTATTGTCTGAATGTGCTACAGTTTATCCATTCACCTACTGAAGTACATCTTGGTCACTTCCATTTTAGCAACTATGAATAAAATTGCTATAAACATTAATGTGCAGGTTCTCGGGTGGACATAAATAAGTTTTCTAGTCATTTGGGTAAATGCCTAGGAGTGCTTTTGCTGGATAATATGATAAGACTATGTTTGGTTTTATCGGAAACTGCCGTTCAAAGTGGCTGTACCATTTTGTATTATTACCACCAGTGAACTAGAGTTCCTCTTGTTCCATATCCTCGTCAGTCTTTGCTATTGTCAGTGTTTTGGATTTTAGCCACTGAAATAAATGTATAATGAAATCTCATTGTTTTAATTTGCAATTCCCTAATGACATATAATGTTGAGTGTATTTCCATATGCTTATTATCCATCTGTAGATCTTTGGTGAGGTGTCTGTTCAGATCTTTGCCCTTTTAATTGGGCTGGTTTCTTTTTGTTGAGTTTTAAGAGTTATTTATATATTTTAGATGCAAGCTGTTTGCTATGCATTTTGCATATATTCTTTCTCAGGCTGTGGCTTGTCTTTTTATCCTTATAATAGTGTTTTTCATAGAGCAGAAGTTTTAAATTTTACTGAATTTTAATTTATCAATTTTTTTTTCTTTCATGGATATTGCTTTTGGTGATGTATCTAAAAACTCATCACCAACCCCAAGATCACTTAAATTCCCTCCTGTGTTATTTTACCTTTAGGCCTATGATCCATTTTGAGTTAGCTTTTTTGAAAAGTGTAAGGTTAGTGTCTAGATTTTTTTTCTGGGAGGGGGCAACTGTTAGGCCACCTTTTTATCCTTCCTCTTTTAGTGCATTTGGGATTTTTTTTCTAAGATCAGAGCCTCAAATATATTAATATTATCTCTATTAATCTTTGAAATTATGGTCTGTCAAATCTGTCAAGATCTTTTAAAATTTTTATTCTTTTATTCATACACCTTTTCACATTTATTAATGTGTTTTTACAAATATTTATTTAGTGCCCACTATGAGCTAAGCCTTGTTCTAGGTATTGGGGATATAGTCTTAACAAAATAAATTCCCTATCCGTCCTTAAAGAGCTTCATTTCAAGGTTTGAAAGCAAGAATGCAGGTGAGAAACAAATATATCAATAAATGTATAATTTGTCAGATGGCAATGAGTGCTAAGAAGAAAGATTAAGCAGGGTAAGGAGACAAAGGTTATTTTACTTATTACTATTAACTCCTAATAGGGGTGTTATTTTACTGCAGATGGTCAAGGAAGGTGGGTCTGACAAGATGAGCTTTGAACAGACACCCAAAGGAAATGAGTTAGTCATGTAGATGCTTGAGGAAGAAGTATCACAGTATCACGAGCTGTGATACTGCATGTCCAAAGGCCCTGAGGCATGTGTGTATTTGACATATTTGAAGCATGGTAAAGAGGCCAGTGTAGTTGGAGTGAAATGAGCAAAGGGTGAGAGTAAGAGAGGATGAGGTTAGAGAAGTAAGGAGGGGAAAATGTCAGCTTTGTATCATTTATGTATCTAGTAAATTACCTTTCACTTCCATTGTTGACAAAGTATTGCCTAAGAAAAGGCTGAAGGGGGACCCTCAATGAAATGTCCTAGGAATCTTCCAGCAATTTGACATCATTCCAATGAGCATCACATTTTGGACATAGATATTCAGTTGGTAGCTCATCCACTTACTTGTTTTCTAGCATGTTGTTTCCACATGTCTTCACCTTGTCCACAGGGATATCATAAAGTGACTTGCCAGGCATCTTGCTAAAGACCTGATGTAATGTGTCTGTCTAATTTCCAAGATCTACTAATGTAGCTAATCTGTCAAAGAAGGAAATGAGGACAGTATGAAATCACTTGGCCTTAGTGAGAACACAGGCTAATTCCTCATGATCACTTATTTCTGGGTGTTCATGAACCATCCTTTTCATCAGGATTGACATACATACATTTTTTTAAAAGTCAAATATTTGCGAATATGTAACTATAAAGCCCATAATTTTATTTTTAGAATAAAAGTGGAACTATTCATCCTAAAATTAGATGGTAGTATTTTAAGGAGTCTTCCTTTTTCCTCTGTGTTCACTGTGAATTAATGTCATATAGGACTTACTGGCTCAGATGCTGGAGTCTTTTCTTGCACTAGTTGGATGTCCAACAATTCAATTCAATTTGATGGAATTCAATTCTGATACCAACGCCTGGAGTTAGTGCAGACTCCAAGGGGTTAAGGGCTGAGTTTCACAAGACTGTCCACACTTCAGGCGCCAGTCTCACATCTTGGGGAAATGGTCACCTGTTCTTCTGACCTGCCAACTACAAATCCAGGGTTCTCCCAACCTCCCCTCAGGTTCGGTAACTCAAACTCAGGAAAGCACTTTACTTAGTTTACCAGTATATTATAAAGGATACTACTCGGGAACAACAAATGGAAAGATACATAGGTCAAGGTATGGGGGCAGAGGGATTGGCATAGAGCTTCTATGCCCTCTGTAGGTGTGCCTCCTCTCAACACTTCAGTGTTGAGGTATTTGCTTCCAGCCTGGAAGCTCCTCACACTCCATTGCTTAGGAAGGTTCCCTTAAGCAGGCATGATCAATTAAATCATTGGCCATTGGTGAGTTAACTCAATCTCAGGCCCCTCGCTCCTCCCTGGAGGTTAGGGGTGGGGCTAAAAGTTCCAACCCTCTAATCACCTTGCTGATCTTTCTGGTGACCAGCTCCCATCTTGAAGCTATTCAGGGGCCCACCAATCACCTCATTAGCACAAACTGGCAAGATTGAGAGGGCCTTGCCATGAATAACAAAAGACATTTTTATCGCTCAGGAAATTCCAGGGGTTTTAGGAACTCTTTGCCAGGAACCAAGGACAGAGACCAGACATACATATGTATATATATGTACGTATGTATGGGTTTTTTTTTGTTTTTTTTTTTTCCTGAGACAGAGTCTTGCTCTGTCGCCCAGGCTGGAGTGCAGTGGTGCAATCTCAGTTCACTGCAACCTCCACCTCCCAGGTTCAAGCGATTCTCCTGCCTCAGCTTCCTGAGTAGCTAGGATTACAGGCGTGCATCACCATGCCTGGATAATTTTTGTATTTTTAGTAGAGACGGGGTTTCACCATGTTGGCCAGGCTGGTCTTGATCTCCTGACCTCGTGATCCACCTGCCTTGGCCTCCCAAAGTGCTGGGATTACAGGCGTGAGCCACCGCACCTGGCCCAGATATATATATATTTTTATTATGCCATAGGTGCTTAAGCCCATCTGAAATCCAGACATTTAATTTTTGTCTATTAGTATGTATAGTGTGATATCAGTTGGAGGGAGTGTTTCCTATTTTAATATTAGTTGCATTATGTCTATTGAAATTTAGTGTTTGGTTTTAGAAGTATACATATTATTGGTGGCTTAAATGGTTCATTGAAGTCTATGTATGTATCTGAAATCAAATGGTATCAATAAAAATGGTAAGTCTTAGGCATTGTTTTGTGACTACTTTGAATCCTACCTGTATTTCTTTATGTATGGTCATAACAAAACAATAATAACCTCCTTTTATTTAGTGCAATACCAGTTATGAACAGTTACCTTACCAGTTGCTTTACATACTGCTTTACAACTGGTTTACTGAGAAGTTATCATTATTCCCTCCCTCAACACACATAATTTCAGTGATGAGGAAATTAAGATCCATAGAATTTAAGGTCACTCAGCTAAAAAGTAGCAGAGTTGAGATTTAATCCAGGTCTCTTGGGCTCTGACATCTGTGCTCTTGTCATTACATCTGCTTCTTCCTATTTGCATGTACACTTGACTTCCTATAAAGGATGTAATAGAATCTGCACTTGACTGGAAATGATGCCCTTGACTAGCTAGCTGTGTAAGAGACAAATTATTGGGTTTGAATTTTATTTTCAAAGTATGGAGCTGACTAGATGGTTTCTGAGGTCCCTCTGGCTCTAAAAGTGTAAAACTGTAACGACTATACATAATTGCTTTGATAGCTATTTTTTTCATGTCTATCAGTTATGTAAAATTTACGAAGACAGTCAATGTAAAACTTTAAAGAAGATATCCCACATTTTTAAACCTTTAACCTTGTGGCTCTAGGTTGATAAACTCACCAAAGGCTTCCTTGGTATTTCAGACAGATTATGAGGGACAAGCCAAGAAACTCCTGGAACTGATGGAAAACACGGATGTGATCATTGTTGCAGGAGGAGATGGGACACTGCAGGAGGTATGACTGTTTTTCTCTTTGAAGCTATTTTGAAGGTGAGAAAAATGGAAATTAAATCCTAGAGCAATGGTATGTTGTAATTTAAAGAAATTTTTTATTTTAATTCATTATTTTAGGATTGTTGCTCTCTAAAGCTAGTATAGCTTTAAATTTTTCTCCTGCACTTCCATTTCATTGCTTTTTGTAAACCCTCTACCCAGCACATAGAAGGATTTTTGTATTATCATATTTAAGTTTGATAATATTGAATATAACAGAAGAAAAAATGATGGTGGATGGGATAATCTTGTTATATTTTGAAGACTCTTATGAAGTAGCCCTGTTTGTAATGGAATCATAGTTTCCATCAACAGGTATGTTTCTTATAAAATAAACAGATATTCAGCTATCCATTCTCATGTCATTTCCATTACATATAATATTATACTACATTAATAGGAAGAGGTATACATGTTAAGATACATGCATCTGCTTTTGTTTTAATATTGCATCTTCTCAATGAGATGCCACTATGCACCTATTAGAATGGCCAAAATTTCAGAACACTGATGATATCAAATGCTGGCAAGGATGTGGAGCAACAGGAACTCTCATTGTTGGTAGGAATGCAAAATGGTACAGCCACTTTGGAACAGCTGGGTGTTTTCTTACAAAACTGAACACACTGTTAACATACAATCCAGCAATCATGCTCCTTGGTATTTACCAAAGGAGTTGAAACCCTGTGTCCACACAATTGCACATGTAGCAGCATTATTCATAATTACCAAATCTTGGAAGCAACCAAGATGTCCTTTAGTAGGTGAATGAATAAGTAAAGTGAGATATATTCAGACAATAGGTATTATTCAGCACTAAAAAGAAGTGAGCTATCAAGCCATGAAAAGACATGGAGGAAACCTAAATGTATGTTACTAAGTGAAAGAGGATAGTCTGAAAAGACTACATACTGTGTGATTCCGACAATTTGATATCTGGAGGAGGCAAAACTATGGAGGCAGTGAAACGTCAGAGGTTACCAGATGTTGAAGAGAGGGATGAATAGGCAGAGCACAGAGGATTGTTAGGGCAGTGAAACTATTCATTATGATACTGTAAGGGTGAATACATTTGTGTTACACACAAATTTGTTTAACACAAATTTTTTGTGTGTATTTGTTATACACAAATGTATAAGTGTTATACATTTGTGGGAACCCATAGATCTGCAACACCAAGAGGGAACCCTAGTGTAAACGATGGACTTTGGGTGATGATAATAAGGTGTCAATGTAGGTCCATCAGTTGTAACAAATGTGCCACTCTGGTGAAGGATGTTGATAATGGGCGGAAGGTTCACGTATAGGGGGCCAGAGGGGACATGGGAAATCTCTGTATTCCTCTCAATTTTGCTGTGAGCCTAAAACTACTTTTAAAACATAAAATTTATTAATAAAGATACCCTTAATGCTTACTTTGGTCCATTAAGGGCGGTAAGTATGTTACCCTGCAAGTACTCTTCTTTTCTAGCAGCAGAGTAGTGCATTCATTATATTTTGGAAACCCCTAAAGAGCCCAGTGCAGGTGATCCCACGCACTGCTTAATTTTTCATTCCTGTATACTATATTTCATATTCATACCTCATTTCTGATTGCCTGTTGTCCCCATTCATTGGTTTTACCAGTGTTCAGGGATCAGAAGCTAACAGCAGAGTACTGTCCTATGTTTGACTTAGTCATTATGTGAGCCTTAGTAAGCTTCTTTTAAAAAGGCTGTGCTAATGATGTTGTAATTGTTTTTATGGCTTTTTAATGAAGTGTGAAGAATATTGATAGCATGCCTACAAAGAAGGAAGTAGACCTCTCAACAGCCCCATTTATTCCTGAAATTCAGTGAGGCAGGAGAAGATGAAGGGAGGAGATCTGGGTCAGGTTTTACTTTACAAAATGTTTTTAAAGAAATTGTGTATTTGGTATAATTACAGTCATATAAAAATATGCACTGATTAGAAAAAGGATTGGAGGGAAATATATCAAATATAAACAAGTGATTTATAATTGGTTATCTGGGGCTGGGTGTGGTGGCTCATGCCTGTAATCCCAGCACTTTGGGAGGCCAAGGTGGGCGGATCACCTGAGGTCCAGAGTTTGAAACCAGCGTGACCAACATGGCGAAACCCCGTCTCTACTAAAAGTACAAAAATTAGCAGGGCATGGTGGTGGGTGCTTGTAATCCCAACTACTTGGGAGGCTGAGGCAGGAGAATCGCTTGAACCTGGGAAGCAGAGGTTGCAGTGAGCCGAGATCATGCCATCGCTCTCCAGCCTGGGTGACAGAGTGAGACTCCACTGCAAAAGAAAAACAAAATAATAATAGTTGTTTATCTGGCATGGTGGAATTATGAGAATTTTTTTTTGTATTTAGGTATTTTTCAGTTTTTACAGAATACTATCCTTCTTCATATTTGTCAATAAGAACGATTTGTTAAGTGCACACTCTCTGAGTGTAGCAAAGTGCTTTTTTCCTGTATATGTACTTCATAGTGGTAAACTAGGGTTTTCTGTATAATTGATGTGTACATCATATTTATACCCATTTTATAGAACTTAAAACATATTTTTAGTAATACAACTTGGAGTTTTTATAATTATTTTATCTTAGCCTTTATTGTATTATTGATCATAGGTCAAAAATAAAATCTAATTTAGCTCTGATTCTATTGGAGAATACTATATGTTTTAAGATCCAGTGCATCTTTTAACAGAGCTTCTAAGAAGAAAACAGGAGTAAGTTTATGGTCTATGAAAATTGAATCCAATTCTTTTATTGTAAAGGAAATACATATTATTTATAACAATGTTTTATTATTACATTTGTAGGTTGTTACTGGTGTTCTTCGACGAACAGATGAGGTGAGCATTAAAGAGTAATTGCATTTTAACTTTTATTTTTCTGTTCTTTTTTATTGCTTTTCTTTCTTTTACTTTTTTTTTCCATTGTATATTTTAAAACGGGTACAAATTGTGCTTTCTTGAATTTTAGAAAAGAAAATACTGCTACCCATGTCATAGAACACGTATATTAACACATGGGGACTTTTCTGGTTTGGTAATTGATGGTATCCAATAACTTTGACAATGGTTATTTAAAATTTTGTTATGGAATCTTTTTTTCAAAGAACTTTTTCATAAAAGAAATTGTGGCATATTCATATAGTGGGAATCATCTAACAGTTAAAATGAATGAACTAAATGTATAAATATCTACATGGCTAAATCTCAAAAGTTTTGAATAAAAAAAAAAGCAGGTTGCCCAGGTATGTTATGCATTTCTACAGTGTTTTAAAATTCAGAAAACAATACTATGTATGGTTAATGGATGCTTAAATATGTAGCAAAAGAATAATAATGTGGATGAAAAGGAATCACACCAACCTCAGGATAATGGTCTCCTCTGGGAAGGGAGAGAGGAGAATAGTTTTAGAAGGGACTTTCATTGTATCTCTATCGTTTTATTTCTTGAAACATATGAAGCAAAAAGGTAAATGTTAACATTTGTTAAATATAGGTTGTGGGCACATGGGTGTTTTTGTAACATTATTTTATGCACTTTTCTACAATAGCTAGAAGATCCTTCTCAGTCCCTTTGGTAATAGTACATTGTGCTCAGAATTGTTTTGAACCTTACAGTATCTATTGTATGTGTGGCATTTAATTAACTGCTATGCCAGTACCATCTATTATTTGAACTTGTTTATTCTCTTTGCCTTATTTGTACTTAAGATAGTTTATAAAGCACCTTCACCTGTCATTGGTCACTGTATAAATGGTAGACATTTTTAGTTGAATTTTATCTGCAACTTTATCAAATAGTGTGACAATGTTATACAGTCTCTGTTGCACTAGTGCATTGATATATTATCTTCAAAACCCTCATTATCTTAACCAAATTTCTTTCAAACAGTTGTCATTAATGAGTACTAAAATATTTCTTCCAAATTCTGAGTCATTTTGTTTTCATTGACTGCCTTGTTTTAGAAATTACCCACCTAGCTTTATTTGATTACTGGTCTAAGGATGTGGAAAGGAGATGGGGAGGCAGATACAGGGTCAGTTATTTGTCATAGTGGACACACCTGTGCTTCTCCATTAAGCCTGATTTTCTGATCATAACAATAAAACTTTCCTCTTCTTTCCCCCCCCAGGCTACCTTCAGTAAGATTCCCATTGGATTTATCCCACTGGGAGAGACCAGTAGTTTGAGTCATACCCTCTTTGCCGAAAGTGGAAACAAAGTCCAGTAGGTTGTCAATGTGGGGAATTAGCATTTGTGGGTGAGCGAGACTGGGAATGAAAAATTTATGTGTATGCTATAACTTTCTTGAGTTTTGATAGCCTGAAACTTCAAATAATTAAGAGGAGGACCTAGATCAGAGTTCAGCCTTTCAGTTCATTGGGAAGTCTCCCAACTTGGTTGTGGGACTCTTATAATAAGTCTCCAGGTCAGGTAGGGAGGTGAATACTTGATGTCCTTTTGTCAGTTATGAAGATAATATCCCTGACCTAAACCGTTTTTGTGCTTGTACATTGTAAGATTCTTTAGTGAAGACATATTTGTGCTGCTCATTTGTTTGCTTTAAGTATATGCAATGACAAATAACAAGTCCCTTGTGAAGACTGAACTAGTAGCCTGGCTTCATTATCTTGATATTAAAAATAGCTAAAACAAGTAAATATAGCCACATCCTTTTGGGAATACTTAAAGTGGTAGACAGTGTAGACAAAGTAGACTGGGAAAGCAGTGTAGCTCTGACATCTAAATTAAATTGCTGTGAGTCTCACAGTGTTTTTGGGAGTCAAGCAAATTGTTGTTATTATTGTTCTTTTTTGCTTGAAGGCATTATGTAAACAAAGCTCTGCTCTTTCAAGAAGATAGGAATCTTGAATTTGAGCTTTGACAGTGATTAATAACATCATTTTGAGCAAATAGTTGTCAAGAAGACCCAAATAAATGGAGAGATAGCTGAGAGATCAGTTGCCTGATGGTTAACGTAAGCTTTGTGACACATTGGAGGAAGTCAATAAATAAATATTTGTTGCATGATTTAATGAAAATTTTCTCATGATTTTTCTGGTTATAATCTTCTAGAATAAATAATAATAATACCCAAGTGATTTTCTGTTTTGGTTAAGGATTTTTTTTTCTGCTTTGGAATTCTTTGATTAGGCTGGCTTTTGTGAATTTATTTTTGCTATTGTAATGTTAGGAGTCAACTGTATCTCTTTTAACAATTCTATATTTTAATAAGCATCTTAGTCCAGTTTTCAAAACACTAGGCATACACACATATATATATGTCAGATCTTCATTCAAACTTCTTTTATATTTCAAACCTTAATATAATGGGGATTATTCAGCTATTCATTAGCCATCCTGAGGGCCTAACTACAGGAGAGGCCATTTCAGTTGGCCATCCTTTTTTTTTCTTTTTCTTTCTTTTTTTTTTTTTTGAGACAGAGTCTCGCTCTGTAGCCCAGGCTGGAGTGCAGTGGCGCGAACTCGGCTCACTGCAAGCTCCGTCTCCCAGGTTCACGCCATTCTCTTGCCTCAGCCTCCGAGTAGCTGGGACTACAGGCGCCCGCCACCACGCCCGGCTAATTTTTTGTATTTTTAGTACAGATGGGGTTTCACTGTGTTAGCCAGGATGGTCTCGATCTCCTGACCTCGTGATCCGCCCGCCTCGGCCTCCCAAAGTCAGTTGGCCATACTTTTTATTCCCGGTTTAGAATTTCTGAGGGGCAGTAGATAATGACAGTTAATTGCTCACATTTTTGCTTTTCCAAGATGAATCCTGTCTGATTCAGGTGTTGGTTACATTAGAGAGCTTGTCTTCTCCTTGTGTCAGTGTAGATTTTTTGAATTGCTTTAGCCAGTATTCCAAATAGCATATGTCATTGATCCAAGGGTAGACCATTTTCCTTGGAGACCCCTTGCCTGTCCAAAAGCTAATTTACACAGAGTGTGGCAACCCCCAGGGTCTGAGAGAGTCTTCAGTTTGGGGGAACTGATTTTCTCTTGTAGTTAAACTACTACTGTTGCTGCTGCTATTTATAGTTTAAAAATTTATAAAACTTAATTTATAAGCATGCCCCAGGGCTGTTAGGTAATCCAGGAAGTCTGTCCTGAGTTCAGAGTTCTGTAGGCCTCATAAAATGGCAGAAGCCTAAGGCTATTTAAAAAGAACAAGGCTTTGCTTTTTGCACTGCTGTCAAGATTTGTTGTACCATAGTTACCACAGAGGAAAAAAGAATTTTGAATTTGGAATGTTGCAAGTAAATAATCTGAAAAGTGCTATTCCATGCTACAGTGCTGCTTTATTTAGAACTTTTAGTTATTGGCAGGAGAATGATAAATTATAGGTTGCAATTTTAGCTGTCTTCTGCCAGCAATTTAGGAAAAAAATTTAATATAAAAAGACTTGATGAGTTACAACAATTTTTTTTTAAGGTCAGCCTCTCAAAGGCATTTACTAAATCTCTCAGTGTGTTAAATACTGTTCAGAATAAGTACAGTGCTTTAGGATTCTTTCTGATAGCTTTTTTCAGAATTAATATATTCATATCAAATTAAACTTGTGAGCATGCTGCTTACTTTCTCCTACACTGAAACTCATATTCCAAACTGCTGCCTACTTCCCAAGTAGCATCTATATTGGAGAGAAAAAAATGGTGTAAAAATGAGTTGATAGAGAAACATGAGAAAGTATAATAGTTTCAGCTAGAGTTTAATCCAAGCATTTGAGTTAATGTGTCTATCTTGGGATTTTAAAGTATCTTAAGTTGTACCTAACTTTGTTAGAAACACTGGTTTAGGTGGATTTGATTCCTTAGGTGTTTACATTTAGTCCTGAGCACATTGATGGGGAGGCCTGTAGAGCACCCAGATTTTAGATGTGGATTTTTTCTTTGGGAATCCATTGATATCCATTTGATACGTCCAAAGCAGCCTTACAGGTTAAGTTAGCACATCTTTGGAGACAAATTTCATTTTGTGACATGCTGGCTCTGTCCTCTTGGTAATTTCATTCAATCTCTCTGAACCTCAATTTCTCTTACATGTGTTTATCAAATGCACACTAGTAGTACCTACTTCAGAAGATTGTTAAAAAGCTAAAGTAGGTCTATTTACGTAAGTGTAATTATGCCTAGTAAAGTGGACTTTATTCATATTTATTAAAAATTCATTTGGGGGGACAAACAGTAAATAAATAGGTTGACTACAATTACTGAGTCTAGATTCTATAATTAAAACAAATATAAATCAAAACAGATAAGCCTCTATTCTATTGCTAACTGCTTCACCTAGAAAAGTTTTTTTTGTTTGTTTAAAAAAGGAAAGAATGTTTTGTAGTCATTCAAATCAGTTACCATAGGATGGCAACAATTTCTATGAAATTCACAGTATCAACCAGTTCTGCACATAGCAGAATAGATTAGGAGGTGCCCTGTTTGGTTAGGAACTGCCCTTTTTTGAATGGAAATTAAAGTACTTTCTAAATGACTTCTACTTGTAGTTGTACTTAAACTCCAGACAAAATATTTTACTTTATTAATAATAATTACCGTATTTATTTTTCCAAAATATAGCTATGTAACAATAGAGGCAATAGGACACTAACACTGATATACCTTTACAAAAACATGAAATACATATGGATAAATCTAACAAAATATGTGTAAGATTTATATGATGGAAACTACAAATCAGTGAAGAGAGAAATCAAGAAGACCTAAGTAAATAGAGATACTTCTGTGTTCATGGATTGTGAGGCTTCGTACTGAGATGTCATTCTCTCCACAACTGATCTATAAATTCAATACAATCCCAATCAATGTTTCACAAGGCTTTTTGTAGAAATTGAAAAATTGATTCTAAAATTTATATAGAAAAATAAAGGAAGCAGAATAATCAAAATAATTTTGAAAAAGAACAAAGTTTAAGGATTTACCCTATCTAATTCCAATACTTACTCTAAAGCTACAGTGATCAAAACAGTGTGGTGCTGGCAAAACAAGAGACATAAATCAGTAGAAGAAAGAGTCCAGAATTAGACCCACACACATATGGACAATTGATTTTTCAATAAGGGCACCAAAGCCATTCAATGTATAATAGAAAAGACAGTTTTTTTCAACAAACAGTATTGGAACAGTTGAACATATACAAAAAGTAAACTTCAACCCATACCTCACACTATATCTAAAAATTAGCATCAAATGGATTGTAAACCTATATATAAAACCTAAAACTGTAAAGCTTCTAGAAGAAAATCTTTAGTCATTAGAGAAATGCAAATTAAATCTACCATGAGATGCCACTATGCATCTATTAGGACAGCATAAACAAGAAAAAAAAAAAGCAAACAAAAACCCGTCAAATAAATGCAGCAACTGAAACTCTTGGATATCATTGGTGCAAATACGAAATGGTAGCCACTTTAGAAAATGGTTTGGCAGTTTCTTGTAAAATTAAACATATACCTACCATATGAGCAGCAATCACACTTATAGGTACTTATTCAAAAGAAATGAAGATATATGTCCGTACAAAAACCTGTACATGAATATTTATAGTAGCTTGATTCCTAACTGCCAAAAACTGGGAACAATGCCAATGTCCATCAACTGATGAATGGGTAAACAAATTCCAGTACATCCATACAATGGAATATGGATAGTCTACTGATACATCCATTCATAAACAATAGTGTAGATGAATTTCAAGCTCATGCTAAGAGAAAAAAACTGAACTGGAAAGGCTCCATACTTTTCGATTCTATTTTATGACATTCTGGGAAAGGCAAAACTCTAGACGCAGAAAACATAGTAATTGTCAGGAGCTGAAGGTGCAGGCAGTGGGTTGGCTGCAGAGGGTTATGAAGGAACTTCTTGGGATGTTGAAAATGTTATATATATTTGTCATGGTGATAGTTATATGACTGCAGCTTTTGTCAAAATTTATAAAACAGTGTACCTAAAAGTATGAATTTTACTGTGTATATATCATACCCCAATAAATCTAACTTTAAAAAAGAAGTTACACTTCCAGTTTCCAGTTCCACATGTAAGGAGCTTGGAAGTTGTCACTCTGTCCTAACAATAAACAAAAAGCTGAACAACCTGAAAACTCAGCAACTCTTCTTGTATCTGAAGGAGAAGGTAGGACATAGGGCAAACTGCTGCCCCCAAGATTGGAGAGACAGGGGAATACAGGGGATTTTGACTTAACGAAGACACACACTGGAAACCACTTTGGAAACCACTTTGGAAACCAGTGCCAGGGTAGGAAAACCTGACCTGTAATTGATAAATTGCTGAAGCTCAGTGTGATTAGCTCTGAGAGGAGTCCCAGTCTACTGGGATCCAGTCATAAGGAGTCCCCCACAATATTGTAAGATATGCCTCCAGGAGCTCAACCAGGAGCTCACAATAAATATCAGAGAAAAATCGCCTTATACTTCTGGCACTGGTGGGGAAAAGGAACCATTTTGAAATATGCCACAGTATTCTGTTCTTCTTAACAAGGCCTGTCCTCAGGAGAAACAAGTTAACCAGAGCCCAACCTGCTGGAGTATTATCAAGGTTTAACTGGAGAAGGGAAATACTTAATTCTAGTCAGCTCCAGCCTTGCATGTGGGAGAAGGGAAAAAGCCAATTCCAGCCTACTCTAGCCATTCTGTCCACCTAAGGGAAGAGAAAAAACTGAGAAACATTTGTTCAAAGTCCAGAGACAGGCTCATTAAAGCCTGAGACCTAATCATCGAACCTAATCATTGCTTCCCCTCCCTTCACATGCTACATGGATGTCAATAGTACATGCCTTTTGATGATACTTTTTTTAACCTATAGACTTTCCAAATGGCTCTCAGAATGTAGATAAGAACGGTCTGTGTTCAAAAGAATCAGCAATTAAAATGAAGCGCATCCTAGTAGTCCTGGAAAATAAGAGAAATATGTCTCAGGTTCTGGATTATATTTTGCTAAGATAACTATAACAAATTCTGCCCTTTAGTTACTCTTCTGGCTGTTAGAGCAAGAATAAGTATTGTTTTTGGAAATGCCTGAATTTCTTACAATGAATAAAAAAAGTTATTAAGTGTCATATTTTCCAATGGTAAATAGGAGTCAGGCACAATGTAGAGACTCAGTAAATGTTAAATGAATGAATGATCAGTGCCTTGTATGAACTTCTCCTTGCCAAAGCTTTCTCTTTGAGTCCCTATAAACTACTAGTACTTTGGCAGGAGGGAGGGAGAGAGGGAAGGAGGGGGAGAGAGAGAGAGGGAGAGAGAGAGAATGAGAGAGAATATGTGTGTGTGTGTGTTTGTGCATGAGTGCATGTGGCAGTGTGGTGGGGGAGATGTTGCCTATTTTTCATAATATGATCATTTCCTTTTCTCTTTTAGACATATTACTGATGCCACACTTGCCATTGTGAAAGGAGAGACAGTTCCACTTGATGTCTTGCAGATCAAGGTAAATCTTTTCATCACATATTGGAAAAATTGTGAAAGTAATACTCGCTTACATGTTAAAGAAAATAAAATGTAGCAGTTCAAATGAGGTTATAATGAAAACAATAGTTGCTCTTCCATTCCTACCCCAAGTATTAGTCCCCAGAGGAAATAATTTTACCTGTTAATTCTAGTTGTTATCACTAATTAATATGCTTTTGCTCCTATTTTTAAAATGTGGCTAAAAGCATAATATTTATCATTATAGTCATTTTTAAGTATACAGTTCAGTAGTGTTAAGTACACTTAGCTACTTTTTTTTTTTTTTTGAGAAGGAGTCTTGGTCTGTCACCCAGGCTGGAGTGCAGTGGCACAATCTCAGCTCACTGCAGCCTCTGCCTCCTGGGTTTAAGCAATTCTCCTGCCTCAGCCTCCCAAGTAGCTGAAATTACAGGCACCCACCTCCACAACTGGCTAATTTTAACTACTTTTTGATTTATCACTTTTAGACCTTATCTTTGACCTCTTTGTTATACAGGCATACCTCATTTTATTACACTTTGCCTGACTGCATTTCACAGATATTGTGCTTTTTACAAATTGAACGTCTGTGGCAACCCTGCCCCAAGCAAGTCTACCAGTGTCATTTTTCCAACAGCATGTGCTCACTTCATGACTCTGTGTCACATTTTGGTAATCCTCACAATACCTCAACCTTTTTCATCATTACTACATTGTTATGGTGATCTGCTATCGGTGATCTTTGATGTTACTATTGTAATTGGGGCACCACGAATTGTGCCCACATATAATGGCAAACTTAATTAAATGTGTGCGTTGACTGCTCCACCAACCAGCCATTTCCCTACCTTTCTCTGTTCCCTGTGACACAACAGTATTGAAATTAGACCAATTAATAACCCTACTTGGCCTCTAAGTGTTCACATAAAGAAGACGCATCTGTCTCTCACTTTAAATCAAAAGCTAGAGATGAGACCAGGTGCGGTGGCTCTTGCCTGTAATTCCAGCACTTTGGGAGGTCCAGGCAGGTGGATCACTTGAGCAGGAGTTCAAGACCAGCCTGGCCAACATGGCGAAACACCATCTCTACTAAAAATACAAAAATTAGCTGGGCATTTAAAAAAAAAAAGAAAAAAAGCTAGAAATAGGTATGCTTAGTGAGAAAGGCATGTTAAAAGTTGAGATAGGCTGAAAACTAGGCCTTATGCCAAACAGCCAAGTTGTGAATGCAAAGGAACAGTTCTTGAAGGAACTTAAATGTGCTACTACAGTGAGCATATGAATGATAAGAAAGTGTGGCCTGGTGCAGTGGCTCATGCCTGTAATCCCAGCAGTTTGGGAGGCCGAGGTGGGTGGATCACTTGACGTTGGGAGTTTGAGACCGGCCTGACCAACATGGAGAAACCCCATCTCTACTAAAAATACAAAATTAGCTGGGTGTGGTGGCACATGCCTGTAATCTCAGGTACTTGGGAGGCTGAGGCAGGAGAATCACTTGAACCCGGGAGGCAGAGGTTGCGGTGAGCCGAGATCGCGCCATTGCACTCCAGCCTGGGTAACTAGAGCAAAACTTTTTCTCAAAAAAAAAAAAAGAAAAAAAAAAGAAAGAAAAAAAAAAAGAAAGTGAAGCAGCCATGTTGCTGATAGGGAGAAAGTTTTTGTGGTCTAGATAGAAGACCAAATCAGCCACAACATTCCCTTAAGCCACATCCTAATCCAGGGCAAGGCCCTAACTCTCTCCAATTTTATGAAGGCTGAGAGAAGTGAAGAGGCTGCAGAAGAAATGTTTGAACCTAACAGAGGTTGGTTTATGAGGTTTAAGGAAAGAAGCCCTCCTCCTAACATAAAGTGCAAGGTGGAGCAGCAATTAGCTGATGGAGAAGGTGCTGCAAGTTATCCAGAAGATCTAGCTAAGATCATTGACAGAGGTACCCATACTAAACAACAGGTTTTCTATATAGACAAAACAGCCTTTTATTGGAAGAATGTGCCATCTCAGACTTTCATAGCTAGAGACGGGAAGTCAATGCCTGGCTTCAAAGTTTGGGACAGGCTGACTCTCATGTTAAAAACTACTGCAGCTGGTGACTTTAAGTTCAAGCCAATGCTCATCTACCATTCCAAAAGTCCTAGGGCCTTTAAAAATTATGCTACATCTACTCTGCTTGTGCTGTATAACTGGAAAAACAAATCCTGGGTGATAGTACATCTGTTTACAGCATAGTTTACTGAATATTTTAAGCCCACTGTTGAGACCCACTGCTCAGAAAAAGCAATTCCTATCAAAATATTACTGCTTATTAACAATGCACCTGGCCACCCGAGAGCCCTGATGGACATGTACAAAGAGATTAATGTTGTTTTCTTGTTTGCTAACAGACATTCATCCTGCATCCCATGGATCAAGGAATAATTTCAACTTTCAAGTTTTATTATTTAATAAATAAATTGTGGACCAAAGGTCATCAATAGATGAACTACTGTCTTGGCAACAAAGTGAGACCCCATCTATACAAAAAAACTTTGTAAAAAAATTAGACAGGCATGGTGGTGTGGGCCTATAGTCCCAGTTGCCATAGATAGTGATTCCTCTGAAGGATCTGGGCAAAGTAAATTGAAAACCTTCTGGAAACGATTCACCATTCTAGATGCCATTAAGAACATTCATGATTCATGGGAGGAGGTCAAAATAACAATGTTAACAGAAGTTTGGAAGAAGTTGATTCCAACCCTCATGGATGACTTTAAGGGGTTCAAGATTTCAGTGGAGGAAGGAACTGCAGATGTAGTAGAAATAACAAGAGAACTGGAATTAGAAGTGGAACCTGAAGATGTGATTGAAATGCTTCAATCTTATAAAATTTGAATGGATGAAGAGTTGTTTCTTATGGATGAGCAAAGAAAGTGATTTCTTGACATGGAATGTAATCCTGGTGAGGATGCCGTGAACCATGTTGAAATGACAAAAAAAGGATTTAAAATATTACATAAACTTAGTTGACAAAGCATTGGCAGGGATTGAGAAGACTGACTCCAACTTTGAGAGAATTTCTGCTATAGGTCACATGCTATCGAACTGCATACATGCTGCAGATAAATTCATGAAAGGATGAGTCAACAGACATTGCAAACTTCATTGCTGTCTTATTTTAAGAAATGGTCACATCCACCCCAACCTTCAGCAACCACCACCCTGATCAGTCAGCAGCTATCAGCATGGAGGCAAGACACTCTACAGCAAAGATTATGACTCACTAAAGGCCTAGATAATTGTTAGCATTTTTTAATTTAGCATTTAATGTTAGCATTTTTTTTAAGTTAAGGTGCATACTTTTTTTGACATAATGCTGTTGCACACTCAATAGACTATAGTATAATATAACTTTTATATGCACTGGAAAACCAAAAAGTTTTTTTGACTCATTTTATTGTGATACTCACTTTACTGCAGTGGTCAGGAACCGAACCTGCAACATTTGTGAGGTATATAAGAATTGCTCTCTATCTCCTCTCAATATAATTGAAATGCTATTTTTAGTTCCTTTATTTTATTTATTTATTTATTTTTGGACAGGATCTCACTCTGTCACCGAGGCTGGAGTGCAGTGGCACAATCACAGCTCATTGCAACCTCAAACTCCTGGGCTCAAGGGATCTTCCTGCTTCCACCTCCTAAGTAGCTGGGACTATAGGCCCATACCACCATGCCTAATTTTTTACAAAGTTTTTTTGTATAGATGGAGTCTCACTTTGTTGCCCAGGCTGTAGTTCATCTATTGATGACCTTTGGTCCACAAGTAATTCGTCTACCTCATATGGTTGTTTTGAATATTAAAAGAGTTAATAAATATAAATAAATATAAAATACTTAGGACAATGATTTTTACCTGTGTGTATGGTGGCCACCTCTTCCTCTCATGCCCTGCCAAAGGTGAAACTGTTCTCATATCTCATCACTCTATTAGAGTAGCTTTTCTTTTTTTGAATTCAGGCTACTTGGTCATCTTGCAATCTTAGCTCTTTGGTGAGCTTTATTAAAGTTATGATTTTGTAGATTATCTGGCTTTTTCTCATTTTTAGGGTGGGACTATGTTCTTCGTACTTTCCTGCATGCTAGGTGGGAATAGAATTTCCCATTTTTCTTATTGTGTAATGTTTTCTTACTGATTTATACATGAACTGATGAATTATTTTAGAAATATATTTTTTAAAAAGCCTTAGAAGCAATGATACCTAATAGCAGTGATCATACCTGGCACCCAGAAGGTGGTTTGAAATACCATTCCCAATAAAAATAGCCAAGGCGCTGTGAAGGATTGGCTTTCGCAGGGCAATAACAAGACAAGAAAGTACTCAAAAGCTGATGGAGATATCACAAAAGATGTAGCCTGCAGGTGTCCTACTCGCCAATTTGGGACTCTTTGAATATTACAAAGAACAACAATGATGGATCATAAGCCTTAAAAATGAAGAATCCATGAGTTTCCAGTGATATTTCAGGATTGCCAGCTTGTAAATGCAGAAGGAATGATAGAAAATCGCCATTTTTTAAATCACCTGCGTAATAATTGATTCAGGTAGAGATCATCAGTGAATACTAAAACCACTGGATAAAAGATTGTTGGGAAACAAAGCCCACAGTCTCAAAGTATCTCAGATTACTTAATAATTTAAAAGGGAAAAATATACTTTGATAATGGAGAAATCTAGTGATCAAACTTAGCATCATGAATAATGGATAAACTGACATTGTCTGCCTCCCGAAGTGATATACTGAGAAGGCTATAACATCACCTATGTATTTTGCTGCACAAAGTGTTAACTAACTGAATATAATCATGAAGAATTAGACAAATCCAAATTCTAAAAGCAAAAATTGGACTCATCAAAAAATGTCAATGTCATGAAATCCAAAAGAAGGTAGACAGTCTGTTCAGGATTAAGGAATACTAAAGAAATAACTAACTGCAGTACAAGAGCCTGAATTGGAAAAATGAGAAACAATGGCAATCATGAGAGGCAGTATTGGAACAATTAGAGAAATTTTAGTATTAACTATATCTTAAATATTATGTATTGATGTTAGATGTCTTGAGAGGGACAGTGGTGTTATGGTTAAGTCTGTGTATGTTCTTGTTCTTAGGAGATGCAAGATGAAATATTTAGTGGTACAGGGTCATGAAGTCTGCAATTTATTGGCAAATTTAACATCTCTGGAGAACATATACACATAGATAAAGCTAATGTGGAGGAAATGTTGGCAGCTGGTGAATCTGGGTGAAAGCTATAAATGGTGTTCATTGTACTGTTTAAAAATTGTTTTGGTTTGACACTTTTCCAAAATAACTTTGAGGGTAAGAAGGTCCAGTAGCTGTTGTCAATTCTTGATCAGGGTTCTCTATTAAAAAATAATTTAATTCTTAGAAAACAGATATTCTCACTTGGATAGTAGTTACATAGCGATTCCTTTTTCATCTAAACTCTTATTTTTTTTTCTGGAAAGGGCAAATTCCTAGGAAGGCAAAGCTGCGAAGTAAAATAACCCTATAAATAGTGAGCCCCATGTTCTTAGATTTGGCCTTAAAATGTACCAGCTACTTTCAGGATGAACATCTTATATTCATTCACGTTCCCTGATATTTGTGAAAGAAGGATCCTCACTGTGTCATGATTCCAAAGTTCAATCCCAAAAAGTTGCTGTTAGTTACATAGAGCTTGCTCTATGTATATTTACAACTGGTGAACCCATGGGCTTGCCTTTTATTTTCTTCTCGTGCACTGATGTCTGGACTCTTCACCATGACCTCACTGATCATGATAAAAGTGATTTAAATTGCAGTTGATCTTTTAGCATATAATAAAGCTAACTTGTTTTCATAAAATGGGATGGCTATGCTGAAATTTCAGCCTAAGAAAGGTACTACAGATTATTATCTATGGAGATACTATTTAAAATACTGTTATTACCAAAGGAGGTGCATCAGGATACATCTCAATAACTGATTTATTCTTTCTTATATATGTGTTAGAAGTAATCCATCCCAGAGTATCTGAGATTTAACTGGAAATTCTTGCTGTGCTTTCATTTATTTATTTATTGAGACGGAGTCTCACTCTGTCACCCAGGCTGAAGTGCAGTGGCACAATCTTGGCTCACTGCAACCTCCACCTCCCAGGTTCAAGCCATTCTCCTGCCTCAGCCTCCTGAGTAACTGGGACTACAGGCGCATGCCACCACACCCAGCTAATTTTTGTATTTTTAGTAGAGACGGAGTTTCACCATATTGGTCAGGCTTGTGTTGAACTCTTGGCCTCCTGATACACCCACCTCGGCCTCTCAAAGTGCTGGGATTACAGGCGTGAGCCACCGCACCTGGCCTGTGCTTATATTTAAATGTCTCTTGTCTCTTTTATGTTTTTCTTTGAAATATGCTGATTTTGTGAATTGATGAAACCAGTATCAAATTTACCACAGGCTCTGTGTATTGATGACACAACCCAGGAAGAAAATTCTGAAAATCAGTTCCTAGAAAACGTGGTACAACAGTCTCTGCTCTGGTTTCTGAGGAACCCAACTAAGTTGGATACATTTTCTCTTTTTTCCTTATTTCTGAAAATTAATTTCAGAATATGGGGAAAAAGATTATAGACAAAGCCTTGTACTATAAGCATTATAGATAAAGCCTGATACCACATTTTTCTTCTTTTAAAGAACAATCCAACCCTATTAAACATATATCTGACGATTCTCCATAGATAAAAGAAATAGTTCTTGGAAACAATAATGCCTTATATTTAGCTTTTTAGATTGTTCAATCTGTGTTCACATTTCACTTGAATCTCCCACTCAGTGAGGAAGTCGAGGTGAGATTCGTATCCTCATTTGACAGGTTAGGGAAAAAAAGAATCCTTTGATTATGACGAGTTGTGCTGGAGATGTAACTAGAATTTAGATTTTCTTTCTCATAGTCTGTTGGTTTTTCCACTTAAGTGCTTTGTCCAGGTGGCATCATAGTTGGCACCATTCCATGATTTTTGAAGGGCAGTTTTTCCCATATAGACATCTATGATGCCTGATAACTTGACTTTAAAGTAATTACTGGGAAGGTTTATAGAATTCTTTGTAGCTTTTTCTTTTTGTTTTTTCAACTAGATTCTTAAGACCCTGCCAACCCAGAACCAAATAAGGCATAGAGGGGAGTTCATGGGGAGTTAGAACCTTTCCCTTTTCCCTATTTGCCATTCCTGGCTAATTACATGGACTCCTTCTTTTTAGACCCTGGCTTTGATGATTCTCTTAAGATGATGCTTGAAGCTGCTTCAGAACTCCTTTAGAACACCTTCTACTTTGTTTCTTTCTCTTTATCTAGGATCCCTGAAATTTCCAGATTAGGCATCTATCTAGTTTATAGGACTTGTTTTCTTTTCAGTGTTCCTTAAGCGTTTATTCCAACCTGCTCGCTCCATTATTTTCTTCCACAAACCCTAGGCCATTTTCTCCCAGGGATTTACTGTTTCTAGGGGAGGCTGTGAATTGGGGCAGCACATCTCCTTTGCTGTGAAGATCTGACTGTGTGCTTGTCTTTCTTTTTCTTTTTGTTTTTGTTTACTGACCCAACCATCTCAAAATTTGACTGCCTACCCAGATGAGTGGGTTAAGATACAGTGGGACTTTGTCTATTATTGGCTTCTACTTTGTCCATCTGACCTTGCATGCTTTTTCTGTGTTCATGTGTACCCCAACAGGGACTAGTCTCTCCATGACTGGTCCTCAGGGCTATTCTGAATCCTGACAGTCCTATGCCCATCTGGAATACTAATTATTCTCTAGATCTGCTCACACATATTCTGCCTTGCTGGCTCATTTCCTGTTGTCCAGAGCCATTCTCACCTTTTGCTAGGATACAGCACTCCACATCAGTGGAACTTTGGGGTCACAAGGCTTTTTATTTAATTCTAATGGAATGTTCCTAAAAACTCTTCCCCCCGAGATGAAGAAAGAGAAAACAGGGTTAGAGGATCAGTCGGCAACCCTCAGTACTTATCTCAGTGCTTCTTGCCTACACTACATGCTTTAGAACAGCATTTACCAAGAAATATGAATTATACAAAAATGTCCTCCCAAAGAAGGGTTGCACAGTTAACAACTCAGGAAAGCTGTATATTGTGCTTCCTCTTTTGGAAATGTGTAATGTACATTAACATATTAAAGACTCTAAGAACTGTAGTAAACATAACTGGCTTCAAACCAAGTAAGTTTGGTATTTTCCAATTTATTTCACCATGGAATCTTCTATCATCATCATCAGCAGCAGCATCATCATCCTCAGACATAGCACTTGTTAACATGTTATGAAACATTTGGGGAAATGATGCTAAAGACATATACTGTTATTTCTCTCCCTTGGACTAGAATCACTTTCTTCTCTCCTTTCTCTTCTTTCCAGTTCTTTCCAATCTCCCCTAATCTAGGTACCTTGTTTTTTAAATGATGGCCAAATAGTGCAAAGTTGCAGTTAGATAGGAGGAATAAGTTTTGAGATCTATTGCACAGCAGGGTGACTATAGTTGATAATAACGTATATTTAAACATAACTAAGAGAATAAACTTCAAATGTCTCACCACAAAAAAGGATAAGTAAATGAGGTGATGAATATTTAATTAGCTTGATTTAATCATCCCACATGTCAATTACATTGTACCCCATAAACATATACAAGTGTGATTTATCAATTAAAAATAATAATTTATGTTTTGTTTTAAAATTTATATTTTCCTTGACCATCTCCTTAGCTCCCCCCACCCATTGTACAATTGTACCTACTTCCCTGATACTCAATAGGTATCTCAATATAAATCAGAAGCCTTTGGTGTATGAAAACTTACCACACTATTATACTTACTTAGCAATTTTGTTAAGTTGAAGGCATTAAGTGGGATTTAATTTAGACAATTTTTAGATTCAGTTCTAGATGAGAGAATTAAGAGGGACACTGACAAGCAACAGAGGGGGTTGGGTAAACAAGATAATGAGGCTGTAAAATCATGGCGGAACAACGGAAAGACTAGACGTTTAGCTTGGAGAGCATTAAGGCTAGGGAGGGAATGTAAGTGCTTCGAGGCAGAGAGTATGTTAGTGTGTTCACCATTGTGTCCTCAACTCCCAGCACCATGCTTGGCTGAGTAGGGGTTCCATCAATACTGAGTGGATGAGTGAAAACATACCTGTCTTCAGATACATGAGAGGTGAGGTTTGTGAAATTCCAGTGAGGGTAGGAATATTTTTGGCTCATGTAAAAGCTTTATGAGGTTATTCTGTCACCTCATTTTATGATTAAATATAGTAATTTTTAAATTTTATGTATTTATTTATTATAAATTTTTACTATTGGCCACTCACTGCTAGCAATTGAGGATACAGTGCTGATAACCCCTTTATACACTCATAGGAGATAATGTAGAGAAGGTTGTTTAAGCAAAAGATGACCCTGTTTTCAGAGGTAGAAGCCAACGTTCAAAAGTTAAGTGACTTGCCTAGGATCACTTAGGTATTCTGTGAGGATTCTCACTTCAAAACAATTGTTCTACGTTATTATGCCATTTTATAGATCTGTAGTGGTCAGCATGTAACATTCCTAAGAAATAATACAGTCTTTAAATGATCACTTATACTTTGATAAAATCATCACTTATTACACCCCAAAATTCTGGAGTCATCTTTGACTCCCCCATTCAGGCAAGAAGTCATGTTGGCTCTACCTTCAAAATATATCCAAAATCAAGCATTTCTTCTTGCCTCTGTTCTTACCACTCTGGTCCCAGCTGCCTTCATCTTTTATCTGGATCATTCCAGGAGTCCTCAAATTCTTATCATTCCCTCTCCCCTTGCCTCCCTACAATCTGTTGTCAGCACAACAGCCAGTGTGTGGTCAGGAATTAGAGCATGTCACTTCTCTGCCCAGAGCCCATCAACAGCTTCCCATCTCCGAATAACACCAAAGTCATTCAAAGGCCTTCAAGGCCAAACACAGTCCAGTCCCTCTGACCTCTCCGGCCTCATTTGGATTTCTCATGTACTTCAGGTCTCTGTTCAAATGTTAGTGCATCATTGATATCCTCCATCACCTCCTTATATTAATAAGCAATCCTGGGTGTGGTGGCTCACACCTGTAAGCCCAGCACTTTGGGAGGATGAGGCAGGTGGATCATCTGAGGTCAGCAGTTGGAAACCAGCCTGGTCAACATGGTGAAACCCCGTCTCTACTAAAAGAATACAAAAATTAGCTGGGCGTGGTGGCGTGCACCTGTAATCCCAGCTACTCAGGAGGTTGAGGCAGGAGAATCACTTGAACCTGGGAGGCAGAGGTTGCAATTAGCCGAGATCGTGCCACTGCACTCCAGCCTGGGCAACAAGAGTGAAACTCCGTCTAAAAAAAAAAAAAACAAAAAAAACCCACAAAATTTAAAAATCCTCCTTACCCTCAATGTCTTTGGGCTGTTTTTTCATCCCACTCTCTCTGCTTTCTACTATTTCTAGCTCCTTTATTGTTGGTACATAAAGCAATGATTAGAGAAAAATCTTTTTCCTTACCATTCCCTCTTGGTTGCTGATGCCCCTGTGCTGGCTGTCTTATGGGTTCATGTGTGAATTCTTTGGGATTCCTCCCCATGGCGTACATAGTTTTCTGATGTTAGAGATCTGTTCTAGCTCCACTTTTCAACTTCCTGTGGAGAGCATCCAGGCTTGGCTCTCTCCACAGCTTCTAACTACTGGGATACTATCATCCCTGGGCTAGGCTCTTAGATGGGGCATTGTCAAGATGACTCAAAGCCCTGTTATCTTACACACTATCCACTAGGCACCCAGAAAACTAATATGTCCTTGCTGTACCAGCCACTGAGTTGCTGCACGTTCTCCTTTTTTCTCTGCCATTTCTCTCTGGTTCCCTTGTCCCTTACTAAAGCAGGTACAGAGAGTGAAGATTCAAGTCTACTGCATGAGCAGATACTCGACAAAGGGATGAGAGGCCAGCATCCTTTCCTTGCAGGCTTCTTTTATTGTGTTTGATTCTCCTAGAAATTTCTCTGATTCTCCTAGTCATTCCAAAGCAAGTGACCTGCTTTTGGCGTAGTGGAAACAGGAGTGAATGTGGTGTTGGGGGAAGCACTCTTACCCTTGCGGAGAAGACAGCATGCTTTCTCTAGGCAGCGACTTGCACTGCCAAGGATTTGCCTCCAGTTCCTACTCTTCTCCTTGCACTGGCTGTGGTGGGAATCAAGCTGGTTCTGCCCACTTTTAGCAACTTCTGTGGAGTCTTATGTAGCATTCGGTAGCTCTCTTTAGAGTGTGGGGGCACTGGGTGCCTGTCAGTTTTCAGCTCTTAGACTTTAGATGAAATTCTGAGCTACAGGAAAAATTCCATTTAGAATCCTGGTACCTAGATTATTTATAATTTTTAAGGAAGGTTCAGGGTAGAGTATAAACTCTTAGGGACATTGGCTGTATTGTGCATTTTTTCTATATATTGCTTAATTCACTGATTTATTAGAAACTCACTGATTATAATATGCAGTATTTGGCCATAAAGCATTGGACCAAATCCAAATCACTTTTTATTTCGACTTTTTGTAACACGTATTTGACTGTAGTTTCAGATATTCAGGTGAAACATTCTAGAGTACCAGGATTCTGATCTGACTTGAGAGCTCTTGATCCTATAAGGAAAATGCAGGCTTAAGTTATCTTTGCCTTGGACAAGTACATGAAAGAAAAGAAATTCTAGCTGACCTGACTACTGACTGGCTCGAGAGGTAACATAGTTAGGTACTCTCAAATTTACAGTCCAAAGTATGACAGTATGTTCCCCTGCCAGCAGATTCATGAAACCTGATGTGTAAAAATTACCTTCATATTACAGTGTGGCTTATTCAAGTATTTTTACTAAGCACTCACAGGGTTAATGTCTTTAATGTTTGAGCAGACTTTTTAGAATTTTGGTTTGATGAAAAGTAGGCCATGAACATTTGCTGAGTACTTAGATGTAAAGAGTTCTGAGTGATTATAGTCATGAATTTAAATGAAATGTATTTAACTTCCAGGGTGAAAAGGAACAGCCTGTATTTGCAATGACCGGCCTTCGATGGGGATCTTTCAGAGATGCTGGCGTCAAAGTTAGCAAGTAAAGGATTACTATATTGATGTGTGATGTTTTTTAAAAAAATCTTATTCTGTCCCTGCCTTTCAGGTTTTAATTCACAGTGATCTTCTGGGAATAAATTTGGTGGGCCTGGAGGTTGAATTATGTGTGAATAATGGAGGTAGGAACAATCAGGTAGAGGTTTATGTCCTATATGCAGAAAGGCTGGGGAAAGTTGCAGCTTCCTCAACACTAGCTGGGCAGTAGCTGAAGAGGAGAAGGGTATGTCTCTATTTTTAGACACACTATTTGAGCATAGGTTAGGCTCAAGCTAGGCTGTAGGGAGAACTGGATTGCCTATCATTCTGCAGCTGCTTAGCTGGGTACCAAGTGGAAGGGACTGCCTGGGCTACAGCCTTACGGAGCTGTTGCAGTCAGACAACTTTTCCTGAGAGGTATTTTTGTGAAGGCCTCGCAGATTGGGAGACCACAGGCCGCTGCTCTTAGAGGAGGAAGAAAGGCGGCGCCTGGCTGTGCTGTGAGATGGGAGAAACAGGCCTATCGAGGAGCTGATTAGAGGGCCAGTGTTGGCTTTTCATGAGAATTGACTTATTTTTGGAGAATCCATTGTATGCAATGAAACTCTTGGCTTGGAGAGAGGGTGTGTCATGTTCCATTTGCTGTGGAGAGGTAAAGTAGGCAAGGGCTTGCTGAGCAGGACTGCAGGGGACACCATGTGAGATTCGCTTCATACCTGGTGGTGGTATTTTCTCTTTACCTTTTCTTAAAATCGAGGGCTTACAGTTTGAGTATAGTTTAAATGAATTGTGGCTGATCTCACACATAGCTCTCAAGAAATTGCTCTTTCACTTAATAGGCCAGCCTGCCATGCTTTTTTTTTTTTTTTAACAGAAATTTCTCTCACTTGTTTCACTTTATTATTCTTGCTAATGAGATTCCTGACAGTGAAATGTCAAAAGAGAGACATTACCATATTATATTACACATTGCATTCTGAAGTATTTCACATCTTTTTATTTGCAAGTGTGCCATGATTATGGGATTCTACAAATTACCTTGTGTTTGATCTGAAATCTCAAATCCAGCAGCTCACCAAGAGAAACTGCTTAGCTTTCCCCAAAAAAGTCTGGTTAGGACAAATTGCTTTCCAAAATGTGTTAAGCAACAAGAAAGCACAGTACAGATCAACGCTTTTAGGACTATTTTATATACTAGCCCCATATCTCGATTGGTTTCTGCACAAAGAATTTTAAAATTCTGATTGTTATTATGTGCTACCTTGGCTAGGCCCTTCCACAGAGTTGCTGTTTGTATTAAGAAAGAAATGGTAGAGATATGAGAAATCATTTCCTAGCTGGCTGTAGGAAGACTACAAAGTCAGTGGCAAAATGTACTATTGGTAGAGATGAAGGAAACTGAGGAAATTTTAGAAGGTAACTGCCTGAGTTGAGATGACCTTCTACTTGGCTAACTAGGGAAAGAAGCAAACTATAAAGTAAATTTTAAAAAATAATAACACAAAAAATCAGATGATCAAGGGCCTCATTAGTAGTAGCACAGTATCAACCTGAATAATAATTTAGAATGTTTCTGCATTCCCTCTTGGATTATATCTAAGCTCTTTGTCTGTTATTCCAGGCCCAACTTACTCTGTCATCACCCCTAATTATATAATTATGTATCTTTACTTCTAAGCTTTTCTCTCTTTCTCTGACTGTTATCCTATTTCCCATACTCTAAGTTTTGTACCCTGACTTTATTCTGTGCCATTCATTTTATAGGCATGGCTGCTCCAGTGATTTTAGGCCCTTAATGACTTTGTCTCTTTTTGATTCCCCTTACCAATAAGCAGTGATCAGTTTATGCTTTTCCTTATAGTCATTCATTGTTTGCTTTTACATATTTGGGTCTTATTTTCTCAAATCATAAGCTCTCAAAGGTGGGAAATTTATACTTTATATTTCTTCTGTTTCCTCCGCATTCATAGTGGGTGCTAAATAAATGTATATGATCAGAATCAACAGAGAGCAGTTAATGTTGAGTGATTTGTTAACAGAGATAAGTTTTAAGAGAAGAATCTATTTTATGCCGTTTTCTAATTCCGATTAGGTGTCTTCCTCTCTCCAGTAGCTTTTATGTATTTAGCAATATGCAATAGATTCTCGTTATTCCCAGATTTAACATTTGCCATTTTAGAGCTATATAACATGAGTAATGTGAAATTATGCTGGTTTACACATTTTTAATTGAGTGTGCATATGTGCATTTGTGTGTGTGAGAGGACATGGTGTACAGGATCTAGTCATTTAGCTTGGGATCAGCACATCAGAGCATGCAGTGTTTGCATCTTAGTGTGGCTGTATCATCCTTTACTCATAGCTCTTTTGAACGTACACTTGACCCATTGTATCCATAGATGTAAACAAATGCAGATAGAGAATATTTGGGGAAAAAAATATTCCACAAAATTCCAAAAAGCAAAACTGGAATTGGCTGCACACCGAGTACTGTGTTGAATCCGTGCAAATAAAGTGATGTGTAGGCACTGTATTAAGTGTTATAAGCAATGTAGAGATGATTTAAAATATACAAGAGAATGTACATAGGTTACGTGCAAATATGCCATTTTATATCCGGGACTTGAACATCTGCAGACTTTGGACTGAGGGACAACTCTATACCAAACTGTATTCTATGGCTTAAAGGATGTGTTTAAAGGATGTTGTGAATTTAGTGACTCAAGGAGCCTGGTTATATATCTCTCATAAATTGCAAGAATCTTTACTGCGTAACTAATTACATATAACTTGACAAGGCATCAAAACGTGGATTTAAAATTGAATGTAATACTCTTTTATACTAAGCCATAACCTCCTAGCTACCAGAATAGCCACTCATAGCAGAGATGTAATTCTAATGTATTGTCTGCCATGAATGGTATCTATCACATGATAGTTCTTTTGATATTCTTATCAGATTTTTATCTTGGTCTTTTCACAGGTACTGGTATCTTGGGCCTCTAAAAATCAAAGCAGCCCACTTTTTCAGCACTCTTAAGGTAAATGTGATTTACAGTGTAGAAATTTGCTGTGTTATTTTGTTGTTTCTCTGTAATGCATATATTTGGTATTTTTTTTTAATTCCTTGCTACAGATGAATGTGGCATGCTTCAACACTAAAACAGGGCATGTTTGATTAAATACAAATATAGAACGCATTCCTGTTTTGATAAGCAATCACCCTTTATCTACCAATTCATTCCCTCTACTACCAAACCCATATTTAATCTCTCTTAAGCATTCTACTTGCCTTTGCTATTAATTCACTCTCTTGCCCGACAGACCTTGAACATAATGACATATTCTTCAGCGATTATTTTATGCTTGTCTATGTTAGTACCTGGAAATGAATTGAAGATTTGTATCTGAATATATAATATCTAATTGTACAGGTTTGTGTTTGTATCAGTAGGTTTCAAACTGTACCAGCTAAATATGGGCGGTGGTTACTGTATTGGAGAGTATAGATATGGAACATTTCCATGATCAGAAAAAGTTTTGTTGGGCACTGCTACTCTATATGATACAATAAAAAATACTGGCATAGAGAAAAGCCTAACAATTTTTATTAGTGAAAATGCTAATAGAAAAGTCATCTTTAACTGTGGACTACAGACTATATTCAGCTTTTATGCAAATCAAAGTGGTATATTGATAGTTTGGCCAATCTGAAAATTGGCAGATGGGGTTTGAATGTAGTGAGAAGGTTGGTTCCAATGTTAATATTCAGAGTTATTGAATGTTTTTCTAATTATAAAAGTAATACATGTTCCTTGCAAAACATTTGGAAAACATAGCTTCCTTTACCTTTTAAAAAAATTCTGGCTGGATTAAAAAATTAAATGTAAAACCCTAAAATCACTGAACTACTAGAAGTAAATGTATGTGATTTTAAAAATGAACTTTGCAGGGCAAGGTCTTTATATACCAAGGGCAAACTGGATTAGTAAAATCGGTTATTCCTCGAGTTTCATTGGTGGAGTTGTGAGTGCATTTAGGAAGAAATAGAGTAGCTACATATTTAAATGGAATATAAACTGTTGCCACTATTTATTCAGCAAACAATAGTTGACATATGCTTGGGATACAAAGTCAAATGAGACAGGTTTCCTGCCCTCAAGAAGTATTCAGATGCTGGGAGGGAAGTGTAAGTAAATCAGCAGTTTGGCAAGTGCTGTGAGAGAAAGATAGAAAGATTAAGAAGGGAGCAGAGAGGAGGGGCATCTAAATCTAATGAGGGTCAGAAAATCTTCCCAGCAGAGGAGACACACTAAATTTTGAAACATTTAAAGGCTGTGTGAAGTCACAGTGGTGTGACATGGCCCTTAATTATGATTAATGCAGTAAAATGGCAGGAAGTGAAGCCAGTGGGTTAGGTAAGGGCAGGTTATGGCGGGTTTTGATGTGCAATTTGACTTTTATCCTTAAAGCAATGGGGAGTTATTGAGTCTTGAGCAGAGGCATGAAATGAGCAGATTTGCATTTTAGAAAAATTGTTTTTTTCTAAACAGAAAAACAGATAGGATGTAGGTAGCTCAAGGCAAGGACATTAGATAGAAGGTTGTTAAAGTAGTCAGGTGGGAAGTGACGTATAGACTAAGGAGGTAACAGTATTGACAATAGAAGATGGATTAAAGAACTCTTAAGTTAGAACCTCAAAAGTCAGAAGAATGTAGGATTATCAGATTTCTGGTATGAGGGACTAGAGTTTGGTAACTGGAGTTTTCCACTGATGTTGGTAATACTAGAGTAAATCAAGTTTGTGAAGAGAGATGAAATTTTCAGTTTAATCTATGTAGAGTTTAACATACCTGTGGTACAGACAAGCAAAGATACAATTGTGATTTAGGTCGGAATTCAGCAGAGAGGTCTGGACTAAAGAAACAGATTCAAATGTCATAAGTGTGTGAGCGGTGTTGAAACCATGGGTTGGGTGAAATTACCATTGAGTACAGATGGCCAGGAATATCCCTAAGGGACATAAACATTTAAAGAACCACCAAAAATGACTGAGAAGTGCTAAGAGAAAATGCAGGAGAGAATACTAACATAGAAGCCAATAGAAGAGAGAATTTCAAGAAAAAAGTAAGAGTTTCGAGAAGCAAAAGCAAAGACTTTAAATATACAGACAAGAGAGTATCCATCGAATTTGGCAGCCTCCAAAAGCTGGGCAGCCTCCAAAGTGTGGTGGCTGAAGCCAGACTGAAGAAAGTCAAGAAATAAAAGTGATGTAAAGAAGTGGAGACAGCAAGGACACGCTACTCCTTCAAGAAACCTGACTTTGAAGAGAAGGAGATAGGGAAGGCAAAAGCTGAGAGAAACATGGGGTCAATATGGAATTTTTAAAAGTGGAGAATATCCATGTGTTTCTAGACTGAAGAAAAAGAAAAGAATGTGAGGAGGTGAGAAGGGAGACAGAAAGCATGACTGAATTGGCAAAATCCAAGAGCGGGTAGAAGGGCGTGGGATCCAGAGTACTGGATTGTCCCTGGACAGGACAAGGGGCACCTTTTTTCATTGATACAGAAGAGGAGTAAAGGGTAGGTCCAGATGAAAATGAGATTAGAGAAAGTTAAGGTATTCTCACTGATGTCCCTGATATTCTCACTGAAGTGTAGGAAGCAAAGTGATCCTGTCAGAAAGGTGGTGAGTAGTGGTATGGGGTATCCTGAAGAAAGATGAATGTAGGAGGAGGCTTAGGATTATCAAGTAGCACTGAAGACCTGAGGCTAACAATTTGTAGACATGAATGCTCCTTTGGGTGACTGCTTTTCCCTGTATTAATACTCAGCAGGAGTATCATTTTCTTCTCTAGTAATACTGAGCCATGATGTAAGAGTACAGGAACTTAATGACAAGGCTGATCCAGAACTGGGGCTTTTTAGGACATATTGTAGAAGAATAAAGACACAGGAAAGCCAAGAGTAAGTGGAAAAAGAAAGCACTTGAAAGTAATTGACTATCAGTTTGGCACTGAGGGGAAAATGAGTGGTCAGGGAGTAGAATCCTCAATGTGATTGAAAACTTGGTGCAGTTAGGTCTTCAGGGGCCCACAATAAAACCCCTCTCTTCCTCTTTTTAGTTTGAACCAAGGTATGAAAACAAATGCAGGAACTAGGCAGATGAAGATCAAAACGTCATCTTTATAAATGTCAGCAGGAGTGGAGGACAGAGCACAGATACGTGGTCTCTATCTGATCTCCTAATACTGTGAACAAAGGTGTCCATTGAAACAGCTCCTTCAGGGCAGAGACCACCACAAGAAGCTAATTTTCACCACATGAAAATTAGAAGCAGTGACCGTTTGAGACAAGGACAGCTGCTGTCAGAGAGAAAGGAAAGGGCTGGATCCATGCATTGGTCCTTCTAGACTTGGGGAGGAGTGAGTAAGCAGTGGAGTGAGAGAAGCCAGTGTTGCTACTGCTTTGTAATTCACCACCTGGAAACTTGAGAACAGGGAAGCATTTCACCCTAAGAGACACAATGGGCACAAAAGAATCAACCAGAAGAATATGGGATGTGATTAGAGAGCAGGATCTCAGGGTTTTAGATTTCCAAAGTGGAATAGTTCTGGGTGACATTAGGGGCCAGGATGTGGCCATGGAAATGGGTGGATGTGGTGAATCAGAGGTGATGTCAAGGGCTGAGAGGCTGGGGTATGGTTTTATTCATTCATGCGGTCAGGATGTGATCCAGGGTGACACTGGACTTGGGATGCCAGGACATAGAAGACAAAAAAAATTAGAGTGTGAGGGTGATGGGCTTTGAAGCAGAAGTGAGAAGCCTTGGGCTGGATTGTGAGCCTGGGCTAAACCATTCTGGCCTGTGTGTGGAATAAGATTCCAGAAGTGAGGTAGGTACTTGATGCAACTGGATTTCCTCAGTTTCATTTTGCATCACCATCTGTAAGCCAAAGATAAATTTATTACGGATGACCCTATGTTCATTCACCCTCTTTTTGGACAAATGTAAATGGTGGTGGTTAGCCAATTTTAGGGGGAGCAATGGAGGCAGTACTTGCTGAATTCATGGTTTTTAAGATGTAGCTTTAAGAGGAAAAGAAAGCTTGAGGATTCCATGCTCCAAACTAGCATTCCATCCAGTGAGAGGAGATTATTAGTTCACTTTCTAGCAGGTATAGGTAGACAAATAAATAACTTTTGCAGAGAGAAACTCCCAGAGTGGAATTGTACATGCATAACAAAATTTTTCTCTCTCCACATTAAAAGGAGTGGCCTCAGACTCATCAAGCCTCTATCTCATACACGGGACCTACAGAGAGACCTCCCAATGAACCAGAGGAGACCCCTGTACAAAGGCCTTCTTTGTACAGGAGAATATTACGAAGGCTTGCGTCCTACTGGGCACAACCACAGGATGGTGAGCAATGTGGCGACTAAAGATTGGAGGGCCCTGGTCAGTTTAGAAGTGCCCTAAAGTAGACCTCCAAAATCAGTTTTAGAGACTTAACTAGAGCAGGAGAAGCCTCTCAGGGATCACTGAATTCATCCTTCTGTGTGCCACCAGAGCAGGCCCAAGCAATGTGCCATCAATGGGCATAGCAGTCTCTGTGCACAGTCTTTCTGTTAACGTGACTGCTTTTGGTAGTGATGTTTTAGGCACAGAGATGCCATTTTTACCTCTATGTATAAGAAGCATGAAATAAATAAAATGAAGGCAGAGTCAGCAGAAAGGTTGAGAAGCTGAGCTGAGCAGCTAGCAGCTAGCCGTCCGTGGTGGGTGGTGAAATGTTAATGGAAGAAACTGACCTGTATCTAATGGATTCCCACAGCCCTTTCCCAAGAGGTGAGCCCGGAGGTCTGGAAAGATGTGCAGCTGTCCACCATTGAACTGTCCATCACAACACGGAATAATCAGCTTGACCCGACAGTAAGTGTGCTTTTTTATTAGAAAAGCATTTGGTACCTAAGAAAAGTGACAATAGCTATAGTCCTCTCCCACTAATTCAGTTATTTTTATTTTTACCCTGTGGAGATAGAGAGGGCAGTGTCAGGAGAAAGAGGATGTGGTGTGCCTTTAAGGAATAACAGCAATGAGGAGAAGCTGCCACCTGCAGGAGTGGCATAAATGCTTCTGGGGCTCTGATTACATGTTCTGCTCATTGCTTAATTGGCATTCAGAGAACTTAGGGCAAGAGGGCTTTAGAAATGAAAATTAGCTATTCCCATTTGTCACTGGAAAAAAATTGTGGAACTTTTAGTTGAGTAAATATCCACGATTTTTGTGACTGTACTAAATATGTCAAATTAGATCCTCAGGAGAAAAATACCCACACACATACATCTGTATCTATATCTACATATTATTTATTTAGGCCCAATCTATAGGTATGCACTATCCCATACGGTAGCTATTAGCCACATGTGGCTAGTTAAATTTAAATTAATTAGAATTAAATAAAATTCAAAACTTAGTTCCTAAGTCACACTCACCACATTTCAAGTGCTCAACAGCCATATGTAGCTAGTAGCCATCATACTGGAAAGCACAGGTATACAGCCTGTCCGTCAGTGCAGAAGGTTCTGTTGGGTGGTGCTACTATAGACAACACACCCAAAAGTATTGAAATAAAGCAGGCATTGGCAAACTGGTCTGCCACCTGTTTTTATATAGCCCAGAAGCCAAGAATCTTCTAATTTTAAATGATGCAAAGAAAATCAAAAGAATAATTTTTGTGAACAGAAAAATACGTAAAGTTCAAGTTTCAGTATCCATAAATAAAGTTTTATTGGAGCACAGCCATATTCATTCACAAATATATTGTCTGTGGCTGCCTTTGTGCTACAGGGGAGAGCTGAGTAGTTGTGACAGATTGTATGGCCCAAAGCCTAAAATGTTTATTATCTGGTCACTTACAGAAAAAGTTTACTGACCCTAGTATAGAGAAAACCTTGGTAATTTATATCAATGAGAATGCCAATAGGAAAGTAATTGTTAACTGTGGACTAATTACATTCAGCTTGTATGCAAATTAGTCTGTTCACAGTTGTCTAGGCCAGTCTGAAAATTAGCAGATGGAGTTGGAATGTCGTGAAAAGTTTGATTCCAATATTAATAGAGTGATAAGTTTGATTCTAATATTAATGTTCAGAGTATTGAGATGTTTTCTAACTATGAAAATAATACATGTCCATTGCAAAACATTTGGAAAACATAGCTCCCTTCACCCTATAAAAAAAATTCTAGTTTGATTAAAGAACTAAATGTAAAATAATAAAATCATTAAAGTAGTAGGGTAAATGGCACACGTTTATACCTATGTAACAAGGCTGCGCCTCCTGTGTATGTATCCCGGAACTTAAAATAGAAGTTTGAAGTTAAAAAAAAGTATTAGGGTAAAATCTAAGTGATTATCAGTATAAAATTAAGGAGGACAAGGCCTCTCTAAGCATGACATTTAAGGCAAAAATCATATTGATGCATTTGTCTTTTTATTTAAAAAGACATTCTAAACAAACTTTTAAATGACATATTGGGAAAAATATTAGCATGTGATAGACCAGGAATTCACTTTCCTTTTAACAAGCTCTTAGGATAAAGCAATGAGAAATGGGCAAAGGACTAATATAAAAAGTGAGCAAGGGGTAAGAATAGAAAATTCATAAAAGAAATAAGCATATGAAAAAATAGCTTATATTTGCTGATTATTTACTACATGTGAGGCACCTGTCCTAAGAATTTTACATAATATTATGTAATCCTTATAGGTAGATATCTTTATCTGCATTTTGTAGGTAAGGAGACAGAGTGATTTCAGCAAAGAAATGCAAATTAAAATAGTAAGATTGAATTGTCATGACTAAAAAGCATGTTATAGATTAAAAGCTTAGTGGTGGTGTGTGTTTCTGATGGGAATATAGATTGGAACATCCTGTCTCAGCAATTTGGCATAGTATACATAAAGTGTCTAAAATATATGCATACCTTCTGCCCTATTAACTGTATTTCTAGGAATTTATCCTACTGGAATAACCTGATGAATATATAATGTAGGCAGTCCTTTTTTACATAATGGAAATCTGAAAAACACTGGTGAAAGTGGATATGTGAATGCTAAAAAAAAAAAAATAGATTCTGTTCCAGAGGAATTTAAAAGAGAAAGATAAAATGTCTAATTATACATCTCCTTTATACCAAGTCTTTAATAATATGTATTCCGAGTATTTTATTCATGTTCTTTACCATTGTTCTTTTCTCTGATGACTGAGTACCACTGAATGGATTGAGTTCAGTGAGTATGTGAGTGCGCTCAAGATTAGCCACACTCACAATGCCAAGTGCTTTTTATCTTTGTGCCTATTTAAAAGTATACGATACTGTGCCGCTTATCACTAGTAGCAGCAAATTCATTTGTTTCGTTTTTGCACAGTTCTTTATAAAAATAAAAGCAAATGCAATACAATAAAGGCAGTGTAGCTGCCGTGTAATAGCTCAAAATGTTCACTTATTAAAAGCAGCACATTCAGTGTATGAAAGAAGCTGTAGGAGTATAGAATGTGTGAAAATTAGGATCTCTTATACAACTATGCTCACTGTATAATAGTAAAATATTTGCAATGAACTAATCAGACTGAATAAATTTTGGTACATTTATTAAAAGTCATATCTATTTTATATATGTATTATTTTCTATCTATTGACATGGGAAAAATAGGTGAAAAGATTTGCAACATAGTTCCATTTTTCTTTAAAAAGGAAATACCCCCACTTATAAGTGAGTTTTGTGAATGATGGAGGTAAAGCTCCAATTTTATGTTCTTTCCAAATAGAAAGCCAGTTGTCCAAGCGCCATTTATTGAAATCTCCATTTTCCCCCATTGATCTTCAATAAACCTCTGCCATACATCATGTCTATATACATGTAAATGTTTCTAGTCTCTTTCTTCTATTGTTGTTCCATTTTCTCATATTTATACTAATACTCTGCTTCTCTTATTATAGTTTTATAATAAGTTCTATGTTTTTCTCTTTTTACACAGTCTCTTGGCTATTCTTAGCTCATTTGAGTTCTATAAATATTTTAGAATGTTTATTTTATTAAATTCCACATAAAAATGTTATAATATTGATCTCACTGCATTGTACCCATAGATCAATTTGGAGAGAAATGACATTTCTACAATATTGACTCCTCTAGCATATGAACGGGGTATATCTCTTCATTTATTTAGGTCTTCAATGTCTTTCAATGAAGTTTTATAGTTTTCTCTGGAATATCCTGTCTTTTGCTGGATATATTCCCAGTTATCTTAATTTTTATGCTATTCTAAATAATATCTATTAAAATTTCATTTTCTACCTGATTTAGTAGATGGACATATAATTGATTTTTATATCAATGCTGAATCAGCAACCTAATTAAATTATTATTAATTATTCTAACTTTCTTTCAATGAATTCTTTCAAATTTTCTACAG
Source organism: Homo sapiens (assembly GCF_000001405.40). Lineage (NCBI taxonomy): Eukaryota > Metazoa > Chordata > Mammalia > Primates > Hominidae > Homo > Homo sapiens. The sequence continues at coordinate 141,645,457 of NC_000007.14, forward strand.
ATTTAGTCATGGCCAATGCAAATAGTGCAAGGTTTGTTTTCTCTCTTCAAATACTTATCCTTACAATCCTTCATTTTACTTAGAGCACTGGATAGGACCTCAGTACATGGTTAAATAGAAGTAGCAGTAACAGGAGTCCCCATCGTCTTTCTTATTTCTGATTTAGAGAGAAAGTCTTCATTGCTTCATGCTTGTATTTAATGTGCTTTCTTTTTTTATAGACACCCTTTATCAGATTAAGGCAGTTCCTTTCTATTCCCAGTTTGCTAAGCATTTTTATCTTTCATGTTAAATATCTTAGATATTTAATTTTATCAAGTACTCTTCCAGCATCTATTGAGATAATAAAGTTTCCTCATTTAATCTGTCAAAGCAATAAAATGAATTGATTTTTGAATGTTAATGTGAGACTTTTGGCCAAGATGTAGCAAAAAGCACCAGCTTTATACCTTAAACACCTTAAAAATTGGACAAAATCTTTGAAACAACTATATGAGACATTGGTATGAGACAAGCAGCATAGGACAGTGAGTCCAGAGAGCAAGAAGTTGAACACAGTGAGCCTGATGCTTGCCCGAGGTGACTGCTGGAGAGAGGCCACAGCCTGCGGAGAGGGAGCCCACACAGAGCCCATGCCCTACCTCAGTTGAGGGGTCTTTGAGAATTTGAGAAATCAAGGCAGCTAGAATTGCAAGGCAGGATACAAGAGAGCCCCATGGAGAGGAGAGCCGCACCCAGAACCAAGCTAGAGGTTTACGGAGGTGTCCTCTGGAATCTTCAGCTGAGTACTGACAGGTGCATGCATGTGAGAAACCACCACCCGAGATAGAGGTTGAGTTACCTACCAGTGAGCAGGCGGGACAGTCTCAGGAGAGTCAGTCCTCTCACAAAGCCAGGAATAGTTCGTGTTCAAACCAATTAGAGTAGAAAATCCTCTTCAGACATGGGGCATTGGGTAGTGTCCTCAGAAAGGTATTGCCTCAGTAGTGAGTCAAAATTAATTCTAGACTAAAGGCTGCCCTCTTCCCTGTTAACAAAGCTAAAGGCTCACCTCCAAAGAACCACAGTTTCTTTCTAGGTAACTTAATTGTGCCTCCAGAACAAAGCTTTAGAACAGGGGTCAGCAAAGGACAGCCCACAGGCCCGACTATCCTGCTGCCTGTATTTGTACAGCCTTGAAGCTAACAATATTTTTTACATTTTTAAATCATTGAAAAAAATCAAAAGAAGAGTATTTTTCCCCGTTACGTGTGGAAATTGTCTTCAAATTTCAGTGTCTTTAAGTCAAATTTTACTGGAACACAGGCAGGCTAATTCATTTGAGTATATTCTCTGGTTGCTTTCAGCTACTATGGCTGAGTTGAATAGCTGTGAGAGAGACCTCATGGTCTGCAAGCCTACAGTGTTCACTCTCTGGCTCTTTACAGAAAATGTTTCCCGACCCTGTTCTAGCTGAAGTGTGGCTCTCCCCTGAGTTTTGCCTTTCCCACAGTCTTTAAGCAGTGGCTGTGCTTTCTTTCTTTTCCTCCCCTTGTATGCTGGGCCTGGTGACTTGGTGGTTGTCCTCCTGACTCATCACTGCTTTAACCCATTCTTCCTCCTCCTCTCTAACTACCCCCCCACCCAGCCCCACCTCTCAATGTCCTATTGTCAGAGCAGATCATTGCTCCTGGGAGCTCCTGAACCCTGGGCCGTTCTTACACATTTATCTATAATGTTAATTCCTAGCCCACTGTCTCCCTCTCCAATCTACTCCTGTCTTAATTCTCAACACGGCAGCCAGAGTGATCCTATTGAAATGAAGCCAGAACATATTTCCCTCCTTAGAACCCTCCAGTGGCTCTCTGATTCATTCAGCCTAAAAGCCAGCTTCCTCGCCATGGTCTATGAGGCTCTGCTGATGTAGCTCCTCTCTTCCCTGTCTTCCTCACTTGTTGCCCCTGTCATTCGCTCTGCTCCAGCTACACGGGCTTCCTTGCTGTTCCCTGCTGTCAGACATGTTCCCCCAGCACCACCTGAAGGCCTCCGCCCCAGTAGTTCCCCTTGTGTGGATTGCTCATCCCCGGATTAGGGGTTCTCAAAGTCCAGTTCTCAGATCAGCACATCAGTATCACATGGAAGTTGCTCGAGATGAAAATTCATGGGCCTCACCCCAGATCTACTGAACCAGAAACTTGGGATGGGGCCAGAGTCTGAGTTAAAAAAAAATTATTTTTATTGATTGATTGATTGAGACGGAGTTTGACTCTTGTCACCCAGGCTGGAGTGCAATCGTGCGATATTGGCTCACTGCAATCTCTGCCTCCTGGGTTCTAGCGATTCTCCCGCCTCAGCCTCCCGAGTAGCTGGGATTACAGGCGCCCGCCACCACACCCGGCTAGTATTTGTACTTTTAGTAGAGACGGGGTTTCACCACGTTGGCCGGGCTGGTCTCGAACTCCTGACCTCGGCTGATCCGCCCGCCTCGGCCTCCCAAAGTGCTGAGATCACAGGCGTGAGCCACCGCGCCTGGCCAAAAATTATTTATTTTTTAGTTGACAAACAAAAACCAGAGTCTGAATGTTACCTGCTCTACAGTGGCACCTGCTAAAGTTTGAGAACCACTGCCCTGGGTGGCCACATCGCCGGCTCCCTCACCTCCTTCAGGCCTCCTCTCCAAGGCTTCTCCACGGGACCCCCTTTTTCATAACACAGCCACTGCCATCAGCGCCACCTCATGTTCCTTGCTCTGCTTCTTTGATCTTATTTTCTAATAAACTCTAATATAGTTGTGGCATCCTTATCTTCTAACAGAGTTTATAATTTACTATGATCCATCTATTCCCTCCAGTCTCTACAGTAGAAAGTAAGTTCTTTGTAGGCAGAAAGTCATGTGGGTTTTGTTCATTGGTGTAACCCAAGCTCCGTGGGTTCATGGTGCATGACTGGCACTCAGTAAGTAGTTAAATAAAAGGTGAACTTTCAAAGTCATCCACTTTATGTTTTGTAATTCTTAGTTGAGAGTTCTTTGTTAGTTACCCTTTAATCTTAGGCAAAGGCTTTAAGGCTCTCAGAGGCCTCAAATCCTGGGCCTGAACATTTTGAACCTACCCCAAAAGAAACAAGACCTCTATTTGAAGCTGACATAGAAGTTGTGGGATTGATTTACAGAGGGCTAGGTTTGTATGGCTAGTCACTGACTGGTAGCAAATTATGGGAACTGGTCCAAGAACCAAGTCTGTTTTGATAGCCATTTTGTCGTAGCTCAAATCATCCAGAGCTTTCTGTGGCTGGAAATGGAAAGTTTTTAAACATTACCATAGAATAAACGGATTGCTGTTTTCCAACTCTGGTTGCACACCAAATTTGTATGTAGAGCATTAAAGAAGCACAGGCACTTGGGCTCTCCACACCAAGCAGCCGATTCCATGCTGTCATGTGAAGCTCATGTACAGTGAACACTGAGATTGCTGGGATGGGCTGAAAGCTTGGCCTGCAAGGGAAGTAATCCTAGAGACTAGAACGGCTAATAATTACTAGTGAGTGACAGAACGTCCAGAACCTCCCACTCTGAGTTTTGTTTGCTTATGTAGTAAAAAAAAAAGCCAAGCAATGGAGATGAATTTTCTATAAATTATACCTCAGTAAAGCTCTTTGTGAAAAAAAAAAAAAAAAAGATTGAAAATAGGTTTGGAATTAAATCACTACAAGTAGAGTCCCCTATCTATATATAGCTTCAAACTATGAACCATCAAAGCTGAGGATGACAACAGGCTGCATTAGCCAAATTTTAAGAGTAATGACGTTAGTGTTCTTAACCTTTTTAGAGCAAAGAAGATTTTCTGAATATCTGCATTGAACCTGACACCATCAGCAAAGGAGACTTTATAACTATAGGGTAAGTGGACTGGGGTTCACAGGAAATGAGGCTTGTGATTTTCTCAGATTTTACTATTCAGAGTGCCCCATGAAGTCTAAGACAGAAATCCAGCCAAAGCCTTGTCTTGTTTGGGAATTTCGATGTTATTTCTTTCCTATGGGCTGACATGTAGAGTGCCCCTCTCCTATGCTGGCCATCACTGTTCATTTTGTGGGGATCAGAATGTAAGAGCAGTCTTTGTTTTTCAATTGAAACCAAAGAATTCAATGGAGCATGACACAGCGTCAAGAACTTTGGTTTCAGGGTCAAAGAGCTGAATGCAAATTTTGATTCTGCCACTTACCCGACGTCATGACTCGGATCATTTAGCATCTCTGAATTCTTTCCGTCTACAGAATGAAATAATCATCTCTGCCGATCTCAGGACTGGCTTTCAGCCTTGAGTAAGAGAATGTGTGTCAAGCCTTTTTATATTTTGAAGCACTTCACAGTATCCATTACTATTTATGTCAGTTCACCATGTCCTCCTATTCCCAGGGCCTTCATGAAAAACTGGAAAAGGTATTGAGTACCTTGGACATTTCCCAGGCCTTTTTCCCTTTTCCAATACAGAATACCCTTCCAAGTTCTGTGATTTGTTAAGTCCTACCTCTGCCAGAATTTTATTGGTAAAGAACACTATAAATCCTCCTTCAGGGCATCTGAGGAGCTGGTGTGTTCCCATGCCAACTGGTAATCTGCTCAGCTCCGCTTTTCTGTGCTTTGTCTCAGAGCTCCCTCTCGTGCCCATTTAGGGATCACACATTTCTGCTGCAGCGGCCTGGTCTCCATGGCTACTTCATTATCTACACAGGCACATAAGTTTGTTGTTCTTGCCTTTGGCATAAATTCTTCAGAGACTGAATAGCTGATTCTGCAGCCTTTGATTTTCTTGCTGTATCTATAAGAAGGGAAAATCCTGTTCCTTCTACAGAATGTCCAGAAATCACACAATCTTCATTGACAGTCTGGCCAGTGAGACCAGCAATATTCAAATCTCCTTTATGATACTGGTATCCAGAAATAGAGACCCCAATTCTATTGCTAAGGTTAGGCGAAGCCACTATGTTCTGCATTGTTAGCACCAGTGGCAGCCAGTGTCCTTCTGTTCTCTACAGGAAGTGAAATCAAGTAATGTCTGTTTCCTCTGGATATCTGAAGAGAACATAGTGAAGCTGCGTTAGAAAACTCTGATACCGTTTTGTAGAGTTACTGTTGTTAATAAATGATAAATGGACTGATTTACTTAGATTAGCTTTTACTGTATTTCCACTGCCTAAAAGATACATCTGCATGAGGTGGAGTGTGTGTCTGTATATGCGCTGGAAATTTTACTCCATAGTCACTCAGTCAAGGTAGATATTGTATGCCAAGTAGACCGCGTTATAAATACAGTCATCCCACGGTATCCTTGGGGTATTGGTTCCAGGACCTCCCTCAGATACCAAAATCCACAGGTTGTCAAGCCCCTTCTATATAGTGGCACGGTATTTGCATAGACTTAGGCACGTCCTCCCTATGCACACTAAATCATCTCTAGATTACTTATAATACTCAATATAATGTAAATGCTATGTGGATGGTTGCTGTCCTGTATTCTCTAGGGGATAAGATAGTCTGTACGGATTCAGTACAGGTGCAAAAATATGTATTCTCTATCCTCAGTTGGTTGAATCCACGGGAGTGGGACCCACAGATAGGAAGGGTTATCAGAGAACTTCTAAGACTAGTTGTTCATATACATAAAAGAAATATCTACATTAAAGTAAAAATATTTTATCCTTCAAGTAATCACAAGAAGTACCAAATACCAGACGTTTAGTACTTTTCCTAAAGAATTTCATTCTAATTTTTAAATTTGAGACTAACAATCTAAGAATTAGGTACATGTGGAATGATTATTTTTAAATCAATCAATTTTTAAATCAAATTAAGAGCATTTCAGAGAAAGTCATAACTTCATGCCCAGTTCTCTACTTTCAGTCTAGAATGTATCACAAGGCTAAGCAAGAATCACTGTTGGAAAAATTATTTACAGAATTCTATGGCTTAATAGACCATCTGTCCACTTATGTAAGCTCATAAAAAGGGGGAAAGAAGTTGCTACATTGTTGCAACCTAGTGCAGTTGCCATCACTGGTCTTAAGCTTGCTTTTTCCTGTGCTCACAGAAGTCGAAAGGTGAGAAACCCCAAGCTGCACGTGGAGGGCACGGAGTGTCTCCAAGCCAGCCAGTGCACTTTGCTTATCCCGGAGGTGAGTGGGGAAGGGGTCGGTAGTCACAGCATTTGATTCGTTCGTCATCGGCCTGCCCCTCTGTGGTGTCCCATCCTTCCTCTCTGTTAGCTGACCTAGACTTAGGCACATATTGTGTGCCAAGCATTTTGCCAGGCTCTGGGTCATATTAGCGGGGAGCTGAAAAGGATGGCAGAATCTCCTTGGGAGTCATGGATTTAGAGTTGGACTTCTGAAGACTCCCATCGTTTTCGAACCAAGGTTCTTCCCTAAAGTGAGTTTTAGGTCTCCTTTTATTTTTCCATATGTAAATAATGCAGAAGGTTACTACATTAAGACACATAGAGAATTGTCTAGCTGGCAAATGTTAATAGTGGCTTTTACTTTAACATTTTTTATAAAGGATCTGGAAGCAGTTTTCAGTTCAACACTGAATTTTTCTGTATTATGAAATGCCATGCTTAGAATAACCTATGTAAGTGAAAAAAATTGGAAATAGAATCTGGAATTGGGAGGTTATTCAATTGTCAATACGGAAAAAAAGGAGGCTCTTCATATAGCCTTTGAAGACATGTGGCCATATATTACTGTATTCAGACAAGACTATAGGTAAACAGAAGGTATCCCCATAGTGACTGGCGTCACAGTTTCGATATAAATATTGAATTAAATGCATGAGTTATGGAAGGGTTTCATAGACTGTAATGATATTAATGTTGATACACCTTGGGTATATCAAGCTAAACAAGTCTTAGAGAATAATGAAAATGATCCAGCAGATACAATAGCATGTCATAAGAGAATTAGCTGTCTTTATTTTTATTTGAGAAGGATTAGCATAATATAGAAAGACTATGTATATGAGTTCCTTAAGACATGGCAGGACCCTTGCCTTTTAATACATATTTGAAAATTATAACCATGTTGTTCAAATCCCAAAATACTCTGGGAGGAGATAGGGGCCAAAAAAAGAAAATAAATCCTTTTTCATGGATGGTAGAATTAGGATGTTTCCAGAACCAGCACTGTGCCCATCGTAGTAGGCACTGAATTTTTTTTTGTAAAAGAACATTAGGATAGCTCCTCAAGAGAGGATGTTGTTTTCCATAATGAACTTCTTCTGGTGCTGCTGTGAGACCTCCAACTCCAGTAGGCCACTGATGTGTTTGAGCTGTTCTGAATATTCTCTTCTCCCCAGGGAGCAGGGGGCTCTTTTAGCATTGACAGTGAGGAGTATGAAGCGATGCCTGTGGAGGTGAAACTGCTCCCCAGGAAGCTGCAGTTCTTCTGTGATCCTAGGAAGAGAGAACAGATGCTCACAAGCCCCACCCAGTGAGCAGCAGAAGACAAGCACTCTGAGACCACACTTTAGGCCACCGGTGGGACCAAAAGGGAACAGGTGCCTCAGCCATCCCAACAGTGTCGTCAGAGGGTCCCCAGGGCATTTTCATGGCAAGTACCCCTCTGCCCCCACTCCAGCAGTGCTTCCCAAAGTGTGCTCTGTCACCTGCTTTGCAATCGGCTTCCATTAGCGCATGTTTTATTTTGGTGTGACGGTTGGCCCTCCTAAACACGGACTTTCCTCAGGCTGGTTCAAGACGGAAAAGGACTTTCTTCTGTTTTCTTCCAAAGTGCAACCACAGTGGAGAGCCCACGGTGGGCTTAGCCTGCCTAGGCCCTTCCATTTCTCTTCTTTGACCGTGCTAGGAATTCCAGGAAAGTGCATTCCTGCCCTGGTGACCTTTTCCTATGTCTAGGCTCCTCCACAGGTGCTGCTATTTTGTGAGCTCCGGCTCCTGTTTAGCTTTTATTTCAGTTCTAACCTCAGTCCAGAAACATATGTGAGGTTGTTTCCCTCTTCAGCCACGGCTACAATACCGGAAAATGCTAGTTTTTATTTATTTTTTTAAGTAGTGCTTCCTAAATGGTTTGCATGAGAGCCACCTGGGGTACATGTTGAAAACTTATTTGGGGTCTACCCCAAACCTAATAACCCAAATTTGGGGATGGGGCCCAGGAATATGCATTTTTAAAAAGTCATCTGCCCTTCCCAGGTGATTCTGTAAGTTGTCCCTCAACTGTACTTGGAGAAATCGTGTTTTAAAGCAGTAGTCCACAAAGTATTCTGCTCATGTGCCCCCAAAAGTATTTTGAAAAATCATGTATACCCTCACCCATCTAAGTTGATATCTAAAATTTTATCTAAGTTGGTATCTAAAATTTTTCATGGGAAGTTAAATAGTTGACAAAGTATGTATTTGCTGGTGTCGTGTAAATATTGGTATTTTAAAATAAAAACTGTTACATCACTATTTTAAACATATCCAGTACAATTTAAATATCACAACAATTTGACACCCTTCATTCATTTATAAAAATAAATGAGCTAGTTCTTTAGTAGTTAAACATTTCAAATTGGCTTTTCTCCTTCTGTATTTCCATACCACTTTTCAGCCAAGAATCCTATCATAATGTAATCTATTATGCCCGACATCTTTTAATCATTCACCCCATTACTTCTTGTCAACAAAAAATATAAATGGAAATTTTTTTTTTAGCTCTTGCTTTAAGTGTTTGTTTGTTATCTCAGTCCAGAACCAATATTATCGTAATTAATTATTGGTATATAATGAAAACGGTATTAATTCTTGGATGATTAAAAGTTTTTTTATTAGAATGTTCTTTATCCTAATTAGTTCATTTATCCAAGAATACATGAATGTGATTTACAGCTGAGATGGGGTTCAACCTCAGCTGTATTCCTTGTTTCTGTATAGATGTAAGCACATAAATTCGATGGAATAGAATTACGTTAACAATGTTTTTACAGTTCTTTGGATTCCTTTGGCATTTTGACAAAGATCACAGTGCTCTATCATCAAGAATTATTAATGATGATCTATCAACTAACAAACAACTTGATTAGATTCTCCTTTAGTCTGTTGAAAGCAGAGAACTGAAATCCACCTGATTTACCATGGCTTTGCCAGCCAGTCATTAGCACCATTTACTTTTACTATCGCTGACATTTTCCTTTGTTCAGTGGCCCTGAGGTTCTTACACTCTAGGGGGCAGTGCACCACAGGAAGATAGATCAATGAGGGAGGATTGCGAGGGGGAAGGGGAGGAAGCAGAGCTGGCAGGCCTTAGCTACAGGCTCTCTCTCAGGCAGATCCCTTTTAAGATACATACACCATGCCCACACATCCCATGGAGAGAGACCAATGCTTTAGTAGATTACAGAACAGCTATGAAAAGTCCATGAATGAAGATCACAAAAAGGAAGGCTTTCTTATTTCATACTGTATTCTTCAGGGTGGTAAAATTTCTGCTTTTGGCAAAAACATAACAGACGGTTCCAAACATCAGCATAAAGATCACTCATCCCATACCACCCACAGGTAGGGAGGAAGGATGCTGTAGTATATGAAAACAAAAGTTTTCACCTGAGCTGAGAGCATTTAGCATATCGTGGTTCTGTAACAATATCAAGGACCAGTGCAGAATCTGGCTTTCTTTTCTGATAGGCTACCAGTGTGTGTTTATGTGTGCTCATTTTGTGGTTCTAATCATAATGGTACATATAATTAGGGAAGGATATGGAAGCCACTTTAGAATCTTATTCATTTTTAAATATAAATATGCCTTGTTTCAAACTTTGTTTTCTTGATTCAGGCTTTCTTTCCTGTGAGGGCTTGGTTTCCTTATTGTTGACTGCTTTGTTCTTTGCCTTGTCCTTCCCTATAAAGCCTGCATGGAAGACGTTTAATAGTGCAACTAAAAGAGAGTCAGCTGAGTGAGGCTTGTCAGCCAAAGCTGGAATGCTGAGCTATCTGGAGGAGATCCTAATAACCCAATTTGGGGATGGGGCCCAGGAATCTGCATTGGGAAGTCGGCCACCCTTCCCAGGTGATTGTTTAGTACAAACTTTTTGACAGATTAATTTCACTCAAATGCAAAGATTAATCCCAGCACTTTGGGAGGCCAAGGAAGGTGGATCACCTGAGGTCAGGAGCTCGAGACCAGCCTGGCCAACGTGGTGAAATCCCATCTCTACTAAAAATACAAAAATTAGCTGGGCATGGTGGCATGTGCCTGTAGTCCCAGCTACTCTGGAGGCTGAGGCAGGAGAATCGCTTGAACCCGGGAGGCAGAGGTTGCAGTGAGCCGGGATCGCACCACTCTGCACTCCAGCCTGGGTGACAGAGCAAGACTCCGTCTCAAAAAAAAAAAAAAAAAAAAAAAACCGTAGTTGCTTTCTATTAAGATAGGGTTTTAAATAAAGCTTTTTTCCTTTCCCTCACAGCTGTTTTGCACATATCTGGATGCAGTTATATTTCCTAAGTGCCAGTGCTTCACATATGTAACTGATGCATCAGTTCTCACAACAACCCTAGGAAGTAGCTACAGGTTGAGCATCCCTAATCTGAAAAGGCGAAATCTGAAATGCTCCAAAATCCGAAAGTTTTTGAGTGCCACCATGATCCTTAAAGGAAGTGCCCAGTGGAACATTTTGGATTTTGGATTTATAATGCAAAGATTCTAAAATCCTAAAACATCTGAAATCTGAAAATACTTCTAAGTCCCAAGCATTTCGAATAAGGGATACTCAGCCTGTAATAATATATGGTTACATAGCACAGAAAATAGGAACCTGACTTTGAATCCAGGCCATTTGATTTACAGAGCCACCGATAGCAATGTACTCTATACCGGTTCTAAATACATACTGTAACTCCCCAAGAGGTTAAAAATGAAATAAAAGTTTAGAATATACACATATACCAAATATATATCAAGTACATAAAGTTTTAAACTGAACTTTGATAAGAGAGTTTGTAAAGTAAAAGGGTGGTGGTCTCTGTGGGATTCTAGAAGTTTCCTGATGTAATTAAGGGTACACAGCCCTGGCTCTTCTGGGTGGCGCAGTTATTCCCAACTTTGTTTCCCATTACCTGGAGAAAGTTTGTCCAGACCGTGGCTTCTAGAAGGACAGGTAGCAGCTCCCCAATCTCCTCCATCATCACTGTAAGTGAAGTCAGGTTCAGCCCCCACAGGCTCTGCTCATGGAGTAGGCCACCATTCCTTCCTACCACAAACCACATTTCTCGGACTGGAGAAGGGATTGCAGCACGCACGTTCATGTTAAAATGTGAACTTTAATTGTAAAAATCATTTTCTGTAAATATAGTTATATCAACCTCTCTGCACACAACTTGGTTCAGATATATACAGATATGATATTCATAGATGTTATTTGTACCACAGAACAAAATCAATTCAAGAAACATTTACTTTTAGCTTCAGGATTAACCCCAGCTTTCTTTAGGCCTTAAAATTACCACCACTGGAAACAGAGAGAGAGCACGGCATACCTGGGCACACCAGTATTCAGGGCAAAATCTATGCAGTGTCTTACTAATTTCATACTATGAGGTAAAGACCCGAAACAAAAATAGATTCAGTCTCTCGTATTGCTATAACTCTTAGGCTGGGGTATTAATCAAAATAGGATTTTTACATTTAAGGCGACAGGGAGGCTATGCTGATTCTAACTCAGAAAGAAATGGGAAAACAGTTTTTCTAAGGCTACAACTATTTGTTTAGGCTTATTTTCCCGGACCTATACAAAAATTCAGTCAACAAGTTTTGGGTAAATAAAGGAAATTCATTTTGCTTTCCTCTGCTCTGTCCCTGAAGTCACTCATCCAGGTTGGCTGCTCAAACACCAAGAATCTCCACCATTCTTCACTTGACAGTCTTTGTGGACACGTTAGACCCAAACTTTTTTTTGTATAACACCATCTTAAAATTTTTTAGTATACTTTATCTTTCTTTAGTTTACCCAAAGGAAGGAGTTTTCACTCTAATGTCAATATATTTGCAACCATCCAACTCAAAGACCTCTGTGTCGACTGTTCACTTTGTGGATCATCTCTGGCTCATTTAAAACATCCTGCCTCATCCCCACATTCGCTGACTGGCCTTAGAAAGCAAAGTAAATTTATTGTTAGTCTAAATAAGCATTCTATAGCAAACATAAGTAATTCACACCTGGCCTACTATGAAAATTAAATTTTCTGAATTTAGATCATATTAGCTCTAAAAGCCCCACAGTATGCTAAAAATCGAAAATAAATTCTAAAAAGAGGAAAGCAAGGCTTTTGTCTCCATCATCATTTCTTTATATAGCACTAGAAAATTCTTATTCCCCTTCTAAATTTGCAATTTCATCCAACTGCCCCTAAATTCTAGTTCCAAAAACAAATTAAAGTGCCAGTTATAACACTACCTCCCACTCCCACCTCTCTCAAGAAAGAGGCCTAAAAATAAGAATGATGACATTTACCCTTTTTTGTACTAGAGCTTTACTGAAGGTTGGTATTTTTATGTCAACCTTCCTAGGACTGTCAAGTCTGCCTCCTAAAGAGCGCTGTCAGGATTTCATAGCACAATCTCCTTATTCACTCTCCAAATTATTTACATAGTAAAACTTCTATGGGGTCTCAGCCACCACCAAATTACAAAACTGCCCATTTCTTCTAGAATAATAGTTTTAAAATTTCCTTCCATTTCAGTATATGCATACTCAGTTCATCACATAGTAATATCAATAAAAAAATAAACTTCCATTTCTTATAAGAAAAACATTAACTTAATTCACAGTTAGCCTTTTCCCACAACACTCAATACTCCAGTAGCTTCTAGGAAGAGAGGTATATTAGTGATAAAAATGGAATATTAAAAATCCATGACTTGGGAGTAAACGGAGCCCTTAACTCCTCCTCTCCCCCTACCTGAATCACAAAAGGGTTTTCCTGAAATGAGAGGGGATGGGACTGGGGTCAGCAGGATTCTCACCTCGGTCTAACTACAAGGTACGGGGAGAAGACAGGAGGGCTGGCCATTTGGCAGAATCCAAGCCTACTAGCTTGGGATCTACTAGGGAGATAAAAGCCCATGCCTGGCATATTGGTCCCCATTCTAATTGTCTTGCCCATGTTAGACCTGTCATCACACTAAGGCAAGTCCACTGCCAAGCTGAGCATTATCCTATTTTATTCATCCACCTGCCCCTCCTCCTTTACCTCTGCAAGGTTGACCTATACAGGGTCTGGAGAAAGCATCTCAATCCATTCCCTGGGCTATACAGTTTCGAAGGGAAATAAATGGTCCCTCGGGTTTCTGCCTTTTCTCGGAGGGTTGATGTCCTAAAACTGAAAGCCTAATTCATTACTGTCCTTTACAAAAGCTTCCCTGAAGGCCTCAGTTTAAAGATGAGTGATTTCATCTTTTACTGTGTTTGAAGGGCTTTCAGTGCATCAAGACTGAGAGCAAATTCATCCTCATAGCCACCAGAAGGAAAAACAATGATTTAGCTAAGATTTAATTTATCTTCTAGCTAAAGTGTCATCGGTAGTCACATGATCAACAAATGTTCACATGTGGCATCTGGAAGCATGTGCACCTGTGTGCTATCTTAACTTTCTTGTCTTGACTTTAAAGTGGAACAAAACAAGGTAAGTTATAGATGCAAGTTCCTAAGCTAAATTACTTCTATTGATACATCAATGATTTCAGCTTCCCTCCCCCTAACCAGGTGGAAGCACAGATGCTATAATGGATGATGGATATGGAAGGCAAAAGCCTTCTAATTCATTGCAATCATAATTTACTGAGGACTGTACAGGTCCCAGGTGGGACACTGACACTGGAATGGTCTCTACCAGGCATAGGGAATGGTTCGTGTTTAAAGGCCAAGCAAATTCTAAACACATAATTTGGGCCATACTTTTAGTCTGGTAGGGGATAAGCCCTACCATTTCAAACTCCTTGTGGAGAGTCCTAAGCCAGGGGCCAACTGGACATTTTCCCAAAGGCTGGGCAGTATCATCTGCTGAGCCTACAGAATTGAAAATGCCCTCTTGAACAGGCCTTTGTCATATTTTGCATGGATACCAACGAGCCCCAAACCTGAATTCCACTCCCACCTGGAACTTCTTCTGACTTATTCAGGAACAACAGGGCAGCCCAGCCAGCATCTCAGGTCAGCAATCATTTCCAAACTGGCACATAGTTCATTTCACAGTGTGGCATGAGATCAGGCTGACAGCTTCACAGGAGAACTAGGCCTGCTCAGGCAGGCGAGGGCTGAGGCCCGGCAGGAGATGGTGGCAGAAGGTGTCACACCACAGGTATCCAACCCTCCTCCAGGAGGCCGGTGGTCATCATAATGCCCGCCCCTAAAGAGCTTACAGACCTAGAAGTCTGTGAACGATGTTCAGCACTTTCTTCTGAACAAAAGCAGATGGTTTCTCAGAAAATATTTCAAGACTGGCAGAAAAGCAGGTCCACATGGCTCCTAGCTTCTGCTGCCACTGTGGAATTCCCTAGTAGAGAACTGGTAGCAAAGGATCCTAGGTTGTGCCTGTTAATCTGTCATGTTGGGGAGCAGAATCTGGCATAGAGCAAGGCTTCGAAAGGTGATTTCCGAAGCCACAGGCTCCACTTCATAGCCCAGGCAAGACATACTCTGAGGATGCTCAACAGTGGCAAAGGTAACTGAAGAGATAAAGCACACGCTGTTCAGCCAAGCAGAGGCTCTGCACAAGATTTCTGGTCCTATGAAGAAGCTGGCAAGGTAGGGAAGGACCAATTTATTGGAATCTCTCTTAAAGGGAGAAGTTCTGCATTGGGGTCAGCTGAGCCCAAGGCCCCTATGACCTGAAACATGGCACTGCCTCACTGGCACGTTCTCCTCTGGGGCCACCCATACCCTGGCCCTCTGCATGAGCAGGAGGGTGGACACGTGGAGATGTGAGACAGAAAGCTACCGAGACAAGCACAAAGTTAAGGGAACCCAGAAGCCCTGACTCACCATTCAAAGGAAAAAACAGGAACTTCATTCTCACCCTGCTATGTTTACACCAGCACTTCTGAGCTTGCAGTTAAAACTGCAGTGTTTGCATATAGAAGGCTCAGAGCAGAAATGCCTCAAACAGCTCCTTCCGGCAGATTCCCTAATTCCAGAAAAAGGAGGTCTTCTTGTGTCCTCTAGGAGAATCAGACCTTTCCTTTCACTTCTACTCCTGCCTCTAACCACCTACCCCCAGCTTAAAACACCCTGAACCTCAGGATACCACGAAAAATAACCATTACTTGACAGAAAGGACCCCTCAACCCTTGAGAGGCAAGAAGAGAGGGTTGCATGTAAAGGAGAATAAAAGGTGAGGCTTCAACCTCGAAACACAGATTTTTTTTTCTTTTGTAAACATACACATTACTGAAATGACAGCAACCCACATTGCAGAGGAGAAAAGTCTATTAGCTGTACAGTTTACATTTCAATGCCCAAACTTATTTATATATTTACATAAAGATGCTACCTTGATTAATCAATGTCTATTTGCATTTCCACATGTGAATTTCTTCAGTTTTGATATTCCATATGAAGGAGCTACAGTGAAAACACTTTTGAATAAAGCAGTGAACCCTAAGAATCTTATCTTGAGATGAGATGTGTGAACCACCATTTGAATGTTATTTCTCCCTGCTGTGTACATTAGTCTGGCTGGGTGTTGGTCACAGACATGGATGCACTGACGGCTATTCCCATAACCGAGCCAGGCGGGAAGGGGGAAAAGGAAGACATTATTTGTCACCAACAACCCAGTATCCCAAGTCAAAATTCTCAACTATGGCCAAAAAGGCCTAAACTCGACCCACAGGAACTGGCTTTCTAACTGGTTGACAAACACGTAAGCTGCCCTCCTGCAAAAGCCAACCAGAGAACAGGCAGGTGGCAACAGGACCCAGCCTAGAGCAGAGCACTTCAGAAGAGGATGGATAAATCCATCAGGGATGCTCAGGGCTTCCTGACCACTGTCCCGGGTGAAGGCACTGCCACATTTTCTCTCAACAAATCTGTTATGTCCCTGGATCCAATTATTTAGCCTAAGGAATGTCACCTCTGCTAAAGAGAAGTGTGTTTGTGAGGGGTCCAAAATGATAAACCGTCTTGTTAGCATCATGCTCCACCCTCTGAGTTAACCAGCTCAGATCCTTGCTAGATTTTGGAATCCAGTAAATCTGTGTTGACCCAGAGGTGCTGCTGCTAATGCCTCCAGAGAATTCGTGTCCAGATGAAGAGACTTAGAGTGGCTTCTCCATCCTGCTCGAACTTCAATTGCTCTATCCTCCGGTAGTCCAAACTTCAGCCTTTAAAAATACCCAACTTACTCCAAGAGCATTATTGAACCCTTAAGAGACTAAACTGGAAAATTAATTTGCTTGCAAGCTCCAAGGCCAGCATTGGCCCTTAGCAATTCACCAATTCATCCCAAGAAGAGGAAGGTTCAGACAAAGAGGAACATTACATTGCATGGCCACCATCAAGTTACTTTGAGGAAGGTTTCCAGGCTTCATTCTATAATTTTAGTTTTCAGCTCACTGATAAGCAACCTCTTTCATTCTGACCATAAGATAAGCTCATATTTGGTGTCAGAAACATCCTTTTTTCCCTCTTTGTGGTCCCTACTCAAGTAAACAGAGAAGACATAAAGTTGCCCTAATGAACAAGAAAAGGGATTTGATCCCAAGACTATAGACTCCTAGAACTACTAAAAACCTTAAAAGATCATCTGGTCTAGTTTCTGCCTTTAGGCAGATGAACATCTAAGGCCACAGGGGACAGGTGGTTGTCTTATTCTCAAATACATCAAGGGACAAAGACCACACAGACTTTCTGAACAGTCCATCCCAATGTTTCCAGAGCTCAGCCTACTCCTAGTGATACAACTCCCATGACCAAGCCCAGAGGACCAGCAGCTCTGGGAGAAAGTGGCAGATTCCAATATCCTAACATGGCAGGACACAAAACCAAGGTGATCTCACCTTATCTCTAGGGAAAAGGGCAGAAAGGAAATTGCAAAAATTATGTTTGTTGGAAAGTATAAACAATATTCCTTTGTGTCAACTTAATAAAAAATGAGGCCCTCTGGGGCCCTGGGGTGAACTCCGGGCTGCTGACATCCCACGTGAAGTGGCTCCCAGTCCTGTTGGCTCCTCCTACGGGCAACAGGGGTTGTCGATAACCAGCATGACATCAATGCCATAGGCCTCCAGCAGGTCCAGGAGAAAGCTCCGGTCTCCTTGGGGGTCTAGGCCCATGCCCCGGGCATGCTCTGCTGTCAGAGTTTTGTCTTGACTGGCAGACACCTCCAACAAAGTCTGAAATATCCGGTTGTTTTGTTCTAGGAAAAACCTGCATTTGGAAGACAAGACACAGGAAAGGAAGCGGGGGGGAATAAAAAGCTCACCAGATAATCCACATATGGGGAACCAAAACTATACTGTTTTGTTTAATGTACTTTTCAGTGGATTCGCAGGTATCTTTTAAAAAAAGAAAAGAGTAAAAGTTAATTATTCAAGTGCTACTAAGGTTAGCAAAGAAACCATTTGGCATTAATTATGGTGTGATTAGGGAAATCTCTAAGCAAGATGGCCTGTCAAAATCCATTTTCCTGTTGAGGGAAGTGACCTGGGTTTAAACACAGCCTGAGAAGAGGCCCCCAAACACTGCTTTTCTCTCTTTCTGCTTAGTCATAGGAGGAAGCAAAAATTCAACAACAACAACAAAATGAACGTGAGCCAACGTTACCCTTGGGTGTTTGCTCTCCCTTGATGACTCTTTGGGAGGAGTGAGATTATGCACAGATCAAGATTTAAAAGTCACTGCTTTAGAGTGCTTTATGAACAAACAAGCTCTGTTCAGGACAGGGTTCACTGCCTAGTTAGACTAGACAGTCCAGCCCCATACAGCTCTCAGGTTGGCAAAGTGCCTGGTGCCTGAAGCGGCCCTCGGTGCTCAGGAATTTCAGACACAGTGGCACATGTCATACCTGGATGAGACTATGGCTGTGCTCAAGTCTCAGATACTTTCCACCTAAACAGGATGTAGGTTTTAGAAGTCCACTATTAGAATCAAGGTGCTACACCTTTGTAGAAATGCCCACATTAAGTTTTCAGCATCAAACCACAACCTCACCCCTGGAAGACCAAACAGGAAGCTGGGAGAATTCAGTTGATGCCACAGAAGGCTACTTCACCCAGCTGTCTAGGAATGAAATCAGTACTGTGAGGTGGAAAGGCCCTGGCTTCTGCACCTACGGGGCAAAGAGATTTCATTTGATTCAAGAATTAAAATTTCAGATTATCCCATAATATTCAGCGCAAGGAACTACTCTATTCAAAGGAGGCAATGGAAATGAGAAGTCCCTGAGTCCTGAGGGACAGACAGAGCTTCCAGGCAGTGGACATCCTCGATGTAAAAGCCCAACAAGGAAAGAAACACTAAGACTCCTGTTTTCTCTTAAGGGACCTGCTTCTTTCCCTAAGTCTTCTGGGTTCCCCCTAATGGCATTTCAGGGCTCAGGTTTGCCTCTGTAAGGAGCCCGGCTCTAAGTGCCCTTGGCAGCAATAAACGGCATCCCTGGCCCGCAGTGAATGACATGGGAGGGATGCAGGTCACTCAGTGCCGAAGGGATCCTCAGGGAGACTCCACATCCACGGCCCCAGGACTCACAGCACGAAGAGGTCCTCTTCACAAGGGTTGTAGTCTTCTTCTACTTCCTGGGAGTACAACAGCATCTGCCTGTTGGGAAGATCACCGTGAGACTCTGGTGCAGGTACCAGGACCGCAGTCACAGGTGAGGCCTCAGCCAGGCATCTTCAATGGGCCACCACCTCCCAGGAAGCAGCACCAGCCAGGAAAGGGATCAACAGGGTTTGGACTCAAAATCCCTGGGGTCCAGGGCCAGTTCTGCCCCTGGTAATCTTAGGCAAGTAACAATCTCCTAGTTGTCTATCAGAAGGGGATGATGATGATGATGATACTTATTTCACAGGATCACCAGATTATTGACAATGACATCAGATACATATAAGCAAGCTTCTAATACGGCGACCAACACAATGAAGGTGCTCAGTCAAGGTGCTTCTAAGCCGCACACACAGGTACATCTAAAGGTCACGTGGAGAGCAGCTGGCAGCTAAGGTAATTTCCACAGATTCCAAAGTCCATGAGAAGAAATAAACCAGCACCGTGGATCTACTCCCCTCCTATCAGGGCAGCATACAGGGAGCCTGGCCTCTTCTACTGCGGGGCTTCCCTTCATTTCCATCTCCATCCCAGGCAGCATGGAGACTGGGAGAAATGTGTCAGGGAAGGGGCAGAAGACAGGCTTTGCAGAGACCCCCATGCTGGAGCTGCCCTGAGGAGGGTGGAGCCCCTGGTTCTCCCCTTAGCTGCCACTACCTCTGCTCGTTGAGCCGGCGGTACTTCTCCCTGTCAGCACTGTTGATCTTCAGCAGCGGCTGCAGGTGGTCGTGGTGTGTCTTCACATTCTGGTTATCCACGTAGACGTCATACAGCTCCCGCTTCTCCTCGAATATCTTCTCTGTGGTGCCTGTGGAACCCGGGGTTAGAGAGGTGGGAACCCACCCGACCCCACTGGGAAACAAGGCGCCCAGGAGCCCTGTGTCTGGGAGGAGCAGGGCTGGGACCTGAGGGCAAGATGAGGGGAGGGCCCCGTACTCACAGGCCACATAGGACACCTCTACCTCCAGGCTCTCGATGTCAGCCACGTTCACGTAGAAGAAAGGTTTGGACTCAGGAATGGTGCCCCCGATGCCAGGCAGTGAAACGTTGGCCAAGCAGCAGCAGCAGTACACTGTGGGGATAGAGGAGGTGAGCGGGGAGGGTCTGCCCCTCCACAGCCCTTCCTCCCTCGGAGCCTGCGGCTCAACACCTCTGCTCCAGGCTATCTGGTGCTTCAGGATCCAGGTGGTCCTGGCGTTCTGAGGAGACTGGAGGTGGCAAGCCTTTTGGGGTGCCATGGCAGAAACTGACCCCTCAAGGTGACGTCAACAACGTGCTTCCCAAACCCAATAAACATTTCTCAGTCTTTCTCTAGCTGGTCTTGCTTAGAATTTGACCTTGTCAGAACTCCGGCCTCTGTAACCCTTGTGTCTTCCGGTTCCCCCTTCTGCCTGTCCCTCCCTAGTCCTTTCTGTCCTTCCACCTTTCTGGTCCACTTCCTGTGCCTGGAACACCCCTCCACACTTGTACTTTCCCCAGGTAACGCTGTCCATCCTGGATATGAGTGCAGAAATAATCTACCACCCTCAAATCTTTATCTCCAGCTCAAACGCCCACAGGTCCCGACCCAGCTAGGCAGGGTGGGCAGACACCCCTGCTGTGAAGGTCTCAAGGCAGCACACCCTCATCACATCCCACACTAACCTTATCAAGCCAGCCCCCGGCTCCTCCTCCGTCCCCCATCTGGTGGCCCCACCACCCTTGTTATCCTAGACTCTGCTTCCACTGCAACCTCACACACATCAGAACCTTTACAACCCAATCAGACAACAAGTTTTGTCCAGTTTCTCTTAAATCCATCTAGAATGCATCTTCTCTGCTTTAATCCAGCCCTAATCTTTGGCCAGGCCACTGATGTGTCATCCAACCCATCTTCTACATTGTCAACAGTGTTCACAGCCAATCAGTTCACTCCCGGGCTTAAAACCCCATCCCCTGGATGTGGCCCAAGCTCTTCCAAACTTGGTCAGTGACAGAAAGACTCAAGCAGTTTCTGCTCCAGGGATTTAAGCAGCACTCCTGACTCTGGCTTCTGGTTACCTCTATAGCACACCACGCCCACAGGTGGGGGAGAAAATATCAAAATGCGCTTTCGAAGTAAGGCAAATTTCCAGAGGATGAGGATCTGTTCTCCAAAGAACTTTATAAACTGAGACATGCAGCCAGCTGGGTGTGTGATCTGAAAAAATTGAGGGGAATAGGGAGGAGAAAGAGTGAGGAACAGCTTCTTAGAAATATAGCAAAAGGTATCTAATCTCCTTCTCTGAAATTCTAAAGTCCATCCAAACAGATACATTAAAGGATGCTTATTTCCACACACAATGATGTTTTTCACTTTAAAAGTCTTACCTTTAAACTGGATTTCTATAATACAACAGCTCCCTGATACACTGATGTTTGAGTTGAGTGATCATTATTTTACTCAGGAGAACAATGCAAAGGAAACAAAGCTAAATTTAAATTTAAAAAAACCAGAATAAAAGCATCTGCTTCAATAAGAAAACTCAACTCGAAAACATTACTAAGCACTGTTAAGTAATAACATGATGAGCAAACAGTCCCCAGTCAGATCCCAAATCTATGGGGGCTGCTACTGTGCAAAGTGAGGTGTCTGCAGAAGTCACAGGTAGGAAGGAGCCCCTGGCATAACCCCTGCTGCACTTCACCTCTGACCACTCTTCCTTCTTTTTTTGAGATGGAGTCTGACTCACTCTGTCACCCAGGTTGGAGTGCTGTGGCGTGATCTTGGCTCACTGCAACCTCTACCTCCTGGGTTTGATTTTCCTACCTCAGCCTCCCAAGTAGCTGGAATTACAGGCATGCACCACCATGCCCGGCTAATTTTTGTATTTTTAGTACAGACAGGGTTTCACCATGTTGGCCAGGCTGGCTTTGAACTCCTGACCTCAACTGATTCGCCCACCTTGGCCTCCCAAAGTGCTGGGATTACAGGCGTGAGCCACCACGACTGGCCCCACTCTTCCTTCTGTCACTAACTGGCAACCCCTGAATTGCCTTCTAGGAACACTGAGCCAAGGAGTATCATAGGGGTTAAGAGCATAAGCTCTGATCCCAGGAAGAGCTGAATTCCAATCCTGGCCCTGCCATTTACTAACAGGGAGATCTGGGGAAAGTTAGCTAATGTTTCCGGTTCACTATCCTTAACTGTGAAATACGGAATCATCACCTACCTCGTAGGGTTACTTTAAGGACCGCCTGAGACAAAACATGAAATAGCACATAAAAATAGCCAATATGGGGTGGCCACTACTGTTGCTTTGAAAAACAGAAAGGCTTCAAACCCTGGGCCTTGTGAGCTTTGTGAAAGGTCATTTCCATGCCAAAGTGCCAGAAGAAAGAGCTCATCACCCATCAGGGAGGCAGGCAAGAGCACTTCTGAGAGAGGCACCGACTCTCGGGCTGCGTGCTAGGGTTTAACAACCACCAGCCTTCAGAGGCACCTATACCCGAGCCTCAGGGCAGCCTCTGCACTCTGCCTGTCCAAGCCAGGGCTGTCCTGGACCCTCCGAAGCTGTGTCTGCACTACCCGGAGAGGATTTCCCTTTCCAAGGCATCACTCCTGCACTGATACCATTCCCCTACCCCATGCCAGGATAAAGGCGACCCTGAACTGAACATGTCCTGTTTGCCACCCACGCCTACTCCTCTGCCACCGCAACCCAAATCATGAGGAGGAGAGGCACCAAGTGACCAAGGCTGGTTGCATCCCTCCAATCGCTATTTCTCTTCAAAGTCTAACAGCAACCAGATAGGAAAGGGTGCCAAAGCACGTGCCGGTTCCTCCCAGCTTTCCCACTGGTTATCTTCAAGCTCCCAACTTGTTCTTCCACCACACAGAGGCCAGGTGGGGCTTGCCCAATGTATATTTTATAGGCTAGTGGGAGAAAGCGATTAAAATATAGCCTGACAGAGCCATGATGGGAGAAGAATGGGGCATGGTGGAGCAAACTGGAGGGTGCCTGATCCCACTCTAGGAGAGACAGAAAAGACTTCCTGGGGGAAGTGATGTTGAAGCTTCGACATAAAGATGAATCTGAGGCCGGGTGCTGTGACTCATGCCTGTAATCCCAGCACTTTGGGAGGCCGAGGTGGGTGGATCACAAGGTCAGGAGTTCAAGACCAGCCTGGTCAACATGGTGAAACCCCATCTCTACTAAAAATACAAAAAATTAGCTGGGTGTGGTGTCGCGTGCCTGTAATCCCAGCTACTTGGGAGGCTGAGGCAGAAGAATTGCTTGAATCTGGGAGGCAGAGGTTGCAGTCAGTTGAGATCACACCACTGCCCTCCAGCCTGGGCAACAATGCGAGACTGTCTCAAAACAAACAAACAAACAACAAACAAAAACAGATGAATCTGAGGGAAGGTGTTCACATACAAAGGCCTGCAGGTAAGAGGCAACATGGCCCTTCTTGGGACCTGCAAGTAGTTCAGGCCCTGTGCCCAGGCCCATGCCAGGGAAGCACTGCCCACAGGGCCACCTCCTTTCTTCTAAAAGGGTCAGCTCTAGAGACTTCTCACCCCTTCTCACCTGCACATGCAACAGAAATTCCTCCTGCTTTCATTGAAATCTCTTTCCCTTTTTCCAGCCTTGTTTCTCTGGCTTTTACAGAGAAATCTCTTTTCTTGATGTCTCCAGTGCGTACCTTCATGTTTTCCCTCCAACCTTTCAAGTCCATACTCCATCCTCTTTTCACTCCAATTTCTTTTTACTCCCTAACCACTGTCAGTTCAGTGTCCATAGCAGGCTCTGATAGACCCATGCCTGCCACTAGGGAAGCCCTCCACTCCCGGGGCCCAGCCCCCCTCCCCTGTATCCCTCTCCCACTCCCCCATTTTCCTAAGGGGAGCATTTAGCAGCCACATCTGGACCTCTCAGAGAGGTCTTCCTCTTCCCTCTGCTTCCTTTCCAGTTTATTTTTTTCCCTCTGAAACATTCCTATATCTGACTCCTACATTAAAAGCTTACTTCTTTAAAGTTTTTTTTTTTTTTTTTTTGAGAGGGAGTCTTGCCCTGTGTGGCCCAGGCTGGAGTGCAGTGGCGCTATCTCAGCTCACTGCAACCTCCGCCTCCTGGGTTCATGCAATTATCCTGCCTCAGCCTCCCAAGTAGCTGGGATTACAGGCGCATGCTACCATGCCTGGCTAATTTTTCCATTTTTAGTAGAGATGGGGTTTCACCATGTTGGCTAGGCTGGTTTTGAATTCCTGATCTCATGATCCACCTGCCTTGGCCTCCCAAAGTGCTGGGATTACAGGCATGAGCCGCCGTGCTCAGACTAAAGCTTTTCTTTATACGTGTGTTCATGTTGTAAAAATTCATTGAATTATATACGTATGATTTTTGAACTTATTTCTATAAAGTTTTATATTTCAATAAAAAGCTTAAAGATATATATATATTATTTTCCATACATGACAAGTATTGTATCATATATACTATTTTTGAACTTATTCCTATAAAATGTTATATTTCAATAAAAACTGACAGATATATTACATTATTTTCCATCCATGACAAGTATTATTATATCATACATGCTATTTTTTTTTTTTTTTTTTTTGAGACGGAGTCTCGCTGTCGCCCAGGCTGGAGTGCAGTGGCGCAATCTCGGCTCACTGCAGGCTCCGCCCCCTGGGGTTCACGCCATTCTCCTGCCTCAGCCTCCCGAGTAGCTGGGACTACAGGCGCCCGCCACCTCGCCCGGCTAATTTTTTGTATTTTTAGTAGAGACGGGGTTTCACCGTGTTAGCCAGGATGGTCTCGATCTCCTGACCTCGTGATCCGCCCGCCTCGGCCTCCCAAAGTGCTGGGATTACAGGCGTGAGCCACCGCGCCCGGCCTCATACATGCTATTTTTAAGTACTGTCATTTTTTTTTCCTGGTCCCTGCCTTTTTTGTACATGTAAGCCTTGCCCTACCGCATCCCATACTTTACCTCATCCAGGGAATACATAACTTAATAAGCTCATATACACCCATCAATACTTTCCATGTTTATGTCTGGGTGTGTGTGTGTCTCTATCTAGACAGACACTGTGATTGTTTAACAACAGTGTAATCATATCACATGTACAGTCGGCTGGCCCTCTGTATCCCCTAATACCATATTCTCAGATTCAACCAACTGCATGCAGATCAAAAATATTTGGAAGAATAAAGAATAACAATAAGAAAATTTAATACATGTAAAAACCAACATAGTATAACAACTATGTGCGTAGCATTTCCATTGTATGAGGTATTATAAGTAACCTAGAAATGATTTAAAGCACAGAAGGTCCCTGATTTACCATGATTCAACTCACCAAGTTTTCAACTGTATGATGGGTTTATTAGGATGTAGCCCCACGTTAAGTCAAGAAGCTCCTTAAGACTTTGATGGGATTATGGCTTCTACTGAATGTGAATTGCTTCCGCACCATCATAAGGTCGAAAAATCATACATTAAGTGGACCCGTCGTAAGTCAAGGACTGTTGGCTGGGTTGCCAGCATTAAATGCACTTTTGACTTACAATGTTTTCAACTTACAATAGGCTTATGGGGGTGTAACCCCACAGTAAGTTGAGGAGTATCTGTATATGGGAGGAACTGCATAGGTTATATGCACATACTACACCCTACTACATGGGAACGTGAGCATCTGCAGATTTGGGTATCTGAGGGAGGGTGCCTAGAACCAAGGCCCTGCAAATACCAAGGAATGATGAGTTTTCTGCACGTTGCTATTCTCACACAAATGAGATCTGGTGATCCTTCCATGTCACCTTCTTATGCTCTAATTCACTACTCACTATGGCTTTCTAGTTTTCTACCACTGTGAACAATGTTGAATTAAATATTGTTACACATACGTCATTCTGATGGATAGATCCTGAGGAGTAAGGTTGCTGAAACAAAAGGCACATGTTTTATTTATTTATTTATTTAGAGAAGTCTCACTCTGTTGCCCAGGTTGGAGTGCAGTGGTGCGATGTTGGCTCACTGCAACTTCTGCCTCCCGGGTTCAAGCAGTTCTCCTGCCTCAGCCTCCCAAGTATGTGGGATTATAGGCACCCACCACCAAGCCTAGCTAATTTTTGTATTTTTAGTAGAGATGGGGTTTCACCATGTTGGCCAGGCTGGTCTCAAACTCTCGACCTCAAGTGATCTGCCCGCCTTGGCCTCCCAAAGTGTTGGGATTACAGGCGTGAGCCACCATGCCTGGCCGTTTTTTATTTTGATGTGCTGACATATTGTTTTGTAAAAAGAAGACACTCCACTGTTATTTGTATCTGCAACCATAACGGTACCCTCTTCCCTGCATCTCCTAGGGTCTAACAGTTATGTTAATGAGCTGTCCTCAAAAGCATGGGCCATTTTCTTTTTTCTCTCTTAGTCCCTCATCCCTGGACTCTTATGGGGAAGAATACGAGTACATTTAGGTCAGATGCTGGTCACCTCCCTGTGGATTTGGAGATAATTCCAACAGAAATTGGACTCTGAAGGAAAAAATGGGTCTAAGTTATGAGCAGACAGAAAGAGAACAGGACTCAGGTCAGTGCAAGCCCAGAGTACCTCTAATGGCCCTCTAACGATTTCTTAATGATTGTCTCTCAGCCTACGCCACGGGGTTGGGAAACCTGCAAATGACAATTCCTAAACTCATACGCCAATTGGCTTCCTGTTAGAGTTCTTCAATGGAGAGCATGGACTGTAGATTGAAAGGCAGAAGGAAATCTCTTCTGTTTCTTGCTCCAGCTAGTATTTCTCCAGGAGCAGAAGACACCTATGACTCCAGCCTCCAGCTTTCCTTAGCATGCACAGCACACGTGGAGCCACACCTCCTGAGAGGTCCCAGCACAGATGCGCAGTGCCTCCCTCAGCGATCTGAGCACTGGCTGTGCAGGGACCCCTCCTGCAGGCTCCCATGGTTTTGCTCATTCTGCTTCTCTTGCTTTGTTACCCTAGCCCTAAGGAAGGGTGGCAGGCAGCCTCTAAGATAGTCCCCAGTGATCCCCACCTCTTGGTATTTACAGCCTTATGCAATCCCCTCTTGCTCTTGAGTAATTTGCTTCTAAGAAAATATGGTGACATTGCAGGGCTGTCACTTCCATGGTTAGGTTACAAAGGGTTCTGACTTCCATCCTGCTAGTATACTCTCTTACTGGCTTAGATAAAGCAAGCTCACATAGTGGAGAGACCCACATGGCTAAGAACTGAGGGGAGCCCCCAACTAACAGCCAGCAAGGTACTGAGGCCTTCAGTTCAAAACATCCCTCAAGAAATTCGATCCTGCCAACACCCACCTGATCTTAGAGGTGGATACCTCCCCAGTCAAACCTTCAGATGAGCCCCTAACCCTGGCTGAAACCATCTCATGAGAGATTGTGACATAGAGAATCTGGTTAAGCCATGCTGGGATTCCTGACTTACAGAAGCTGTGAAATAATAAATATGTACTGTTTTAAACCATTAATTTGGGGATTTGTTCCACAGCAATAAATCACTAATATAGGGTGTTAGTCAGGCTATTATCTATAATTACTAAATATGGGTTACCTATTCCTTTTTTACTCCTTCAGCCTTCCAACTCCTATATTACTGATTTCCTGTCTTAAATTAGTTTGAAATACCTACATGGTCTCTTTACCCGGTAAGCCCCTAATTGGTACTTATTAGGATTCAAGCTCCAGGGTCTACTATTTAAAGCTCTCTACAATCTAATTTCAGCCTATTTCTCCAATCACTTCCCTCATGCCAGCTGACAAACATTTAATCCCAGCCAAACTAGTTTGCTCATGTCTCATGAACTTGTCTTGCATTTTTCCGTGTCCACATCTCTGCAAAGGCAATGAAGTGGGGCAGGAAACATGCACTGGCTGTGGCACTAGACCTCTGTTTAAATCTTAGCTCTAACTCCTATTAGCTATAAGACCTAAAGCAAGTCACTAGCCCTTTATAAGCCTCGGTTGTTTTCGCTGGAAAACAAGGAATAAAAAAAAAAAAACAAAAAACATTTACTTTTATTTTAGAGAATGCTGCAACAGGTACAGATAAATAGCTGGCACAATGCATAACTCCCAGAAGGTGCTGAGAAAGTGACAGACCATGGTTCTCACTGCTGCTCACACCTTTCCTGGTTCTGGAATCAGCATTCCTCACTTTCCACCTAGCCAAATACTCAGGGACTGCGTCCTCTCCTAAGGCATCTTCCCAGAGTTCTCCCTTGGACTCTTGGCATAATTTCTCTACCAGGGGAGCCCTAGGTTTCCATGGAAATATCCTGTGACCAACCACAGGAGACAGAGAGGGAAGAGAAAGAGGAGATTCATGTTCTTAGTCATATTTGCACCCTTCCAACACCTAACGCTTTGCTGGGTGTTTTGCTAACTGTAAATAGGCATATTCTAGTACCAAAGCCAAAGTACTTCAGGAACAAATACAGAACGAAGTAACATCAGAAGTGTCTTAACTAAGAAATGTCATACTTCTTCATCAGACTCTTCATCTTTAGTTCAAATGTCTAGTGTTAAAATATCAGAAGCAATCAACAGAATTAAATCTATCTTTTCACAACTGGCCTATCACACACGCCTTTATACTATGATTACAGAAGTGTCTAGAAAGCATATTGTTTAAGATAACTTGCCTTATGTTTTAAAAAAACCAAATGCTTATGTTGCAACTCTGTTCTATCAAAAGTAGACATTTTGTATGATCCAAAGACATAAATTTTTTATTCATTAAAAAGTAATCAACAGCTACTATTCCCAGATACAGATCCAGTATAGTGTAAGAAAAGCAGGGCTAACCTCACCTTCATCTCAGGGTACATGTATCGGTGGATGGAAGGCAGCCAGTAGACAGGGGGCAGGCTGCTGCCTCTGCCGGGACCAGCATGGAGCACCCCCTTTTTGTCCTCATAGAAGGCAGCCAGATGAGAGTAATGTCCTGGCATCTCCAACTGGTGCCTGCAGAAAAACACACACACACACACACACACACACACAGTGAGAACAGCCCTGGTCACAGCTCTGCTACCACTCCTACCCTCCGCCCACCTCAAGGGGCTGTAACACTCAGGGGCAAAGGCCCTGACATACTCCAAAGATCCCCATTTGGAGGTTGCTTAGGTCACCTCCTTTGATGTTACAGAAGATCCTTAGGAAAAGTTCAAACATGGGCCTGAAACTCCCTGACAACACCATGGAACACATTCTTTTTCTCATGGGAAACAGACAGAATTAACAGACTATGACTAATGTCTATTGTTCTTGAGCAAGGTACGCCGGAGACTGGGTGCCACTTCCCAGAGAATGGCTGCTTCCTGTGAGAAGGGCCAGCTTGGAAGCCTAAAATTCCCTGCTTAAAGCCGCTCTTTGTTTAGAGAACTCACGCTTGCCTGCTTGCTTTGTTGTTATGGAAGAATACGGAGCTTACCCCAAATGTCTCAAATAAGGGAAAACAATTATTATTGGATGTCATCAGGGCTCATAATTTCTGCATCAAGTATAATAATAAAGAAATAAAAAGCATCAGAATCTCTTCTCTGCCCGCTCCACCAGCTCGGGTCACAGAGCCTGGCTGTGGCTGGCCCTGCTGGCCAACCCCAGACCCCAGAACCCAGAAGGCAGCACCGAAGCCCTGGGCCATTTCAACAGTGGAGAATCCTGCCCCCCAGTGGAGCGCAGGAGCACTGTGAGGACTGTTTGTCACTATATTTAATGGGGATGTTATAGGTTGAATTTTGTCCCCACAAAAAAGATGGGGCCCCAGCACCTCACTCAGAATGGGACTTTTTTGGATAGCATCTTTACATAGGTAATCAAGTTAAAATGAAGTTACTGGAGTGGGCCCTGGTCCAGTATGAATGCTGTCCTTATAGAAAGGGGACTTTTGGACACATAGACACACACATACAGCAAACAGCAGGTGAACGTGACGACAGAGACTGGGATGATGCATCTACAAGCCAAGGAACCCCAAAGATTGCCAGCATCCACCAGCAGCTCAGGGAGAGTCCTGGAACGGATTCTCCTGCATAGCCCCAGAGGGAACTCACACTGCTGAGACCTTGACTTTGGGCTTCCAGCCTCTAGAACAGTGAGACAGTATGTTTCTGCTGTTTTAAGCCACTCAGTTTTGGCACTTTGTTATGCAGCCCCGGAAAAGCCCTAATTGAGGGAGGAATAAAAAGCGACAAAACCCTCTTAGCCCATCTTTATTTTCTCAGTGTCCTACAATTTCCATCAATCAATGAACAAAAAGCAAAATATAGCTTCACTGAGCAAGGGAAACATCCCTAATTATGGTTGGCCCTGGAACAGCAGTGATTAAAAATAGGCACTCCCCGCTGCCACACCGCCTCTGCAAACTGCCACGGTGGCTTACCCCAAACTATGACACAAACTGTTGAGTCAAGATTTTCATCAACCAACTATAGCCTTCTATTCTCCAACCATCTCTACTCCAGAGTGATTTACAGCTCTTATGTCAAAGTGATGACAAGAGACCTTCAGACAAATTTATATTTTAAAAAGGAAAAAAATCATCACTATATTCATATAATGATTACTAATGTAAGATGGATGATAGCGCCAATTTCAGGGCTCCTATGCATTTTAAGTTTTGACAAGGAGGTAGTCCTACTATAACAAATATAGTCCTCCTATAACAAATAACTAGTTGGGAGGAGGTTGCTTGTAGTCACTTAGTTCACTTTTACAAATGTTCATGAGCTAGACAGGAAACCCATGGTCTAAGCTGTGTCTGACTATTCTGAGAAGATGGCAGATTTCAGATACTTTTTAGGGAAGTTTGTCAAACTGACGAAAGTCTGATTCACAGAAAATCATACAAAGGCAATTATGTTCAAAGGTGTTTTTATTAGGATGGAATTTCCCTAAAAAGAACACTGAGAATCATTTTATCATATTTTAATACTACATTTTCTGTGTTATAGGGGGCTGTGTCAAGGGTAATTTATATTTTTTCATTCAAAGTTGTTTCATTAGTATCAAATTTCCCTAAAAAGAATACTGAGAATCATTTTATTATATTTTTAATACTACATTTTCTGTGTTAAAGGGGGCTGTGTCAAGGGAAATATTTTTTCATTTTCTAGGTTTATTGTTTGCTGATTTGCTGCTCAGTTGTCTTTTCTGTTTGACTACATTAAACTCTATACTTGAACCACGATTCTAAAGAAAAGTTCAGTACAAAAGTTAGAGTCCTTTAGACAAAGAACTAATATGAGGATTCTGTCCTTTGATTGCCTCAGATATTACTGACTGATGGGACAGAACAAGGCAATAATATGGAATCTGAACATAGACAAAAATACAAATTGGCAGTTCCTGGATGAATGTTAAGCAACTGCTGTATGAAAGACTCAAAATTTAAACACACTACAGATTTTGCAACAAACAAGATTGTCAAACTACAATATCAAGAAAAACCAAAAAGTACTGACACAAGGCTCAGAGTGCTGGATGATAAGTTAGTCTTCAAAGATGATGTCAAAGCAGCCCTTCCTGGTGAACTTACCTACAAGAATGCAGAAATTGAGAAACCACCACACCGAAATGCATGCCAAACCACCTATGGAAACTGTCCAAGAGCCGTGACACTGTAAAAACTAGAGAATAACCGGCTCAATATATATTATTAATCAGAAGCCATAGGCTGCTGGGCCAGAGACACTGGGATTCTCCTTAAGCCCACAGCTCCTTCACTGATAAAACACAGCCATATGTGGCCATGCAGATGCCCAGTGCAACTGACCCTGCCTGTCCCTACCACACTGGCAATAATTCATCCACGATCAGAATCAGAGATGCCTTTGTGCGACAATTACACTTCATCACTCTGGTGTGTTAATTATTGGTCTGAACAGGCCGGGCGTGGTGGCTCACGCCTGTAATCCCAGCACTTTGGGAGGCTGAGGTGGGCGGATCGCTTGGGGCCAGAAGTTCGAGACCAGCCTGGCCAACATGGTGAAACCTGTCTCTAATAAATATCCCAGCTACTCGGGAGGCTGAGGCACGAGAATTGCTTGAACCCAGGAGGCGGAGGTTGCAGTGAACCGAGAGAGATCACGCCATTGCATCCAGCCTGGGTGACAGAGCGAGACTCTTGTCTCAAAAAAAAAAAAATATATATATATATATATATACACATATATATGTGTGTGTGTGTGTGTATTTACATATGTGTATATATATTTATATATATTTATATGTGTGTGTGTGTGTGTATATATATATATATATGTATATATATATATATATCTGTCTGAACAAATCGTCTTCTAGCTCCTGGCTTTGCAAATGCAGAAAACTAAGCACTCCCATTTACTGCGGGTGCAGGGATACTGTGACACCACCTTCTGAAGGGTAACTTACAGCTTGTATTAAATTGTACATTGTACACATCCTCTGATCTAATGATTCTCCTTCTCGGAGTGAGGCCTAAAGAACTATTTCTAGACATGAACAGTCATTTACTCACAAGGATGCTGATGTTCACAGGGGTGAAAAAAACAAGGAACACCCTAAAAGCCCAATAACAGTGAAACAGTTAAATAAATTGTGATGTATCTATATACTGAAATGCTGTGAAACCACAATAATGTTGAGGACATAATTCATGATACACCGGAAAGGTTAATATACCAAGTTACAAAATTTACATACTGAATGACCTCAATAATCTTTTTTTTTTTTTCTTTTGGAAATGGAGTCTCGCTCTGTTGCCCAGGCTGGAGTGCAGTGGTGCAATCTCAGCTCACCGCAACCTCCACCTCTGGGTTCAAGCGATTCTCCTGCCTCAGCTTCCCGAGTAGCTGGGACTACAGGTGCACACTGCCACGCCCAGCTAAGTTTTTGTATTTTAGTAGAGACGGGGTTTCACCGTTGTTGCTCAGGCTGGTCTCGAACTCCTGAGCTCAGGCAATCTGCCTGCCTCGGCCTCCCAAAGTGCTAGGATTACAGGCGTGAGCCACTGCGCCCGGCCAATAATCCTTTTTAAAAGAAATAAAATAAAATAAAACGTGTATGTATAATATATATTTGCACATGGGAAAAGACTAGAATGGTATAAAACGAAATGTTAACAGTAGATATGTCTGGCTGGTGAGATCATTTTTTTCTTTGAGCTTTTCTCTATTTTTTAAAGTTTCCTATAATAACTATTTCTTAATTTTATACTTAGTCATTTTAAACTTTTCACTATGAACATTTTCAAACATATACACAAAATGTAGAAAGAAGAGAATGAACCCCATGTATTTATCATCTAGCTTCAATAATATTTGATCCATATGGTTATATCTATACCCTATACCCTACCATTACCACTTTTTTCCTAGAATGTCTTAAAGAAAATCCCACCTCATAACATTTCATTGATAAGTGCTTTGTAAGGCATCTCTAACTGATAAAGTCTGTTTAAATAACGTAACACATAATCACCATGCCATTATCTCATTTAACAATAATAATGCCTTAATATAAATATCTAGTCCACATTCAAAATACAGCCACTGTCCCCCAAATGCTATTTTACCGTTGGTTTGTTTGAATTGAGATCTGAGCAAGGTAAAATGTGGTTATGAGTCGTAGGTCCCTTTATTCAATAACAGTCCCTCTTGCCTCTAATTTAATTTTTTAAATTATGAAATAGTTCTCCAATATCTTCTGATTAAGAAATAATCATTAAAAAGACTCTTTAGAGAGATACTGAGGGCAAAAATTGTAGATGAAATACAAGTAAATAGGTTTGGAACATCAGAAGTCAGAAGAAATATAAAACACAGATTAAGTGTTGCAGAAATGAAGACTAGTGAATTTATGTAAAAGTTGCTGCTGTATTCAAGTATTATCCTAAGCTAGACCTAAGCTTATCTAACTGTGCTTCTTTCTTTTCCTCATACTCTGTCATACAAGTCTCTTCTCTTATGTTACCTATAGCCCTCTTTAACCACCAAGCTGCAAAACCTTTCTAGCTATGACTCAAAATCTAGAAGCCATAAAAAGATGCATGAATTCAAAGAAAAACACCTACATGACAAGAAGGCAATGTTAAAAGACAAATGAAAAAGTGGTAAAATATTTTCAATTTATACAAAGAAACAAAGAAAAAATTTCCCTATTGTACAAACTCCTAGAAATTAATAAGAAAAGGCTGGGTGTGGTGGCTCATGCCTGTAATCCCAGCACTTTGGGAGGCTGAGGCGGGTAGATCACCCAAGGTCGGGAGTTAGAGACCACTCTGACCAACATGGAGAAACCCCACCTCTACTAAAAATACAGAATTAGCCAGGCGTGGTGACACATGCCTGTAATCCCAGCTACTCTGGAGGCTGAGGCAGGAGAATCGCTTGAACCTGGGAGGCGGAGGTTGCAATGAGCTGAGATCACACCATTGCACTCCAGCCTGGGACACAAGAGCGAAACTTTAAAAAAAAAAAAAAAAAGTAAAAGAAATTAATAAGAAAAGGTAAACAACAAAATGTAGCAAAGGCTAGAAATGGTTCACAGAAAAAGAAATACAAATGACTCAAACATACATAAAGGTGCTTAACCTCACTTATAAGAAAAATACAAATTAAAACTATACTGATGTACTGTTCTTTTATCCATCAGGTTAGAATGTTCAAACTTTCATTTTGTGTTGGCAACGTTGAGGTGAAACAGGCATTCTCTTGCATTACTACTGGGCATGCAAATGGCACAACCTCTATGGGAAGCAATTTGACAGAATCTATTAAAATTACATACATATATCCTTTGAGCCATCAATTTCATTTCTGACAATTTAATATACAGATATACCC
The DNA here is from genome assembly GCF_000001405.40 of Homo sapiens. NCBI lineage: Eukaryota > Metazoa > Chordata > Mammalia > Primates > Hominidae > Homo > Homo sapiens. The sequence continues at coordinate 141,680,085 of NC_000007.14, forward strand.
CTCACGTGTGAAATGCATGATATTCAATGCAGCATCATTTGTAGCAGGAAATGGACTGGAAACAACCAAATGTCTATTAATAATGAACTTGATAAATGCTATAATTCTATAGAAGGCATATGACACAGCTGAAAACAAGGAAGAAACTCTCAACCTACTGATATGAGATCTTTCATGCTGTTGAATGAAAAAGGCTAGGTGCAAAACAACACAAATAACATGCTATCTTTTGCAAGAAAAGGGAGACAGTAAGAATATACATTTGTATTTGTATATATACACACACACACACTTTGGGATGATACATGAGAAATGAACTGTGATTACTGAGATTATTTGGATGGATATGGGAACTGGGTGAAGATTTTTCACTTTATGTGAGTGGTAGTCTGCCATACTCTTCTTCCTTTAGTAACAGAACCTTCCAAATTTTAGATGGACACACGGACGCCCAGCTAAAGGCCACATTTCCCAGATTGCCTTGCTACTATGTGTGCCTAGTAACCAAGAACTGGTCAATGGAATGTGAACAGAGGTGGTGTGTTCAACTTCCAGATCACTCAAGTTCCAGATCCCAGAAGTTGAACACAGCACCTCTGCTCACATTCCATGGAGCCAAGGTCTTTCCCTCTTCCTACATGCTAGAAAATGACAATGTAATGGGGAGACAGCTTCTACCATGTGGATGAGGACAACAACTCTAGAAAATGACATAATGTAAGACTGAATGACTCAGGTCCAAGAATGACCAGTGGAACAGAACCACCTACCCACAATGAACTACTACGACTGCCATGCTGGAAAAGCTGTAATTCTATCTTACTGTGTCACTGTATTGGGGGTCTCTTCTTCATTATAGCAACTTAGCCTATACTCTAAAAGCCAAAAACGATACCTGGAAATGAGTTACTACAGTATCAAAAACCATATAGAGACACTGGCTTTGTTGCTGGAAGGGGAGGGTGGTGAGAAAATAGATATTGCAGACTAGAAAGCTGGCAACCCTTGTTACACTTGTAGCAAAACATCTGCTAAAACTTCAATAACTTGGGAGACCCTGTGTCATCTGAATTTGTAGCTTTATGGGAAGCAGTTGGCAGTAGAATGCTGGTGTGTGTTGACTGCCCCTTGTATGCTTTTAGTGAGCTACTGTAAGAATAAGATAAAAACAAACAAGAACTGGCTGGTTTGCAAGGAAAAACGGAATAAAATACAGCCTACTAAGGGTCATGTGTTCTAAATTTGGCAATATAAATCCACTGAGATTCCAACAATTTGGGACCCCACAGGGCTGGAAAAGCCAATGCTACTGTACACCAAAAGCAGGAGACAGGAGTCTCTCTCAGGGCATCTATGAAAGTCTCCAGTTTAGTATTCTTGGGCAGACAAGGGAGTCAGCTTATTTACAAAGATCAGATTTAGGGAATCACCTCAAGGAAGTTATTATGAAAATGAGGGAGAAAGGGATGGGCCAAAAAGAGAGGCCAGTAACTATAATCTAGTCTGCTAATTAAAAACAATGACCCAAAGAAGATCTTTGGCCATGGATATTTTACCTGGAACTGACTGGAAGCAAACAAACGAGAAGTCAATTTAGTTTTTGAGAGACATGTATTGTCACATGCTTGGCTTATAAAAGCCTGTGACTTCTTGACCCCTTAAGAAACCACTAGACCTCCAAATCTATACCAGCAGGAAAGGTGTTCTAAAGCTGTACAGCCTCAAGAAAGGCATGTTCTCCAATGCCCACTGTAGATGTGGTTATGGAGGAAAATGAAGAAAGAATCTTCTAGAAGACAAAGCCAAGTGCCATGGAGGACAATGGACAAGGGATTCTACACAACAGAACCAAAGTTGAGCCAAGAGCATACTGACTCTGCAATTCTTGCTCAGCAGAATTTCACTGTTGTTATGAACTAGTGACCATCCGTATTTCTCATTCTTCCCTTTTCCAAACAGAAGCTTGTATTGTGGTTCCTACTTTACCTCCTATATTGCATTTGGGAGGTAGGGAGTAGAGGGACTTGTCTATTCTTTTATAAGTTTTCAGGGTAAGAAGAACCATGCCCTGGCCTAACGTAAAGGACTACTGCGCACTACAGAGAAATCCTAGATTTTAGACTGGAAGCATGAACTGAATGAGACTCTGTGATGTCTCCTTTGGGGTGGGAGGAATGGCCTCTACAAGGGGGAAGAAGAGTATACATGGATACCTGAGTGGCCAGAGGGGCAAACTGAAGCAGAAGCTGCTAACTTTTTCTCAAAGTCAAGTCTTCCCTTCTTCCTGTTTGTAACCAATGCCCCAGAGTTCTAACTGGTCACAGGGTCACCCACCTAGTAGTGATGCTTCCCAGGCTACTTTGCTGTTGGGTGTGTCTCTGTGATTGAGGACTTGACAATGGAATATGAGAAGTGAGATATGTAAATTCTAGTCTTTCCTTCTTCCCTATGGGCTGAAATGCAAACATAATAGTAGTGAGCAGCTTTTAACATTTGGGAAAGAGCACCTTACAATACAAAACCATTCTTAGGATACGGTGGAATAACAAGAGATGAATGTGGGTCCCTGAACAATTGTATGGAACAGAGCAGGCTACCCAACTTGACCACCTGCCTACCTCTACGCTATGACATGAGCAATAATCTTTTATCGTAATCCGGCCATAGTAATTTTGGGCCTCTGTTCTTGCCTTTTAGCCAGGACCCTATCCAATATAATACCACCTTAAAATTTTTGGATTTTGAACCATGAAACTGTATTGCCTACTTGGAGAATTAGCTTTTTAAAAGGAATAATATTGTTTTAAAAGTGTCAAAATCCCAATAAAATGGTCTTTTTTAGAACTTCATAATATTACTTCTGAGACAAAAAAAAAAAAAACTGAGGAAATATTTTGAGTACAGAAAAAGACATATGTGCAAATGTATTTTCCACAGCTCCAAAAGGTAGAGGAGCAGCTAAAAAAATAAACAGTAAATAGAAACATGCTGCATGTTCAGCCACAGAGAATAACCAAGTAAATGTATAGGACAGCTCCAGCATTGAAGAGCTATTAAAATAAGCATCAAAATGACAAACAGGGAAGACAATGGGAGAAAAACATATGCATCATGGGTATTCCTGGAGAAGAAAAAAACAGAATGCAAAAGTTAAATATTTTATTAAAGAAGAAAAAGTTCCTAAAATTAAAAATAAAAGAACTATCTATTGAGCAAAGGGGACAAACTATCCCAGAACATACTGATATGAACTAATAAATATTTGGCAAGTTCAGGCCAGGCTCAGTGGCTCATGCCGGTAATCCCAGAACTCTGGGAGGCCGAGGTGGGCAGATCACGAGGTCAGGAGTTCGAGACTAGCCTGACCAACATGGTGAAACCCCGTCTCTACTAAAAAAAAATAAATAAATTAGCCGGCTGTGGTGGCGGGCCCCTGTAATCCCAGCTACTCAGGAGGCTGAGGCAGGAGAATTGCTTGAACCCAGGAGGCGGAGGTTGCAGTGAGCCAAGATCACACCACTGCCCTCCAGCCTGGGCGACAGAGTGAGACTCCATCTCAACAAACAAAAACAACAACAACAAAACAAAACAAAACATTTGGCAAGTTCAGAAACAGCACAGACAAAGACAGACTCTATAGGTATCTGGATGGAGAAACTTCTCCAAAACGACTAATTTCAGATAACAGTAGAACAATATCTATAGCATCCTCAGGGGAAGAAGAAAGCATTCAAGAATTGTACAACCAGCTGAGGATAAAGGGAACAGGCCAATAGTATTAATCATGCAAGATCCTTTCAAAGAAAGAAAAGTGCTTGATGGTAAAATTCAACCATTAAGGATTTTTATTTTTTTATTTTTTAAACAGGGTCTTGCTCTATCACTCAGGCTGGTGTGCAGTGGTGCAATCATAGCTCACTGCAGCATTGAACTTCTGGGCTCAAGCCATCCTCTCACCTCAGCCTCCTAAGTAGCTAGGACTACAGGTGCACACCACCATGCCTGGCTAATTTTTTTGTTTTTGTAGAGTTGGAATCTTGCTTTGTTGCCCAGGCTGGTCTTGAATTCCTGGCTTCAACTGATCCTCCTAAATTGATCCTCCTTGGCCTCCTAAAGTGCTGGGATTACAGGCGTGAGCCACCATTCCTGATCAATTTTAATGTTTATATATTGTTTCCCAGTAAAGTACTGACACCATATTGTCACGTTTTTCATAATTGTTTTTCTTAATTTTGGAGGAATATTTCAAGGAATAGTATATCTTACTGTGAAAAAACATTTACTTGAAGTTATAAGTCAAATTATGTTTAATATATTTCATTAACACAGCCTGCTATTTGAGAAAATTAAATTCATAAAATATTAATCCTATTTTTGTAAAGATATTTGTATTCTAGAATTGCATTCATGGAATATTGTCAATGGATATCTGTGAGTGTTAATATATGAGAGGATTTTTAAAAATCCTCTGTACTTTCATATAAATTTTTAAATAATAAACGTGTTTTCCACAAACAAGTTCATGGGTTCAAAGCTGAAGATCACAATTATGTTGCATAAAAATGTTTACGTAGTGATAAATTTTAAAAGTATAGACTATAAAAGAGGATATATATTGTATGATGCCAAATATATATTTTAAACGTACACACATACACAGAAAAGAAGTGGTAACATTTTGTCAGTGCTTCAGGGATTAGGGATAAATTTTCCCCTCAAAATCTGAAATGTAATTAGGTTACCTGCATGATGAAAAAAATGTAAAGTAACTAATCGTTTTGCTGCTTCTGTTAAAAATTCTCTTCCTATGCCAGGCACCTTGGCTCATGCCTATAATCTCAGCTCTTTGGCAGGCTGAGGCAGGAGGATCACTTGACTGCAGGAGTTCAGGACCAGCCTGGGCAATATAGTAAGAGCCTGTCTCTACCAAAAAAAAAAAAAAAAAATATATATATATATATATATATATATATATTTTTAAGTTCTCTTTCTATTATCCCAATCATAGTAAGAATCCCAATAATAAAAGAAGTAGGCTTTAAGAAAGTTTAGGATTTCTTTGCCTACTTGGGGCAAGGAGGTAACTATTGCGGCTTTGCATAAACAAAGATCATGTACCTGTCAAAAAATGACTTAATTTTAAAAAGTGATGGTAGTATTAAATCCAAACTGAAGGCAGAATATACCCCAGCTTTCATTATAGAGTGAAGACTCATCATGCAGGACGTTGGCTGAAACGAAAGGACACCACCCGAGGCGTGAAACATCGCCATGGATGTTCTTGGAAAGACATCTGCTGCTCTGGCACGCAAATGCTGTCTCCGAGGGCTCGTGCCATATGCACCAGCTGGTGGATCCTGCTGCCTCCCTGCACATGTACGGAAGCCACGTACCGAACCTGGTTCTCCAAGAAGTGCATGTAGCGGTAAAGCAGTGTGTAGGAGGGAGAGAGGATGCCCACAGACTTCATCCGCGCGCCACGTTCCAGCTCGCTCTCCACGGGCATGTTGGCAAAGCAGGCCAGGCCGAAGAAGGGCCCCTTTCGGAAATAGCTAGAAGAGACCAAATACGTAGTGTGGCTCAAGATCAGAGAGGAATTTTGAGATGCAATCCTAAACAAAACAAATGAACTGTGTTCGGGGCTGTCAATGACAAAGCTCAGCCTCAAGAAAACAAGCGGGCCAAGCCACATGACCTCACTGATGAGCTTGAAGAGATTACATAACTTGCCAAGGGTCACTTGGCTGGAGCTGGGACTTAGTCCGTGGCAAGCCTGCCGCTCAGCTGCCCACAATCATGGACACATCTCTTCTCTCCTGCACCACGACTAATGACTTGGATGGGTGAAGCAGAACCAACATTCCTCTTCAGGCTCCTCTGGAACTTGGACTCTCTTTCGTAGCATAAACCACAGTGATTCTTCCCTTACTTCCTGAGGCTCTGATATTTTTCACTGAGCTGCCATTTTATTTCCTCCTCTTCTCACACTTGTATCAATCATGAATTAAGCCCCATGAGGAGATTAAAGCCACTTCATTACCCTTAAGCTCTTTCCATTGTTCCTTCTCGCAAAACTCTCTGAATGCCCCACTACACAGGACTAAAAAATGGCCTTACTTAAAGCTGAAATTTCAAGGTTGAACACATAGATATCCTCAGTTAACTCACACGGGGCTGAAACTGTGCACTTTCATTAAAACCAAACCTCAAGTGAGGTCCATGTAATTTCTGAGAAAGTGAGAGAACCTCTACAGGCAGGGATTCTTAAGATTTGCAGGTCATGAAGCCCATTGAGAATCTGATGAAAGCTAGACATCTCACTAGAAAAATGATGTAAACACAAAACTATCCATGTATTTTCAAGGCATTTACACACAGCACACGAAGACCTCCTAATAAGAGCCCTTCAGCTTTGGGGAAAGTGTGGAGGTGGGGGGAATGGTACGAAGATGACTCCAGTTCAGAAGTACTTACATGAAATCAGATTGGATTTTATGGGACCCACTGGCCATAGACTTGAACTCAACACCTTCAAGGTCAATATCTTGAGGTAAGCACCATTCTACCATGTTTCCTGCAGGAAAAGGAAGATGCAAGTTAAAAGAAACAACATCATTCAAAGAAAATGGGTTAGTACAGGGCTTAGCACACATGGCTTTTCAATAAACCGACTGCTGACTCAGCCTCAGACAGACCAGCGAGATGCTCAGAGCTCAGCCCCTCCATCACTGGCAGGGGTGACGCCGGAGGACGTGGAGGTGGACACTAAAAGAACCTCCCATTTCTGCCCTCAAACACTGTTCTCCTCCCTCATGAGGATGCTGCGTTTGCTTCTGTCATTCTGCTCAACCACTTCCAAATCTGCTTTTTGTAGCCTCACTTCTCTGCATGTTTTTTTAACCTTCCACCCTCATTTCCTTATCTTGTGTTCTCCCCTTAATCCCTTGAGATCTTGATTCTATCTATAGCCACTAATGACTGGGAAAAAATCCCAAAACATTTTTTAAATTCTCATTCTCGTTTACCTCTAGGTAGCATTTGCTAATTCCTCAAACATTTCTCCTCTTTTTCCTGGATTTTCATGATAGAATACTATTTTAGTGCTTTTCCTACCTCTCTGACCAATGTAACTCTGTTTCCCCTCCTCTCTCTCTCCTCTCTAAGTGAGGTCCTTCTTCAAGGGACAATGATATTTGCTTCCAGAATTTTGGGACTCATTCACTCATCATTGATTATTCAGTTTCTCCTGAGCTAGATGCTGGAGATACAAAGTCCCTGACCTCAGTGAGATTAGATTCCAGAGAGAAATGAGGAGAGCTAGAGGAGATCAGCAGTTACAGTGCAGTGGGATCAATGTTATGACAGAGGATAAGGTGCGATTTTTTTTTTTTTTTCTCGAGACTGAGTTTCACTTTGTCGCCCAGGCTGGAGTGCAGTGGCACAATCTCGGGTCACTGCAAGCTCCACCTCCCAGGTTCAAGGCGATTCTCCTGCCTCAGCCTCCCACGTAGCTGGGATTACAGGCGCATACCAGCACACTCGGCTAATTTTTTTTTTTTTTTTTTTTGAGACAGAGTCTTGCTCTTGTCACCCAGGCTGGAGTGCAGTGGCGCGATCTCGGCTCAATGCAAGCTCCGCCTCCCAGGTTCATGCCATTCTCCCGCCTCAGCCTCCCCAGTAGCTGGGACTACAGGCACCTGCCACCAGGCCCGGCTAATTTTTTGTATTTTTAGTGGAGACGGGGTTTCACCATGTTAGCCAGGATGGTCTCAATCTCCTGACCTTGTGATCCGCCCACCTCAGCCTCCCAAAGTGCTGGGATTACAGGCGTGAGCCACCGCACCCGGCCATGCCCAGCTATTTTTTTTGTATTTTTAGTAGAGATGGGGTTTCACCAAGTTGCCCAGGCTGGTCTTCAACTCCTGACCTCAGGTGATCCACCTGCCTCGGCCTCCCAAAGTGTTGGGATTACAGGTGTGAGCCACCGCTCTAGGCCAAAGTAGGATTTTAAAAGTACAAGCATGCCTCGGGCTGCGGGAATCAGGGAACTACACAATAGCAGTGTTATCTAGAGTCTTGAGAGAACACTATAGAATACTCCCTGTTGTTTTCATGCATATTCAAAAGGGTTTAAAGCAAAACACTAAGCTATTTGTGAGATTTCATTTCAGAACAAACTTCTTATTAACACTCCAAATCCTAATTTGCTAGGCATTAGAAAAACCATCAATGATCCCAGCCAAACAACGCTTTCAGATAATTGTTCAGGGCATCAGGGAATACACAATCTAGTCTCAGGACATGGTAGATATCATAGAGCATTGTCGAATCTCACACTCAACAGCCCAAGTCACTTTCAAATAGTTTATTTTCAAAAGAGGAATTATGATTCTGATCATTTAGTCAATTCACTAAAGTGAAAAGCATGAAAAAGGAATTAAGAGTTCATAAAGCAGAAAGCCTCGAACAATGTTATGTTTGTCAGGGTCAAAGATAAGAAAAAGCACTCAGAAAGAAAGAGGGGTGACCTTGGGGATAAGACGAGTTTTTTAAGCACCAAGTTCCCCCACGCTTTCCTATATTTTCCCCTACCATCCATGTCTATTACCTTCACAGTCCAGTCGTTTTTTTCCTGTGGAATGCATCAGGACAGCTAGGGAGCTTTAAAAGGTGCCAGGGGCTACCCTAGGTCTATAGAATCACCATCTTCCCTGCCCTGCCACAGGGTGATTCTGCTGATGCATGCCAGCAATAAGAGCCCCTGCTTGGGCCTCTGTATACACGCTCCTAACGCTTAACAGTGGCAGTATATGGTCAGCAGAGGAAAGGGACTGTCTGGGACAGAGCTACAATGACCCTCGATAGGCTCTGTCCTCCTCATACTCAACCAACCTGCTTCTTCTAATACTTACTGCCTTGTTTACCCACACGCCACACATTACGGGGTTCAGCTAGCTCAAATTTAGCTTCTTTCCTCCAACCCAGCCTGCCCATGACTACTCAGTGTCTTAAAACTTTATTTACCCAAATGTTATATTGAAGTATAGCATAAGTATAGAAAAGTGCAAAGATGTTTATTGCAGCACTATTCACAATAGCAAAGACATGGAATCAACCCAAATGCCTATCAATGGTAGACCGGATAAAGAAAATGCGGTACATATACACCGTAGAATACTATGCAGCCATAAAAAGGAATGAGATCATGTCCTTTGCAGGGACATGGATGGAGCTGGAAGCCATTATCCTCAGCAAACTAACATGGGAACAGAAACCCAAACACAGCATGTTCTCACTCATAAGTGGGAGCTGAACAATGAGAACACATGGACACAGGGAAGGGAACAACACACACCAGGTCCTGTCAGCAGGGAAGGGGAAGAAAAAGCATCAGAATAAATAGCTAACACATGCAGGGCTTAATACCTAGGTGATGGGTTGAGAGGTGCAGCAAACCACCATGGCACATGTTTACCTATGTAACAAACCTGCACATCCTGCACATGTATCCTGGAACTTAAACTTTTAAAAAAAGTGCACAAAGTACAACTCAATGGATTTTCCCAAAGTAAACATATTTGTGTAAGTAGCACCCAGATCAAGAAGCTGAAAGAACATTATTTGTACAACAGAAACCTCCCTCATAGCAGCTCCAAGTCATTAACCCTCTCTCATGAATTAGCTTAGCCTCTTCTGAGTTTCTACAAAATGTAATTATAGTTTGCTTTTATGTCTTTTATGTCATCCATGCTGATATGTGTAGCAACAGTTTGTTCATCTATTACTTCTATCATATGCATGTAGCAGTTTACCTGCTTAACTGGTGATGCACATTTAGGTTACTTCCAATTTGAAGTTACAGCAACGGGCACTGCTGTAAACAATCCTGTATTTGCCATCTGCTGAAATAGCGTAAAGTGGCATTGTAATGCATTGACCTGGTTGGGCTGAACTATCCTTCTCAGAATTCCCTTCTTTGTATGTTTCCAGCTGAGATTTGGAAGTGAATCAGTAGCCACGTTATGTTTGCATCTGTAAGGTCAGTGCAGAAGGTCCACTGCATAGCTGCTTCTCTGCAGGCTTACTAGAGTGGTGAGGGGCAGCAGCCAGCCCTGATGATGCTGCAGCCACCATCCCTTGATCTTCCTTCAGTTTCTCTGACTCCTAAGCCAGGTGTATGTTTAGTTCCATAATAAAGGGCATCGGCTTCTCCTTAGGACACCCACATCACCAAAGCTGGATACAGTAACAGCCTGATCCGCGTTCCCACCTATCTTCATGAGTTTCAGCTTCTTACTCTTCCTTTTCCTCCTCCTCCTCCTCTTGTTCAGAAGTTTACTCTCTTCCTTCATAACTGTCTGCCCAGTAGACTTCAAACTCCAACATCAGATACAAAGAACAGCCTTATATAGATTGTCTAACAGCTCCCACAGTTGCATAAAACCAAATCCCTGCAACAAATTCCTTTATGTATCTCCTAGTTTTTCGGTTCCTCTGATTGAACTTTGACCAACACAATATGCACATTTCTACTGACTACATCCCTAGGAATAGAATTGCTTTAAAAATGTTTGCGTCACTGCAAACTAAGACACTTTCAATGATTCCCAAAGTAGTATTTCCCAAGCTTAGGTTAATAGGGCTTCTGCAAAAAAGAAAACAAAATTTTGTGAAATGTGTGTGTTTTTGGCCAAATTATCTTAGCTTAAACAAAGCTAGACACATTCCTTTATTGAAGTACTTCTCAGAGCCTTTAATATGCCACTCTGCATCGTGAATCTCCGTGAGATCAATACAGTGCTTAATGTTTCCCCAAATTATCTTTTTTAAAGGAGTATCTTAAATCTTTTTAAAAGGAGTATCTTAAGAGACTAATTTTATAGAAGGCACTTTTTAAAAAAAAAAAGAAATACAGGTATATCAGGTGTGCAAGCTGTCCTTCCATATCCACTCTTCTCTTCTTATATGAATCAGAACCTGTTATTTTTAGCTTGGTGCATGGCCTTCCAAATGAAGGCTATGTTTCTCAGTACCTTCATGAGTGAATTCTGGTCAGTGTCATGTGGACAGAAATGAGGTGCATCACTTCCAGAAGGTGCCTGAAAGGCAAGGAGCACATTGCCCCTTTCTCCACCCTGCTACCTGGAATGTGGATGTAGCATCGTATCACAGAGGGGATGCTGGAGCCATTGGTCAACGTGGGTCTAGGTCCCTGGATGACCCTGGAGATTTGGGCCAGTATTCTAGCCCCAGGCTGCTATCACCTGATCGTTACATGAAAAAGAAATAGACTCCTATCTTGATTATGCCACTGTTGATTTGGGCTTCTAGTATTCATGTCCAGCCTATGTCCTACTTAGTACAGCTGACCTAGAAGATAAAGTCCCCATTCCTTAGCCTGGTTCTCAAACCCTCTTCCTTGCTCCTCTGTGCCTACCAAATCTAATTGCACAGAAATGGAAAGGAACAGAGGGAGCGAATGACATACTGTTAGTTACATCCTTCACTCCTAGGTGGACATAAGCCCATCTGGGTTGGGAAGAAAGGTCCATTAGAGGCTGGCAAATCAAAGAACAGGGCACAGGCTCCAGAACACCACTCTGGGGAGAGGTATCCTTATCCCATGGCAAGCACATTCCTGCTGACAACTCCTTGAATGAAAGGGAAGTAGGTAGAGCTACTATGGCCCTTATCTCTACATATGATAATCATGTCTTTGACGTCTGTCTCTGCAGGAGTCTGTTAACTTTTACAAGGTGAGAATTTTCCTTGTCTTCACATTTCTATATAGTATCATGCCTTGCACAGGACAGAATGGGTATTTAAAAAAAAACAGATTTATTAAGGGCACGCATGTGTTTAAAAAAACTGATGAATTAGTGTTAATTACCTTAGCAATAGTAATAATATTGTAGTTACATAGGAAAATGTTCTTATCCTTAGAAGGTTTATACTCAAACGTTTAGGAGTGACATATTATCATATCTGTGACTTACTTTCAAATGGTTCAGGAAAAAAAGGCATATCCATATCTGTATATAGTCAGTTCTACTTTTATCACTTACTGGATTTGTGTCAATGCAACAGATGTACTTGAGAGCAATTTGAGCACAGGGAATTTCATATTCACTTATGCTATAGACTCAATGCAATCCCAATCAAAATCCCAGCAAATTATTTTGCGGATATCGACAAGTTAATTCCAAAGCTTACATGGAAAGGCAAGAGACCCCAAATAGCCAACATAATACTGAAGAACAATAAAATTGGAAGACGAACAATGCACCCAACTTCGAGACTTATATAAAATTAATCAAGAGAGTAGGTATTGGTGAAATATCAGACAAATAGATTAATGGAACAGAATAGAGAGCCTTGAAACAGACCCACACAAATCAATCACATAATCTTTGCCAAAGGAACAAAGGCAATATAATGGAGAAAAGACAGTCTTTACAATAAATGGTGCTGAAACAAGTGGACATCTACATGCAAAGCAATGAAACTAGACACCTACTTTACCCCTTTCACAAAAATTTATTCAATATGGAAAGTAGCTAGCCTAGGCAACATAGCGAGACCCTGTCTCTACAAAAAATTAAAAAAAAAAATTAGCCAGGCATGGTGGTGTGTGCCTGTCGTGCTAGCTACCTGGGAGGCTGGGGTGGGAGGATCACTTGAGCCCAGGAGTTCAAGGCTACAAGGAGCTGTGCTCACTCCACTGCATCCCAACCCAGGCAAAAGAGTGAGACCCTGTCTCTAAAATAATAATAATTTTTTAAAATATGTAAACCAAAATGTAAAATGCAGAATTATAAAATTTCTAGAAGATAACACAGGAGAAAAATCTGGGTGACTTTGGGTTTAGCAATGAGTTTCTAGATATAATACTAACAGCACAATTCATGAAGGAAAAATGGATATATTGGACTTCATTAAAATTTAAAACTTCTGATCTATGAGAGACACTATTAAGGGAACGAAAAGACAAGCCACAGACTGAGAGAAGATATTTGCAAAACACATATCTGATAAAGGACTGTTATCTAAAATATACGAAGAATTCATAAAACTCAACAATAAGAAAACAATCCAACTTTTTAAAAGGGTAAAAGATCTGAACAGACAACTGATCAAGGAAGATACACAGATGGCAAATGACATGATGTTGACTATTTTTTCATATGCTCATTACGCAATTGCAAATTAAAATAACAATGAGATATCATGACACACATATCAGAATGGCTAACATTCAAAACACCAAATGCTGATGAGGATGTGGGACAGCAGGAATTCATTGCTGGTGGGAATATAAAATGGCACAACCACTTTGAAAGACAGTTTGGCAGTTTTTTACAAAACTAACATGTTATTATCAAATGACCCAGCAACGATGCACCTTTGTATTTATCCAAATGAGCTGAAAACTTACATCCACACAAAACCTGCACACAGATGTTTGCAGCAGCTTTATTCACAATGGCCCAAAACTGGAAAACAACCATGATGTCCTTCATAGGTGAATGGATAAATAAAACGTGAGATATCCATACAAGGAAATACTCTATAGCAATACAGAAAAATGAGCTATCAAGCCATGAAGAGACATGGAGGAACTTTAAATGCATGTAGCTAAATAAGAGAAGCCAGCCTGAAAAGGCTACATACTATATGATTTCAACTATGTGACATTCTGGGAAAGGCAAAATTATAGAGACAATAAAAAGATCAATAGGAAGGGAGGGATGAATAGGTCAAGCATAGGATCTTTAGGGCAGTGAAACTATTCTGTATGATACTGTTATGGTGGATACATAACATCGTGCATGTTTCAAAACCCATTGAACTGTACAACAGTGAACCTTAATGCAAACTATGGATTTAAATAAACAATAATGTATCAATATTAGTTCATCAATTATAACAAATATACCACACTAATGAAAGATGTTAATAAAGGGAAATTATATGTGTATGAGTGAGGGGGAGGTAGTATATGGGAACTCTGTACTTTCTGCTCAATTTTTCTGTAAAACTAAAATTGCTCTAAAAAATAAAATACATTAATTATTTAAAAAAACCTAATTGATGAATTAACCTAAATTAACTGCCCTAAGAGTGGCAATGATACTATGGTGATGTAGAAAAATAGCCTTATTCTTAGGAGATTTATACTGAAGTATTTTATTTTATTTTATTAAGAGACAGGATTGCCCAGGCTGGAGTGCAGTGGCCCAATCATAGCTCACTATAACCTCTAACTCCAGGGCTCAAATGATCCGCCCATCTCAACCTCCCAAACAGCTGGGACTACAGGTATGCGCCACCATGCCGGGCTAATTTTTTAAATTTTTATAGAGATGAGGTCTCGCCATGTTGCCCAGGCTGGTCTTGAACTCCTGGCCTCAAGAAATCCTTCCACCTCTGTCTTCCAAAGTGTTGGTATTACAGGCGTTAGTATATGTATTCACGCCCAGCCCATACTGAAAAATTTAGAAATGAAATGCCATGACATCCACAACTTACTTTCAAATAGTTCAGCAAAAAAAAGAAAAGTCTATTTATATCTCCACACACAGTCAGTTCTGCTATAATGCTTGTTGAATCTGTTCCAAAGCAATCAATGTATTAGGGAATTTGACATTTGCTTATGTGTGATTTCAATCATGAAAAACACAAAGTCAATGTGGAAAACTACACCCAGCTGAATCAAGCCATGTCGGAATATACAAAACACACCCACCTTAAGCTTCTCCTGCTACCTCAGGTCACCTCGTTCTGGGCCATGCCATGCACCTCTAGCGTCACAGTTTTGCCTCTGATTTCAGACAGCCCCCCTCCCACCACACATAGTAATTCACAGGCTCAATCCTTTCAGCACTCACCTCCAGATACAAACACCAGGTCTTTTAAAGGTACAGTTCCACATTTACTAAGTATGTATTTCTTAACCATTTATCATATGCAAAACTGTCCTATAGTTTTTGGTAGGTTCCTATCTTTTTTTTAAAAAAAATGTGCCACTGACAAAGTTTTTCTCATAAGCCCTGTGATTTTTACTTCATGATTTTTTTTTGCCGCACAGTGATTTTTGGAACATATATTTCATGTTATAGGGGATATGACTATGTAAGAATAAAGCAAATGGGGCAAAATGTCAATAAACGGGGACTCTAAGTGAAAGACATACAGGTTTTCACTGCACTATTCTTTCAACTTTTCAAAACATTTCAACTTACAAATTGGGGAAAATAATTGAAATAATAGCAATGTGAAAAAAAGGAGAGCATAAAGGACTTTGCAAAAGCCAAAAATAATTGAGGCAATGCACCACACTAATAGGGAATGAAGCGCTATCAGGGCTTGAAGTTATCCTACAGAAACATTACAAATGAAAACCAGCTTACATATGGAATTTGAGGAGACTTAATGGAAAGTGATTTTGCATAATTAGTAATCCTTATGGGATGCCATTTAATACCAGAAAGAAACTCATCCTGACTGCTACTTATCCCAGGCTCAGTCTTCACATTCCATGCTTTTAGGTTTTCCAGATATCCTCACTGTATTAAGAACTCAGCCAGGGAGCTGGGGCCTGGAAGATTCAACAAAAGAGGTCATCTCATGGCTAGTCCATCAAAGAGAGGAGGTGCCAGTGACAAGTGCCTTTTTCTCCCCTAACTTGCTCTCTTTCCATCTCTGTGTCCTTTCTCATCTTGGACCATGACTTGGACCTATTACAGGTACTTACAGGCACTTCCTAGCCTCTACTGCAAAGACAACTTCTGAGGAGGGATTCACATGACCACGGGAGGCACAAATGTGGCAATATGCATTGTGTACATTCAGCTGGTCATTGAACAAATATTGGTGGAGCACAACTTGGCAGCACGGTGCCTGCCAGGTGCTGAGCTCATGCAAAGGCAAATATGTCTCTGTTTAAAGGAACTTGGACTAACCGACTACGAGGCTGGCAGCTCAGTTACCCAGGCAAAGCCAGAAGGTCAGTGTCGCGCCTGGCTGAGGATGTACAGATGGTCTGAACCCTGCCACTTCACAGCTCCAAAGGTCAGCCTGACAGCTCTGTGCACCAGGGCCTCCCAGAGCTGGGGTTTTATAAGCCCATGGGCTAGGCCAGAGGTAGGCTGTCCTATCTAGGTTGACCACTGCCTCTGTCTTCCAAAACTAGTTCTGTTTAAATGAGAAATGACCAAACCCCCAGCTGTCTTAAAATTCATCACTATTTCCTAGGGAGATTGGACATTAACTGCAGTAACTGCTGTCTGCTAGAAAGTTCACCTCAAAATATTTAAAATAGAGAAAGCAATGATCTTGAACCAAAACAATCTCTTTTTAATAGGAAATATGTGAATTTCTTCTTCCTCCTCTGTTAGATGGTTCCCAAGCAAGCACTTCCTCCTGAGCTCTTCATTTCCTATCCAGAGACTGCCTCAGCTGGAGATCCTCTTCCAGCTCCTCTGACCTCAGGAGTGGAACTCCCACCCCAGCACGTGCCTGAGGTTTTACTCTTTCCACGGTTCTCTTCCCATCTGTGTATACATATGCCCTGATTGTAATCAGGAAGTCAAAACAAATCCTGTTTCAGGAATAAAGGCATGAATCAAAGAGTATTCTAGGTCCCAACAATACATTCCCTTCACATAACCACCTAAAGGGGCCATCAGATCCCACAGGTGGAAACCTCCAAAGAGTATTTGGTTCAGACCCTAACATCAGAAAAGTAAATAACCCAGGTGAGTTGACTTTGGGTCTTACATGGTTTGAAACAGTCTTAAAACCACCTAGTCTGAGAGCACATCCAAAGCAAAGAGAAAAGCATCAGGATAAAGAATCCTGAGTCAGGAAGAAGCTAATCCTGCTGATTTAAAGTCAGCTATATGCCAATCCATGGCTGAATTCCAATGCATTCACTTTACAAAGAAAGACCTTCCATTTCACAGATCCCATATCATTCTCCACTGGGTGGTAGTGTGGTGTGGATAAGGGGTGCAGGTAGACTTGGGCTCTGGCCCTAACTTTAGACAACTTAATGGCTCTGTGCACCTGTTTTTCTCATGATGATGGTGTAGTCTGTTGGGAGGATCAGAGGCAGGTCACTGAAACATGTGGCACAGTCCTTGGCACACAGCAGGCACTCAGGAGGTGGTGGGTATTACAATTACCATTTTTATTTTCCCCTCCTCAATTTTCAAGAGAAGAAACTGACTTCACAGCAGATGGCTACAAACTGATTTCTCCCTGAAAACCACAAGCAGGTGAATCACCAACAGCCTGGGAAAGATTCTACCCGGGTGGGATTAAGCAAATGAACCACAATTGTATTCCACTGGCATTAGGTGGAAATACAGGGGAAGGATGGCGACATGACAGAGTTTCTCTTCCTGCGAGACGTTCTGGCCGGATATCAGAACAGGCTTTTTCTTTGCCTGCATTTGAGCTGTCCATGCTTACGACTGCTCTTTGCATCTTAAAATTGTCCTCCAAATTTTCCATTCACATTCTACTTTGTCACTTTCCCACCCATTGCTAGAGCCATTTATTATTTGCCACGAGTCAGATGACCTGGGCAGCGCTCCAAGTGGTGCCTCAGACACCAGACCTAGCCCTATTCTCACTGGGCCTCCATCATCTCCATTGTTTAAAAAAAAAATGCTTATGTTTCATAGACTATACAGGGAATCTACAGAGATTAAAATTAGTGTGTGTGATTTTAAATGTACTCATGTGACATAAACATAGAAGCGCTCGGATACATTAAATTAAATAGGTGTTTAGATGTAATCTGGGCACTGGCTAGAGGCTGAGGAACAGGTAGAAATTCATTCCCAAGAAGAAAGGGAGAAACATCTTGAAAACCTCAGCAGGTGATCTGCCTCTCACCTTACCCCTCCTCTTGCAAGCTGCCCCAGTACAAACACAGGGAGCACAGGAATTTCTCCCAGACACCCACAATAAAACTCTAAACGCAGCAGTGTAAAGTGAATCTCTTATAAAGAAACAGTCTAATGAGGCAGATGCAAAGATGTCCAGACATTGTATGTTCAAAGCTTCATCGGCCTCCATCCTGCCCACACACAAGTCCTCAGCCACACGGTGATACCGCTCTTGCCACCATCTGGGGGCAGGGGTGCTCCCCAAGTGTGACAATATCCTCTCCTTTAATTAAGCAGACTAAGAACATTTTACTAGAAGCCCAAATAATGAAGTAAAATTAAAATCAAGGCTCTAAATCATGGGGTTGAACAAAATGAAACAGCAATATTCTGGCTTCCAACATCTTCCACCCAGCTTGCAGAGTTAGCATCTGGGTCTGGTTTCAATAGCAGCTTTGTGGCCCAGATGATCAGCACCACCATCCTAGGGCCCCCTGCTCCAGATGAGGACTGAGTGTATGTGTAAGCCTCACTTTGAACCTGAAGCCCCTAGTTCTTAAGTCACCTGTAGACTCAGCAACCATAATTTTCAATCCATGAGTCTGATGGAAATAAGCTTTAAGACTCTTTCTCTGATTCTTCCCACAGATGGCCAGCCTAGCTTTCCAAAACTTGTATCTAAAAGTGCAAAAGGATTACTCTTATTTCCACACCTTAGAGAATCACTGCATATATTCCTGCTCAAACACACACACACACACCCTTTCTAACAAGGATCCACCCCTCCTTTTCCCTCTTACTCTACTACCTAATGAATGTACAGCTATGAATTCTCTTCTTCCTCTTTCACTCTCCCTCTCTCTCAGGCACACACACTGATTTGGACACATGCCAACAGTTACCCACATTACATGGGAAGATGCACATAATGCCATGGCCTGGGCAGTAAGTGATGGGGGTGGCGGAGGGTTGAGGTGGGTGTGGGGTGGGGGGAGGAAGGATCTCCTAGGAGTGGAAACTGAGGACACAGGTGGGAGAGACATGGGGAAGTGGCTAAGCAGGCAGGCCAGCGAGAGAAACTAAACAGCAGACAAATCACACCTATGTAAGAACTTCTAAAATATGCTCTAATTTTGGTAAAGAAGTCAATATTCACTTTATCGCTTTTGGCAACACAGGCGAAGGAGGGGCAAAAGTCTGGGTGGGCCAATATTAAATAGGAACAAATAGCAGATCTGCCTCAGCAGTAAAGGGGGGAAGATGCTGGGCCAGTGATGGTCCAGCTCACTGTGCCACTATGGGCCTCACTCCACCGGAACCATCACACAAGGGGTACATCAGGCACTCTCTGAGGGCCCTGTCCTAGTGCTAACCTTGAGGCCCTCAGAAGCTCAGTAGCATTCATTCACTACATCTCCTACTTTTAAGATATATATAAAATAAAATTATATGGTACAAGGTCTATCAGAGTATTTTTACAGGAAGCAAAGTGCCATTTAGGACTAGGATAGATGACAAAAGAGACAAACACATTTATGGTCAGTAAAGGACTGCTTTCCCCCCACAAAAAAACACAAAAAAAACACAAGTTACAAGTGCTCCCTCTCACACTGCGCTCTCTCTTCCTCCCTCCTTTCTCCTCCATCCCTGGATAAGTAAGGATCAGGTGCCAGGGAGCAGGGGTTCAGGCAGCATAGTATACTAGAAAGACAATGGGACTTACAGTCAAGTATTTATTGGCTACTTAATATTCCCAAATTACCTAACCATCCCTGGTATGTTCCCTCATTTACAAATTGGGTATAAATGATCATCAAATTACAGAGCAGTGATCAGAATAAATCAAACAGCATTATAGTAAAATGCCTGCACAAAATGTCTAAATGTGTTACAATCCCTTCTTTGCACAGTAGCCTTAGTCTGAAAACCATCACTCACACACACACACACACACACACACACTCCGTATACACAAATTCACAAAGCCATGCTCACTGCCTGTGACTGACAAGGAATGGGGGCAGGTACTAGCCCTCTGGCGCTTTTATCAATTGATAGATATCAATTGGCCAATATCAATAATTGATCAATTATCAGTATTATCCACCCTATCTGTCTGTAATTAGTATAAAACTTCTTTTCTCTTTCCCTTCCCTAAGACTCTACCACTGGAGCTACCAATACTAAATCAGACCGTGTGAATGTGCCCTTTCTATTCCTTCTAGTTACTCTGAAATATTTCCCAGGATAAGTCAAATGCTGGTAGCTGTTTACCTGTAAATGATGGGGTACAGTATAAGCAATATGATTAGTTACAAAGTATTGGTTTTTGTCTAGCATTACGGGTAACTTTGGTCAAAAAAGACCAATACTTTTCAAACTACTGGTATCTAGGAATCTCAAATGCGAGTCAACCAGCATGTGTGATGAACACTTAAAAAAAAGAGAAAAGAGCCACTGCATTCCAGCCTAGGCGACAGAGTGAGACACTGTCTGAAAAAAAAAAAAAAGAGAGAGAAAAAAGAATGCATTACATGTAGAAGGAGTCAGCACTACTTCATGAAATGTCTATTTCAGTTACATAAGTACTGTACGTGTATGTGAGCATATTGGTTGTGATGTAAAATTAACTTCACATGATAGATCAGTCAAAAGAGTTTGAAAGCCATGGAATGTGGCAAAGAAACAAGCAGAAGTCACAAAGGCCTGAATTGTCCCCACAAACTCTGTCCCTGCAAATGGAGCTCCACAGTGAATCCCACATTCTTCCTGTGTCCTACAGCTGAGAACCCCAAAATTACCGGCCTGGAACCCATCATCAGCTGCCATACCAGATTCCCCTTCTCCAGATCCTAACCCCTTTTTTTCTCCACTCCATCCCACCTCATCCCAGAAAGCAGCCAATATTTTCCCGCACGAACAGGCACTCCACACTCCAGCAGCTGCCCTGGAGACATTGACAGTCACACCTGGGTTTCCTTAAGCCCTGACACCACGACTCCTGCGATGACACCTCCTTCCCCCAACCCCGAACAGCAGAGCCACTCTCAGAGTCAGAAGTCCCTAGCTGACCCTCCAAGGCTTCCTGGGCGCGCAGGGTCGTTCTTCCACCTTCTGTCCCCCGTGGACTCTCACCTGGAAAACGCACACCCCCCTGCCGGGTGGTTAGGCTAAGATTATGTGGGATAAGACTTTAATTCTCCAAGCATCTCCGAAAGACAGCCTATCCGGGGAGGCTTCTCCTTTAATCAGCCTTCAGCTGAATCCCTCAGCCCCATCCCTTAATGCTCCCGGCGTTAATTCCTCAAAATAATGCAGTCAGAGAAAGTGAACTTGGCCGCTAGGAAAGTTACCCCAGAGGAAGCGACGGGGAGCTAGGGCGAGCGGGGAGCGGGGGACGGGGTGGGGGGCGAGCGGGGAGCGGGGGACGGGGTGGGGGGCGAGCGGGGAGCGGGGGACGGGATGGGGGGCGAGCGGGGAGCTCAGGGCGCTCGCCCGGGGGGTTTCCTCCGCACAACGTGAAAAATCTTCTAGCCCCCAAGAAAAGAAAACAAAACCCAACGTGGCCACAAACCGGATGCCCTGTCACTGAAGTGCGAACACCACTGTGGGGCTGGGACTCAGAGGAGAGGAGGGGAGGGGAGAGGAGGTCGGCGGGGCTGGAACAAAGCCCTCGGGGCCGCTCCGAGAGGCCGCGCGCCAGCACCCAGCTGCGCCCCGAGGGAGAGAGCTGAGGACTGGCCGACCCCCGCCCTTCCCCAAGCCCGGGAGCCCGGGGCCGGCCCTGGTGCGGGGTGCGGGGCCGGGAGGGCAGGTGCGCGCGCAGCGAGCCCCTCCCCCGCGCCCCCAAAGCTCGGGGGCACCCCGACCCTCCCCACGCGCCTGGCCCCGGCGCGGCCCTCACCCGAGCGGGGGTCGAAGGTGACCACGAACACGGCCACCACCTGGTCCTCCTCCACGTCGCCCAGCTCCAGGCGCCCGGGCTGCAGCAGCACCTCCGGGGCGGCCGGCTCCTCGGGCTCCCGCCTCCGGGGCGGCTCCGCGGCCGGCCGGGCGCCCCCGCCGCCGCCCCGGCCCCAGCCTCCCGCCTGCGGCTGCGGGGCCTGCGGCAGGGAGACGGCGGGGCCCTCGGCCCAGCGCAGCAGCGGCGCCGCGTCTCCCTGCTCCACCATGGCTAGGCGAGGCGGAGCCGCGGGCGCGAGGGGCGGGGCGGGCGGGCTGCGGGAACCCCCCTCGCCTGGCCGCGCCAACGCCGCCGCCGCCCGCCGGGTCTGGCGCTGCCCGGGGCCCCGCCGCGGAGGCGCCTTTCCCACGGAGCCAGAGCAGGCGTCCGCGGAGCCGGCTTCGGGAACCGCGAGCCTATTCGGAGGCGCCCGTGTGCACGTCCGTGTGTGGGACGCGTGCGGCCGGAACGTTCATCCTTGCGTCCATACACCTGTGTGCGGGTGGAGGTGCCTTCTCACCTAGGGTTCCGTGGTATAGCTACCACTGTGAGTTTTTATGTCACCATTATTTTTTAAAGTCCGCTGGTCCTGTGGACCGTGACAGATATGTATTACATAATCCTGGATGTGTGGCAGAAGCTGCTTCTAAGCAGAGGAGTGAAGCAGAGGTGCTCTGGCTACCCAGGTGTTTGCAATATACTCATCAATAAACACTGAAAAGGCCATAGGGTTAAAGTTTGGGAATTTTGTTCTTCCTTTTATATTACAAACTGATTAGGATGGAGATTATGAGTTTATTTCCTGGTATATATACAACTTGAGGGTATTAAATTAGGAGGTGCTGGAGCATTTGTGGGACGAGGGATATTCCCTCAGAAGATCAGGAAAAGGAAGTTGCTCAGGGGAGAAAGAGGAAAGTCAGCTCTAAAGCTGATGGCTTTGGAAATGGATTAGGGGTTTTCTGTGAACCCCCATTTTATATTTAAAAATAAATTTTACATGCCTCAATCCTTGAGGTAAATCTAGCAGCTAAGTAACTCTTTAAGAGGAGATGTGTATAAAAATAGGAATAGCTATTAAAATAGAAAGAAGGAGGTGGCAAGAGAAGGAGGTACACAGTTCATCCAGGGTTCAGCAAGGCTCCATGGTTTGCCTGTTCGCAAAAGGACCCAGTAGAGCTATGTGCTGGGTGCTACTCCACGGGATGTTTATGAACCTCCGTGTCCTACACGTCAGCACTGCAATGATAATGTGATTTAACCCCTATCCCTAAGAAGATAATCAATGACTGCCCTAGGCTGCCACTTCTAATCTAAAATCTATGATATAACAATAAAGAATGTACTTATGCAGCATTTTACCCCCAAGAACAGGGTCTACTTTCATTATTTACATATTTAGTTCAGCCTTTCCTGAAAGGTAAAACTTCAGCATAGGAATCTCTTGATTGGATCAGAAGGATGAAGAAGTAGCTGTGGATGTTTGACCAAGTTACTGATGACCTCCAGAGCTCATCCCTTGGAGCACTGACAGCAAATAAGTCAAGACGGAGCACAGTAGAGATCCATCTCTGAGAATGTCTCCTCCATACCTGCTCATTTCTTCCCAGTGAGGCACTGTGTGTGTGTGTGTGTGTGTGTGTATGTATGTATGTGATGTGGGAGAGGCAGAAACAGACATACACACATACATACACACACAGAGACAGACAGAGAGAGAGAGAGATCTTATTTCTGTGGCCGGGGGCGGTGGGGCTGGCCTTGGTGCAGGTCACACAGGTGACCCATTACCTGTTCTAATCTTAGGGACTCCGGGAATGACCACAGCCCAACTGTGACTAACAGAGAAAAGGTCAGACTAGTGGGTCTGTACCATCGTTTTAAAATGTCTGCTCCTTAAAGTATCGGTAGGATATCATCAATCTCTAAATTACTGGGACATCAAATCAGAGATCTATTCCTATTCTAAGTATGCTATGTGTTGTGTGTGTAGACAAGTGGTATGTTTCTACTGTCACAGCTATTTTGATGAATAATCTCTAGTTCTAGCAAATGGGAAACTTTGGCAAGAGAAGCAATTTGTTAAAATCTGTTTGATTTATTCATCAGATAGATTTATAGTAGATTTCAAATTAATAGAATAACCTAGGGGTTTTTATTAATGGCACTAAAGTATCCATGGGTAAAATATGTTGTCACTGATTTGCTTCACAATACCCCAGCACTCACCCTCAATGAAGTTGCAGTTATGAACTAAACAAGACTGTAAAGCCATACATAATTTTTGAAGCTAGGTTATGGATACATAAGGACTCATTATAGTATTTTCTCTATTTTTGGTATGTTTGAACATTTCCATGAGAAAAAGTTAAACAAAAAGGAGGAAAGGGTTAATAACAGACTCCTAGGCTTTAAAGCAGCCTCCAGGCTTTATTTACTTAGCCCGTAATCCTTCCTTGGAATTCTGTTGTGCCGGCAGTGCCACCCATGAGATACAATTTTATGAGCACTTTGAAATGAGAAATGTGATGGGCAAATATCAAGTATTGTTAATGATTTATGTAATTATCATTGGATTCATCGCAGCTGACAAGTGGCTGCTTCTGTACACTCTCTCAGCAGGCAGGGAGGAGATTAGAAGAAGGTCCCCCTTCAAGGTTGCTGGCTTTGCTGACCATCCTTGTCATAGGAACAGAGCTGTGAGGAGTCAGGAGCACTGGAGACCCCTAGTTTCAATGGATTCACATCCACCGCAGCGGCCCCAATCTGGACCTGGTCAGTGTTGCCGCTGCTGATGGATTTGTCCAGGGAGCAGGAGAACATACACTGGTGATTAAAATAATGTTTTCTCTAAGTTACTGCAAACTTTCTCCTGTGTAGTTGAGGCAACACTTCCAGTTGTGGTGAGAGATTGAACAAAAGAAAAAGCATACAATGTTAAAGCTGGCAGGACCTTAAAGACACTGCCTAGCCCTCTCACTCAGCAGTGAGTCGTAGATGATTCCTCCAGATCTTGACGAGGCCCACAGGCCCTTGTTTAAGAACGTCGCTTGCTGCTTTGCTGCTTCTATGGGGCACATTCTGGTGATAAAGGCCAGCTGTTTTTCTCCACCAGCATGGAGTTCTCTCAACTTTGTTTCTGGTTTTTAGAGTCCCTGGCCAATTGTCTGGAGACCCAGAGAGCCACTGTTAGTCTAAGGTCGCTTCATAAATAAGGGTAATCCCGGTCCTGGATTCTGCCAGACTCCTAGAAAGACTGACAGTGAAAGTGTCATTTCTTGCTTGGGAAACCATACTTCACAATGGTTTTCAATAGGGCAGACCCATTAAATACATAAGAATCCAACAACACTCTTTTTTCAGAGTCGGAATGACTCAGTTCTAATTCAGTCTTAAATAAATAATGTGCTGGACCTTTACTTAGGCCTGTTTAAGTGTTTTTTACAATTCTCTCTCCTGACTTGGGGGACAATTAGGCCAGCATGTTCTTCCTTGGAGCGACAAACTCTCAAATAGCTCATTTTCCATGGCCTTAGCTTTACTTTGACAAAGGAACAGTCTAACCAGGAAGGTGAATAAAAGTTTCCACGTCTTGCAAATTTGAATAGATAGATTTTCCTGCTTCTGTTCTTCCCATCAACATTTCATAGGCCTCAGAACCAAGTCTGGTCAGAGTGGAGTCTAGGTGCTTCCTTATCACTCAGCAGTGTGTCTGCAAGGGGAGAACTTCCCTCAAGCACACAGTTGAGGGAACTCAGCCCTGAGATGCAAGGCTGCCCGCTTCTTGCACATCTTACTCCTGGGAACTTCGCTTTCCCCCTGTGCAGCAACTCCTGACACATTAAGAAAAAAATTCAAATTTTTTTTAAAAAGTCAAATATGGAGTATTTTAAACATGATTGAAATATATTAATTTATTTCCCCAAATTCATCCAAAAACAATTTATTGAACACCTACTATATGTTAGGCATTAAGGGGGAAACCCTCCCCTTTTCCTCTTATTGCCACAGATTACATGGGTCCCCCTTTTGACACATCATCTCAACTATCACCTGAAGCTTTATGCTGGGATGGATGCCTGTGGGATTAACATATACTGAAGCAGAGATGAAATTTTTCATAATGGAAAGAGGCTAAAAATGAAGAAAAGGCTACAATGTGACCAAAAAAATAGTGAGGCCATGGGCCAGAGGCCATAGGTAGCACCTCTAGGGATTCCCTTGGGTCATCCAGATCAGCAACTATGCAATTCTTATTATTTAGTTGTCCAAATTTGGGATATCTTTTTTGTACTCATTGTTACACCTTTCTTATTCTGAAGACTTAGCCACAATCATTATCTTCTGAGTAACAATACATGAAAAGGTGAATGGTGCAAGTTTCTAACAGTATTACTGCCGATAACATAAGACCTCAACCATTGCAATGGCATAGCTGCCTCCCTAGGCAAACAATGTAGTCATAAATAAGGGTAATCAAGAATTATAGCAAGGGAGAGAGAAAAAGCAGCAGGTGATAGAAAAAAAAAAAGAAAACCTGGTCTACTTGGGTAATACCTAATAAACCAGCCCCTGTGCCCTGTCTACAGGACAATAATATAGCCAGTGTTTTGAGTCAGTCCTGTTTTACTGAGAGCAAAGCCAGCCTCTAGCTGCCTGGAGAGGCAGGAATGACAAGCCATGGCATGTGAGGGGAAATTCATCAACACCAAGGCTATAGAAAAGAAATCTATCATCTGGCTTGCTGATTTGTAAACAAGACACTCCTAGGCTGAGAATCCCAGTTGATAATAATTGCATTACTGGTAACCTATGAGTTCTCCTTTTTCTTTGATGATTCTGTTTTTACTGGCCCCTGTAGGATACTGAATCTCTGACAAAGGTGGGCAGTGAGTTACTGCATTTTGTGAGCAATATTTTACCCCCTGTTGAATTATCTGGGATAGTTTGTGTGGGTGGGAGGCTGTAGGGAAGGGCCAAGGAAGGATGAATTGGTGTGCCCACCTACAAAGGGCTGGAGCATGAGAAGGCTTTGAGCTGAAAAAACACTTTGAAGTCTCCCCAGTTAGTTTTCATTTGGATTACCCTCCTCAGGAGTTCTGGCTGGGAATGGGGAAGGAATTAGGAGAAAGTGGTGGAGAGATCTGTGAAAAGAGGGAAATGGAAGAGGGGTGACAGGTAGCAAAGACTATAAAGAGAAGGGAAATAACATTTGTTTCAAACTCATCAAGCTGGCCTTGGTTCCTGTCTCTCTTTGGGCCCATGTTTATCATGTAAATAATTCCCTATTTGCAGTCCCTCTGAAGCCTCCTTGAGGGGCATGAGTGTATCATTTTCCTTTTTCATGGACTGCCTCTCACATAGTTTTCTTCTATAATGTGATATCAGTGAGGCCTTTTTCCTTTGATATACCTATACATTGTGTAATGATTACCAAAAATTTACCACACCCATATGCACCCATGCTGTACATCAGGTCCCCAGAATTGTTCATCTTATACCTGAAAGTGTGTACCCTTTGATCAGCATCTCCCCATTTCCCCTGCCTTTCCAGATCCTGGTAACCACCATTCTACTCCCTCCCTCTAGGAGATCAACTGTTTTTGATTCCACATATAAGTAAGATCATGTAGTATCTGTCTTTCTGTGCCTGGCTTATTTCACTTAATATCCCCCTGGTTCATCCATGTTATCACAAATGGCAGCCTTTCCTTTTTTATGACTGAGTAATATTCTATTGTGTGTGTGTGTGTGTGTGTGTGTGTGTGTGTGTGTGTATTCACCACATTTTCTTTATTCATCTGTCCATGGCTATTTAGGTGGTTTCCATATCTTGGCTGTTGAGGATAATGCTGCAATGAATATGGGTGTGTTGGTATTTTTTTGAGATAGTGATTTTATTTCCTTTGGCTATATAACTGGAAGAGAAGAGGGACAGCTTGATTGTATAATAGTTGTTTTTTTCTTCAAAGAGTTTTCCATCCTTCTCATAGGGGCTTCTCTGAGAAAGAAATTAAATAATGTGTACTAAAGATATTAAAAAGCATTTTACAATATAAGGCATTTTTGGCAGAAGCCATTGCTGTTTTCCAGTGATCAATATCTGTTTCTATGGTTTGTTGATCTTTCTAGCCTTTCTTTTGTCAGTTTAAATTTTTGTTCAATTCCCTAGAAGCTTTAACTGCTAACAGCTAACAGCTGCAGGAGGGAGATGCCTGAATTAGGGCAGGTGTGTTTGGCACAGAGCTAAGCTGTGTCTCTGTCAGGGATACAAACTCCAGTCAAGATATGTTAGAGGCTGTTTAAGGATCATTATGATAGCCAGGTGATGCTAAATTGTAATTACCTGCTGTTAGCTATTGGGTGGGTGGGGAGGAGAAGGGAGGAGAGGGTGATATTTATAAATGGCAGGTGTAAGGAGTGAAAATAATTTCTTTTCAATATTAGCTTATTCCCAAATTGGCTAATGGGTATTTTTAAAGCCATGCTAAATTAAAGGAATTCAATTTTCTCACTAGTATTTGGTAACACATGGGAGACTATGTGTCATATCCAGAAGAGTTCTGTACATGAACTGCATTTAATTGCTCCGAGAGTCACTGGAGCTTTCTTTAATCAGAATGGAAATCAGGATAAGCTGAGGTCTTATAGATTGGTGGTACTTAAGGCAGAAAATTAACACCGTGTTTTGTAGCTGTTAGTTGGTAGAGGGAAATTCAGGCTACCGTCGCGAAACCTGCAGGTTAAGTTATTTTCTCCTCCCTGCTTCTGTAGGTTCACAGCGTTCCCTTCTGATAGAGCTTTTTGTCTGTGTTGTAAAGCTCTTTGGCTGAGATGGATGACAAAGATATTGACAAAGAACTAAGGCAGAAATTAAACTTTTCCTATTGTGAGGAGACTGAGATTGAAGGGCAGAAGAAAGTAGAAGAAAGCAGGGAGGCTTCGAGCCAAACCCCAGAGAAGGGTGAAGTGCAGGATTCAGAGGCAAAGGGTACACCACCTTGGACTCCCCTTAGCAACGTGCATGAGCTCGACACATCTTCGGAAAAAGACAAAGAAAGTCCAGATCAGATTTTGAGGACTCCAGTGTCACACCCTCTCAAATGTCCTGAGACACCAGCCCAACCAGACAGCAGGAGCAAGCTGCTGCCCAGTGACAGCCCCTCTACTCCCAAAGTAAGTAAGGGGTGGGGGAAAAAGGGACGCAGGTCGCCAAGCTCTGCTTTCCTGTAGTTTAGCTGATAGAGTGGATTCATGTGTGTATGACAGTCACCTCCAGGCTGTGTATATCCTCAATTACACATTTATTGATGAAAATGAAGAAATTAAAATTACCAGAAAATGGACAGAATTAAATGGTTTGCCAGTTGTCTTCTCAAAACCACTGGTGCCAGTAACTGTTGGCTATTGGCCACAAACAAATCTTGGGTAGAAAAAAGTCCCTAGTTAAAGAATATTGGAACTGGAAGGAATATTGAGATTTAGAGCTCCAGCTGTGCAGTTTACATATGAGAAAATGAAGGGCCCAAGACAGAAACTGTCTCACAGCTCAGCCAATGTTACAGACAGGACTAGAAACCTGATCTTTTTGGCCTAGTCTATTGTTCTTTCCATTACGCCAACTGGCTCTATTTTTGTGTGATTATTTACTAATACTTTCTAATATAAGAACGTCCACACTCACTGTTTGAACATAGTCATATCTCTTTGCTGCTGCTCCTCCCAGAAACAACTCCTCTCCCCTCCTTGGTCTAATAGAAGAACCTCCAGGTTCTTCTAGTATATGTCAGCAAAGAGGAAACTTGTTGATACTTCTTCATAAGCTGAGGATGGCAAATAAGCAAGAGTCCCTAGTAGCATATTCCTTTATTCTTGTTGTGATTGGTGTCCTGTTGCATCGTTCATGTTATTAAAGCCATAGTTGGGGCAGGGTTGCCTCTAATCAACTCTGGTGCCATGGTGTGTGAGTCCTAGGATTGGTATTAGCTCGGCTTCCTGCTGGTTCAGCCTGAGGCACTTAAGATCATCATAATAACATCTGTGATCCTGACTGCGACACAGTTGCTATCAGCAGGTCTCTTTAGTACCTGCTGGGTGTGGGTACCATGTATACCAGGAAATTCTAAGCTGCTTGTTTGAATTGTAGAAAAACTAATATGCTCCGATGTCTATCTCTGGGTTTTTCAGTGGTCACAGCACCAGCCAATTAATCACCCATTTATTCTTTGAGAATTCCCTATAGGTAAGGAGCATATAATACAGTCTCTGCCCTCAAAGAGCTTACAGTCTAGCAGAGAGAGAGTAGTTATGCCAAAAGGCACTATGTGATAAGTGTGGTCAGAACCCGCTGGACAGATTCTCAGTGTGGTGATCAGGAAAGAAAGAAAGGTATAGGAAGGGCAATGAAAGTTGGTCCAGTTTTGATATATGGGGGAGAATGGGCTGAGAGAATGTGGCTTTGAGTAAGAGTACACAGAGAAGAAAACATGACATTCATTTGATCATTCACAGCTTAACTGAACACCTTGATGTGTTAGCAGACCCTCTGCTGGCAAAACCCATTCACTGCCTTCAAAAAGAGCCCACAAAATGAATAAAGATTAAACAAATGAAACAATAAAGTTCAAAACGTGTACTAGAGGAATGGTTGAGCATGATGAGAAGGAATTAGGAATTACATCTCTATCAGGGAAGACTTTCCAAAGAAAGTAATGTTTGAGAGATGTCTTAAAGGATATTTGGAGTTAGCCAGGCAAAGAGGGGAATAGGAATTCTAGGCAAAGGGAAAAGCATCCACCAAGTTATGGAGGGGAAGGAGCTGCTACACTTGGAAAACAGCATGTTATTCAGTGTGACGGGCCTGTGTGTGAGAGAGTGCAAGAGATGAGGCCAGTGTAGGTGGGCAGAAGCTAGATCAAGATTTTAATCCTGAGAGTGTTGAGAGAGCCATTACCATGGTTTTGAGTAGAGGGATTTTTTTGGAAAAATCATGACCTTTGTATGTATTGTGGGATGGAGCATGAGAGAGCCTGGAGGTAGAGCAGTATTCAGAATAGCCCTGTTGAACAAAGAAGAGCCTGGACTAGGACAGTGAAAAATTCAGAGATGACTTGATGGAGAGGTCGAGGGAAAACGAAAACAATCTGATGACTGAGGTTTCTTGCTTGGTTCAGTAGACAGAATCAAGATAGATGACACTAAGGGATATATGGGTTTGGAGAAAAGCAGAGATGTGGTATAAAAAGTTGGATAACTGGGTATGGGGCACAAGAAAACAATGAAAATTGGAAATCCGTATTTGGATATCTACAGCATTTAGGAAGTAGTTGAGGCCATGGGTGGAGATAAGGTCACATAGCCTGAGTGCCAGAGTAAGGAGAGAAGTGGCCCAGTTAGAAATCTTGGATAATGCATTTAAGGGAGAGGCAGAGAACAGGGCTTGGGAGCAAAACTGAAATGCAACTGGGAAAGTACATACTTTATGAAAACACAGTTTGCGTTAGAGGAAAGAGGCTTGATGGCTGATCATTGTTATGCAGAAGACAAAGCTGCATGGGAAAGGAGGATTGGCTTAGTCAGTCTTGTCCAAGGGATGGAACCAAAAATCATGTGAAATTCAGTTCACTGTAAGGACTTCCTGACAGAATCATCTAGAGATAGAAGAGCATGCTTAGGAGGTGTAAGCTCCCTGTGGCTAAAAGCATAGAACACTCATTGATGACCGACCACTTGGTAGAAATACTGCAGAAGGGATTTGTTAGTCTGTTTGCCTTGCTACAAAGGAATACCTGAGACTGGGTAAATTATAAAGAAAAGAGGTTTATTTGGCTTACAGTTCTGCAGGCTGTACAGTAAGCATATTGCCTGTATCTGCTTCTGGTGAGGGCCTCAGGAAGTTGACAGTCATGGCAGAAGGTGGACAGAAACAAGGCAGCTTGTTACATGGTGAGAGAAAAAGTGAGACAGTGGAAGCAAGACAGGAAGGAAGTGTCAGGCTCATTTTAAACAACCAGATCTGGTGTGAACTAACAAAGTGAGAACTGGTTCATTACCATGAGGATGGCACCAAGGAATCTACCTCTGTAATCCAAATGCCACCCACCAGGCCCTACCTCCAGCACTGGGGATTATATTTCAACATGATATCCAAATGATACCAGGATTCAAGCATCAGGGGACTCATCATATTGACTGGGCCTTTAAAACATCCAAACATCCCAATAATACCAGGATTCAAGCATCAGGGGACTCATCATATTGACTGGGCCTTTAAAACATCCAAACATCCCAATAATATCAGGATTCAAGCATCAAGGGACTAATCATGTTGACTGGGCCTTTAAAATCCTTCTCTGTCCCAAGATACTATGTTTGTGTTTTTGTGAGAGGTTGCCTTCTCTTCTCACCATCTTCATAAGTCAAGTAGCTATCCCCCAAATTTCCCTTATCTCCCTCAATCATCTGTGCTACAGCTATTCCTTATGGAATTATTTGCCCTCTCTAGAGCACATTTATACTCTCAACCTGTGTCATCTTTCAATAAATTTTCAAATTCCTCTGCTTCCAAGCAGAAGTTCTTTTCATATGTCTTATCTCAAACTATGTTATTTGAGATTTTGAAAGGGTTACTCATAATTCTATTATTCCAGCAATAACGACTATATTAACATAATATTCTTCCCTACATCATAAGTGGTGCTCACAAATTCTCTTGGCCCTCATATTTCCTGACTAGAAATTCTAATATTGTCTTCCCTGATATGAATAATTTTTATCTGAATATTTTCTAGGCCCCTTATACTTTCTTTGAGATGTGACAACTAGAACTATGTGCTGCATTCCAGGTGTGGCTACCCACTGTTTCATATGTAATAGATGTGTTTTACTTTCCATATGATAATCAGCATTACAAAAAACGAATTCTCAGAATGACTTACTACAAAATGCTAGGTTCATTTTGCAAATCACATTGATAACTGAGAAATATCATTATAGTTTCACTTATTTTGAACCAATCCTCAGTCTTCATGATAAACACGCAGGAAAGCTGTGAGTCTGTCAGCGAGGGCTTGTCTGCCTCCTGGATTCTTCAAGCAGCCCTATGAACTCCAAGATAGGAGAAACACTTGACTCTGGCAATGACGTCATTTTTCTTCACTTAAAAAAAAGGCTAGGTTACTATGTAAATTCTATAGCTTCCTTCATTCCTGCTTATTCAATCATTTATTTAGTATTTACAATAGATCCAATATTCATTTTTGGTAGCCTCACATTCTTTAATGAATCACGCAATCTGGCTTCTGCTTCTACACTAAAATATCATGGGCAGAGATGATCAGAACTGTAGAAGTCTTTTAGAAAGAGCCTCACAGTGCAATGCTTATACTGTGGCCCCTGTGTGTGCTGCCATACTCCTGAAGATCCATAACACAGCTACTCCTCTGGCCCCTGACATCAGGTCAGCATTCTGCCTTGGAATTCTTTGGCTTTTCCCTTCGCCCTTTGGTTTCATTCTGGTTAGGTTTAGGCTGATGTTCTCTTCTTGTATGCCACTTGGAGTGGTAAGTCCTGCACATTGACCTATTTGTTGGTAGCTGGTTGTAGCCACTGCAAAGATCTGAATCTTAAGGGCTTAGAGTACTAATTTTCAATCTCATTACCGCACTTCATGAAGCACTTCTCAGTTAGTGCTTTATTTTAAGTGAAATTAAAAACTTTTTTCATGTTTAAATAGTCTATGAAATCTTTTCCTTACAAGGTGATTATTTCTGAAACACTGATGAACTGCTGAATAATGAACTATATATTCCTTAAGATTTAGAATTCACTTCTGTACCACTTGGCATCTAACCCAGCATCTGCTACATAGTAGGCACCAAACAAATATTTGGATGAATAATTGAGGGGAAGTTAAAGCATAAGCTCTGAGAATATAGTCATTTTTATTTGTCTAAACTTAATGTCCATGTCTTTAAAAACTGGAGATAGGACTACAACTGGTTTTCATAGCTAGCTAACAGAATTGCCCAGGGGAAGGGGTTGGAGCTTGACTAAAGTACAGATTCCTGTGTTGACTTCATGAATCAGAATATCTAGAGGTAGAGACTGGGATTCTATAGTTTTCATAAGAGGAGCAGTTACAATGCAACCAGTTCACATGGAACCAGATAATTTCTAAGGCCCCTTCAGCAAAAGCATTCTTAGATTCAAATATTAACTAGCTAACTGATAAGGAATGTCTTTACTAATGCTATTATGACTTGCCTTTTGTCATCCTCATTCAGACCATGCTGAGCCGGTTGGTGATTTCTCCAACAGGGAAGCTTCCTTCCAGAGGCCCTAAGCATTTGAAGCTCACACCTGCTCCCCTCAAGGATGAGATGACCTCATTGGCTCTGGTCAATATTAATCCCTTCACTCCAGAGTCCTATAAAAAATTATTTCTTCAATCTGGTGGCAAGAGGAAAATAAGAGGAGATCTGTAAGTGCTCTATTACTTATGACTTTTGAGAACTGACCCTACTACAGTCAAGTAGTAAGAAGTGAGTGTTAAAGTAAGATTAGGAACGAGAACTCTATTTGAATGAAATGTATATGCTTACATATTCTCCCCTTCCTAGATATCAATGCTGGTTTTACCTGCTTTATCACAGAGATTCCAACATCTTTCCATTCTGATATGTACTGTAGATGCTTTCTCTATAAAAGGATAAGACAGAATAAGCAATAGATCTCTGGCTTCTATTAGGAAGTTGAGTGGGCTATGGAATTGCATTCAAGGGGTCCCCTCTGGTTAATATGAGGCTGGCAGTTGGGGAACGTGTAGCTCAAACTTCAAAGAGTACGTTGCTGCTTTGAGTCTTGTGTGACTAGTGATGAAAGCTATAGAGCAAGGATTTGAACTTCTCTGTGGGTGATGGAAGATTGGCTGAAGCAAAAAAGCATTGCTTTCAGAGCTGCTAAAGAATAGAAAGCCAAACTGTACTATTCCATAAAGGGCCCTGAATGACAGAAATCATCCAAATAAGGATTGTGCATATTACTCAGGAACATTACTATGTCTCTCCAAGGCTTTTTTATAGAATGGAATCGCCTCCAAAGTGGGGCAGTCATTTATGTTCATATGTACTCAGCGAAATAAATGGACAGCTAACAATGTAAACTTTGCAGAGCATTTAATGTGCTATGTCAAGTTGTTTCTTTGGAGTCAATGAGTATGTGTTAATCAGTCTTTGACCAGAATAGGTTCTCTCAACACTATCTCCTTCTTACTTAAATAAACAGGACTTCAGCACAAGTCCACCCACCTACTTTGGCTACCAAGAATTCGATTGGTTTTAGTTCTTAAGGAGTCTCTGTAAATCATTATACTCTCACCGAAGCCAGCAACAAAGACAGCTAATATGAAATCCTGACACTTTTGTAGCGTCATTTGGTGCTTCTAAGAGAGTATTTTTCCTTATTTTTATAATTTATAAACACTTCATAAAGTATTACAATGTGGTACTAAATCACAAATACCAAGCATTGATTTATTTCCATGAATGTAGTGCCTTCCATTTGCCATTTCTACCTTGTGTTTCTCCAAAAGAAAAATCTATAGCTAGTTGAAATCTTGCTTAAGGATCCAGAATACAAGTATGCATGGCAAAGAGGATGTCTGCTGGTCACTTAGCTTATCGAAGAGTAATTGAAAATATCTCATCCCGGGTTAGAGCAGATTCTGCCCTACTTGCAGTCTACCTGTGAACCGATTACAAAGCCAGATTCTAGGGGAGGGGTGGGTGTCGGAAAGAGAGTGTGGTGTGGCAGTGAGGAGCAAATGCTTTGGTGTCAGACCTGGCTCCAAGTCCCAGTTCTGCCACTTGCTAATTGTTTGACCTAGAGTTATTTAACCTCTCTCTGTCTTGGTTTCCTAGTTTGGGGATAAAGATACCCATTTAACAGTTGCACATATGTTCTGTGCTCTCTTGCTCCAGCACATGGTGTTTTACCTGCTGAAAACCTCACTCTTTTCCCTTAGCTAGTTCCTACTCGTTCCCAGAATCTTGGCTTATATATTCTCTCTTCTGGGAAAGCTTTTCACTCTTGAAATAATTGAGTGCTGTCCATGGTATCCTTGTTATCTTATCCAGTTCTAGGTTCTTGTATTGAAATTTCCTGGTTATCCCTGCCTCCACATATAAACCGAAGAGAAATGAATTGTCTTATTTACTCTTACATCCCTAGAACCTAGCATAGTTCGGCCTCAATAAATATTAATTATATATTGATAAACTTTTTTTTTCTTTTTTAAGTGAGGAAGCTGGTCCAGAGGAAGGCAAGGGAGGGCTGCCTGCCAAGGTAAGCGTAGTTCTTTGTCCCAGCGGCCACAATATAGGCAGTTTATCCTATTCTTTCTCTTCTTCCCCTCCCCTTCTCCCTCTCTCTCCTCCCTCCTCCCTTCTTCCCTACCCTCCCTTTTCTCCTTCCTCACCCTCCCCTCCTCTCCTTCACCCTGCACCCTCCCTCCCCTTCTTCTACCCTCTCCTTCTGCCCTTCTCCTTCTGCCCTCTCTTCCCCATCTCCCCTCCTCCCCTCCTTTCTCCTACTCTCCTTCTCTCCTCCCCTCCCCATCTCACCCCATCTCACACGCTAGCTTTGTAAATGTGCTTTGCAGCTGAATTTATCTGGACCCTAGTCAGGGTCTGTGTTCTCAGCTAGTTGTAACTCTGCCAGGCAGTGTCTGATATGTATATGCTGGATCATTACTTTAGAGTAATTTTAAAATTACATATTTCTGCTACTATTTTAATCTGGAGAAAAACTCTACACTCATGGGGTAGAGAAGTGAAGGGAAAATTAAGATATTTTTGGTCTCAAAATAGAAAAAGATAATGGAAAAAAGGGGCATAGAGCCAGAGATTTATATGTAAAATTTTAGCTCTTAAATGTATCAATATTTGATTTTATAATGTTCACAATCTTTGATCCATCCCTCATTTGATAATCTAACCTAAGAAAATAATACTGCAAACATTATCCTTAGAGATGTTTATTGTAACAGCAAAAAAGGGGGGAGACCAAATGCCTGATAATAGAAAAATGGCTAAGCTAATTACAGTTTTAAGTCAGTGAAATACTAAATTGCCATTAAGATGTTTATAACACCTTGAAAACATGCGTATGTTAATGTTTAGTGTGCAAAAGACTCAAAATTTTATACGCTGAATGACCATAACTATCTATTGCACATTAATCACAGGGAGAATGAAATGGAGCTATAACCACTGCTATTTCAACATTTTTGAATGGTGGAAACTTCATATTTGTTTTTCCTTTAAATTTTTAAAGTTTTCTGAAGCAAGTTTTATTTGCGTAAATAAATATGTTAATATGTTAAAATGTTAGCACTTGGCTATTGTAAACATCACAGAAAAGGCGGCCACTGGCACAGGTGTTCCTTCAAATGCAAATGTTTCTGACTTATGCCTCCATTATTTTACTGTTGGATTTTATTCCTCACTTATTTTATAATTTATCTCTTGATTTCAGATAGAAATTCTAATATTTATTGAACATTAAATAAGTGCAAAGCATTGTATTTAGTTACACCCTTTAAGGAAAAACATCTGGCCAAACAGGAGTTAAAACCTTTGAAATTTCAAAACAATCTATATGTAAATTAGAAGCTATGAGATATATGTATTTGTGTATATGTGTATGTACATATGTGCAATGTGAATATACATATGCGTGTATATCTTTAAAATCTAGAAGTGGTTAGTAAATACTTCTATGAAATAGAGCTTGGGTAGGAAGAGATTGTATATTAAGATAATTTTAGGCTAAGGAAGTAAATAACTTTTAATGCTATCAAGGCAGGAGAACAGAGTTCAGGTGTAAGAGGGGTATGGTGGGTGGGGAGTGGTCAGGGATAGATGCAGATGGTATACTGGCTTCATTGGTATCTAGGGGGAGGGTAGTCAAGTAGTGAGTGCGCAGTTGGTAGAAGGTCTTGAGGCTTTCTTATCAAGAGTTTGAATTTCTCATGGGAAACAATTAGGCATCTCTGATTCTGTGGTATCATTTTGCAAAAATAATTCTTACTATTAGAAGAGTTAAAGAGAGGGCTGGTAGCTGTAGCCAATCCAGACAAGAAGGGAACAGAGCTTGAGACTGGCTAAGGGTAATGAAAATTAAGAGATCTTGCTGATGAAAGTGACCAGAATTAGATGTTGAAAATGAGGAAGTAGTAAAACCCAAGATTTTTCAAACTCATAAAGTTGGAGAAAAATTCTTCAGGATTGGGACACTGAGAAAAGATGACTTTGGGAGATAAATCAGCTTGGATTTAGATTCATATAAATTTATGGAGATTTTTGGTCATAATAGTTTAATGAGAATTTACTATGTACTTGACACTATCCTAAGATATATTACAATATATGTAATACTGTATATTCTCATGTAATATTTAAAAGAACCCTGAAGAGTGTTGCCATGATCTTCATCCTACAGATAGGAAAACTGAAAGGAGTTCAGATTGGCCTGGGGTTATTTACTACCTGGGCAATGAATGATGTTGCTAGTTGGCCAGTAGCGGGAGTGGTTGCTAGACCTGAGCACATAGTCTGAACTAACCAAAATTGTCAAAGTTTGACAATTTTGACAAAATCATTTCTCCAGGCTGGTATTTTTGGGAAAAGAAACAGAAAACAAGTATGCTTATTCAGCTTGAGATGGAAACATTAGCATTCAGACTTTAAGACACATAAAGAAGGGGGGTCTTTCATTTCTTTTAATTTGCTCCACCCAGGTCCCAGTTATTCTTTGAACTAAGGACAGTAGCTCTGGGAGTGAGAAGTTGTGTCCCCTTAGGAACATGTAGAAAAGAACAGTATGCCCAGATAGAGAAAAGAATATTGAAAAATAAGTGAGAATTGTCAGTATAGGGTTGTACAGAAGGTTACAAAGAAAACAAAGAAGATAGTCAGCAATTGGGGAGATTCTTGCTACCATGAATATTGACCCAAGTAGAATTCATTGCAGTCACCTCAAAAGTCTTTTTGAAAACTTGGAGCAACTTAGGACTGTAATACTGTTTAATTTTATTGCTTACAACATGGTAGAATTACTCTAATTTCCTTTTTATTAAAATACTTTAGAGATGTGTTTTACGAGAAACCAACATGGCTTCCCGCTATGAAAAAGAATTCTTGGAGGTTGAAAAAATTGGGGTTGGCGAATTTGGTACAGTCTACAAGTGCATTAAGAGGCTGGATGGATGTGTTTATGCAATAAAGCGCTCTATGAAAACTTTTACAGAATTATCAAATGAGTGAGTACCTTTGAAATGCACTAAAAATATAAACTTAGATTTGGAGAGTTGTTTCTTGTCAAATTATTTTAAATTAAAGCACCGATGTCATTAAAAATCATTTGTGTTTTAAAATCACCCCACATTATATGTTATCTCATATTCATAACCTTTCTGAGTTTTCCAGCTCAGAGATGTTACTTCCTAAAATACAACACGATCATTTTAGATCATGATGTGTTTTTGTTTGTTTGTTTGTTTTCTGTCACCAGGCTAGAGTGCAGTGGTGTGATCTTGGCTCACTGCAATCTCCACCTCCTGGGTTCAAGTGATTCTCCTGCTTCAGCCTCCTGAGTAGCTGGGACTACAGGCGCGCACCACTACACCTGGCTAATTTTTGTATTTTTAGTAGAGACAGGGTTTCACCATGTTGGCCAGGATGGTCTTGATCTCTTGACCTTGTGATCTGCCTGCCGTGGCCTCCCAAAGTGCTGGGATTACAGGCGTGAGCCACTGCACCTGGCCAATCATGATGTGGTGTTTTGTTTTGTTTTGTTTTTTTGTGGCTTTTACTTTCTACTGCTGGTCTTTCTGACTTTTTAAAAAATGAATAGATTTGTGGAATTGTCCTCTGGTGTCTGTTTCATTTATCAGAAATATTACCAAATAGAAAGTTATTATAAAGTCACTGGTTTATCTTTACTTTACATTAACAATGAATTCAATAGTAAAGTTTCAGAGACTACATGCAAGGGAAAATGAAAGTTTGTTTGATTCCCAGAACTGTTCAAAAGTTCTTCCTTAATCACAAGGAAAACACATATTTTCAGATCAGCCAAGGCTTTTTATGAACTGTGAGGATATACTTAACATGCAGAATCTAGAATTGCAGGTTTTATACAGGTTTTAGAATTCCTCTTTTTTTTTTTTTTTTTTTTTTTTTTTTTTTTGAGATGGAATCTAGCTCTGTTGCCCAGGCTGGAATGCAGTGGCACCATCTTGGCTCACTGCAACCTCTGCCTCCCAGGTTGAAGTGATTCTCCTGCCTTAGCCTCCCAAGTAGCTGGGACTACAGGCATGTGCCACCACACCTGGCTAGTTCTTCATTTTTATACTGAGATTCATCAAGTACTCTATTTTGCTTAATTTGTGTTGGGATTTTCTATTCCATAAGGAATATCTCTCCCCAAGGCTATTCCTGTGAGTATATCATATTGGCTGAGGCTAACATTCACTCTAATGACTGCCTAGCCTTTATAGAGATGAATCAAAGGCCCATTGCAATATCCACAATCTGGTGTACAGTGGCCTTCTCGTTAAGCCCATTAAAATGTTTTGATTGTGATAGGATGAAATGAAGACCTGATGCACATCTGCCATTGAGGCATAACCACTTAAAGCTCCTCTTTACATATGCCATGTTAAAATAAAAAAAAAACAATGGACTTTGGCACCAGGCTGACCAAGGTTCTGCTCTTAAGTCTGCTATTACCAGTTCGACTTTGGGCCACTTACTTTCAACAGCCTTCATTGTTTCCACTGTATATTACCAAATGATTATTAAGATTCAATGAGATAAAATAGTAAGCAAGCAGTGAGCTCTCAATAAATATTCTGCCATTGCTAGTAAAGCCTCATATTTTTAAGAAACATTTTTGTGTGCATTATCTTGATTGATGTTTTTATTCCTCAATGCTTTTCTGTCTCATAGGAATTCGGCTTTGCATGAAGTTTATGCTCACGCAGTGCTTGGGCATCACCCCCATGTGGTACGTTACTATTCCTCATGGGCAGAAGATGACCACATGATCATTCAGAATGAATACTGCAATGGTAAGTAGTATATAGATGAATAACTACGAAGAGGGAGATGAACTTTATAAGCCTTCAGAAATAAACTTTCCCTCCTCCTCATAGTTCATTCCACGGATAGCAGATATACCTAAAAAGTCTGTACTATATATTATAGTCTTGCTTGGAAGCACAGAGCTTCTCTTCCTCTTAAAGGGGTCCTCGACTTATTCTTTCTTTCCCTTCTGTTGTCAGGATAATCATTCAGTTCAGAAAATATTTATTCCATGCTAGGCCTTGGGCAAGTGAAGATGAGTTAGATGTGCTCCCTCCCCTTAAGCAACATCCAGGCTGGTAGAGAAACCAGAGCTTTGGTGGCTGCAGCCCTCCTCCTTGTTGGTAGCACCTCATGACCTCACCTACACACTTTGTCTTGGAGTGACTTCATTTTTTTTTTCTTTGAGATGGAGTTTTTCTCTTGTTGCCTAGGCTGGAGTGCAATGGTGTGATCTCGGCTCACCGCAACCTCCACCTCCTGGGTTCAAGCAATTCTCCTGCCTCAGTCTCCCAAGTAGCTGGGATTACAGACACCTGCCACCATGCCTGGCTAATTTTTTGTATTTTTTTTTAATAGAGGCGGGGTTTCCCCATGTTGGTCATGCTGGTCTTGAACTCCTGACCTCAGGTGATCCACCTGCCTCGGCCTCCCAAAGTGCTGGGATTACAGGCGTGAGCCACTGCATCTAGCCGAGTGACTTCATTTTTAACAAGCTCCAAAACGCTCTTTCCTTACTTATTGTTTCTAATTAATACGTCATATATAGTGTATAAATTCTAAGAATACTTGCAAAAAATAAAAAACTTTACTGTAGCCCTCCTTGTGTTTCCGAAACGAGCTAAATTTTTCTCCCTTCTGAACTTACATGTCATGCTAAAATAATTCTTTAAATTCAATTTTACACAGAATGCATTTAAATATTATTTCCCTCAAATTCCATGACTATCTCAGAGCTCAATGAGTGGAGCTATGGTTTTTGTAACTGCCAGTTAGAGCTGGGTCTCTATAATTTGAAGAACCTGCCAATGAACACTAATTAATAGTGTTCAGAGGCCGGGCGCAATGGCTCATGCCTGTAATCCCAGCACTTTGGGAGGCCGAGGCGGGCAGATCACGAGGTCAGAAGTTCGAGACGAGCCTGGCCAAATATAGTGAAACCCCGTCTCTTCTAAAAATACAAAAATTAGCCAGGTGTGGTGGCATGCACCTTTAGTCCCAGCTACTGGGGATGCTGAGGCAGGAGAATCGCTTGAACCCGGGAGGCGGAGGTTGCAGCGAGCCGAGACCATGCCATTGTACTCCAGCCTGGGTGACAGAGTGAGACTCCGTCTCAAAAAAAAAGA
Source organism: Homo sapiens (assembly GCF_000001405.40). Lineage (NCBI taxonomy): Eukaryota > Metazoa > Chordata > Mammalia > Primates > Hominidae > Homo > Homo sapiens. The sequence continues at coordinate 141,722,416 of NC_000007.14, forward strand.
AAAAGTGTTCAGAAGCATTCTAATACCTTAGAATCAAGATCAGATAGCTATATGAATCCAGGCCTTTTATTTAATTGATAACAATAAATCGAGTACAGTTGATGTACAAATACTGTGGCTCAAATAAGATTTAGGTGTATGTGCAGCTTCTATATTCTCCTTGGGTTGGCAGTCATTAAATATTTTATGATCTATTTCTAATGAAATTAGACTTAGACTCCATTAATTAAAATTACTGATGGCCTATAACTACTAGCCTGACACTGACATGGAGCTAATCATTGACACCAATAGTAGCTATACGACTATGCCTGATTGATCTTCTAGTTAATAATTAGGTAAAACTTTTAAAATGTTAGCTGGTACATATTTGAATCAATGGGGCCATATACTGGATACCTGAGATACTGGCATTTTCTTTTCCTCTTTGAAAGCCCTGTAATTCTCCTTTCCAACATGTCTGTGGTATAAATAGGGCAGATATTATGCTTTGTACTGACACCGAAGTAATCTATTCGTTGGACTGAAGGCATTCATGAGGAATGTATTGATCAGAGTACTATGCCATTTTATACAAGGCTCTTGGGCATTTGGGGCTTTGATATCTGCAGGAGGTCCTGGAACTAATACCCTGAAGATATAGGAGGCCAATTGTATTTACTATGCTTTCATCTATAAGACTCATACTGTGGGGCTGTTCTCTGTTGTTCTTTCCCAGGTGGGAGTTTGCAAGCTGCTATATCTGAAAACACTAAGTCTGGCAATCATTTTGAAGAGCCAAAACTCAAGGACATCCTTCTACAGATTTCCCTTGGCCTTAATTACATCCACAACTCTAGCATGGTACACCTGGACATCAAACCTAGTCAGTGTGATTCCCTTCTGCCACTTCTACCGTATTTTGTTCTTTCTATGCTATCATCAAAATCTAGGTCTGTATGTCTATCAAGTGTCAAGGACGGTGTTTGCTGGCAGAACCCCTTTCTTCCATTTGTGTTCCTTAAAAAAAATCAGTTAAATAGTTTTATTCTCCCCTAGGCCCAACAGACATAGAAAAAAAGACTCTTACCCATATAGTAGTAAGGCCAAAAAAGTAAAATTAGGTATTTAATTTACTACAAAGGCAAGTGACAGCATATCAGCTACATTCTGATTATGTTTATGACTAGGGCTATACTCATTCTAACTCTGCACTGATTAAAGAGAAATGAGTAACTGTCACTCATTAATGTGAAACCCAAGGACAAGTTCTTACTATTTTTTTATTTTGGGGACAATAGTACTCTGATACCAGTCCCATCAGAGAATGGAGAATATATGAGATCAGTTGAACTTAAATAGGTATTATCAATCACTAGCTGTTCAGAAGCGATGTGAGATTTCATACAAAAAAAAAACCTTAGTAGTCTATGTCCACACAAAAGAAGAAAGGAGAGAAGCTGAATTGTCAAATACAGAAAAGAATCTTTGAGAGGAAAAAGCTTAGAAGTCATTACTTACATCTATCCTGTCATTTTTTTTTCAGGTAATATATTCATTTGTCACAAGATGCAAAGTGAATCCTCTGGAGTCATAGAAGAAGTTGAAAATGAAGCTGATTGGTTTCTCTCTGCCAATGTGATGTATAAAATTGGTTAGTCTGCCTTATAGCCTTACCAGTTACCATTATCCTATAAAATTTATAGTGATGACTCAATTTATTCATTTTAAGAAAGACATGCTTTTAAAGCTCTTTTGTTCGATTTTATTCTTTTTTCCTTTTTCTTTTTTTTAGGTGACCTGGGCCACGCAACATCAATAAACAAACCCAAAGTGGAAGAAGGAGATAGTCGCTTCCTGGCTAATGAGATTTTGCAAGAGGTATAGATTAGGGAAATGGAGGGTATTTTATAATCTGTTGAACCTTTGACTCTCAAATGGAGGATCTCAGTGCAAAAAATTAAAACTGTATATTTATCATTATAGTACCGCTCTTCCCATTCAGAATGGAGACCAAAGATAGGAGAGAAACTCTTCCAAAAAAGTGAGGAAAGCTGGCTCAGTCAAGGATGAATCAGTATTCAGACTATTCTTTCTAAATGTCCTTTACTGTTTCCCAATATTTCTTAGACTTCCTAACCTCATGGATTGCCTACTAAGAAGGAAGCCTTTTCCTCAAGCCCACATTGGTCCAATCAATCTATCATGCCATTATCCTTCTGATAGCACCACCAGTTTTGGTTATTGAAATGATGTTTAGTCATTGCCCATCTTCTCCAATGTCTGTTGAGTCAGGCCTAGGAAGGATATAACTTCTTCCTGGGTGATAATCAAGTAAAAATGAGTATTCCCTTCCTGTGATCAGCCAAGTTATGTAGCAAGCCTTTCTGAGCCTGACAGCAAAATGGCAGTAAGTTTCTGCCTTGGACTCCTCAGGGCACAGCAGTGTTAATCAGGTAGATTCGTGTTCTCTCTTCTCTAGAAATCACTAACTACAGCGAATGTATCTTTGACCGTCGTGTCTGTTTAAACCTTATATGCACTCGAATGAACCTTTCCTACCAGTTATATTTTAATCTAGACTCACCCTGCTTGGCATAGTAACTGGCCTTCCTGTCTTCTGTTTTGAAGGATTACCGGCACCTTCCCAAAGCAGACATATTTGCCTTGGGATTAACAATTGCAGTGGCTGCAGGAGCAGAGTCATTGCCCACCAATGGTGCTGCATGGCACCATATCCGCAAGGGTAACTTTCCGGACGTTCCTCAGGAGCTCTCAGAAAGCTTTTCCAGTCTGCTCAAGGTGATAGCTCTTACGAGATGAACAGAAGATGCAATATCTATTTTTTTAGTGCGATGGCAACTAGTTGGGCAAAGAAAAATGGAGATGCTAGTAGTGTCACTAACAGAAAAAGGAACGTGACTAGAAGTCCAGAAAAAATAAGGGGCGGGTCCAGGCATGGTGGCTCACACCTGTAATCTCAGCACTTTGGGAGGCCGAGGAGGGTGGACCACAAGGTCAGAAGATGAGACCATCCTGGCTAACACGGTGAAACCCCGTCTCTACTAAAAATACAAAAAATTAGCCGGGCATGGTGGCAGGCACCTGTAGTCCCAGCTACTTGGGTGGCTGAGACAGGAGAATGTCTTGAACCCAGGAGACAGAGCTTGCAGTGAGCCAAGACCGTGCCACTGCACTCCAGCCTGGGCGACAGAGCGAGACTCCGTCTCAAAAAAAAAAAAAAAAAAAGCAGGCAGCGGAGGGGGCGTGGATCGAGAATTTCTTAAGGAAACTCGGAGGATATTGTAAAATCTTTTCATGCTTAGTTTAAAAATCCTGTTACAAACATTTTTTCATTTGTCCCTTCTAACAACCCTATAAGGTAGACAGGTGGCATCTTATCCTGCAGTTGAGGAAACCATGGCTCAGAGCAGCTCCTTGACACCTGTAGTCACAATGAATGACTGGCTAACTCCAAAATCAAATCTGGTCCTTTAGCTCCTACTTCAGGGTTTTAACTATTGTTAGTGATAACAGTGATAGTACTAAAAGAATGAATTTCTATTATATGTAAGAAGGTATAAGACTACTTTATTGATAATTGATAATACCAATTATTTGAGCTATTAGAAAAAAGGCATAATGTCAATTCAAAAATCTATGTTTTACTTGTTCTTAATGACATCTGAGTAGTGTGGGGACAAGAAAAGGAAGATACTATGTTGAAATAGAAACAAAAAGCTTATACTGTCAAGAAGCTTAATCATGTCAAGAAAAGTGTATATATGACTTTAAATCATGTCTTAAGGAACAGGATTGGCTAGGATTCCCAAAACAGCCTTAGAAATATCTACTTCCTTGGAGATTAGATTTTTTTTATTTTTATTTTTATTTTTTATTTTTTGGGACAGGGTCTCATTCTGTTGCCTAGACTGGAGTGCAGTGGCACAATCATAGCTTACTGCAGCCTTGAACTCCTGGGCTCGAGCAATCCTCCTGCCTCAGCTTCCTGAGTAGCTGGACTGCAGGTGTGGGAGATTAGTTTCACAGTTTACCTGCAAACTTCAAATGTATTTACAAATCTGTCCTTCTTCCTGACTTCTTTTGCTTTCCTGAAAGGAGGCAAACTCTTCCTCCTTCCTTTTGTTCAGTCTAATCACCTATTTCCATATGTAAACCACTTTTGCATTTAGTTGATATTTCAGTACCTAAATGCTGGCCCTGTACTAGATAAGACATATATTAATTTTGTTAAATTCTAAAAATAGTTCAAGAAAGTGAATATAATTATCCCAAATTTCAGGTAAGGGAAATGGAGCTTCAGCAAAGTTTATACAACAAATGGTGGAGTTGGCTCTGAATTTGGTCTGAATTTGGTTCAGTGTTTTCTTCATTATATGACAGTTTCAGTTGCTGTATATAATTAGGTATTTTCTACTATATTCAAATCATGATAGGTTACATCGTCTACCTTAAAATAAATGCTTCAGGAATACTGTCATGTTGGGTTATTAATACTAAGTGAAAAAGCAACATGATGTGGTAGAAAGTAAACTGGAGTAAGAGTTGGGCAAACTGGGTTTTGGTCTTGTCCATTCCAGTAATTTGGATAATTTTTATCGAGAGTCTTAGTTTTTTCTGCTTTAAAACTAAGGCAATAGACTAGTTAGCCAGCCAGCTCCAAAATATGATTAAAAACAAATCAAAGGTGTGGACAACTGGTGCTACCAGACATGGACAATCCTCCTGCCCCAGGTGGAGCTCAGTTTTCATTTCTTTCCTCTGCACAAAGCAGAAGCAATGTCTTACAAAATCCACCAGGAGAAGCTGGGTTGGAGTTGGCTTGAATGGGAAGATTTTTCCCAATAGTGAAGCTTCTGTTTCTTTCCTCTTGGTCCTATATCATCAGAACATGATCCAACCTGATGCCGAACAGAGACCTTCTGCAGCAGCTCTGGCCAGAAATACAGTTCTCCGGCCTTCCCTGGGAAAAACAGAAGAGCTCCAACAGCAGCTGAATTTGGAAAAGTTCAAGACTGCCACACTGGAAAGGTATATTTTTGGATGATGGGGGGTCAAGAAAGAATCTGAGCACTACTCACAATGGTATGACTAGTCTACTGTGTCTTCTCTGTGGATTCAAGTATAAATATATTCACCATTATAATACATAGGTCCCTGCCCACAAGGAAACTGGCAGCATGCGGCTCTTTGTAGCATCGGGCTGGGAGGCTCTGTGATTAGGTTGCTTGAGAGAGAAAATTCCAGTTAACGCAAACAAAGGAAGCAAGAGTGAGGAATATAAGGAAATACCAGTAAAGAAAACTTAGGATTCTAAGTGACAGCAGGTATCTTAGTAACTGGTTGGTGATCACCTAATATAAGATAACCACAGGTAAGATGGGTAAGACCTATTTTAGAAACCCATAAATTTCAGGGGCAGGCAGGTAGACATACTGTCCTGGTACACATTTGGAGGAAGGATTATTTTTCTGAGCAAAGAAAACGATCTGTTCCCCTACTCATGTGGGCTTGTATTCATGCATATATTTACTTGTTAATCCATTCCTTCAATAAATGGGAATTCAAATACTTACCTGGCAGGGAAGATACCATGATCACGAAGGTGGTTTTTCCCAGCGTGGGGCTCATCGATTGCACTCCGGATGTGCTGACCCCTGTGATATTCCCAAATGTGGAAAACTCGACTGCATAATTTGTTGTAGTGGGGGACTGCATTCGCGCTTTCCCCTGAAAAACGGAAACAAAAAAATAGGAATTTGATGGGGTGGGGTTGGAGATGAGCAGTGTTCTGAAGGCATTTTTGAGTAATTATTACATATACTGTACACTGTTGAAAATACAAAAGAAGAAAATGAAAAATTGTCCTTGCTTAAAATAAGCTTAGAAGTCCAGCTTCTCTTGGATATACAGTCATCCATCTTGGAAAGATTAGCTTTGAAGCATCCCTAACCTGATTTCTTAGTATTAATAATAACTTGTAGAGACTCTTGGCCTTTAGTCAGGTAAATCTTCCTAATAAGCCTCTTAATATTTTTCTGTTCTAGTTTTGAATTCCATTGTCCCAGCTAATAAAGAAAGTACAAAGTACTATACTTACATATGTTATTCACAAGAATATAAGTACCTCTTAAGGTGTGGTGTATACATTCTGGGAAGCCAGCTATGGAGACACAGGTGACTATCATCAGCCAGTACCAGTGATGGGCACCTATCATAGAGATGGGGCAGACAGCATCTTGAAATTGTCTAGACCAGGGGTCCCCAGCCCCTGGGCCATGGACCAGTACCAGTCTGTGGCCTGTTAGGAACCGGACTGCATGGCAGGAGGTGAGCAGTGGGTGAGTGAGCACTACCGCCTGAGTTCTGCCTCCCATCAGATCAGTGGTAGCATTAAATTCTTATAGTACAAACCCTATTGTAAACTGTGCATGTGAGGGATCTAGGTTGTGTACTCCTTCAAGAATCTAATACCTGATGATCTGAGGTGAACAGTTTCATCCTGAAACCATCTCCTCCCCCGACTCCCCACCCATGGAAAAACTGTCTTCCTCGAAATCAGTCCCTGGTTCCAAAAAGGTTGGGGACCGCTGGTCTAGACCAAGTGTTGGAAAACTTGTTCTGTGACGGGCTAGAGAGTAAATATTTTATGCTTTGTGGGCCATATGCTTTCTGCTGGAATGATTTCAGCTCTGCTGTTATATGTTGTCAATGGCTGTTTTTACACTATAAATGAGTGGCTGTGTTCCAATAAGACTTTATTTATAAATACAGGTGATAGGCCAGATTTGACTCAGAAGTTGTGGTTTATTGACCCTGGTACCTTTCATATGTAGCCTGAAGAGCTGTTCACTTAATTTAAAGCATTTTAAAGATCACTTATACTCCAATCAGCAGAGCCTGGGGAGCTAAACCTGCCATGTTGTATGACATGTGTGTGTCAACCATTTTTTATGACAACCATAGTAACTGAATTTTCTATTCTGTACATAGCTCAGGCTTTTCGTTTCTGTAAATACTGAAACAAGAAGAAAAACATTTATATATTAGTTTTGATCATACATATCTCTGACTGGAGATCAAGTAGCCTTTGCTTTTTCTCCCTCGCACTTCAGGGAACTGAGAGAAGCCCAGCAGGCCCAGTCACCCCAGGGATATACCCATCATGGTGACACTGGGGTCTCTGGGACCCACACAGGATCAAGAAGCACAAAACGCCTGGTGGGAGGAAAGAGTGCAAGGTCTTCAAGCTTTACCTGTGAGTAATCTTCCCCTTAAGAACTCATTTTGCAGCCGGGCGTGGTGGCTCACGCCTGTAATCCCAACACTTTGGGAGGCCAAGGCAGGTGGATCATGAGGTCAGGAGATCGAAACCATCCTGGCTAACACGGTGAAACCCCATCTCTACTAAAAATACAAAAAATTAGCAGGGCGAGGTGGCAGGCGCCTATAATCCCAGCTACTCAGGAGGCTGAGGAAGGAGAATCGCTTGAACCCGGGAGGTGGAGCTTGCAGTGAGCTGAGATCACACCACTGCACTCCAGCCTGGGCAACAGAGCGAGACTCTGTATCTAAAAAAAAAAAAAAAAAAAAAACTCATTCTGCACCAGCCAACCTTTTACTGTAGAACCTCTGTAAATAGATATCAGCTGTCCCAACCTTCCTCTTATAAAATGAAAAAATTAGCCAACTTGAATGCCCAAGGATTTCAAAAGCTACTACTAATTTACCATTTATAGCCAAGATCCTAAAGCTAGTAAGGCTTTGTCTTCTCAAGGGTCCCAGACACAATAATTGGAAGCCATTTCTCTTCTCTATTGTTATATTCCTAATGCCACTGATCAATAACTTATTTACTTCTCACACTTTTGATGAACAGCAGGAGAGCGTGAGCCTCTGCATTAAAGGAAGAAAAGGAAAACAGCCCTTGGTTTGGCCTATGGATTACGAGGTTGCTGTTGCTGATTCCCCACCAAAGATCCCAGGGACTCGTTGTACATAGAAAGGAATAGAATTTAGTTTAGAGTTGAAGTCACAGCTTACAGAAAATGTGCCTGGATTTCCACAGCGCTTCCCAGGTTATATGATGCTGTTCCTAAGAGAGAATTCCCAGCTTCTTTGAGGAAGTGGGTCTCCTAATGTATACCCTTTCTGATATTGTATTTATTAAATAAATGGTTTCACCATTATGTGAGGTGGGTAAAAGTTAGACTGCATGCAACTTGGACATCTCTGAGCTGGTTGTTAACTTGCAGAACAAAAATGCTGTGGGGAGAGGCTTCAGGGAAAACTTGATGTGCCTGTGGTTGTTCTCCATCTATTTGCCCTGCCTCTCTTGCTGTTCTGGTTGGTTTGATATTCTGGGTCTCACCAATTTCTCTTGATTTTTGTGAGAATTTGGCTTTGTTTCCTGTTTTTTAAAATCATATTTTATCTAAATCCTTTTTCTGTACACATTTTTAAAGGAAGAGAATACTGTATTTTTAAATAAAGGTTTTTATCTTGTCCAAAGCCTAATTACAGGTAAAATATCCTTTGTAAAATGTAACTAACAAAGAATGAGAAATTTATGTCGGAGAACATTTTATGAATAAAAGGGTAAGAGAATTGAGTGGGTCAGTAGTAACAGGTCTTGGTGGCAAGTCTCAGCTTCACAGTTCCAACAGTTAATGATGGTCAGGATCTGCTAGAAAATTATGTTGGTCATAAAGGTATTTGATAAGCTCTGTTTGTGTCATCTTAGTGAATGCAACCTGTTAATGATAATGGCTTTTTCGCTGCTTGATTTTCTTCTTTTCCTCATTTTTAAAAGCTAATTAAGTTTTTTTAATTGAATAAACCCTAATACTATTCTTTGTTCTGCTTTGGAGTAGCAGTTCTTTCCATGCAATTAAGTGTGGTGTTGGTCTTCCTATAGCCCATTGCCATTTTTCTTTACTAGGCTCTGTTCAAAATTATAAAATGGGGTTAGTTTATCTCTTGCCACCTCCCCCTCAACACACACACACCAGGCCATGTTCCTTGTAGTATAGTACAAGGTCAACCACAATTTCTGATTTAGAAACAGGGAAATTATTAAGTACATCCAGTGTATAGATGAGAATTGTTTGGTTATATTAGTCTTCTCAGGCATTGATAACTATGACTGTTTGGGTCTACAGCCTCTTCTCTACTGTGTTCCTCAGCCTAGCTTCGCACCTGGTGCCAGTTCCATTGGCTCTGACTCTGGCTCTCTGGCTCCGGCTCTCTGGCTCTCGCTCTCGCTCTCACTCTCGCTCTAGCCCGCTCGGGTCCTCTCTGGCCTACTCGTGCTCGCTCTGGCTCGCTTTCTCTCTCTCTCTCTCGCTCTCTCTCTCGCTCTCTCTCTCGCTCTCTCTCTCGCTCTCTCTCTCGCTCTCTCTCTCGCTCTCTCTCTCGCTCTCTCTCTCGCTCTCTCGCTCTCTCTCTCTCTCTCGCTCTCGCTCTCTCTCTGGCTCTCTCTCTGTCTCTCTGGATCTGCAGCAGCAGGATGTCACCAAAATAGTATGTATCTGCATAGATACTACTGAGTGTGAGGGACTGCGTCTTCACTGGCCTTAGCGTTTCATCCCTTCCATTTCAGTTAGACGCTTATTTCTTACCTCAGTAAGTTTTGTTTTTGCACAGAGATCATTATATAACTTGGAAACTAATTATCACAATTATTTTATTAACATCATTGGGCTGGTAACATTAAAGAAGTTAAATTAAAATACTTTAGAAAATATGTTACTTCTCTATGGATGTATTCTAAATGTCAACACTGACATTAAGGTACCAACAGATACTCTTGAGATCTAGAGGAACACTATTGCGCTCTACTGGTCTAATAAGCTCTAACACATGTACCAGTTTAGAGAATCCATTTACTGAAAGTTGTAGAAAGATGAATATTGAAAGGTATGACCCTTTCAGCCTGAACGACTAAGGCTTTTTATCTCTAGATGAACCATATTTTCAATCTTGAATTAGATAAAAATTGTCAGGTTTTTCTTTAAATTAAAAAATAGCCATAATAACTACTAAGTATTACTAAAATTGCTTTCAAACCATTCTAAAATATATGCAAGTAATCAGTGTAGGTAATAAGTGCTGCAATTTTTCAGTAGTTATGAGGCTTTAGGTAAGCTGATTTAAAATCAAAGTAAAAACCTGATTAACATTTCTTTAAAAATGGATAATTTACAGCAAAACTGTCCAAGGCTTCCTATTTATGATAAAGTATTGCCAGTCTTGGTCTCTACCAATGGATGCCTATAGCTGGAACCTTTTTAATTTAGGGAGAAACAAGTCAGGCCAAAGGTGACTTTGCACCCCTGGGCATTTATGATACACATTTCTTTCTCATTCATCTTTGCAAATGATAAAAAGCCCTGTGTCAGTATACTACTGCCAGGCATTAAAGCTGATTAAAGCCATAATGCTACCTGTCACCACTTCACAGCATTGGGAAGGCCATCTCTGGGTCCATGGATGAACTACACAAAGTGTGTTTATGTGTATCCTATGGAGAGGTTTCAGGGCTTCCTCATCAAAATGCAAAATCTAGGTTTCTGAAAGGGTATCTCTGATACAAAAATACATTGGAGTCACTATTCTAAGTCCTCGATTAAAAAAATAATAATTTTAGGGCTCTTTGAGCATCCTTCTGGGTTCTTCCCAGAAATAAGAATGCTTATTTGAGCATCCCTTCTGGATTCTTATTTCCATACCCTGGCCTGTGGCCTGGGCCCTACTAGCCTGTCCTTGTTTTAAAGTATACTGTGAACTGGATATTCACAAGTTCCTTGACCTCTAAGAGCTCACAGTTAACAGGAGGGATGAGGTACCTTTGTGATCATTTGTTATAAGATGGACTGAGTGAGGAAAGAAAATGAAATGGGAGAACAGAAAGGAAGGACCGTTTGAGTGAAGAAGTCTGAAAGTGTGTGAGGGGAGTGCAGTTCAGATCCTGAGGATGGAGCAATGCAACAGAAGCATTTGTTGTGTTAGGAAGAGGGATCCATTTGATAACAGAAGAAAATGCTTTAATTTCTCCATGACATTTTACATCAAAAAACTGTGTACATTTTATCATGCTTTTCTTTGTCAAAGAAAAAACAACTGAAGTAGCAGCACTGTGACTCTCTCCAGCCAGCAATCTCGGGAGAATGTGTATTGGCAATTCCTGTCTGAGAATTCAGAGTACTCCAGACTCTCCACTAAGATGTTATTTATAAAGTTGTAAGAGTTTGCTCCAGGTTGTCTGTTTTCAATTTGCATGGTGCTTTCTGTATTTTTCTTTATACAACTTCTCCCACACTCCTTACTCCAAAGTATGCAAATAGAAAGGGAGATATTAGTGGCATCATGAAGAAAGAAATTTTAGGGCCAAGTGATTGGATACAGGTGAATGGATGTTGGTGGTCAGAGAGAGATGAAGCTGATTACAAAGTTCAAGTCTGGGAGAATCTTGGTACCATTAAACAAGGAGCTTAGAAGGGAGAAACTGACTTTGGGCAAAAGGGTGAATTGTTTTTCATTTGACTCTACCCCTCAAGTGGAAGCAGGATTTTTAAAGAGAAAATCATTGGAAGTCATTGACAGTAGTAACATAGCAGGTGGGGTGTGGGATTACTAATTCCTGTGCAAGGCTTGAAGGCAGTATAACATGGTATGTTTTAGGAGCTCAACATTGTGAAGGTGCCAGTAAAATGGAGGTAAGCATCTAGAAATACAGTTTACCAACTGGTGAGCAAGACCTTCAGGAGTGCGTTAAAGTGTGTGTGTTGGAAGCTATCTTAAGATTTTATCCCTAAATGGCAAAAATGGGCAGATGAAAGGTTTTAGGTAGAGGCCTGAGGAGGTGATTTGCCTGTTAGAACAATATGGTGGGTACCTTCTTTCTCCACAGTCTGGACAGTGCCAGGACCAGGAGAAGGAGTGGAAGGGGCAGCCCCCGCTGGTGTGGGTTCTGCAATTTATGGGGCTCCATACATCCTTTTTCCCACTAGGCCCAGGGTTAGCGTAAATGAGAAGGAATTTAAGGGGCACCAAGGAACTCAGCAATCAAGATTTGTGATACTTTAATGAAATATTCTTAAAATATTAAAACTAATGAAAAAAATTCATGATGAATAAAATACCAAAATTTTAAATAAAGACAAGATCAGTAAGCTGAAGTTAATTAAAATTATTTAAGGTTGTTACTTGGTCAAGAAAAATTGTGAAGGCATGGCAATTCTCTCAAAACAAGCAAAGCAGATTTGAACACATTACTGATCAGTTTACTTCCATTAAAAGTAAAGTTATATTACATCCATCTTGGCATAAATAAAATATTTAAACTTAAAACAATGTTGTGAATTTTAATACACCTGTAGTGTAACAGGTCCCCCCCACCCGGGTTACTAAAGAGTGTATGTCCACTGCCTGAATCCTGAAGGCCATGTGGCAAGGCCAAGGTGACCAGCCAAAGAGCAGCTGTTTGAGAAGCCAAACATCCCAGAGAATATCTGAGAACCTACCAAAGAAAACAGCTCCATCACACACAGTAGGCTAAAAGCCAGAAAATTAGCTTACAAGTAGCTTAGGGATGGGAGGCCAGGCGGATCTCTACAGCTGTCATGCTGCCATCCAGGAGTGCCTTGTATGTAAGTCCTGATAAACTCCTCTACTCGCCAAGCTGGACTTGTCTGGGTCAATCTTTGGTTTCTCGGCTTCCTCTCAGTTTGGGGGAAGGTTTTTATTAATGCAATTCTGGGTTTTTCTTGTTACAATATCTACTTTAAAAATTTTCAATACTTCTTCAACTACTTTAATGTTCTGGAAATATATGTGTATATATATTGATATATAACACATATACATATATATTGATATATATACACATATATACATACATATATTTTGTGTGATGATATATATATACCGTCTCAAAAATATATATGTGTATATATATTGAGATATATATACACACATATTTCATTCATACATATTGATATATATACACATATATATATACACACATATATATATTTTTTGAGACAGGGTCTCTCACTCTGTTGCACAGGCTGGAGTGCAGTGGTGTGATCATGGCTCACTGAAGCCTCAACTTCCCAGGCTCAAGCGATCCTCCCACTTCAGTAGCTGGGATTATAAGCACATACCACTATGCCTGGCTAATTTTTTTTTTTTTTTTTTGAGACGGAGTCTCGCACTGTTGCCCAGGCTGGAGTGCAGGGGCACGATCTCAGCTCACTGCAAGCTCCGTCTCCCGGGCTCTCGACATTCTCCTGCCTCAGCCTCCCTAGTAGTTGGGACTACAGGCACCCACTACCACGCCCAGCTAATTTTTTGTATTTTTAGGTAGAGACGGGGTTTCACCGTGTTAGCCGGGATGGTCTCGATCTCCTGACCTCGTGATCGGCCCGCCTTGGCCTCCCAAAGTGCTGGGATTATGGGCGTGAGCCACGGCGCCCGGCTGCCTGGCTAATTTTTGTATTTTTTACAGAGACAGGGTTTTGCCATGTTGCTCAAGCTGATCTTGAACTCCTGGGCTCAAGTGATCCACCCCCTCAACCTCCCAAAGTGCTGGGATTACAAACATGAGCTACTGGACCTGGCCAAAATTTTTTTAATTAAACATTTTTTTTTGTTTTTGTCTTTATTTTTAATTTTTGTGGGTTCAAAGGAAGTGTATATATTTATGGAGTACATGAGATATTTTGATACAGGTATGCAACGTCAAATAAGCACATCATGGGGGATGGGGTATCATCTTAATTTATCCTTTGAGTTACACACAATCCAATAACACTCTTATTTTAAAATGTACAGTTAAGTAATTATTGACTATAGTCAACCTATTGTGCCATCGAAAATAGTAGGTCTTATTCGTTCTATTTTTTTGTACCCATTAACCATCCCCACCTTCCCTCCAGCCCCCCACTAACCTTCCTAGCCCCAATTTTTAAAAATACATAAGTACACATATACACAGGGGTGCATATTCTTCCTTGTGCCTCAGGCTCCAGTCTGGCTTGGATCCTGTATTCAGTTAAAATTTTAATACAGTCATGCACTTCATAATGATGTTTTGGAAAAAGACTGCATATACAACAGTGCATATACAAAGGTGGTCCCATAAGATTACAATGGAGTTGAAAAATTCCTATCGTCTAGTGACATCATACCTGCTAAAACATCAGAATGCAATGTATTACTCATGTGTTACTTGATATTAATAATGACTATGTCACTGGTTTATGTATTTACTATACTTTTTATTATATTATTATTTAACTTATTTTTTAAAAGTTAACTGTAAAACAGCCTCAGGCAGGTCCTTCAGGAGGGATTCCAGAAGAAGACACTGTTATAGGAGATGACAGCTCCCTGTGTGTCACTGCTTCTGAAAACCTTCCAGTGGGACAAGATGTGGAAGTGGAAGGCTGAGATTGATCATAATGACCCTGTGTAGGCCTAGGCTAATGTGTGTGTTTATGTCTTAGTTTTTTTAAAAAATGGCTAAAAAGTTAAAAAAAAAAAGAAAAAAAGCAAAGGTAGAAAAAAGCTTGTAGAATAAGGATATAAGAAAAATATTTTTGTACAGTGGTACAGTGTGTGTTTTAAGCTAATTGTTATTACAAAACAGTTAAAACGTAAAAAAATTTGGAAGATTTATAAAGTTATAGTGAGTGAAAGTTTATTAAAGGAAGAAAAGTATTTTTTATAAACTGAGTGTAGCCTAAGTGTACAGTGTTTATGAAGTGTTTAGTGGGTACAATAATGTCCTAGACCTTCATGTTGGGCCACCACTCACTCATTTACTCACCCACAGCAACTTCCAGTTCCGCAAGCTCCATTCATGGTAAGCGCCCCATACAGGTGTGCCATTTTTATCTTTTATACCGCATTTGTACTGTACCTTTTCCATGTTTACATATGTTTAGACACACAGATACTTACCATGAATTACAATGGTCTGCGGTATTCAGTACAGCCCCATGCTGTCAGGTTTGCAGCCTGGAAGCAGCAGGCCACACCACAGAGCCGAGGTGTGTCCAGGCTCCACCATCTAGGTCGTCAAAGTACATTCTGTGGTGTTCGTACAGCAACAAAATCGCCTAATGACGCAATCCTCAGACCTTACCCTGTTGTTAAGGTACACATGACTCTTATTTTGTTCCTCCCGGATTTCCTGCATTAATTTTTACTTTTTAAAATATTACATTAATATATTATTTGATTGCCAGTTTTTCTGGTGCTCCCTTAAATTGCACAGCCTGCCAGCCCTTCCCTGGCTCCCCTTTCTTTTTCTGCTTTTCTTAGTGCTTCAACAGACCTGGGACGTTCTTTTTCTTTCTTTTTTTTTTTAATTTTCTTCTTTTTTTCTTTTTCTTGTTTTGTTTTGTTTTGTTTTGAGATAGAGTTCGCTCTGTTGCCCAGGCTGGAATGCAGTGGTGCGTTCACGGCTCAATGCAGCAACGACCTCCAGGGCTCAGGCGATCCCCCGACCTCAGCCTCCGGAGAAGCTTGGACCACAGGCGCGCGCCACCACGCCCAGCTAATTATATATTTTTTGTAGAGACAGGTCTCACTATGTCGCCTAGGCTGGTCACAAATGTTGCTTTTTTTTCCCTCCAGGCAGAGCTAGTCTCTGTTTTGCCTACCTCGCCCCCTCCTGGGCCCAGTTAGAAACCTCATCACATAATTTCATTTCTTTCCAAACTTGAAACCTTCTAAACTTGAAACCTTCTAAACTTGAAACCTTCCAAACTCACCACTTGGCGGCGTTGATCCATCCGCCCGCGCACAAAGAGAAGATCGCGGAACTTCAGAGTTAAGGGGAGCCGTTTCCCGCAGCGCTAGCCGGCAGTATTTCCAAGGCGCAAGTTGCGGAGTTTCTGTTTCCTTTTTCCTCTGGCGAGCTTTGCGTTCCCTGTGCGCCGGAAGTGATCCCCTGCGTGGCTGGGCTGCTCGGGTTAGATCGTCAGGTGAGGGAGGAAGGGATAGCCAGCGCGAAGGAAGTGCTGGAGTCGTGTGTTTTGGCTGCGCGTGATCCTGCGTGGGTCGGGAGGTGTTTCTGTGTAGGTGTCTGGCCCTTTCATCAGTCGTGCGGAGGACCGCGTGATTTCCTTCCAGTTCTCCTCGGTTTTCAGGTGGTGGCGCCATCTTCGGTAAAGGGTGTCCACCTCTCCCTATGGTGTGGCTGGCTAGCCCGGGGGTCTCTACGCTGCTTGGTCTTTGTTAACGGAGATGAAGGCAGTAATTTTTCAGTAACAGGTTTCAGATATAAGTCCCTTGGTGATGCTAATATTTATGGAGGCCTTACTATGCATTAAGAACTTTTTTAGAAGTTTAGAAAATGGCAGTGAATAAAGCAGATACAAATCTCTGCTCTAAGGGAGCTTGCATAGTAATGAAATTTGAGAAGACAGTGGATTGGAAGTGGGATTAACTCAGAATCAAAATTTTGTCGATGGGTTGGAGGAAGAGGAAGTTATTTGGGACCAAAAAGACATACAGGTGTGAGTTTATTTGGGAGGGAGGAAGGAATCCTCATCAGATGTGCAGGAATGTTGGTACGTTGTGGTCACAAAATTGGAGTGCATAAAAATTATGAATATAGTTAGGAATTTAGGACTGGTGAGTTGTACTTTTGCCATAAGAGGTAATGTTTTTTTCTTATTTTGTTTTTTTCCTTCAGGAAAAGCCTAAAGATTAGACTGTAAGAAAAGAAAATAGAAGCCATGTTTCGAAGACCTGTATTACAGGTAGTCACTTGTCTGTATTAATACTGAGATGTATTACTATCAGCCACAGTGATCAGAAGACTTCTTTAGGCTTTTAACTACAGGGGCAAAAGACCTTTGAGCTCACCCACCCACCTCTATACTCATTTGATATGGAGGATTGGGGACGATTTTGCCAGTGTAAATTATGTTCACTAAAACAAAAAAAAAGTTCAGGTTTATTCACACGTAATAGGAATCATTAATTTTTAAAATGTGTGTGTGTTGCTTGAATTTAACCAGTGAGAGGACATTAAAGGTCTTTAGTGACCTAAAGACTGTAGGAATCATTGTTCCAACTTTTTTCTTAAGGCATGTAGTTGCTTTTTTGACCATCTACCTCCTGTGTTGCTAAACGTTCCTCTTCCCCCATCTTTCCACACTGAAGAGAGCATCTCAAGTCTCAGTGGTCACCAGAGATTTCACTATGTAGAAAATGCCTTCTCATTCCACTTAGTATGGGTCCTCACTTTTCCAGACACTAGCCCACCTTGAGCCAGCTTAGACTACCATTTTTCCTCACTTACCACATTCGGGCACCAGCTCCTGTAGATTCTTCTTTGGCTCTCCTACTCCCCATCCTCCTGTGAAGACCAATGAAGAACCAGTTCCTCCATGACTCTGTCATTTTCCCCACCTTAATCCTATATTCTTGGATCCCCACTTTAACCTGTATGTATCTTTAATCTATTTTTTTCTGTATTGAAATGTGAAACATGAAAAAGTTATTGCTTCTTAACACTAACGTTACAGTATTAAAATGTCTTTAAATAAGAGTTAAAAGTTTAATTTAAAAAATTATCCAAGTTAAATAATCCTTTCCTAATCTTCTCCAGTAGATTTTTGTGTGCCCCAAATGAGACATTGTTATTATAAATCTCTGTGTAAGATTTATGAGGTCTAGCTTGTCTGAGCACTCAAATGACATTTCCAGAATCATGACACAGGTTCTCATTAGCAGTTTGATTCTATAGTATGTTGTACTCATATCTTTATTTTCTTATCTGCCCTCTGCTCCTAAGTTTAGTGATAGGATTAGATAGCCAACAGCACCCTGGGGATTGGTGTTTATTTGATTGGTGGACTTCTGCTTTTTATATTAACAGTACTGCCACTTCAAAAATGTTTCTCTGATAGAATGGCTAGCTCTCTGAGCTCTGAATTCAGTGATGTGTACTCCCATCTTTACAGGAGCTCTTGAAATTAAGGAGGCAGCAGAGGGCTTCGGGAAAGCAGTAGCATTGGTGTCAAGGGCCCTGGGTCCTTGAGATCACTTGCCACATACTTCCTGCAGGAGCTTGGGCAGGTGATGCAGTCTCTCTGAGGTGTTTTCTCAGCCCTAAATGGGAATAATTTTACATAACTTGTAGATTTAGTTTTAGAATTGATAATAGATAAATCCCTTAGCTGATATTCAGTAATGATTGCTGCTATTATGTGGTAGTGACTACCTTTGCTGACAGTGATGTGACTTTGACTTGGACAGTCGAGTCTTTGTGTTTAATCAAAGAACCAAATTTATTAGACCTTTTTTGATGCACTAAAAACAGGAAATTTCCTATGAAATATTTATAAAAACTGTATTAGGCTAAGCTCACTACTGAAGCTGTTTAATTTTTGCAATAGCCTTGTGAAGTAGGTATTATGTATCATAATTTTTGCTTATTTTAAAATGAAACACTTTAGATTAGTCATATTAGGTATCCTAATTCCTTTTAAGGTCTGAAGGAGCAACCAGGGGAAGGCAGTTTCATAGACACAGGGAATCTGACTTTGGAATATGTTCCTGTTGCTGTGTCAGAAAGTCATTCATGTGATTAGTTTTAGAATGTATTGTTTTGTTGGAATGTAACCTATCTCTCGTTCTCTAAACCAGCAGACCCCAACCTTTTTGGCACTGATAACTGGTTTCATGGAAGACAATTTTTCCATGGAGGAGGGGGGTGCCGTGGGGATGGTTTCAAGATGAAACTGTTCCACCTCAGATCATCAGGCATTAGTTAGATTCTCATAAGGAGTGCACACCCTAGATCCCTCGCATGAGCGGTTTATAATGGGGTTCTGCTCCTGTGAGAATCTAATGCCACTGCTGATCTGACAGGAGGCGGATCTTGGTCAGTAATGCTTGCTCGCTGCTTGCTGCTCACCTCCTGCTGTGCAGCCAGGTTCCTAACAGGCCACAGAACTCTACTAGTCCTCAGCCCTGGAGGTTGGGGACTCTCCTCTAACTGGCTGTTCGTTATGCCTGAGAGTAAGGCTTTGCATTTATTCCACACCTCCTGACACTTGTTTGATCATTGCATATGTTATTAATGAATCTACTTATTAAATTATTAATTATAAAGCATCTCTTTTAACTCTCCTTTGGTCTAATGATGGATTAAATCAGTACCCATGTTGGATCTAAATTTCTTAATTTCTAAAGTCTACTGTAACCAAAATACAGTAGTAATATACCAGTTGTTTATACTAAAAAAAAAAATTAGAGGATGTATATATTGAATATATGTAGTACTTTTTGTCTCTTTTTGTCTTTCCAGCTAATGAAAGCTGGATTTTGAAAATACTTGGCAGCAACTCTTAGGTACAGGTTGGATTTACAAATATTATCATACTCTGTAATGTTAAAGTGATACTATTTTGATTTTTCCTTTTGTGTGCAAACACAGAAGTGCCATAATCAAGGAGATGTCGCAAAATAAATGGGAGTACTATAACTTAACTTTGAGCATGCCTTCTAGTACCTTCCTTCTACCTTTGGGCTTCTGCATTAGGCTGCTCTTGAAGTGTTTGCCGGGGCCTTCTGGCACTCTGTTGGGAGAACATGAGAAGAGCTTCTCTTCTCTTCTGGAATTTTCAGGAACTACTGACTATATGGTGAATGAACGTGAGTAATTCTTCTGTTTGCATTTGCCTTTCCTAAAAAATTAAAGCCATGTTATTCATTTGTTCTTCTTTAGGTACTTCGTCAGTTTGTAAGACATGAGTCCGAAACAACTACCAGTTTGGTTCTTGAAAGATGTAAGTAGCTAATTTCCAAGTTTAAAATGTTATTTTTAGTAATTTGCCAATCTCAAATGTGTTGTAGAAGAGGTATGCTGCTTGGGTTAACCATGTTGCCATTGTGCTTTTAGCTCATGTTTGCTCTTCAGATCTTAGCCTTGACACATCAGGCTGTGGAGACATAGTATAAACTGAGCCCCTGTTCTCCTTATCAGCCAGTTACTACTCATTCTTGTCAACACTGTCCTGCATAAGAATTTCCTTGAGTCATATTTGGTTATCTGAGTCTTCCCGGGTTATGTTGTATTAGGCTGAGATTGTAAAAGATATTGTTTCTTCACAGAAATATTCCCTTGTGTTTATAAAGATTTTCAGATCTCAGATTTGTTCTTTTAGCTCCACAGTCAGTTAAAAAAGATATCTTAAAGAATTTAAGATCTAGAGCTTACAGTTTGTTTTGTGGGGCTGCTTTCTCTATGACTATTTTCTTCTTTCTTGCCAACTCTCTTCTCTCGCAACCTCTCCTTATTCATTCCTTAACTTATTTTCTGATCTTCCAGAACTTGGGTTTTACTTAATGCAGAGATTGAAGTTGAAGTCATATTTATAGCATTTCTTCTGGACATTTCTCTCAGTCTTGAGTGTGGATTTCTTTTTTTTTGAGACTGAGTCTTGCTCTGTCGCCCAGGCTGGAGTGCAGTGGCGCGGTCTCCGCTCACTGCAAACTCTGCCTCCCGGGTTCATGCCATTCTCCTGCCTCAGCCTTCCAAGTAGCTGGGACTACAGGCGCCCGCCACCACGCCCAGCTAATTTTTTGTATTTTAGTAGAGATGGGGTTTCACCGTGTTAGCCAGCATGGTCTCTCTCTCCTGACCTTGTGATCCGCCCGCCTTGGCCTCCCAAAGTGCTGGGATTACAGGCGTGAGCCACCGCGCCCAGCCAGGTGTGGATTTCTTTAATGGTCAGCTTAGAGGCTGCTATAAAAAAATACCATAGACCAGGTGGCTTCACCAACAGCATTTATTTCTCACAGTTCTAGAGGCTAAAAATCCAAGATTCGTGTGCCAGTATGATTGAGCTCTTGGCGAGGGCTGTCTTCCTGGCTTGCAGATGGTTGCCTTCTCACCGTGTCTTCATATGGTAGAGACAGAAAGTTCTGAACTCTTCCTGTTCCTATAGGGACACCTCACCCTCATGACGTCATCTAAGCCTAATTACCTTTTAAGGATCCCACTTCCAAATACCATTACATTGAGGGTTAGAGCTTCAACATACAAATTTTGGGGGAAGGGGCACAACTATTCAGTCTATAGCAGGTTGTCTCATTTGGTCTTGATGTTGTGTTTCAGCCCTGAATCGTGTGCACTTACTTGGGCGAGTGGGTCAGGACCCTGTCTTGAGACAGGTGGAAGGAAAAAATCCAGTCACAATATTTTCTCTAGCAACTAATGAGATGTGGCGATCAGGGGATAGTGAAGTTTACCAACTGGGTGAGTACAAAAGACTGGGGTTTTAATTTTATCAGCAATAAATAGATATTATTTATTGCCAGTTATCTAATTTAGAGATAAACCACTTTAAACAAGATCTGTCTTTCATTCTGTTTGTTCTCTTAGAAATCGTGACATTGGTTTTCCTGGGCATGTTGTCTGTTGGCATTTGTAACCAATTTCCTATTTTTATGATTTAGGTGATGTCAGTCAAAAGACAACATGGCACAGAATATCAGTATTCCGGCCAGGCCTCAGAGACGTGGCATATCAATATGTGAAAAAGGGGTAAGTTGAAGAGGGAAGGATCTTATGAATTGAATGATTTAAAGAACCGATAAGAAGTGTTCTCATGGCAAGGAGTGTGTAGTCTCTTAAATCCCTGAGTACTACTAATGACTGTATTAATTTAAGAGGTATTTACTAAGTCCTTGATACTATATGCATGGCATGTTGCCATGTGTGACTAATTTGAAGATATATAAAACATAGTTTTAGCTTTCTAAGAACTTACAGTTTAGGGCAAACAGGGTGTGTACATAAATAGAAATAGATGAGGCAGGAGAGAAGGCAAAGTGTATCAAGTGGCATTTGAGCAAGTCAAACATCTGCTTTGAGGAATTCCTGTGCCTCTGTGGCCGGGGATGCTGAGGGTGGCTTCTTGCCTGTTGGCTGCCACATGGTATTTCCAGCAGAGGATCTGGAATGTCTGAAGCCTGACATGCCAACTTCATCTTCGTGGCAGTTATTTTATATTTGATGATTTTCTGTAGGCTTAATAGTTCCCTTTTGGAAGGCTTGGATTGAGTATGTATAAAAAGTATGTTTTCCAAACTCATAGAAGGACAAAACGGTGTGTGTAACAGCAGTTGTATTGATAGTTAATATGTTTAGAAATGTACTTGTTTTGTAGAAAGAAAACATATTTTATGAAAAATAATTTAGCAATCACTAAAATTTTTCTTTTCAATAACTGTATAGCTTTTCTTCCTATGTATCTTCATTGCCCTTTATGTATGTTTATGAATATGTGCACATACACACACAAACACATATAAGGTATTTCAAGGGAAGTGTCTGCACTCCCACTTACTGATTGATGGGTGTGTGTGTGGGGTGGGGAGCACCTGATGTTTCACTAATCTTTCTGTGTTGTACTTTTTTGGTGGTGGTAGACTCTCAAAACTGGTACTATTGTCATCTTTCCACTCTTGAAAATCACGATTAGGTTTGTTATCTAGTTTAGCCTCTAGATAGTGTAGAAATAGTCTTAGTAATTACCTCTAAGTGGTATACTAAGCTGATACAGTGTAGAAATAGTCTTAGTAATTAACTCAGGGTAATATTATACTAAACTAACTACAAATCCATATTTTGAATTTTAATCATCTAAGTTTCTAAGGTCATAGAAAATAATTGATAAATAAGTGAAAATCAAGTCTGTTAGGGACTCCAAAATCAAAGGTCAAGGAAAATGATACATTGGAAATTATTCCTAGAGATTTAAATGTTGCCACTAAATTTCCCTTTGAACTGTTTTGTTTTATTTTTTAACTTCCGTAAGAGAAATAGCTGACAGATGAAAACATTGTCTGTTTTACCTAGATGTTACCAAGTCTGTTTGGACACTCTGTTTCAGTACTCCTAATCCTGAACCTTGAGAAGTGGTAGCAAAAATTAGCTTATATATGATTATATATTTCATCCTTGTCATATACTCAGTACCACCCTGACCTGACTCTTATAAAGCATATTAAGATCTCAACTAAAAACTGTACATTTTATTTATATCAGGTCTCGAATTTATTTGGAAGGGAAAATAGACTATGGTGAATACATGGATAAAAATAATGTGAGGCGACAAGCAACAACAATCATAGCTGGTAAGAAGCTTGTGAAAATAGCTGTTTTTTTCTTTTTCTCCTTTTCTTTTTTAAAAGCTTGGCTACACTGTAACTAACTAGGGTTAAGAGTACCAGTACTTATGAGTTAAGGCAACTCACTAGAAGATGTCCATAACTCTTATTTCTCTACTTGCTAAGAGTTTGTACATTTATCCCTTCCTTTAAAAAATTATTTTTATACTTACAGTTTTAGTCACAAGTAACTTTTGAATAAAGCCTAAAACTGAATTATCCATCCCAGTACTTATTGTTGAGAATTACAAAAACTCTGAATGTATTGTCTTTTGGAAGGATCTAGCCCTAACCAGGAAGAAGCGTATGCCAAGATAAGAATTACACTAATGTGAGTGTGCAGATTTATTCGGAACCTCTTTGGTACTTAGTATGTGAAATTTCTATTTGAAATTAAGATTTTTTTAATTTTATTTTTTTTGAGCCAGAATCTCACTCTGTCACCCAGGCTGGAGTGCAATGGCACAATCTCGGCTCATTGCAACCTCTGTCTCCTGGATTCAAGTGATTCTCCTGCCTCAGCCTCCTGAGTAGCTAGGATTATAGGTGCGTGCCACACCACCTGGCTAATTTTTGTAATTTTCGTAGAGGCGGGGTTTCACCATGTTGGTCAGGCTGGTCTTGAACTCCTGACCTCAGGTGATCCATCCACCTCGGCCTCCCAAAGTTGTGAGATTACAGGCATGAGCCACTGTGCCCAGCCAAGAAGTTTTTAATTTTCTCTTTTTTTGTTTTTGTTTTGAGACAGGGTCTCCCTCTGTCAACCAGGCTGGAGTGCAATGGTGTGATCACAGCTTACTGCAGCCTCTACCTCCCCAGGCTCAGGTGATCTTCCCACCTCAGCCTTCTCCCAAGTAGCTGGGACAACAGGTGTACACCATCATGCCTGGCTAATTTGTCAATTTTTTTGTAGAGATGAGGTTTCACCATGTTGCCCAGGCTGGTCTCAAACTGCTGGGCTCAAATGATCCTCCCACCTTAGCCTCCCCAAATACTGGAATTACAGGCATGAGCCATTATGCCCGGCCTAATATTCTCTTTAAACAAAATACAGTACAACATAGAAAAGATGTACACGTAAAGGTTAAAGAAGATTAAGAAGATATCCCTTAGGAAAGAGTTTTTAAACTTTTGAAAATGCTATAAGAATTTTGAAAATAATATACCCCTCTGGATGTCTGCAAGCGACATTAAGAAATTTTTTTCAATACAAAATTGTGTTATTTTTAAATGTATCAATGGAATCTAAATAGCATAGCAATGTGATACCTACTATCCTGTAAAAAAATACCAGTTCAGCATTTGGAAATTTTCCATTATTCTTTTTTCTTTGAACTTGTTTTACTGTTTTTATTTTCCCCTCAGAAGTGTATCTTAATAGTATATGGTATAGTTAAGAACTTTTTATTACCCTGTTTGTAACAAAAATGCATGCATAAAAGAAACTTTAAAATATTTAAAAGAATTCTATGACAAATTCTTCTCAATTGACTTATCATTAAAGTTGTTTTTAGTACCTAATTGATCAAAACAATTTTAATGTATTTAAATTATATTGGAAATATGTCTTTAAATGAGATAGATGGTGCTTTTTTCACTTCTTGAGTAAATTGCTAAAATTAGACATTGTGAATTTTGTGCTTTTGTTTGCTTTTATGGACATAAATACTAAGAAAGCTTTTTAAAATAAATACATGGCAATAAACTAAATTTTACTATATTAATGTTTCTGTGTTTATGAACTTCTGAGATATGCCCAAATTAGATTTTTTTTTTTTTTTTTTTTTTTTGAGACAGCGTCTCACTCTGTTGCCCCGGCTAGAGTACAGTGACACGATCCTGGCTCACTGCAACCTTCGCCTCCCGGGTTCAAGCGATTCTCCTGCCTCAGCCTCCTGAGTAGCTGGGACTACAGGCACGCGCCACCACGCCCAGCTAATTTTTGTATTTGTAGTAGAGATGGGGTTTCACCATATTGGCCAGGCTGGTCTCGAACTCCTGACCTCGTGATCTGCCCACTTCAGCCTCCCAAAGTGCTGGGATTACAGGCGTGAGCCACCGTGCCCGGCTAGATAATATTTTTTAAAAATTGATTTTTGGGCTGGATGCAGTGGCTCACGCCTGTAATCCCAGGCCTTTGGGAGGCTGAGGTGGGTGGATCATTTGAAGTCAAGAGTTCAAGACCAGCCTGGGAACATGGTGAAACCCTGTCTCTACACAAAATGCAAAAAGTAGCCGGGTCTAGTAATGCGTGTCTGTAGTCCCAGCTACTCAGGAGGCTGAGTCATGAGAATTGCTTGAACCCAGGAGGCAGTGTTTGTAGCGAATTGAGATCACACCACTGCACTCCAGCCTGGGCAATAGAGGAAGACTCTCTCAAAAAAAAAAAAAAAAAAAAAATTTTTTTTTTTTTACTATGGAAAATGTCAAACATGTATAAGAGCAGAAAAAATGGTAAAATGAACTCCTACCATTTCGCTTCAGTGTCAGCTGATGGACAGTGTTATATCCATGCCTCCAGCGACTTGACCTACACCTGGATTATTTTGAAACAGATTCTAGACATAAGTTTATTCATAAATTTCCATAGGGATCTCTAAAAGATAAGGTGTCTTTTTGAAAATGTAACTACCGTGCTATTATCACACCTAATATTAATAAATTACTGTTAATTTTTTTACTAAATATCGTAGTGTTCAAATTTCCTTGATAACTTCATAAACATTCATACATTATATTACATGATTTCTACCTTAAGTCTCTTAGATTTGCCTTTTATCTTTCTTCTTTCCTTTGCTCCAGAGTTCATGTCTTAACCACCATACCTTATTAATAATTTATAATTTGTATAGAATGCTCACATGGTTTCTTACTGCTAAGTTTCTTTGAAAGTGTATTAACCTTGAAAAGCAGTGTAGGTATTTTCCTACCCTCCTGTGGGTCCCAATATAAACCACAAGTGTGGGCAAACTTTAGATTGTTCGGATTATTGAGTTGTTACTAATAAGCCAAACGGAAGCATTTCAGATGATATGCTGTTTTGTTTTTTTTCCTTGTCACTAGGTTCCACTAGCACAGTCAGTTTACTTTAGGTTTATGTCTAATGGTAAAATTGAAGAGCTCTTCAGTGACATTTGAATTGAAGAAAATAGAGTTTATTGGTTGATCTGTTTTATTGGTGATTTTTTTTTCTCCTAGGGATCCTATCTGTAACTAAAAAACCACCACCAGTGGATGGCACTCTTGGCTTTTTCCACAGTGATATTAATTCGAGTAGTTTGTTCTGAAGTAACCGTTCTGGACCAAAACATTCTAGTTTTTGGAAGACTATGGTCATGAACAAATATTCAGTCCTTGGTGGATAATTTTATAGTTACAAGAATCTTTTGGAATTATAAAGGAAATGCAGTCATTCCTCCATGTCCCTTGTTTCTGCATCTGTGGATTCAACCAAGCACAGATTGAATATATGTGAAAAAAAGAAACCAATAAAAATAATACAACAACAACAAAAATACAAGTGAAACAATACAGTGTAACAGCTGTTAACATAGCATTTACCTTGTATTAGATATTGTAAGTAATCTAAAGATGATTTAAAGTATATAAGAGGAAGTACATAGGTTATATGTGATTACTATACCATTTTATATCAGGGACTTGAGCATTGTGGATTTTGGTATCTATAGGGGTCCTGGAACCAGTCCCCCAATGGATACTGAAGGATGACTACTACTTGCCTCTGTTCTTTTGTTTATTTTTAGCTAACTCCCTCTGGAACAGCATTTTAAGAGCAACGTCTGATATTTTTGGATAAAAATGCTAACTCTGTGATGTTGATTCATAAAATGTTCCCAAGAATTGGTATATTAAAATTATTCTGGGCCAGGTGCGGTGCTCATGCCTGTAATCCCAGCACTTTGGGAGGCCAAGGCGGGCAGATCACTTGAGGTCAGGAGTTCAAGACCAGCCTGGCCAACATGGTGAAACCCTGTCTCTATTAAAAATACAAAAGTTAGCCAGGCATGGTGGTGCACACCTATAATCCCAGCTACTGGAGAGGCTGAGGCAGGAGAATCGCTTGAACCCAGGAGGCAGAGGTTGCAGTAAGCTGAGATTGCACCACTTCACTCCAGCCTGGGTGACAGAGACTCCATCTCCAAAGGAAAAACAAAAAGTTATTCTGTATTGTAATTTAAAAATAAAATTTCTTCTATTTGAATTTTTAAAGTTAAAAACGTAAGTAAATCCTGTCATTGCTAACAGGGCCACATATGGACTCTTACTCTTTCCTCTAGACCCCCAGAGTGTAGAATGTGATACACTTTTGTCCTTTTCTCTGAGGATGTGCTGCCTAGTGTCGTGGAATCTGCCTGACCATTGCAAGCATCCAATTTTGTGACCAGTTCTTTTGCAGGAAATTGTTTCTGAGAAGACTGGAAGACAAGAAATATCCCACCTCTTCTAACAAGATCTGAATTGTTCGAAAAGCAGCCAGTGCCTAACTTGTAGCTCCACTTATGCCAACTGTATATATACCTCTCGTGAGCATAGCAAGTGATTTAATATTTTGAAAAGATGGCTAAAATCCTTTTAATGAACAGCACTAAAGTTATATGTATTAGAGGAGAATTATTGAATGAGATGGAGAAAGAGTTCTGAAATTAATATTTACATTTTGGCTTTTTTACAGATAATATTATATTTCTGAGTGACCAGACGAAAGAGAAGGAGTAGAAAGGATGATTCTTCTTTGGCCATCATTTGGTACAGTCTCATTTCCAAGTCATGTATAATCTTTATGGCTTCCAAGGACAAGAATTAAAATACTCTTTTACGTAAAATGAGTAATAATCTTTTTTCTGACTGTCGTTCTCGCTCTCCTTTTTGTGGTATAATCTTGGTAGCTACTATCTGTTATGGCATTTACTAGTTGTTTATTCTTCTAAGGGTGGTTTCTATGTACAGGTATACAAAATAGTAAACTTTCAGGCTCATTTGTGTTATGGCAAAGGGATAAATATGCTTTGGGAAGGTCTCCTGGTTTTTGTATACACTTTTATTACAATATTGATTTGTCCAATCAGTGAATTTACTGAGCATCACTGTATGTGAGACATTTATCCCATATTTGTAAATATTGATTTTCTTAACGTTTTGCTCTGTAGACATGAAGGCAAGGACTGAATCTTCTGTTTGCCTGCACTTTAAACCATGCTTTACATAGAATAGCCACTCAGTAAGCATTGATAGATGAATCATCCCAATGGGATTCTAAGCTTCAGCTCAAATTGAAGGGAGTTGCTGAGCAGTGGTTAGTGTCTAACCTAAACATCTTTAAGACTAACCTACCTTCTTCATATCTTTTGTTTTTGGACAGTTTCATTAGTAGCATTGATGAAACATAGTTTACCAGCAATAAGGACCTGAATAATTAGAGATGAAATCGTTCATCTCCAGGTGATGCCACAGGAGCTGTAGTTCTGTTCTTTCTCTGCCCCTGTTATCTGTGGGGAAAAGAAAGAGAGATCAGACTGTTACAGTGTCTATGTAGAAAGAAGTAGACATGAGAGACTCCATTTTGTTCTGTACTAAGAAAAATTCTTTTGCCTTGAGATGCTGTTAATCTGTAACCCTACCCCCAACCCTGTGCTCGTAGAAACAAGTGCTGTGTGCTGTGTCGACTCAAGGTTTAATGGATTTAGGGCTATGTAGGATGTGCTTTGTTAAACAAATGCTTGAAGGCAGAATGCTTGTTAAAAGTCATCACCACTCCTTAATCTCAAGTACCAAGAGACACAAAACACTGCAGAAGGCCGCAGGGACCTCTCCCTAGGAAAGCCAGGTATTGTCCAAGGTTTCTCCCCATGTGATAGTCTGAAATATGGCCTCGTGGGAAGGGAAAGACCTGACCATCCCCCAGCCCGCCACCTGTAAAGGGTCTGTGCTGAGGAGGATTAGTAAAAGAAGAAGGCCTCTTTGCAGTTGAGATAAGAGGAAGGCATCTGTCTCCTGCTCGTCCCTGGGCAATGGAATGTCTCAGTGTAAAACCTGATTGTATATTCCATCTACTGAGATAGGAGAAAACCGCCTTAGGGCTGGAGGTGAGACATGCTGGCGGCAATACTGCTCTTTAAGGCATTGAGGTGTTTACATATGTGCACATCAAAAGCACAGCACCTTTTTCTTTACCTTGTTTATGATGCAGAGACATTTGTTCACATGTTTTGCTGCTGACCCTCTCTCCACTATTACCCTGTTGTCCTGCCACATCCCCCTCTCCGAGATGGTAGAGGTAATGATCAATAAATACTGAGGGAACTCGGAGACCAGTGCTGGCACGGGTCCTCCGTATGCTGAGCGCTGGTCCCCTGGGCCCACTTTTCTTTCTCTGTACTTTGTCTCTGTGTCTCTTTGTTTTCTCAAGTCTCTCGTTCCACCTGACGAGAAACAGCCACAGGTGTGGAGGGGCAGGCCACCCCTTCATCTGGCGCCCAACCTGGGGCTAAGGGATCTATTCTATTTATTTGCGCTGACTGAATTTTTTCTTCCACTAATTTAATTTCTTTTGTTGCCTCTGGGGTTAATATTCTTTTAAGTCTGGTTCTCCTCTTAAGATAGAGAGCAAATTTGACATGGCATAAGTAGGAATGCCTAAAGTTGGCCGAATCCAATTAATATCGCCTAGCAATTTTTGAAAATCATTTAATGTTTTTAATGTCTTTTTTTATTTCTATTTTTTGTGGCTTAATTTTTCTATTTTCTATCTGCATCCCTACATAATGAAAAGGAGTAGAGGTTTGAATCTTATCAGATACTATTGCCAGTCCTGCGTTGGCAACCTCTGCTTACAGAAATGTGTAAGTCAATTAATTTGTCTTGTTTCTGTAGCACATAAAATATCATCAGCATAATGAATGATATAACAGTCTGAAAACTTGTCTCTAACTGGTTGAAGAGCTCGACCTATGAAAGTCTGACAAATAGTTGGACTATTAAGCATTCCCTGAGGTAACACTTTCCACTGAAACCTGGTGGCTGGTTATTATTTATGGCTGGTATAGTAAAGGCAAATTTTTCACAATCCTGCTCCGCCAGAGGAATGGTAAAAACGTAGTCCTTCAGATCAATTATAATTAAAGGCCCGGCGTTTGGGATCATGGCCGGAGAGGGCAACCCGGTTTGGATAGGTCGCATGGGTTGAATTACGGCATTTATGGCCCTTAAGTCCGTTAACATACGCCATCTGCTGGATCTTTTCTGAATTACAAACACAGGAGAATTCCAAGGCGAGAATGAAGGCTCAATATGTCCCTTTTCTAATTGTTCATTTGCTAATAAATGTAAAGCCTCCAGTTTTTATTTTGGTAGCGGCCACTGATTTACCAATACGGGTTTTTCTGTTTTCCAACTTAATGGAATGGTAAGTTTAGGAGGCTCTGCAGTGGCCACCCCTAAAAAGGATACCCTATTCCTTTTCTTTCTTGATTTCTTTCAGTCTCAATTGGGACTTTAATGCCATTTTCATTTTTTCCTAGTCCTTTTCCTGGTATATATCCCATCTTAGTCATGATTTTTTGACTCGTGGGGCTGTATAATGGAGCGGGCATAGTGATTTCCGCACCCCATTGTTGTAATAAATCTCGACCCCGCATATTAACAGGAATTGAAGTAATCATTGGCTGAACAGTACTTTCTTGATTATCTGGCCCTAAACAGTGTAAAATCATAGTACTTTGATGCACTTCTGAGGCTGTTCCTATGCCGAGAAGTCCTGTAACAGCCTTTTGTTTAGGCCAATTTTTTGGCCACTGATTTAAAGCAATGATAGAGACATCTGCTCTAGTGTCTACTAACCCTTCAAACTGTTTTCCTTGAATAATGGCCTTACACACAGGTCTGCTGTCTGAGACCTGACTTGCCCAATATGCGGCCTTTCCTGTCGGATCAGTGCTTCCAAACCCTCCTGTTTTTATCTGTTTCCAACCATAATATAAGGCAGGAGTAATAATTGAGCAATCCTGTCTCCTGGACTGGCACTCCAAGGAATTGAAGAGCTAATAACCAATTGAATTTCGCCTTTATAGTCTGAATCAACCATACCACTATGAATTTGAACTCCCTTTAGATTTAGACTTGAGCTTCCTAAGATTAGTCCTACAGTCCCTTCAGGCAGTGGGCCATATATCCCTGTGGGGTTTTTTTGTGGGGGTTCCCCTGGAAGCAGAGAGACTGCTTGTATAGTACATAAATCTACTGCTGCACTGCCACTTGTGGTGGGGGACAATTGTTGTATTGTGGTAACTGGCTCATTCCCTGAGGCACTTGGGACAGTGGGGGTTGTTGTCCCTGAAATCCCTGAGGAGCAAAGGGCTGAATTGGGAATGCCCCAGTTTTTTGTGGGGCCTGAGGCGGGCCCCTCTTCTCATTTCCCAACAATGGTTGCCCATTTCTATCAAATTTAGAATGACATTGACCAGCCCAGTGTTTTCCTTTTCGACATCTTGGACATAAGTCAGGTGGCTCTTTATCTGTTGTTGTAGTAGCTTGAATAGTTATATTTTGTTTATTTGAGACTGGGCAATTCTTTTTTAGATGACCAACTTGACCACAATTATAACATTTCCCCCCAAATGTTCTAACTTGTCTTCCTAAAGCAACTCCCATTATTGCTTGAGCCATAAACATAGCTTTATGCATAGCTCCTCCTCCATCACAGGCTTTTACATACTCAGATTACATTTGATTCTGTGGGAACCTTACCTTTTAATGGCTTAATGGCTGATTGACACTCAGGATTGGCGTTTTCATATGCCATCAACTCCACTATGACCTTACAAGCATTCTCATCGGTAATTGACTTTTGAGCAACATCTTGGAGCCTTGCCACAAAATCAGGGTAGGGCTCTTTAGAGCCTTGTCTTATTGTATTGAATGAGGGGCAGGCGGTTCCTGGGTCTTGGATTTTTTCCGAGGCCCTAAGGCAGATAGCTCTAACTTGCTCAATGGCCTCATTTTGCATTAACACTTGTTGACTAGTAGTGCTTCAATTTTGACCTGTTCCTAATAGTTGATCTGCATCTATGTTAACTGGAGGATTGGCAGCCCTGTTTCTTCAGACCGACCTGTTGTTGTGCCCCATCAATCCACCAAGTCTTAAATTGTTAAAATTGAGAGGGTGAGAGAGACAATTTGGCCAGAACCTCCCAATCATAAGGAATGAGTCTATGTCCATGAGCAATGGAATCTAATAATGTCCTCATATAAGGGGAGTTGGGTCCATACTGTTTTACTCCCTCTTTCATATCTTTTAGCATTTTTATAGAAAAAGACTCATATCTGGCCTCAGCTAGGGGAGGCTCTCCCTCTTGGGCCCCTTCTCCAGGTGGTATTGGTTCTAATATTACTGGGAATTGCCATGCCTCAATATCTCTTTGTTTTCTTGCCTCATCAATAATTTTATGTAATACACTACCCTGCTCACTAGGTGGTGCTGTAGGATTAAGTCTCATAGTGGGTGGCTGAGGGTATGGCGCCCTGTCCTGTGGGGCTGGGAACATTCCTGGCTGTCCATACTGATTTTCCGGGGGTGGCCGACACTTAAGTTCGGCTGGCAGCCAGTATTGATAGGCTACTGGCAGTTGGGTCTTATTTTCTACCGGCTGATATTGTGGATACTGTATTTGGATTGGCATTGCCGTGACAGAGACTCTATCTTTCTCTATTTGATATTCTCTTGGGGTTTGTACTTGCCTAACCTGCATTTGAGGTTGTAATGTTACAGGCATCTGAACTGCTGGAAGAGGAGTTGGCCCTCGTGGTTTAGACTCTGATGGCCCTGCTAATTCTGGACCTTTTTCTTCTAATTTTAACGTTTCAGGATATATCACCTCCTGTAATTGATTATAGTCAACATTTTGCATTGACTGAGCCATTACCGGCTCTGCTACATACTCACAATGTAAACTTTCCGTTCCTTTCCGGGATTTTATCTCTGCCTCTTCTTTACAATCTATTAAACAGCTTTCAGGGGCATCAGAAACTGAAACACTATCTTCTTCTGTTTGAAACGGTTCTAAAGCTACTTTAATAATGACCCAGTCATTCCATACTGTAAGTGGGATGATTTTACCCTCCCTACTTGCTTGTTTTAATTCTTTGCCAATTTTTTCCCAGTCTTTTAGATATAAAGTTCCCTGTTCTAGAAACCATGGGCAAAATTTTCTATTGTTTGAAATAGTGTGATTAGATTTTTTTGTAGAAACTCTAACTCCCCCCCTTTTTTTTTAAAGAATTTTAATAGAATTGAGATGAGAGGCATATTTACTTTTAGTTTGCCCCATTGTTACCCTGGCTTTTTCCAAGCGCGCAAGCTTACCGCAAGGCTGACTGTAGACGTACTTGGGAATCTCTCATTGACTTGTCCTCAATGACCACGCTCGAGCGTACCTTCACCCTAGAGAAAAGCACCCACGTTGGGCACCAGGTGAAGGGGTGGCCTGCCCCTCCACACCTGTGGATGGGGCATTGATAGATGAATCATCCCAATGGGATTCTAAGCTTCAGTTCAAATTGAAGGGGGTTGCTGAGCAGTGGTTAGTGTCTAACCTAAACATCTTTAAGACTAACCTACCTTCTTCATATCTTTTGTTTTTGGACAGTTTCATTACTAGCATTGATGAAACATAGTTTACCAGCAATAAGGACCTGAAATATAACTAGAGATGAAATCGTTCATCTCCAGGTGATGCCACAGGAGCTGTGGTTCTATTCTATCTTTCTCTGCCCCTCTTATCTATCCTTTTAGAGTCTTCTTCAGAACTCTTGGGGAAGGTAGAAGAGGATCCTCTTAACAACCTCTGTCAGTGCCTCCCTTAGAGCCTTAGGTCCTACATTTTCCTTTTATTTTTCCACATGAATCATTATGTACATCATGTAATCTTACTTTTTATTACAAGATTCAGGAAATTTTAGAATACTAATAATTTGCCAATAAAGATGAAATAGTAACTCAGTTTTTCAGTGCATCTTTTGCTCTTTAAAGTTTACATCAGCCCTCCCGAGGTCTGCCTGCCAGTTTGCTGCTGTATCCCAGAGGTTGGCTGCCACTGTGCAGGTTGTTTTGTTCAAATGGTAGAAGTCTCTCGTACTGTCTAGGCCACTCTGTCTCCAGTTTGGCCTCTGACCCAGCCTATATATTTGCTTCCCAGCCTACATGTTCTGTCCTCTCTGCCTGAGAGTACGAGTACAGTGCTAACTGTAGCTTAGGTCATATTGGACTTTATTAGGTTCAGAATTCCCAAGCTATGTTATAGGTCTGTGACTTTTTTGTTTTAAGGTATTTTCTGCACACTTGAGTAGCTTTTTTTATACCTACAATGCATTTTGGTTGAGGAAAGATGGAATTTTTTAGCTTTATCCTCTCCTTGCTCAGGAACAGTAGAAAATTCATTGCTGTTTTCTCCTGCCAGCCATCTTTCTTTTTCCTGCAGCTGGGACAGTTAATCAGCATATTAACTCTGCTCTCTTAAGTTCACACATTAAAACTGCCTGGTGATGTAGTCTTTATTCCTTCATGCCACATTCCTTAAGCAAAATTGGGCAGTATATAAAATTTATCTTTTTAGCAACTCTTTCTTCTATCAGCACAGCAGCTTTTATACTCCTTAAGTGTTGTGAGAAATTATGCAGATTAACAGTCCTGTTTAAGCAGGGTAATAAATCTCTGCTTTGGGAAAATGACATGGTGAACAGAAGAGCTTAATTACCAACCTGGAGCAGTTTCTCAGCCCTGAATGCAGGGGTGGAAGAGGATGCTGTGCTGGATCATTGTGAGCCGAGGGGCTCTGCTTTAAACTCTCCCCTGGAGGTTGCCTCTTCTCTCCATGCCTCTGAAAGGCTGTGGAGCTGAAGCAGTGGTGCTTTATCAGACTTAGGTGTGTAGCATGCAGTCTTCAGCATGCGTATGATTCTAGCAGAATGATTCTCGCCTCAAGTCAGTCAGACTTGCTAGGGAAACTTTGCCTACCCCTGGGAAGCCCTATCTGCTGAGAAACTTTCTCCTGCTCCCTAGCTGGTCTAGGAAGAGCGCATTTGGAAATATGATAGCAGTAAATAGCAGTAAAAGACTAGGGGTCTTCTAACCCAAGTTTTGGGTCTTGCATTTCCCTTTTTGATGTGATAGTGTCAGGGAATAAACCTCAGAAAACTGCACTGTGACCTCGATTTGGAGTTTCCTGTTAAATGGTAAGATGAATAGTATACCTAGAAGAATGGGAGAAAAAGTTTCAAACAGTATGTCTGGGGTATCCCATTTTTGAAAAAGAAGTTGTAATGAAGATAGGCTTAATGTCTGGAGGGAGAAACATGAGGATGTTATTATCTCTAGAGAGGGTGATTATGCGTGATTTTCCTTGTTTCTTTACAGTTTTTTAAATATATATTTTAGCATTGAACATATATTACTTTTATAATAAAAAAATAAAACTTTTTATCTGGGGAAAAAAACCTTTCCATTATTTCTGAGCCAGACTAATTTACTCATTCACTTTTAGTGAGTACCACTTTACTGGATATGAATGAGAAAATCTTTTATATATTTTCCCCCACTATCTGTATTTTAGCATCTCATGCTTTTATAATTCATTCATCTGTTAATACGTGTACACAGCCCAAAATGATTTACTTTGAATACCAACCTAGCCAGGCGCAGTGGCTCATGCCTGTAATCCCAGCACTTTGGGAGGCCAAGGCGGGTGGATCACGAGGTCGGGAGATCGAGACCATCCTGGCTAACATGGTGAAACCCCGTCTCTACTGAAAATACAAAAAATTAGCTGGGTGTGGTGGTGGGCGCCTGTAGTCCCAGCTACTGGGGAGGCTGAGGTGGGAGAATGGCATGAACCCAGGAGGCGGAGCTTGCAGTGAGCCGAGATCACACCACTGTACTCCAGCCTGGGCGGCAGAGCCAGACTCCATCTCAAAAACAAAACGAACAAACAAACAAAAAAACCAACCTATATGAGATCTACTGTTTGCTGCCTTTACAGTTCTCAAAGAATCAATCATTTCTTAAAACACACTGGACATTTTATTCAAAGATGATCCAAAAACACCAAAGATATATTTCTGTGGCAGTTTTGGCAATAGAGTATACATTTCTTTAGGAATTACTTGTCATTGCAATGTGGATTACAGCCTAACTTTTGCAGCCAAGTTAGGAGAAATTAGTGCTGTTTTCCCTTTGTTCCCTAATGAGATCATGGCAATTCTTGAAGGCAGGGTTTTCTTTTACTAAAACCACCCTTTTTCCCCAATCTAACTCAGCCTCACACAGTGACATGGAGATTGATAAATGTTTGTCATTCGGTTAGGTGGGACTTGAAAAGAAAATGAGGGCAGGATCACCTTGCTATTTTTCTGTTAGAGTTTGCATAATATTCTGTGAAGATTTGTGGGAGTAACAGCAAGAAAATCGTTGTGGAAAATGAGAGGCAAGTCCAAGGTTAATGAATTACAGGGAAATCTCTTAAAGATGTAACAATAATCATATTAATGACTGTCATTTCTCTTCTGGTTACTATGTACCGAGCTAAGCTAAGTACTTTTTATCATTGTCTCATTTAGCCATTATCCTAAGAAGAAGGTACAATAATCCCATTTTACAGGTGAGGAAACCCAAAACTGGGAGAGGTTAAATAACTTGTCAAAGTCATGCATCTTCCAGGATGCACACCTGGAGGTTGAACTCAGGTATGTGAAGTTTGCATTTTGCTTTCTGCCCAATGCCTGCCTCCACTTGCATTCATTCTCCACTGGCCCTCCGTATCCACAGATTCCCGCAACCAACTGTATTTGTCTGTTTTCACACTGCTATGAAGATACTACGTGAGACTGGGTAATTTATAAACGAGAGGTTTAATTAACTCACAGTTCCGCATGGCTGGGGAGGCTTCAGGAAATTTATGGTCGTGGCAAAAGGTGAAGGGGAAGCAGGCACCTTCTTCACAAGGCAGCAGGAGAGAGAGGGCACAGGGGAAACTGCTACTTTTAAAACCATCAGATCTGGGGAGAATTCCCTCACTATCAGGACAACAGCACAGGGGAAACCACCCCCATGATCCAGTCACCTACCAGGTCCCTACCTTGACACGTGGGGATTACAATTTGAGATGAGATTTGGGTGGGGACATAACCAAACCATATCATCCTGCCCCAGCCCCTCCCAAATCTCATGTCCTTTTCACATTTAAAAACCAATCATACCTTCTCAACAGTCCCCCAAAGTCTTAACTCATTCCAGCATTAACTCAAAAGTCCAAGTCCGAAGTCTCATCTAAGACAAGCCAAGTCCCTTCCACCTATGAGCCTGTAAAATAAAATTAGTTACTTCTAAGATACCATGAGGGTACAGGCATTGGGCAAATGTTTCCAGTCCAAATGGGAGAAATTGACCAAAATAAAGGGGCTACAGGCCTCATGCAGGTCTGAAAACCCGGCAGAGCAGTCGTTAAATCTTAAAGCTCTGAAATCATCTCCTTTGATTCCACGTCTCACATGTAGGCCACCCCAGGGCATGCTGATGCAAGAGGTGGGCTCCAACAATCTTGGTCTTGGGCAGCTGCCCCTGCGTTCCTGTGGCTCAGCAAGGTACAGCCCCTGTGTCCACTTTCATGGGCTGGTGTTGAATGCCTGCAGCATTTCTAGGCACTTGGTGCAAGCTGTCAGTGTATCTACCTTTCTGGGGTCTGGAGGATGGGTGCCCCCTTCTCACAGCTCCACTAGGCAATGCCCCAGTGGGGACCCTGTGCAGGGGCTACAACTCCACATTTTCCTTCCACACTGCCATAGCAGAAGTTCTCCTTGAGGGCTCCTTTTAGCCGTGGCTGGTGCTGGATCCACTGGGATGCATGGAACCAAGTCCCGAGGTTGCACAGAGCAGTTGGGCCCTGGGTCTGGCCCAGGAAACCATTTTTCTCTCCAAGACCTCTGGGCCTGTGATAGGAGGGGCTGCCAAGAAGGTCTTTGACATGCCCTAGAGACATTTTCCCCATTGTCTTGACTATTAACATTCGGCTCCTTGTTACTTATGCAAATTTCTTCAGCCAGCTTGAATTCCTCCTCAGAAAGTTGGTTTTTCTTTTCTACCACATGGTCAGGCTGCACATTTTCCAAACCATTATGCTCTCCTTCTCTTAAATATAAGGTTCAGTTGGGCATCTTCTATATATCATGCACCCATATAGGACCTGAATGTAGGGATGTATATAACAGGATTCCTGCACTGAAGGAATTCACAATTAAGCTTATGAGGGGTTAGGGAGGATAAGCAGAAACTTTTATAGCTAACTGTGATAGGGTGTGAGGAGTAGCTTAGAAGAGAATGGATAGGTGAGCTTTCAGCAGAGGAAACAGCATGAGCAAAGATCCAGAAACAAAAGTTTATGAAACAAAGGTGAGGCATGGAAAGTGGGTTGGGGCTAGATAGTAAAGGGCCTTGAAAGCTTTCAGAGAACTTTGGCAATGGGGAGCAATAGAAGGTTTGAAAACAAGGACATCTTATCAGAATTGTGCGTTAGGAGAACAACAAAGACAGAGTGAAGGGCTAGAAGGAGAAAGCCTAGAGGCAGTTAGGAAGCTCTAATAAGCCTAGAAAGGTTAGCAAGAATGGGGATGAGAGGTGACTTGAGGGGCGTTTGGGATTCAAGTTGATTTGACAAATAGTAATTGTGTACCAATTTTGTGCTGGACCCTGTGCTAGGCTCTGTGTTAGAGATACTGCAGAGAATCACTTATAGCTTCTGCCCAAGATCTAGTGGTGACACAACCACTATTGCTAAGAGGAAATGCAATTCAGAGGTGGTTCTGAGGTTCCTGCATGGAGATGTGTGGATAGTAGCACTTCATTTCTGAGTTTATGGAACATGGATGTGGGAGCAGAGTTGAGAGGGGGAAAGATAATGAGCTTAGTTTTGAATATGGTTTATCTGTAGACTTTCTAATGGCTCCTTGGCAGGGTATTAATTATATTAGTCTGGAGCTCCGAGGAGAAGTTGAGGCAGGAGTGATTATTCTTTTTCTTCTGCTAAACACATTATAAATGGTTTATGAGATAACTTTTTTGTTTTTTATTTTTAAATTTTATTTATCCTTTATTTATAACATATGTATGTATGTTGGAGTCTCGCTGTGTCGCCCAGGCTGGAGTGCAGTGGTGCGATCATAGCTCACTGCAGCCTCAAACTCATGGTTGCAAGTGATGCTCTCACCTTGGCCTCCTGGGTCGCTGGGATGATAAGCATGAGCTACCATGCCTGGCTGTGAGATAACTTTAAAGCATTCTAGCTTTCTATTGTAGATTCTAGCTTTCTGTTATAGAAAACCGTATTGTGGAAAAGATTTCCAGTTGCCTACCTGTTTTAAGATGTACCTGGGACTTGCCTTAATCATGTATGGTAGGAGACAACTGCTTTAATCATGTCACGGAGACAGCTGCTTTAATCATGTCACACAGACAACTGCTTTGAAAGAAGAGTCTTTTATTTCACAGTTCCCAATAGGAGGTTGCATGCTATGCCATGCAAGGCCACTCAGGGATGCACTGGAGTTGGTCAGGAGGAAGAAGGAGGGGGGAAAACATAAGCCAGAGGCTTTGTTGTGTTTTTCATAGGGAAGCAATGAGTAAGGCACCAGTGGAAAGCTAAGCAAGGTTAGGATTGGGTAGTTTGAATAATTTCAGCAGGCTGCAGGTTCTCAAGATGGTCCCTAGTTATCAGGTGCCTGGCCCTGGGGTGATTGAAGGCAAGGTCATAGTGTCCTGGGCTCGTTTTCTACCTAAGCAAAGGAGGTAGATGGGAGGGGCAGTGTGGATTCAGGATTGGCTGGTTTGCTTATCAAAGGAGTTTTCTCAGGCAAGTTGGCTAACTCCAGGAATTAGCTAACCTTGGGAGGGCATGCCCTCTCTGGGTCTGCAAGGCCCAAAAGTGTCAAAGCATAAAATACAGAAAATAAACATGATTAATGCACTACCCAGTATCTATTGTCCCTTCTGTATTTATAGAACCCAGATGTGACAGGGTGCACAGCACATGTACTGCATTCCTGTTCTTTTCAGTTAGGGGTTGCCAAGGGGCTATAGGCAGAAGTCACTTGGTGATGCTCTCAGGGAACTTTCTATATGAGTTACTCTTGGGAGGCGTATCCTGTGTGCTTCCCCAGACTCTCGTCCTACAGCATTTTCTTTTTTGTCTGAAATGTGGACATTTCATGGCTGGATTTCCAGTTGCCATCTTGGACCATGAGGCAGTCTTCAGAATGGAAGGTAGAAGAAGCTGGGATCTGCAATCACTATGCAACCACCATACCAGCCTGGACAGTTTGCCTCTGGACTGCTTTGGGAGACAA
Organism: Homo sapiens; assembly: GCF_000001405.40. Lineage (NCBI taxonomy): Eukaryota > Metazoa > Chordata > Mammalia > Primates > Hominidae > Homo > Homo sapiens. The sequence goes on from NC_000007.14 coordinate 141,763,021, forward strand.
AAATATACCTCTCCTCTAAGCCATTTACTTGTGTTGTGTACTTAAACCTAATTCTTTCTTATTCATATATTGTTGACTTTATCTCCGTATACATGAGCAACTCTTTACTCTTATCTTTCTCTTACATGACCTTTCACGGCAAGTAGAAGTAAAATCTTTTCTTTATTCCCACAATCCTTTAGGTTTTAAACTAATGTCTCATTAAATTTAGGGAAGGGAGTAGGACATAAAAAGTATACAAACCTTAGCAATTAGCTTTAAAAAGAGTCAACATAAGCATACTTTAATACAAACTACGTACTGCTTAATTCTGCATATAGTCCTGAATGAAGATCCTTAATTAATAGCCGCTTGTTAAATAGAGGAGCTCTTAGGTTAAGAACAGAAGTATTGTTCTTATGCCTCCCTGGACAGTATTATAGCAGACTAGCAATCCAGAGTGGGTCTGAGACTTCCCACTGCAAGTCCAAGTTCGGGATGTAAGCTTGGCCACTTTCTGGTGAGGCTTCTCTTGCTAGCTTATAGCTTACAGCCATCTCTCTGCATGTAAGCCAGGCTCCAAGGGGCATGCCTTTTAATTCTAATCCATGATCAATGGCACTGAACTTTTACAATTTTATGCACTTAAACCTCACTCCAGGTGGATAGTGGCTCCTAGTGGAATTCCTTTTCTGTATCTCTGAGTCCTCCCTCCTGAGGAATGAGACTTTTTACTCTTCTGAGTAATTCTGAGCCGCCTCCATTTGGTGCCGCTCATCTTTCTGTTTTGGGTAACTCAGAGCCCTACACCCTTTGAAACTGAGTCCAAGTCCTCCATCATCTTTGTGACCTAGATCTCTTCCTTCTCTATGTGACACTGGACACTACTCATTTGCATTTTAGCAAAGAGCTGCAAAGTTTAGGTTCATTGATGGAATATGACAATCCATATCATCTGTGAAGAGGACAGACTAACCTGAAAGAGCCAGAGAGGATTTCCTAAATTGTGCTCTACGACAGACTAAATTGGGCAGAGACAAGAGACAGGTACAGTGAAGCAACAGGTAGAGGAGTAGATTAACGAGAAAAATATCACATCAGTGAGGAGATTCTATGTATCAACAGAAAGAACAAAGATCAGGGCTGCCTAATTGCTGACATGATGGGACTCACCGAGGGGGTGTTCCTGATTCTGTCTGGCACTCAGTTCACACTGGGAATTCTGGTCAATTGTTTCATTGAGTTGGTCAATGGTAGCAGCTGGTTCAAGACCAAGAGAATGTCTTTGTCTGACTTCATCATCACCACCCTGGCACTCTTGAGGATCATTCTGCTGTGTATTATCTTGACTGATAGTTTTTTAATAGAATTCTCTCCCAACACACATGATTCAGGGATAATAATGCAAATTATTGATGTTTCCTGGACATTTACAAACCATCTGAGCATTTGGCTTGCCACCTGTCTTGGTGTCCTCTACTGCCTGAAAATCGCCAGTTTCTCTCACCCCACATTCCTCTGGCTCAAGTGGAGAGTTTCTAGGGTGATGGTATGGATGCTGTTGGGTGCACTGCTCTTATCCTGTGGTAGTACCGCATCTCTGATCAATGAGTTTAAGCTCTATTCTGTCTTTAGGGGAATTGAGGCCACCAGGAATGTGACTGAACACTTCAGAAAGAAGAGGAGTGAGTATTATCTGATCCATGTTCTTGGGACTCTGTGGTACCTGCCTCCCTTAATTGTGTCCCTGGCCTCCTACTCTTTGCTCATCTTCTCCCTGGGGAGGCACACACGGCAGATGCTGCAAAATGGGACAAGCTCCAGAGATCCAACCACTGAGGCCCACAAGAGGGCCATCAGAATCATCCTTTCCTTCTTCTTTCTCTTCTTACTTTACTTTCTTGCTTTCTTAATTGCATCATTTGGTAATTTCCTACCAAAAACCAAGATGGCTAAGATGATTGGCGAAGTAATGACAATGTTTTATCCTGCTGGCCACTCATTTATTCTCATTCTGGGGAACAGTAAGCTGAAGCAGACATTTGTAGTGATGCTCCGGTGTGAGTCTGGTCATCTGAAGCCTGGATCCAAGGGACCCATTTTCTCTTAGAGTAACAGAGGGCATGGGGTGGAGCCCTTGAGCCTTTTGGCCTGGCTCAAGACTACAGGACTCTTCCTGACCTTCCTATGTTACCAGTTCCATAACATCAGTAGGAGAGAAACACTGACTGCTTTGCCCCTGGTCCCTGGGCACTTGTTCCAAGGTGAAAGCCACGCTTCTCACAGCCTCTCTCTGTATGGTGGTTGCGGAGGTGGGGAGGGTGCAGGAGTAGTAGTCTTGGAAATGACCATGTCGTAAGAACACTCTCACTATAAACATATGGTGCTGTATTTTAATAATCATCAGCTCGACATAATGAGTCTGATTACTAGTTTCAACTTAAATTAGATACTAACAGTGATAAACATAAAATTACATAGTAGACTTGAAGGAAAGAGCAAAAGCTTTGCAGTCCTATAGATGTGGGTTTGAATTCTGATTCTGGCCAAGATTTTTGGCCTCTGGTGAGTTACTTTAATTACCTGTCTGATTCCCTCTTCTGATCCCTACTGGCCATTTTAGCACAGTGTGTTGTGTACAGTACTCAGTAAGTGAAGGCTATTATTGCGCTAATATTGGATTGTGCAGCAACAGCAATTTCCATATGATTCCAGTTCCCACAAACACATTGTGTAATGATGAAAACAGTGGAAAGAAAATCAAGACCTTTAGATTCTAGATTCCAATTCAATCTTGCATTTCATGATCATTTTGCTAAAGTACATTTTCAAGTAATTATTTTGTAGATTGGGCAAAAGACCAAGTAGTTTTGTTTTTATTTTTGACCAAGATGCCTACCTGGTTTTAAAATTACAGTTTTATCAAATGTAATATAAGTGAATTTTGTAAGTTTAATCACTTTTATTTAAATAGAAGTATATAGGCATTGATTTACTTCCTGTTATTTACAATTTTGACATGTCAATGAAAAGATATTGCTTAATATCCTGAAGAATTCTCAAATTTGTAAACATATTCAGTTAATACACATGGCATTATTCAGAAATGTGTATTTCTAGCCCTAATGGGACTCTCAGAAGTGGACTGTTGTGGCTAAGAATGTAGACCCTGAAATTAGACAATCTGTGTTTAAATCTGGCTTTGGCCCTTTTGAACTGGGTGACCTTGGGGAAACTTCTTAACCAGTCTCTATTTAACTTTCTTCACCTGTAAAATAGAAATAGTAATTTGTGTGTGTGTGTGTGTGTGTGTGTGTGTGTGTGTGTGTGTGTGTGTTGGGATAAAGTTGTTGGAAGGAATGAGTGAATTAACACATGGGAAGTGCTTAGAGTTCTACATGGAACAAACACACAATAAAACTGCTATCGTTGTTGTTATTTTGTGAAAAGGAGCATACTTTGACATAATAAAAAGGAGTATATTTGGACATAGCATGAATGTCCATTACATTACTGGACATTTGGTCATATGTAACCAGAAATTGACATTAGGGTTGTTCTGGGATTTATATGTTAATTCCTAAAATGATGGGAATAAAATTTCCTTTGGTCTGCACAGTTTGCATTATCCCATTGGATTAAACACCTCCACAACCAGCAAGTGAGGGTTCAGGAGAAAAACCATATTACTGATAGATAAAATAAAGAACTGACTTGTTTTCATCACATTTGAGCTTGTAGAGTGAGTAAATTTTGTTAGCCCCACTATCATTAAATTGTCATTGTGACTTGGTGGAGCTTGGCCAACGGTCTGAGCAAGATTTCCAGGTTAACTCTGAAATACATATTTTCAGGAGTTGATGAGTGGAGTTTCTTGGCTATGTTCTGTCTGGTGTCAATTTCCATTTGTGGCCAGACAGTGTATTCATAGCCAGAGAGGAAAGATTTCTGAATTGTCCTTGGCTTTTCAGGCTTCTCCCCTTATTGCCCAGCTAGCAGATCCCCTTGAGAAAGGGATGAGTTCTGCCTAGCTTCTGGATGTTGCTGTAATATTCCAGGAATGAATACATGGTTCACTTCATTTTGATTCTGGCCAACCTTGATTCCAGTTCATTCCTTCCTGCCACAAACATTTATTTAACACTTATTGTGCACCAAGCACTGTACGAGACCAAGCACTGCACGAGACGCTTGTTCCTTGAACACTGTTCTGTTCTCAAAAACATTACTTAGTGCGTAATATAGACACAGAAACAAGTATTTAATTGCTGCATCACTGAAACACGTGCTTCAGGTACAATAAAGGGATCATCCGATCTTGAGGGTCCTGATGCAGGTGATCTTTGTGTCTAGACCCCTTTTGTGGCAGCCTTGAAAATGTGCGCTCGGATCTCTGCTGTGGAGGCACAATTGGCTGATGGCTCCAGCTTTGGAGATCCACTACCTTGAGGCCACATCTCCTGCAGGCTTCTCCCAGCCAGTGGTGGAGCACTGTGGAGTACTAAGGCAGGTCTGTTTTGCTGAGACATGCGACTCCTCTAACAGGCAATTTTGGCCAAGGACTCTGCATCAGCTTGGTCGAAGTTTTCTTGGACCTCTACTGCACTTTAGAACTCTCTCTACCCAATTATTCCATACCCCCCTTTACCTCTCCCCCCCTTTTATAGCTGTCAGACCTACATTGCTCTCTGAATACTCTGCTCACTTCTTCTGGCTCCCACCCACCTAACATCTCTTGCACATCTAATCTTTTTTAAGCCTCTGCCTCTTGGCAGACCTCTCATATAAGTAATCTCTGTATTAAAAAGCTAGTGCAGATGATAAAGATACTCACTAAAAGACATATAAGTGTATGTGCATATGTGTGTGTGTGTGTGTTCTAAGTGCACCAGAATTCTAGAAATCATTCCAGATTCTGCCTTCTTCTACAGCCTCAATATCCATTTAGTTGCCAGATCCCTTTGGTTGTACTTCAAAACATTTCCCTCAAATGTTCCCTGGTCTCCATCTCCACTCTTTTCAGCCCATCAGAGTGATTACAACAGGATTCTAACTAGTTTCCTGCTTCCAGCTCCATCCCCTTCCAGCAAAGCCTTTCCTTATTACTTGGATTGTGTTCTTCATACAGTGAAAATATGAAAGTAATGCTACCCTCTTGAAAGTCTTGCAATGGCTCTCCATTGCTTTGGGTAAAGTCCAAACTACTTAGTTTACAGCATAAAGTCAGTCTTCATTTGGTCTCTGTTTTCTTCTTTTTAGTTTCATCTTCTCGTTCCTTGCTTTTCCAAAAGAACTTTGAACTATTTCTAGTTCCCAAATATGCCATACTCTTCTTGCTACTATGCTTTTCCATGTGCTGCTTTCTATGCCTAGAATTATCTTTCTTATCAGCTGTGTCAACTTCTCTTATTCTTCAACACCTTCCTCCTCTGGGAAACTTTCTCTGACTCTTTCAGGTGACGCTAAGCACTTATTCTTTGTGTTTTTCTAATGTTGTACATGCCTCTGATCACATTAGTATAATAATTATGCCCAAATTCTGTACCTACTATGGCATAGATACTTCGTGATTTATCTTTCCAGTTTCATCTCCCACTACTTCTCTTCCTGTCCTTGTACCCCTCCCCTCCTCTGTTTTCTGAACCCACCACACACTGTCACCTCTTAGTCTGCATGTAGAGTTCTCTGCTTCCAATATCCTTCTTTCTCCCTACCTTAGCTTTTTTTTGGATAATCTCTTTGCATCCTTTAAGACTTAATTTATATGTCTTCTCAGTTCCTGAACTGCCAAAACTGGATCAAGTGCGCCTCCTGAACACTCCTATTGCGCTCCTTGTGTTTCCTTATTATGGCGTCTAAAACTCTCAACTCTAATAGTCTATTCATCTGTCTTTTTTACCATGTTGTATATTCTTTGAAGGGAGGATGTGCTGTGGGTGATTCTTCTCTATTTCCCTAGCACCTAACAGTGTCTGGCTGATGATAACAGTTTATAGAATGAAAGAACCAGTGAGGGGAAGTCTAGTGTAGTAGAAAGAGCTCAGTCTCAGACCTTTCAGCTTAGCCACTTCTTTGCTGCTGTGGTTTGGATGTCCCTTCCAAAACTCATGACAGAATGTAATTGTGTCCTTGTAACAGTGTTGAGAGGTAGGGCCTTTAAGAGGTGATTCGGTCATGAGGGCTTTGCCCTCATGAATGGATTAATGCAGGAGTGGGTTTGTTATTGCGGGAGTTTGGCCCCCTTTTCCTGTCTTGTTCTCATGTACACATTCTTGCCCTCTGCCATGTTATGAAGTACTAAGTAGGCCCTCATTAGATGCTGAGTTGATGCCAGCACCATGCTCTTGGACTTCCCAGCTTTCAGAACTGTGAGCCAACTAGACTTCTTTTCTTTATAAATTACCCAATATGTGGTATTCTGTTATAGCAGCAGAAAATGGGCTAAGGCATTTGCTCTGGTATTAGGCAGTCACTTATTTTCCCTGATCTTCATTTTCCTCACTCATAAATAGGGATAACCATATACTCCTCCTAGGATGCCTGATGCACTGCTGGGAACATAGCAAGCATTTAAAAAACCACAAGTAATGGAAGTTTTCTTCTTTCTCTTAAGTGCCATCTATACTTTTTTGAAAAAAATTTTTTTTTTCTTATTTTAAATTTAATCACCTTCCATCTGGAAACTGAGAAGGAGATGTTTAGCTACTATTTCATATAAATTAATATTGACAGAAGACTGAATTTCTTTGAAGATAATTTAAAAAAATAAAAGTAACAAATCTGAAAATGTTTACATTACTTTCTTAAAACTTCTGAAATATTAGCTAATAAAAGAATCTTCATGCCAATTTTGATTTTAGATTATCAATAACTTTTAACGTAGGGTCTCCTTAAAAAGTCTCATTTATAGAAATCATTGCTACAAAAAGCTTAAGGTAGGGTGTATGTTTTTTTGCCCCAACTTTTTTTTTTATTATACTTTAAGTTTTAGGGTACATGTGCACAACGTGCAGGTTTGTTACATATGTATACATGTGCCATGTTGGTGTGCTGCACCCATTAACTCATCATTTAACATTAGGTATATCTCCTAATGCTATCTCTCCCCCCTGCCCCCAACCCACAACAGGCCCCAGTGTGTGATGTTCCCCTTCCTGTGTTCATGGGTTCTCGTTGTTGAATTCCCACCTATGAGTGAGAACATGCGGTGTTTGGTTTTTTGTCCTTGTGATAGTCTGCTGAGAATGATGGTTTCCAGCTTCATCCATGTCCCTACAAAGGACATGCATTCATCATTTTTTATGGCTGCATAGTATTCCATGGTGTATATGTGCCACATTTTCTTAATTGAGCCTATCATTGTTGGACATTTGGCTTGGTTCCAAGTCTTTGCTATTGTGAATAGTGCCGCAATAAACATATGTGTGCATGTGTCTTTATAGCAGCATGATTTATAATCCTTTGGATATGTACCCAGTGATGGGATGGCTGGGTCAAATGGTATTTCTAGTTCTACATCCCTGAGGAATTGCCACACTGTCTTCCACAATGGTTGAACTGGTTTACAGTCCCACCAACAGTGTAAAAGTGTTCCTATTTCTCCACATCCTCTCCAGCACCTGTTGTTTCCTGACTTTTTAATGATCGCCATTCTAAATGGTGTGAGATGGTATCTCATTGTGGTTTTGATTTGCATTTCTCTGATGGCCAGTGATGATGAGCATTTTTTCATGTGTCTTTTGGCTGCATAAATGTCTTCTTTTGAGAAGTGTCTGTTCATATCCTTCGCCCACTTGTTGATGTGGTTGTTTTTTTCTTGTAAATTTGTTTGAGTTCATTGTAGATTCTGGATATTAGCCCTTTGTCAGATGAGTCGATTGCAAAACTTTTCTCCCATTCTGTATGTTGCCTGTTCACTCTGATGGTAGTTTCTTTTGCTGTGCAGAAGCTCTTTAGTTTAATTAGATCCCATTTGTCAATTTTGGCTTTTGTTGCCATTGCTTTTGGTGTTTTAGACATGAAGTCCTTGCCCGTGCTTATGTCCTGAATGGTATTGCCTAGGTTTTCTTCTAGGGTTTTTATGGTTTTAGATCTAACATTTAAGTCTTTAATCCATCTTGAATTAATTTTTGTATAAGGTGTAAGGAAGGGATCCAGTTTCAGCTTTCTACATATGGCTAGCCAGTTTTCCCAGCACCATTTATTCAATAGGGAATCCTTTCTCCATTTCTTGTTTTTGTCAGGTTTGTCAAAGATCAGATGGTTGCAGATATGCAGTATTATTTCTGAGGGCTCTGTTCTGTTCCATTGGTCTATATCTCTGTTTTGGTACCAGTACCATGCTGTTTTTGTTACTGTAGCCTTGTAGTATAGTTTGAAGTCAGGTAGCGTGATGCCTCTGGCTTTGTTCTTTTGGCTTAGGATTGACTTGGCAATGCGGGCTCTTTTTTGGTTCCATATGAACTTTAAAGTAGTTTTTTCCAATTCTGTGAAGAAAGTCATTGGTAGCTTGATGGGGATGGCATTGAATCTATAAATTACCTTGGGTAGTATGGCCATTTTCACCATATTGATACTTCCTATCCATGAGCATGGAATGTTCTTCCATTTGTTATTTCATTGAGCAGTGGTTTGTAGTTCTCCTTGAAGAGGTCCTTCATGTCCTTTGTAAGTTGGATTCCTAGGTATTTTATCCTCTTTGAAGCAATTGTGAATGGGAGTTCACTCATGATTTGGCTCTCTGTCTGTTATTGGTATATAAGAATGCTTGTGATTTTTGCACATTGATTTTGTATGCTGAGACTTGGCTGAAGTTGCCTATCAGCTTAAGGAGATTTTGGGCTTAGACGATGGGGTTTTCTAGATATACAATCATGTCATCTGCAAACAGGGACAATTTGACTTCCTCTTTTCCTAATTGAATACCCTTTATTTCCTTCTCCTGCCTGATTGCCCTGGCCAGAACTTCCAACACTATGTTGAATAGGAGTGGTGAGAGAGGGCATCCCTGTCTTGTGCCACTTTTCAAAGGGAAATGCTTCCAGTTTTTGCCCATTCAGTATGATATGAGCTGTGGGTTTGTCATAGATAGCTCTTATTACTTTGAGATACGTCCCATCAATACCTAATTTATTGAGCGTTTTTAGCTTGAAGCGTTGTTGAATTTTGTCAAAGGCCTTTTCTGCATCTATTGAGATAATCATGTGGTTTTTGTCATTGGTTCTGTTTATATGCTGGATTACGTTTATTGACTTTCATATGTCGAACCAGCCTTGCATCCCAGGGATGAAGCCTGCTTGATCATGGTGGATAAGCTTTTTGATGTGCTGCTGGATTCAGTTTGCCAGTATTTAATTGAGGATTTTTGCATCAATGTTCATCAAGGATATTTGTCTAAAATTCTCTTTTTTGGTTGTGTCTCTGCCCAGCTTTGGTATCAGAATGATGCTGGCCTCATAAAATGAGTTAGGGAGGATTCCCTCTTTTTCTATTGATTGGAATAGTTTCAGAAGGAATGGTACCAGCTCCTCCTTGTACCTCTGGTAGAATTCGGCTGTGAATCCATCTGGTCCTGGACTTTTTTTGGTTGGTAAGCTATTAATTATTGCCTCAATTTCAGAGCCTGTTATTGGTCTATTCAGAGATTCAACTTCTTCCTGGTTTAGTCTTGGGAGGGTGTATGTGTCAAGGAATTTATCCATTTCTTCTAGATTTTCTAGTTTATTTGCGTAGAGGTGTTTATAGTATTCTCTGATGGTAGTTTGTATTTCTGTGGGATTGGTGGTGATATCCCCTTTATCATTTTTTATTGTGTCTATTTGATTCTTCTCTCTTTTCTTCTTTATTAGTCTTGCTAGCAGTCTATCAATTTTGTTGATCTTTTCAAAAAACCAGCTCCTGGATTCATTGATTTTTTGAAGGGTTTTTTTGTGTCTATTTCCTTCAGTTCTGCTCTGATCTTAGTTATTTCTTGCCTTCTGCTAGCTTTTGAATGTGTTTGCTCTTGCTTCTCTAGTTCTTTTAATGTGATGTTAGGGTGTTAATTTTAGATCTTTCCTGCTTTCTCCTGTGGGCATTTAGTGCTATAAATTTCCCTCTACACACTGCTTTGAATGTGTCCCAGAGATTCTGGTATGTTGTGTCTTTGTTCTCGTTGGTTTCAAAGAACATCTTTATTTCTGCCATCATTTCGTTATGTACCCAGTAGTCATTCAGGAGCAGGTTGTTCAGTTTCCATGTAGTTGAGTGGTTTTGGGTGAGTTTCTTAATCCTGAGTTCTAGTTTGATTGCACTGTGGTCTGGGAGACAGTTTCTTATAATTTCTTTTCTTCTGCATTTGCTGAGGAGTGCTTTACTTCCAACTATATGGTCAATTTTGGAATAGGTGTGGTGTGGTGCTGAAAAGAGTGTATATTCTGTTGATTTGGGGTGGAGAGTTCTGTAGATGTCTATTAGGTCTGCTTGGTGCAGAGCTGAGTTCAATTCCTGGATATCCTTGTTAACTTTCTGTCTCGTTGATCTGTCTAATGTTGACAGTGGGGTGTTAAAGTCTCCCATTATTATTGTATGGGAGTCTCAGTCTCTTTGTAGGTCTCTGAGGACTTGCCTTATGAATCTGGGTGCTCCTGTATTGGGTGCATATATATTTAGGATAGTTAGCTCTTCTTGTTGAATTGATCCCTTTACCATTATGTAATGGCCTTCTTTGTCTGTTTTGATCTTTGTTGGTTTAAAGTCCATTTTATCAGAGACTAGGATTGCAACCCCTGCCTTTTTTGTTTTCCATTTGCTTGGCAGATCTTCCTCCATCCCTTTATTTTGAGCCTATGTGTGTCTCTGCACATGAGATGGGTTTCCTGAATACAGCACACTGATGGGTCTTGACTCTTTATCCAGTTTGCCAGTCTGTGTGTTTTAATTGGAGCATTTAGCCCATTTACATTTAAGGTTAATATTGTTATGTGTGAATTTGATCCTGTCATTATGATGTTAGCTGGTTATTTTGCTCGTTAGTTGATGCAGTTGCTTCCTAGCCTTCATGGTCTTTACAATTTGGCATGGTTTTGCAGTGGCTGGTACTGGTTGTTCCTTTCCATGTTTAGTGCTTCCTTTAGGAGCTCTTTTAGCGCAGGCCTGGTGGTGACAAAATCTCTCAGCAATTGCTTGTCTGTAAAGGATTTTATTTCTCCTTCACCTATGAAGCTTAGTTTGGCTGGATATGAAATTCTGGGTTGAAAATTCTTTTCTTTAAGAATGTTGAATATTGGCCCCCACTCTCTTCTGGCTTGTAGAGTTTCTGCCGAGAGATCAGCTGTTAGTCTGATGGGCTTCCATTTGTGGGTAACCTGACCTTTCTCTCTGGCTGCCCTTAACATTTTTTCCTTCATTTCAACTTTGGTGAATCTGACAATTATGTGTCTTGGAGTTGCTCTTCTCGAGGAGTATCTTTGTGGCGTTCTCTGTATTTCCTGAATGTGAATGTTGGCCTGCCTTGCTAGATTGGGGAAGTTCTCCTGGAGAATATCCTGCAGAGTGTTTTCCAACTTGGTTCCATTCTCCCTGTCACTTTCAGGTACACCAATCAGACATAGATTTGGTCTTTTCACATAGTCCCATATTTCTTGGAGGCTTTGTTTGTTTCTTTTTATTCTTTTTTCTCTAAACTTCTCTTCTCGCTTCATTTCATTCATTTGATCTTCCATCACTGATACCCTTTCTTCCAGTTGATCGAATCGGCTACTGAGGCTTGTGCATTTGTCACGTAGTTCTTGTGCCTTGGTTTTCAGCTCCATCAGGTCCTTTAAGGACTTCTCTGCATTGGTTATTCTAGTTAGCCATTCGTCTAATTTTTGTTCAAGGTTTTTAACTTCTTTGCCATGGGTTCGAACTTCCTCCTTTAGCTCGGAGTAGTTTGATCATCTGAAGGCTTCTTCTCTCAACTCGTCAAAGTCATTCTCCGTCCAGCTTTGTTCCATTGCTGGTGAGGTGCTGCATTCCTTTGGAGGAGGAGAGGCACTCTGAGTTTTAGAGTTTCCAGTTTTTCTGCTCTGTTTCTTCACCATCTTTGTGGTTTTATCTACCTTTGGTCTTTGATGATGGTGACGTACAGATGGGGTTTTGGTGTGGATGTCCTTTCTGTTTGTCAGTTTTCCTTCTAACAGTCAGGACCCTCAGCTACAGGTCTGTTGGAGTTTGCTGGAGGTCCACTCCAGACCCTGTTTGCCTGGATATCAGCATCAGAGGCTGCTGAACAGTGGATATTGGTGAACAGCAAATGTTGCTGCCTGATCATTCCTCTGGAAGTTTTGTCTCAGAGGAGTACCCAGCCGTGTGAGGTGTCAGTCTGCCCCTACTGGGGGGTGCCTCCTAATTAGGCTACTCAGGGGTCAGGGACCCACTTGAAGAGGCAGTCTGTCCGTTCTCAGATCTCCAGCTGCATGCTGGGAGAACCACTACTCTCTTCAAAGCTGTCAGACAGGGACATTTAAGTCTGCAGAGGTTTCTGCTGCCTTTTGTTTGGCTATGCCCTGCCCCTAGAGGTGGAGTCTACAGAGGCAGGCAGGCCTCCTTGAGCTGCAGTGGGCTCCACCCAGTTCTAGCTTCCCAGCCACTTTGTTTACCTACCCAAGCCTCGGCAATGGTGGGTGACCCTCCCCCAGCCTCACTGCTGCCTTGCAGTTTGATCTCAGACTGCTGTGCTAGCAATGAGTGAGGCTCTGTGGGCAAAGGACCCTCCGAGCCAGGCGCGGGATATAATCTCCTGGTGTGCCGTTTGCTAAGACTGTTGGAAAAGCACAGTATTGGAGTGGGAGTGACCTGATATTCCAGGTGCCGTCTGTCACCCCTTTCTTTGACTAGGAAAGGGGATCCCCTGACCCCTTGCACTTCCCGGGTGAGGCGATGCCTCGCCCTGCTTCGGCTCACATTCGGTGCGCTGCACCCACTGTCCTGCACCCACTGTCTGACACTCCCCAGTGAGATGAACCTGGTACCTCAGTTGGAAATGCAGAAATCACCCGTCTTCTGCGTCACTCATGCTGGGAGCTGTAGACTGGAGCTGTTCCTATTCGGCCATGTTGGCTCCACCTGAAAAAATTTCAAACTTCTAAATTCCTGTTTCTTCATGACTGACCTCATTCTTCAGAGCCATCATCAAATAAGTTAAGTGCCATTCATTTGCTTTGACTATTTGCCCTAAAGCCTTTCTTACAGACCTGTCAAGAAGCAGAGTTTGGATCCATGACTGCAGTGCCTGCTGGTTGGTCTTCTTGGGCTCTAGTAAATAATCAAACTTATAAGACTATCTTAGGCTACTGTGGTACCAGCCTACTCAGATGGATATAGTTGAGGGACCCGATTTACCAGCAGGGCAGTGTCAGGCCTTCCTCTTTTGCAGAGTTTTTGGTGCAGGCCATACAGTTCAGGTACAGTAATAAGAGACCCACAGTAGGGTAAGGGTGGGAGCTGCTGCAAATTAAAAGCTTCGTGTCCCAAAAGATCCAATTTATTTTGTGGTAATTTTGTAGACAAAGCTTCTAGGGTTGAGTCAAGGTACAGGTACATGGGAAGGAAGCCCAATGCATGTAGACTCCATAAGATACTTATTACAGTTCACTTATAGTTCCTTCCAGTCAAGATGCAATTTTCCAATCAAGAGTCTTTTTTTTTTTTGTTCTAGAAACATAGTTGATGTTCTTACCCTTATCATATAAGGATAAGATTATCCTTATCATCCTTATCATCATGATAAGGAAAACAGCTAGGAAGTTTAACCATAGGTCAAATTCTCATGCATAGGGAGAAAGGGTTCTGCTAACACTTTTCCTATACTGACCCTTGTGGAAATAACTTCTAACTGAATGAGCTCATTCATTGATTGTGCTAGCCAACCTTATCACATCTTAATTATAGCACTTCCTCCTACAGAGAACCCAACAATTTGGTATAGTACATTCTAGATAGAGTTTGTTACTATCTAATTCTGGGATTCCTGCTCTTTTGGCCACATTTATCTGTTATGGCTTACTCTATATCATTTATTCTATTTAAATGTGATGTTAGTAATATTTCAACTTCACCACTTTAATGCAGCCATCTATGGATAAGTAATTGGAAATCTGTGCTATAATTTTCCTTTTAGTCATAGTCTTCCTGGCTCATTCTGTTTGCCTGCTTACCTGATGTGGGCATGCCTCTATCAGTGCCTGTTAGTTTTGAATAAAAAGCTTCTGTAAGCACCTGGGCACCAGGTCAGAGAATTTCTCCAGGCTAGGCTTCCTGTCATCTGTCTTAAAGGGCCTCATGAATGTATTCCCCTCTTCTGGACCTGATTATTATTAAATCTTAGCTCCTTTTTCTTGTCTGTTTCTATTTGGACTTGGCAGTAGGACTTTGTGCTGTACCTTGATGCTACTTTGGTAACATCTGTGGCTGCATCCAGGATTGCACCTTGGTTTCATTCAGCTGCTAGAGAAGATAAGAGATGCCATACTCTTACATTCACCTATGGGCCTCCATAATATCATTTGCCAGGGATATTTTGCCATTTCCCATCTGAGCAAGTACAGAGAAATCCAGCAATGAGATGCCTAGCTGTTTGGCTCACAAAACTACAACTAATGCATTACTGTGTATCTCATTCCAGGGTACCTGGATTGACAGTTAAATGCCTAAGAGAAAATAGCCACATATGATCTAAACATAAACCCAGATTTATAAAGGAAACACCTACAAGGGCTGACTTAATTTTTTCTAAGGAAAACCAGAACATAGCAAATGGTTATGGCACAAATCTATGTATGTAGATAGAGAAGGCAAAGCAAAGGGCATCAGAAAGAATGGGATTAATTGAGAAAGGTTTTCTCAAGGAGGTATTGGGTCTTTGAACTTGATCTATTAGATCACTGTAAATCGCTATAGGTGAATCACTGAGGTTGAAAGAGTGGCATTGGCATGGCCAATTGGTGAAACTTGTTGTGGCAGCAACAGATTAGAGGGGAGAGAGAAATTGGATTCTGGTCATCCATGAATATGTGGCTAGGAGGTGGGTGGGTAGGAGTGAGGAATTAGGATTTCCACCATATTCTGGCATTTTTATGAAGAAAAACTTTACCGTAAAACATTGACAGAAACATTGCTGGACTCAAGCTCTCTGGTTTGGATTCTAAGTTTTTGGAGCCTGCTGTGACTCTTCCCTCTCGCCCTCCTGCTCTTGGAGGAGTGGACTCCCAGCATCACCTAGGCTTGCTGTAATTAGGCATTTCTAAGGAGAACAGGATACTAATGAAGAAATAGTAATGTAATCCTTGGAAGATTTGCATCTCAGTAAAATCAGGTGGCCCTTGATCATGAATGGCTCATTTGCCATGCTGGGAAAAATTAAAAAGGAGATGTCCTTCCTGGCTGGATACTGGTGTCTGCTTATACATTTTGGTATTTCTTCTGCCTCCACTATCAGCACCACAACTGCTGAATCCTCAATGAGTAAAGATGCTTCGGTTATTCTATTTCTCTGCTATTATTGCCTCAGTTATTTTAAATTTTGTAGGAATCATTATGAATCTGTTTATTACAGTGGTCAATTGCAAAACTTGGGTCAAAAGCCATAGAATCTCCTCTTCTGATAGGATTCTGTTCAGCCTGGGCATCACCAGGTTTCTTATGCTGGGACTATTTCTGGTGAACACCATCTACTTCGTCTCTTCAAATACGGAAAGGTCAGTCTACCTGTCTGCTTTTTTTGTGTTGTGTTTCATGTTTTTGGACTCGAGCAGTGTCTGGTTTGTGACCTTGCTCAATATCTTGTACTGTGTGAAGATTACTAACTTCCAACACTCAGTGTTTCTCCTGCTGAAGCGGAATATCTCCCCAAAGATCCCCAGGCTGCTGCTGGCCTGTGTGCTGATTTCTGCTTTCACCACTTGCCTGTACATCACGCTTAGCCAGGCATCACCTTTTCCTGAACTTGTGACTACGAGAAATAACACATCATTTAATATCAGTGAGGGCATCTTGTCTTTAGTGGTTTCTTTGGTCTTGAGCTCATCTCTCCAGTTCATCATTAATGTGACTTCTGCTTCCTTGCTAATACACTCCTTGAGGAGACATATACAGAAGATGCAGAAAAATGCCACTGGTTTCTGGAATCCCCAGACGGAAGCTCATGTAGGTGCTATGAAGCTGATGGTCTATTTCCTCATCCTCTACATTCCATATTCAGTTGCTACCCTGGTCCAGTATCTCCCCTTTTATGCAGGGATGGATATGGGGACCAAATCCATTTGTCTGATTTTTGCCACCCTTTACTCTCCAGGACATTCTGTTCTCATTATTATCACACATCCTAAACTGAAAACAACAGCAAAGAAGATTCTTTGTTTCAAAAAATAGTGGAATTTCAGTAAACAATACCTAGATTTACCTGATGGTTTGGGGGCAAGATTTTCTGTTTGCAGTTTTCCCAGTGATCTGGGGAATTCAGTTTTGTGATTGCTGATCTGACATCATAGGCTTTTGAGTGCCTGAATTTCAGTTCATTCTGTAATTTTTTTTTTTTGGTATGTAAGTATTTTAAAATAAGGCACATTCTGTAAGAAACTTTTTTGAGGCATTATTTGTCATGTATTTTGCATGGCCATTGAATCCATGTATAATGGAAATCATCACATTGTTTCATTGTCTATTGAAGTATAATGGGAAATTCTTCCAAATTAGAGAACACATTGGGGTGCACGTGATGAGTTAGATATTTGTGGTTTAGCTGAGGAGCCCTGAGTAAGGGCTCAGCAGTGGATAGGTGGTCACTGGGAGCCACTGGACTGACCGAAAGCAGAGGAAGGGGGTTCAGTGCAAAGAGAAAAGGAAAAAAGGAAGGTTTCAGAGAGAAAAGAAGGAAAGAGAAAGGTGAAGAGAAATAGGCGTACACTGGGCCAGGCGCGGTGGCTCATGCTTGTAATCCCAGCTCTTTGGGAGGCCGAGGCAGGTGAATCGTGAGGTCAGGAGATCGAGACCATCCTGGCTAACACGGTGAAACCCTGTCTCTACTAAAAATACAAAAAAATTAGCTGGGCGTGGTGGCGGGCACCTGTAGTCCCAGCTACTCGGGAGGCTGAGGCAGGAGAATGGCTTCAACCCAGGAGGCGGAGCTTGCAGTGAGATGAGATCGCGCCACTGCACTCCAGTCTGGGCGACAGAGCAAGACTCTGTCTCAAAAAAAGAAATAGACGTACACTCTGGGACAAGACAGAAAAAGTATCCTCACACTTGCTGGGTAATAGTAACTGTGCTATTCCTAGCAAGAAACCCTAAGGTTTCTAGGCTTGTTCTGGAAAAGAGGATATTGCCAGAGTTGGTAAGTAGAGGAAAGTGATTAGTATTTAAGAAACTGAATCAAGAATGGTTCCAAAAATCTTAAAATCCAGGGAAACCAGCTTAAGGTCAAAGGCAAGTGCTAGATAATGAAATTAACACCATATGAGTACAAATTTACAAAATACTGTACTTCACCATAGGCTATGGAACTCAGTGGAAAGCCAAAAAAGCACTGGACAGGTGGTGGGAGTGCTTGACTTGTGGTGAATTTATTTCATCTGCTTATACATTTGTACACAGCACAGTTCTTCTCCAGAATGTTGTTTCTGTGGCTGGGACCATTGGACTGTGGCTCCAAAAGAACAACAGTCTGAAGATGGGATGTTGACAAGTTTTGGAATGTCAATTGGGGAATCATAATTTGTATTTATTTAGGTTTTTTTTGGTGTTCATAAAATGCTTATGTAATATTTACATATGTCAAATAAATCTTAAAATTTTATAAATTACATGACTTTTCTCATTCTGGCCACCAGAATCTTGACTGCAATATTCAGTAAAAATTACCCAAGCCAATATTTTGTGCTATGAAACCTGGAGGTATTCATCATGTTAAATCCTAAGAGAGATAAAAGGATTACTGAGAGTGATTAAATGCATACTATGTCTTAAGAACTCTAAATGAGTGGCAGAAACCCTCATTGGTCCCTCAGTATCTGTTCTTTCTCCTCTCTTCCATAGTAATCAAATCATTAGCTGTTCAGAATTTTGGCAGCAAATTCCATTATTGCCATGTATGTGAGCAGAAAAGATGTATATAATTTCTGGGTGGTACTTCGGAGCAGTCCTACCTTCCCTTCTTTAATCTTTTCTTTGTTACTCCCTCCATGAGCTGGAATGCTGACATCATGATTGTCTATCTTGGACAATGCAGATGAGGTGAATGCTTGGGATAGTGAAGTAATTCTCCATCCTAGAGCTGGCTCCATGGTTCTTCACACTGTGGACTTGTAACACCAGCTCTGGACTGCTCAAGCCTGAACTCCAGGACTGTTGATGAGAAATCAGTGTCTCCATTCTTTCAGGTGCTGGAGTTTTGGTCTCTGTTACCTTAGTCAAATAACCTATGCTATACCTTAAATATACACAATAATATATATCTTTATGATGAAATAGTATGTATTTACCATCTTATTAGTCAAAGAACCTTTTTATATGACCTACTAAGTGAAATTGAAATAAAACCTGTACATGTGGTATAATACCATTTTTTTTGGTAAAAATGTGTACATATGAAGAAAAGTCTAAAAGGAAATATATAAAAATGTAAACAGTAATTATTTTAGGTGGGAGGAATCAATAAATTTTTTTGTGTATTTCAAGTTTTCTATAATGAACATTTTTATATAATCAAAAAATATTTTTAAATATATAATGTATATATGGTCTATCTATCTATCTATCTATCTATCTATCTATCTATCTATCTATCCATCCACCAACCCACTCACCTCCCTCCCTCCCTCCCTCCCTCCCTACTTACCTAAAAGACAGAGAGGGAGTTCTGAGGTCAACATCGAGTTTGTCCTCGCTAAGAAAGGTAAGTGAATTGTCTTGCTTTGTCTGGATTCTTTTTATT
Organism: Homo sapiens; assembly: GCF_000001405.40. Lineage (NCBI taxonomy): Eukaryota > Metazoa > Chordata > Mammalia > Primates > Hominidae > Homo > Homo sapiens. Next base: position 141,781,949 of record NC_000007.14, read on the forward strand.
GTATTGGCAAAGTTCTGCCAATTTGTTTCCTGTTTGTCCTACACTGTCTTCAATTTTCCCCTCTCTGGGTTGGATGTGTTGTCTTTGTGTTAGGACTGTTTTTGCTGTTTGAAGAAAGTCTTCAGTCTTTGCTTAGGCACTTGCCCAAAGTCTCCCTTGGGTACAGTTTTTAAGAATGCTGTATGTTTAGAGTTTTGCTGGTTCTGATATGCTCTGCTAAATACCCACCACTAAGTACTTATTAACCAAGGATTTAAAACAATTTGGATTTTGGTTTGATTTTTTCAAGACACATAACTTAGAGGCTCTCTAATAAAAATAATATCCCGCATACCCCTCCCTTTCCTGCAGTAGGCAGAGCATAGAGGGAGGTTAAAAACTCTTTGTTAAGAAGTCACTTTCTGAAGTGGAGGGCAGGTGTCAGGACAGTGTACAACCTCATGAAACACCCATCGTGGTAACCAGAACTCAGGGTCATTGCCATTTAACTTTTAACTGCTACATGCCCAATACTGTATGAGCTACATTTCCACGTTATTATTTTAGTTGGTCATAACCTCTTTGGTAAGATAGCTATTATTGTCTCCATTATATAGTTGAGAAAATTAAGGCCCAAATAAGCCATATGAATGGTTCATAATAGCAGAACTAGGAAGGAATAGATCCAGAGCTCCCAGTGTAGTCTCTGAAAGTATGAAATTATTGTGGGTGCTTAGTTTCCTTAGCTGAAATGAATGTCATGGTGTCACATAGACTCTGGGCTTTTAGGCCTTGAGATTTATATGAGATATGTTTTTAAGTGAAAAAGTAGTAACATTAAAGAAGAAAAAATTATTAGATTTCTTTTGAATGTTGCTACTTGGGAAGGAATAGGCCAACAGAAATGTAATGAAAAGGTAGATACAATTTCTATAAGAACTAAATGAAATTCTTAAAAATTTCAAGGATTTTAAGAGCTTGTTTATATCACTTAAGTTTCACTTAAACATTTCTAAACATGTCTGGCTTTAGGTTTCCCTGATCATTGCTACCTGCATTCTGTTAATGAACCATTTTCAATTTTTTAAAAAAGAGAAAAGATTACTGGAAAGGAGTCTTTTAAAGCATGAACGGAATGTAACTTTTAAGGTAGCATCAAAAGCTACAGTCTTCAGGTGAAACTGAAGCTTACTGAAGGCATTTAAAATAAATTTTCCAATAATATAATTTTTTTTTACAAGTTAAAGCTGGAGATGGATCATCTACTCTAGTTCACTGGTTCTCAAAGAGCGCTGGGAGGGTGAGAATATGTCAGAGTCCATTGGGAATTTTTATTTTTCACATTTTATATACAGTCTGTGTGGGTTTCTCAGCTCTATTTAAAATATACGTGTCTTCATTCATTCTGGGTGTGGGAGTGGAAGGGGGAAGTGGAATTTGACAAAACTCCCTAGGGATTTGGATATTGTGGTCTAAGGGAAGGCACAGGTATAAATTTATTTCTCCTTCTAAGAGAAGAGCCAAGGCCAGTTTTACTCCATGAGGAAAAAAGTGTGAAAATAAATTCCATGTTTGTATAATAATTTGCCTGGCATAGAAATTAACAAGAGAGTGATACGGGTTAATGGGGGTGGGAGAAGAGGAGAGGAAAGGGGAGACATGAGGGTAAGGTCAACAGCAGGAGGAGGGGTGCAGTCTGTACACCCTCCTCCCCATGCCTGGCAGAGGTGTGAGGTCAACATCACTTCACCACGGTATGATTGTCCTCTGTGTTGTCTATTTGGATATATGGGGTCTGGGAAATGGGGTGACTGTAACTCTGCCTTGAGTCAGCAGGAAGGAGCCAGGAGCCCTGGGCAAATGACTGAGTGTGTGCACAGCTAGCTTGCAAATGAGATATCTAAACACAGGTGCATACTTGATTGGCCTGACAACATTTCTGACCTATTTTAAATATGGAAAAATTATTTGTCTCAATTTTGCTGCTTTCACAGATGGGACAATGACTGTGGTTATAATGATCTGAACTCCAGGTACCTCAAGAGAAGAAATAGCTAAACATTGATATTACTCAGAAAAGACCTCTCCTAACTCCTACCCACCCCTTTACATCTTTGACTTCTATGTGTTTTAAAGGTCTGGATTAATCAGTCTCTCATCTTTATTCATGCTTTCCAGACATTCTGGAATTGTGCAGAACTGGACACCTGTGTCTAGAATCAGTAGCTCAGTTCATCCTGGATTTGCATACTGTGAATAACAGACTTCAGGTGCTTTCTGACTTTATTGAAAGTAGTAGTTAGGGAGAGAAATCACCAGGGAAGGAAAGAAAAATAACAGTAATTAGACTATTTGGGAAGCAACAGGCTGGGTCATTCGTTTTATCATCACGATAGCTCTGTGACGTAACATTATCATCATCATTTTATAGAGGGGACACTGAAGCTCAGAGGGGTTAATTGGCTTGTCTAAGGACAAGAAGTGGTTGAGTTGGGAGCACCCCCAAATCTGTCCAACTTCAAACACATTGCCTTTCTCTGCATGGCCACAAGTGCCCCATTGATTAATACATCTAACAGAAAGCTAATCTTGAGGCCTAACAGAAAGCTATCTAACAGAAAGCTATCTAACAGAAAGCTATCTAACAGAAAGCTAATCTAACAGCTAATCTTGAGTCCTGTGTCCCATTGAGAGCTGGTACTAGCATGAACATGTGAACTCTTTGCCTTGGATGGGCAGACACCCAGAAAGCCCCGTCTGTAGCCTGTGCTGCTTGACCCTTTCCTTAGCGTGATTTTGCAATATTATGGGAACACCTCAGTGTCTTCTGGATACGCACAATTCTCATTGCTAAATGCTAAAAATGTAATTATTATATCTGAGTTTTATTTAAATTTTTAAAATGTTTTATTTCATTTTATTTTCTAATATTTTATAGAAAAGTTGCAGAATGAGTATAGAGAGTTCAAATATCATCCTCACCCAGTTTCTGCTAATATTTATATCTTACCATAACCATGGTACAGTTGCATTTAGTGTCTCTAGTCTGTGTCAGTTTCTCAGCTCTATTTAAAATTACCTTGCCAGTTTTAAAGATTACTATTCAGGCATTTTGTAGAATGTCCCTCAGTTTGGGTTTGTCTGATATTTTTCTCTGTTAGACTGAGGTAAAGTGCCCTACTCATCACGTTAGGAGTTCTGTGATATTAACATCACTGGTCACTGGTGATGTTAACCTTGATCACTCGGTGAAGGTGGTGTCTGCCAGGAACATTGTAAAGTTACTATTTTTTCCCCCATTTTCACACTTTGTTCCTTGGGAGCAAGTCATGTCCAGTACAAACTCAGAGGGAGGGAAATTATGTGCACCTCCTGGAGGGTTCCCCACATTTTGCCTGCTATAGTTAAAAATTCTCAGCCCTCCAAATTTCGTATTCATAAAAGCACACAAAAATAACTCCCTGGGCCGGGCGCGATGGCTCAGCCTGTAATCCCAGCACTTTGGGAGGCCGAGGCGGGTGGATCACGAGGTCAGGAGATCAAGACCATCCTGGCTAACACCGTGAAACCCCGTCTCTACTAAAAAATACAAAAACTTAGCTGGGCGTGGTGGCGGGCACCTGTAGTCCCAGCTACTCGGGAGGCTGAGGCAGGAGAATGGCATGAACCCGGGAGGCGGAGCTTGCAGGTGAGCCGAGATCGCGCCACTGCACTCCAGCCTGGGCGACAGAGCGAGACTCCGTCTCAAAATAAATAAATAAATAAAATAATAAAAAAATAACTCCCCCTCTTTCATCTGCAGTCCCCTCACTAGCCCGCTTTTACTCTATTCACTTTCCTGCCCTGAATAACGTTGCCGATGCTGGTCATTTTCTTCCTCGGGGTTGTGATCTTTGCTGCACACAGCAGCCAGCCTCAGTGGTGTAGTTTGTGCTTCCTCCTCCCTCCGAACGCCTAAATTGCGGCACCAAAGAGGCCGCAATGACTGGTGAGCAAGACTCCTCTTCCTCATATTTTGTGAGGAAGGAAGCTGGCAAGACTATGAATTTGTGTACATTTATAAATTGTGTTCCTGTTACACATGGTTATTAAAAACATGCTTGATCTGTTCAGTTTCTGAATATCTGAACTAATTCAGCTCATTAAGGGAATTTGTATACTTAGGTCAACAGCTTCTACAGAGGCGTTGCCTTGACGCCATCTAGTGGCAATATAGGCACAATTCTGAGAAGCATTTTAAAAAGTCTTGAGTACAGGAATACAGGTTTGCAAGAGAGATGTAGAATAGGGGATGGAAGATGGAACTGTACTGAGTCTGGTAGCAGGACAGGGTGATTTTTTGGGGGAAAGTGCCAGGTTTTGGAAACCAATGCTTGTTCTTTGTTTCATTCTTTTTAATATTCTTATTATAGACTGCTCTGTTGACGCTGAGTGTAAAGCCATAACTTGCCCCTATGAGCGTCTCTTTGGATGCTTGCATCCCGCTTGATGTTTCATCAGCTTTCTTTTCTTGGTTCAGGTACTGCTAAAGTAGCTGAGGGCTCAGAACAGTGGGGAATAGGAGCATGAATGCAAGAGACTTTGGTAGAAAGAATTATGGTAGTATTATGGCAGACACATTTTGGTTGTGTCAAAATTAAAAACCATAGTGTTACTCTGGTAAAGAGGATGGCACTGAGGCTGTTACTCTCCACATACACCCCTTCATTGCAGCTCTTGGTGTGGATGCCGATAGGCTGAACAGTTCTGTGTGGAGATGAAGTAGCAGCCGTGGTTCACAGATTTCTCTCCTGCCTCACCTCTCCTAGAATTTATTATTCAGCAGTTGATATTTATCCTGTCTTCTCCTTGTTTTTGCTTGTTTGCTCACCCTATCCTTCCCTTTGTTTTCATTGTCATTGCAGTAAGCCTTTGCATAGGTGTAAATATGGCTCTCATGTTTATATATTCAAATTTCAAACATATTGAAACCATTAATTATTTGCCTCACCCACCAGAACATAAGCTGCATGAGAGCAGCAACTTTGTTTCTTTCCATTGTATCCCAAGAGCTTGGAACAGTGGACTGGCACATAGTAGTCATTAATAAATATTGGTTAAATAATTGATAAATGTCATGCTTTCCCTTTTTTTTTTTTTTTTTTTTTTTTTGAGACGGAGTCTCTCTCTGTTGCCCAGACTAGAGTGCAATGGCATGATCTCGGCTCACTGCAATCTCCACCTCTCGGGTTCAAGTGATTCTCCTGCCTCAGCCTCCTGAGTAGCTGGGACTACAGGTGTGTGCCACCATGCCCGGCTAATTTTTGTATTTTCAGTAGAGATGGGGTTTCACCATGTTGGCCAGGCTGGTCTCGAATTTCTAACCTCAAGTGATCCACCCGCCTCGGCCTCCCGAAGTGCTGGGATTATAGGCGTGAGCCACCGCGCCCGGCCCATGCTTTCCCTTTTTATAACATGAGGTACCTTGCATTTGCCACTGTTAAATTCTCAGACTGTCTTACTTAGGTTTTGTGGAGTTAGGTCGGGTGGAAGTAGGATTTCAGGAGACTGTGCTCTAGGCTGTCTGGATTTTAGTTCTTTCCTTCGGAAGGCCATTCTGTAATTGTGTCTCTGTACCTAATGTCAGATCCCAGGCCAGTGTCAGGTAGATGTAAGTGACGGTGGGACCGTTACCTTCAAGAACGTTTCTTCTGGTCACAGCTGTAACATCTTTACCAGAGAAGGGATTTCAGACAGTAACAAAACTGAGTGGTGAGAAGTGAAATGCTCTGCCATAATACTGATACCGTCCCCAGGGATTCTGACACAGCCAGCAGCAGTACGTGTTCATCAGCACTGAAGCAGGGCACCTCCTGATTCAGCAGAGAGACCCTCCCCTCCCCAGCCATGTTGGCGGCTGCCCTAGGATTGCTGATGCCCATTGCAGGGGCTGAATTTCTCATTGGCCTGGTTGGAAATGGAGTCCCTGTGGTCTGCAGTTTTAGAGGATGGGTCAAAAAAATGTAAGGAGTCCCTATAAATTCTCATGATTCTGGTAAGTAGCCACTTTCTCCTACTCAGGCCGATCATGTTGGACATAAGTCTGTTTCCACTTTCCCAGAGCAGTGGTTGGCTTTACTATCTTAATGTCTTCGAGTCCTGGTAAGCCAGGCCAACATGTAGTTTGCCACTTTCTTCAGTGGCTTCTGCTGCATGGAGATCATGACCTTTGTCCCGCTGACTTCTTGTAGCTGAAAAGACTGGGTTTTTGTTTTTTGCTAGTGTCTTTCAAGATCACTTTTTATTTCTCAGCTCTTGTTGGCTGGACCCTTTAAAAACCCTTAACAGGAAACAGCAACATCCTGCATCCCATTTTAAATCTGTTATTTTTATAGATTGCTGTCCAGTGAAGGAGACTGATTGCTATTTGTGATGTTTCTGTTCCACTTGTCTTTTTGTAAAGACATCACAGGAAGATGGAGGACCACACAGCTGTCAGGAGGAGGCTCAAACCAAGGTGCTCATCGCTCTGAACTTCCCCCTTTACATGGTTTCTGCCTTGGCCAGACACTTTTCCATGACCTTCTAATCTCCCTCTGATCTCACCATTCTTGCCATCTCTGCAACACTCATGGCTGTTTATACTTCATTTCCGTCTATTGTAATGGTTATGAGGAATCAGACTTGTCAGAGAATTCTGTAGGAGATGATATGTACATGGAAATCCTAGAGGCCATGACTTGGAAGAAGGATCTAATCAGGCCCTTAACTGTATCACTGACAACAGTAAAAATAACTGTAGATTTTAGAAAAATGAAATTTTTATTCTCAATTCTCCTCATTTCTTCTTTGATTTTGAAACAAAATGAAAGGGTAACATGAAAAACAGGCTAGAAACTGGAGCTTATTGCTCTCTAAGCAATGCAAATCACATCATTTTAATAAACTACAGAAGTCAAAACCGAGTTTTCATATTTTGCATGGGAAGTATCACATTTTTAAAAATTACTGCAGATAATCAAGTTTTCTTTGCCAATATGCTATGTTTTTGATAAAAGGAAGTAGAAAATAGCTATAGTTTGAAAATAATATATTTTAAAAAGAGGTGAGCCTGTATATTTTTTAGGCAAGCACTTTTCTTAGGGGAATTAGCTAAATTATTATCTCAATTTTCTATGTAGTTTAGCCTCTCAACACCGGTAGTAAAGTAGTCAAAAACCTACCTTTATATTTCTGGATACTTTGGTTTTTTTGATGCCAGACTAGCTTTCTGGAAACGTGTCAGTTGGCTACCAGGATCGGTGGCAAATTCCACTGCCAGGCTAGATTGGGGCAGGTGGGGAGAGAGAGGCACTATGTCTCTATCAGAAAGTCACTGAAGAAACACTGTTTTTGGACGAGTTCAAGCCTCATCTAGATTTTTAGTCCAGTAGAAGATCGCGACCACCTCTGCCCCTCCATAGCCTACAGCCAGAGTTTTAGAGTACCAGGCCTTGCAGCTTGGTGGAGATGATGTACAATGGATGCTACCTGGAGGCAGGGACTGTGTATTATAATGGCGCCGTCCCCTGTGCCTAGTACACCGTAGTTTGACACAAAATAAGCACTTTGTAAATTTAGTCCGAAGGAATGGAAATCTCATCCTACAATCCATTCAGTTATTAATAGAGCAACTGAGGCCCAGAGACGGGCAGTGGCCTGCCTGCCTACAGCTTCGTAGAGAGTTCTCAGCATGCTTACTTTTTTTTTTTGAGATGGAGTCTTGCTCTGTCGCCCAGGCTGGAGTGCAGTGGCGCGATCTTGGCCCACTGCAGCTTCCATCTCCTGGGTTCAAGTGGTTCTCCTGCCTCAGCCTCCCGAGTAGCTGGGACTACAGGCAGCCACCACCACGCCCAGATAATTTTTGTATTTTTAGTAGAGATGGGGCTTCACCATGTTGGCCAGGGTGGTCTCGAACTCCTGGCTTCAGGTGATCCACCCGCCTTGGCCTCTCAAAGTGTTGGGATTACAGGTGTGAGCCACCATGCCTGGCCCAGTGTTCTTTTCATGAAAATAAAATTTCTTTTTTTATATAGCATATGAGCTCATAACTGGCACTGTATAGCACCTGAGCATGTTTTGATTTGGTCTTTCTTGTTGAGGGGCCTTGTTACGTTATACCCTGGTGTCTAGACTTTGGCCCAAAACCTTTGAGATGGAGAGCCGGTGTCTGTGGTACTGTTTGCAATCTCTGGTTCTACACTCAGGGTTCATTCATGTAGATGCAAATACAGATGGTATCATAACTTCCAACCTCTCTGTTCCTCATCACAGCTGTTCAGTCTCGCTTGAAGACAGATTACGGAAGGACGAGGCCAAATCCAGATTTTGTGGTGTGAAAATTTACCCTGGTGTGTTATCACTACCAGGGGATCTGACCTCAGCCAGGAGCAGTGAGAGCCTCCTCTCCCCAGCCATGCTGAGCGCTGGCCTAGGACTGCTGATGCTGGTGGCAGTGGTTGAATTTCTCATCGGTTTAATTGGAAATGGAAGCCTGGTGGTCTGGAGTTTTAGAGAATGGATCAGAAAATTCAACTGGTCCTCATATAACCTCATTATCCTGGGCCTGGCTGGCTGCCGATTTCTCCTGCAGTGGCTGATCATTTTGGACTTAAGCTTGTTTCCACTTTTCCAGAGCAGCCGTTGGCTTCGCTATCTTAGTATCTTCTGGGTCCTGGTAAGCCAGGCCAGCTTATGGTTTGCCACCTTCCTCAGTGTCTTCTATTGCAAGAAGATCACGACCTTCGATCGCCCGGCCTACTTGTGGCTGAAGCAGAGGGCCTATAACCTGAGTCTCTGGTGCCTTCTGGGCTACTTTATAATCAATTTGTTACTTACAGTCCAAATTGGCTTAACATTCTATCATCCTCCCCAAGGAAACAGCAGCATTCGGTATCCCTTTGAAAGCTGGCAGTACCTGTATGCATTTCAGCTCAATTCAGGAAGTTATTTGCCTTTAGTGGTGTTTCTTGTTTCCTCTGGGATGCTGATTGTCTCTTTGTATACACACCACAAGAAGATGAAGGTCCATTCAGCTGGTAGGAGGGATGTCCGGGCCAAGGCTCACATCACTGCGCTGAAGTCCTTGGGCTGCTTCCTCTTACTTCACCTGGTTTATATCATGGCCAGCCCCTTCTCCATCACCTCCAAGACTTATCCTCCTGATCTCACCAGTGTCTTCATCTGGGAGACACTCATGGCAGCCTATCCTTCTCTTCATTCTCTCATATTGATCATGGGGATTCCTAGGGTGAAGCAGACTTGTCAGAAGATCCTGTGGAAGACAGTGTGTGCTCGGAGATGCTGGGGCCCATGATCTGGGAAGAAAAGTGTGGTCAGGACACTCTTGGGACGCTCTTTTGATAGCTCTCTATAAGGGAGCTGCTTTCCATGTCTTTTAAGATTTTCCTTCTTTTACACCAATGTAATGAATGAGCAACAGAAAATACGGATCAAAACCCAATACTATGTCTCTTTTGGCAATGCAAAGTATATTTTTTTAATGTACCACAGAAATCAAGGCTAGGGCTTCATGTTTGGTAAAAGAGGTATTATATTCTCTCTACATATAGCAAATAATTCATATATAAATCGTGTTTTTCCTATTATAAAAAGCAGAGATTAGGAACAATTCTGTCTACATATAGCAAAAATTCATATATAAATTGTGTTTTTCCTAGTATAGAAAACAGAGATTAGGAACAATTATAGTGATCATTAATTTTTATGAAATTTTACCTATACATTAATGTTAGTCATTTTAGATATGCTTTTTAAAAAGTATCAAATAATTTCCCCATTTCTCTGCTGTAATGTATCTAATTATCTAACTGAAAAACAAAACAAAACATCTTTATATTTCTGGAAGTTTCTTTGAGCCCTAGCCTTGGCTTTCAGAATAAAAATCAGGCTCACGCCTGTAATCCCAGCGCTTTGGGAGGCTGAGGCGGGCGGATCACGAGGTCAAGAGATCAAGACCAAATTAGCCGGGCGCGGTGGCGGGCGCCTGTAGTCCCAGCTACTCGGGAGGCTGAGGCAGGAGAATGGCGTGAACCCGGGAAGCGGAGCTTGCAGTGAGCCGAGATTGCGCCACTGCAGTCCGCAGTCCGGCCTGGGCGACAGAGCGGGACTCCGTCTCAAAAAAAAAAAAAAAAAGAGATCAAGACCATCCTGGCTAACATGATTAAACCCCATCTCTACTAAAAATACAAAAAATTAGCCTGGTGTGTTGGCGGGCACCTGTAGTCCCAGCTACTCGGGAGGCTGAGGCGGGAGAATGGCATGAACCCAGGAGGTGGAGATGGCAGTGAGCCGAGACCATGCCACTGCACTCCAGCCTGGGCAACAGAGCGAGATGCCGTCTCAAAAAAAAAAAAAAAAGCAGAATAAAAGTCAGTTGGATGCCATGATCTGTATTAAGCTCCAAGGCCCAGGAACTGAAGTGGGGCAATATGAGAATGAGGGGCACTTGATTCTGCTTAAAAAAAATAGACTGCCTTTGAAGAGGTCACGCTGTCTGCTCTTCAGTCATTTAGCCATTTTGCCTGTCTACTGTGGCCTCACCACAGCCTACAGTCAGAGTTCTAGTGTGCCAGGTCTTTGAGTTGGAGGGAGATCATTTAGAATGCCAGATCCATGGCAGTAGGAACTGTGTCTGTTTTTATTTTCTCCCACGTCTCTGTGACTAGAACACTGCCTATTGCATAATAAACGCTTAATAAATATTTTGTAAATGACTGAATAGCTGTGCTAACTGGTTTTACAATGCCTCCTTTGTATTGTAGGTAGAGAAACTGATGCCCAGAGAGGGGCAGTGGCCTGCCCTGGGTTTCATAGAGAGCCTGTGGCAGTGCTGGGACTAGAGCTGTTTCTTGACTCCTGGTGCAGGGCTCTTTCCTTTACAACATGCTACTTTCCTAATGTCCTTCCCTCCTTGGAACCCCATGCCTCTTTCTACAGACCCTTCTACACAACTTATTCTCTTCCTTCTTTCTAGCCTTCTTTGTTTCAGTTCCAGGGGGATCTGAAATCCAAAGGACAACACTTGGCATTCTTAAATATTTTTTTTTCACTTCCTATGGATCACACTAATCTACTTTCATTAATCTATTCTCTCAAACATATCTTTTTCTTACCTGAATCTGAGAATTGAGGTACATGCTAGGCACATGTGGATATTAGTCATCACACAGGGGGAGATTGGTTCCACTGTCACTGTGAGTTGTGTGAGGTCAAGTACCATATTTTATGTCCTGGGAAGGATCATATTCATTCTTTTTAAATAGAAAGGTGCTTCTGCTTGGTTATATTTTTGTTAGTAGGATGAATTTTCATTATACCATTTCTATTTTTTTTACAGATGTCCTTTGTGACCAATTGTTGTAATAGTGACAATAGTATTTAACATTTGTATTGGGCTTTACATTTTACCAGACAATCTCATATATAGTCCATTATCTCATTTGATTTTAATAGCAACTCTATGCAGTAACCAATTTTATCCCCAATTCACAGGTGACAAAACTCAGGCTGGAGTGATGGTTTGCCCAGGATCATGAACTTGTAAATAATGCAGATGGAGCAGACCCAAATTTTTTGACTCCGAGTCTTGTGCTCTTTCCAGTAAATCCTAAGTATCTCATTGTTCATACTTGTAAGACTTCAAACTAGGATTAGCCTGTGGAACTTCCCTCAAGTTTATGAGTATTTTTACACACATGCAATAAGCAACTAATCTTTCAAATTTGGTATTGATGGGATGCCTGGGTGCTAAGATCCAAAATCACAACAGATCAAAGTTTATGATCTGCTTTTCTTAGTGACAAGGTATGGAATCAACCTAAGTGTCCATCAACACATGAACAGATAAGGAAAATGTAGTGTATGCATGTATGTGTATCTGTTTCATTTTCTACTTTTCTGTACTGTTCAAATTGTTTTTAGCCATGCTCAAATATCACATTTGAACATTTGAACAGATAAAAAAATGTAGTATACATATGTATGTGTATATATGTATACACACACACAATGGAATATTATTCAGCTTTAAAAAAGAAGGAAATCTTGTCATTTGAAAAAATGTGGATGAACCAGGAGGACCATTATGCTAACTGAAATAAGCCACATACAGAAAGACAAATACTGTAAGATCTCACAGATGTGTGGAATTTCAAAAAGCCAAACTCACAGAAGCAGAGTAGGATGGTGGTTGCCAGGGCCTGGGACGTGGGGGAAATAGGGAGATGTTTGGTGTCTGTTAGGAAGAATGAATAAGCTCTGGAGAGCTAATGTACAGCATAGTGACTATAGTTAATAGAACCGTATTATATACTTGAAATTTGTGAAGAGAGTAGATGTTAAATGTTTTCACTAACAACAACAACAAAGATAATTGTGAGGTGGTGGATATATTAACTTGATTGTGGTACTCATTTCACAGTGTATACATATGTCAAAACATCATGTTGCATACTGTAGATATATACCATTTTTGTCAATCATTCCTCAATAAAGCAGGAAAAATTATTGCATTTTCCACATCACCTTTTGGGATTTGATTTCCTTCTTTTTCTGTACACAATTTACCTTATGATGCGTATGAGACTGCTTTGTGTTTTAGCAAAGAAAACAAATGGGAAGGCAAATATATACTCTTGAATTGATTCCTATGTAATTGAATCTTTTATAATTTGCATTCTTAGAGTTGCAGCTGGATCCATGTGTGCGTGTGTGTGTGTGTGTGTGTGTGTGTGTAGATGTTAATGGCCTTACATTTAATTATGTGATATGCTCTGTGGTGGTGTAGCCGAGAGGAGACGTGAAATGTTAAAAATGTGATATGTGAGCATGGCTAAAAACGATTTGAACAGGACAGAAAGGTAGAAAATGAACAGCAACGTTTTTCCCTCCCACCTTCTATTATTAGTCCCACTGCCTGGATATAATGGTATCTTATCACTTGTGTTAGTTCTTTTAGTGGTTATTTTTTACGACTCTGAATGGTAAGATTTTGGCTCTCTTACTTGTTTTATCAGCTTTAAACTGTAGCCTTTGAGTTCCATTCATCAAGGTTTGGGGATTATCTCATTTTGCCCCTAATCCATTTTCCTCTCCTAAATTGATTAGTTTTATTTTGTTGTTCTAACAGTCATTACTTTTACAATTGTAAGTAATATATTTTCTACACTGCTTTTTTGAACCATGCCTTATGACAGTATCCACAGAGTCCCGATTATGTAGGAGGAAGAAATTAGTGCTTCACCAGTCCTGCACTTCTCCCATATCCCAACTCCTGTCACCTGTGGTATCAGTTATAAACAACTTCATATGACTTCAGGAGAAAGTACACTTATCAAAAGGAAATTGGCTAGATTATAGAACCAGGGAGAAGGCTGGAGAGTCAACCTCAGAATGGGAACCAAGAGGGGTTAAATAAACAAGAACACAATCAAGTCACACTACAGGGACTGATGCTGGCACCACCTCTCCTGTTCAGCTGTTAACATTGTGTTCTTGACACTGCCACTGCCTCTGAGACTGTGTCTCTTCGAGCCATCCTGGGTGGGATTTTTGGCTGGCTGATTCTAGATCACAGGCCTAACCTAGCTGACAGGCCCTGGGGTGAGGAAAAGCCTGGTTTCCCTTTGGCTTCTGAAATATGCACTTTTAAATTAGGTGAAATAAATTATTCCACCATTGAATTAAGCAGCAGAATGGGTACAGCTCCTGGTGTGGAATTGATGCACTGGAAGGCCAGCTCTAGAACTCTCGCAGGAGATATGGCAAAGTAATAAAGTGATGGGAAATTTAAAAGCAAAGCAATATGGCACACAGAAATAAAAGGACACTCATAGGTGTGATTGGAGCCCCAGAAGGAGATGGAAAAAATAAGCACAAGGAATGAAATATTTGAAGAATTAATGACCAAGAATTGCATTAACGATGAAAAAAGACTAAAAGGGCTCAAGGGGTGTCAAAGAAGACAGATAAAGTGGGAGGAATTCGTCACACTTAAACACATTGTAGAGATTTAAGAATATCGAAGACAGGCAATTTTACAAAATTTTGAAAGAACAGATCAAGAATCAGATTGACATTTCTCAGGAGAATACAGAACAAGATTTTTCATGACATTTTATTCTAGTAAATATTTTGTTATTTTCAAGTAACACCAAGAAGAAAAGTTTAGAAATATTTTTCTGGCTAGGAACATATTTTATATTAATTATAAATGGAGAGTTAATTCTAAAAATGTCAGTGAAGGCTCAGTGGTTGATTATCATAAGGTTAGTGAGCAAATTCTGAAATATTTGAACAATCAAAGAAAATCTTGAAACTAAAGGATTTGGAGAGATTGTGATGTCAATACTCACAAATGAATTAAAGGAGTCAATGTGGCATAGAATTGGAGATGACTCTGGAGGGAAAAAAAGTAGCACAAATAACTGCCAGTGCATCAGAATTTGTTAGAATGCAGTGAAGAAAACAGGAAAAATTAAGCATTTCAATTGAATACAAAAGAAACAAACAGGGGGCTGGGTGCGGTGGCTCACGCCTGTAATCCCAGCACTTTGGGAGGCCGGGGCAGGAGGACCACGAGGTCAGGAGATCGAGACCATCCTGGCTAACACGGTGAAACCCCGTCTCTACTAAAAATACAAAAAAATTAGCTGGGCGTGGTGGCAGGCACCTGTAGTCCCAGCTACTCGGGAGGCTGAGGCAGGAGAATGGCGTGAACCCAGGAGGTGGAGCTTGCAGTGAGCCGAGATTGCACCACTGCACTCCAGCCTGGGCGATAGAACGAGACTCCATCTCAAAAAGAAAAAAAAAAGAAACAGAGTAAACTTTCTCCCAATTAAAGAGAAGGCCTTAGCAATAGATGAGCATCTTAAGAAAGAAGCTGAAAACATTGCTGCAGTGATCTCCCTTAGTGGAAGCTACTGGAGTGGCTTCAAGGACTTCCACATTCTACACATCTGTTGAGTTTTTGGTGAAACTGAGTGAAGATTAAACAGCAGTAAAAACATTCCTCCTGTGTTTTAAAAAGTGTACTGATAGATACAGTTGTACTCTGGTTCAGATTTTAAATTTTACCTTTTTTAGTTGACAAATAGTAATTGTATATATTCATGGGGTACTTAGTGATGTTTTGATACACATAATGTATTGTGATCACATCAGGGGAATGAGCACATCTGTCATCTCAAACATTTATTATTTCTTTGTGTTGGGAACATTCAATATCCTCCTAGCTATGTGAAACAATGTAATACCTTATTGTTAACTATAGTCATCCTACACTGGTTCAGATTTTTAATTGTAGTGAAATTAATCTCTAAAAATTAATTCCCTCAAAGATCTATAATAAGCTCCAGTATAAAGGCTGTGAATGATTGATTGACAGATGTTGAGTGCAAAGGCTATAGAGATATATCATCCTAGGATTTTTATTAGGGTTCTTTTTATTTCAGTTAGTGCTCTAGTTACAAAGTTACATCGGTTTTCAATAGTCTTTTCCAACCTTATTCTGTCCTACCCCCAAATACACTCATATTTTGTGTATGATTTTGCAGAATTTAAAGTTTTACAAGAACATATATATCACTTTATGAAGGAAGGCCTGTATATACCTCATAGGTTGTCATGAAGATTAAATGAATTAATAGATGTAAAGGGCTTACAAGAGTACCCGGTATATAATAATGGATGTAATTTTTTATCCTTAATATTATTATCATACTACTATTTAGGAAAAATAATTTTTACTTTTGACAAATTATAATAATGTAAATTATGGGGTACACAGTGATAGTGATGTTATATATAAACAGTGTGGAATGATTGAATCAAGCTAATTAATATATCTATCACCTTAAATACTTATTTATTCCACTTGTGTAACTTAACTGCAACAATCTACTCTTTGATCAACATCTCCTGATTCCGTCCACCCCGCCCCCAGCCTCTGGTAACTATCATCCTACACTCTGCTTCTATGAGTTTGATTGTTTTAGATTCCACATGTAAGTGAGATCATTAGGTGTTTGTCTTTCTGTGCTTGGCTTATTTCACTTAGCATAATGTCCTCAGGTCCATTCATATTGTCAGAAATGACAGGATTTTCAAGAAATAATTTTTTTTTTTTGAGACGGAGTCTTGCTCTTTCGCCCAGGCTAGAGTGCAGTGGCGCTATCTCGGCTCACTGCAAGCTCCGCCTCCCGGGTTCACGCCATTCTCCTGCCTCAGCCTCCAGAGTAGCTGGGACTACAGGCGCCTGCCACCGCGCCCGGCTAATTTTTTTTTTTTTTTGTATTTTTAGTAGAGACGGGGTTTCAACATGTTAGCCAGGATGGTCTCGATCTCCTGACCTCGTGATCCACCCGCCTTGGCCTCCCAAAGTGCTGGGATTACAGGCCTGAGCCACCGTGCCCGGCCTAGAAGAAATAATTTTAAATATTTGCACTTGCAAAGAATAATTAAAAGATAAAGAAAATAGAATTGAAACACCAGATAAATATGTAAATTTAGCAGGTGATACATGTGGTCTTCTTTTCAAAAAGGATTATTCAATAAATGCTGCTGAAACAAGTGGCTAACCATTTAGGATATAGTAAGATATAGATTTTTACTTCACATTATCTTTACTAAATTTGAAGGAAACAATAAAGTGTAAGCAATGAAACCATAAAAGCTCAAAGAAAATATAGATGAATAAATTATTGGGGTATGAAAGAAATTTCTAATTATGCTATCAAGGACAAGAATCATCCAAAAATTATTAACATATATGATCACATAAAAAATTAAAACTTTATGTCACAAGCAACATGCATATAAATTTACATAGCAATGGATAAATGGAGGAAAAAATTGCAGCTAAGCATATATAACCAGAAGGAGTTATTAATTGTTACAAAATTATTAAAAAGAACCATAACATTCCAACAGAAAAATGAGAAAGGCTTTGGAGGCAATTAAAAAAATGAATCAATATAAATGGTTTATAAACACATTGTTATTTCTCACTAGTCATAAAAAAGTTATTTTTTGTAATACCATTTGTGTTTATCCAGGTAGCAAAGATTAAAAAATGAAAGATAATGGTTTTACGAGAATACAGGGAAAGGATATTCTTATGCATTGAAGATGGATGCGTTAATTGGTATAATATTCTGAGGGATAATTTGGCAGCATATTTTAACACACGTATATATCTTGATATAGCAATTATGCTTTGTAAATATATTTCTATTAAAGATCTATGTAAAGTTGCTTTTACAAAGATGTTCATCACACAGTTATTTATAAAACTGAAAAATTGGAAGCATTCTAAATGCTAAACTGAATAGGACTGATAAAATAAATTGTGGGTTCAAGGCAGAACATGGGTGATCTGCAAAATTTCAAACTGAAAAGTTAATTTTCAATGGCCTTGGACTAAGGACTAGAGGGAACAAGATAATAAAGATATGGAAGAAATAAATGGGAAATATAAATAAAATTTCAAATGATTTTGATTCCTTTAATCCTTCCCAAGCACTCACAAATTATTTATGAAATTTTCATTTATTTCTTCAAGTGTGTTGTTTTTCTGACTGATATATATGAAAAAACCAAAAGTTTGTTCTTTGAAAAGAGTAATAAAGTAGAAAAAAAACTCATTTGGTATAGGCTGAATGTTTGTGTCCCCCCAAAATTTGTATATTGAAACCTAATCCTCAATGTGATGGTATTTAGAGGTGGGATTTTGGGGATGCTGTCAGGTCCTGAGGGTAGAGCCTTCATGAACGGGATTAGTGCCTGATATGGTTTAGCTGTGTCCCCACCCAAATCGCATCTTGAATTCCCACGTGTTATGAGTGGGAGGTAATTGAATCATGGGAACAGGTCTTTCCCATGCTGTTCTCGTGATAGTGAATAAGTCTCATGAGATCTGATGGTTATAAAAAGGGGAGTTTCACTGCACAAGTGCTCCTCTCTTTGCCTGCTGCCATCCAGGTACTATGTGACTTGCTCTTCCTTGCCTTCCACCTTGATTGTGAGGCTTCCCCAGCCACGTGGAACTGTAAGTCCAATTAAACCTCTTTCTTTTGTAAATTGCCTAGTCTTGAGTATGTCTTTATCAGCAGTGTGAAAACAGACTAATACAGTGCCCTTGTAAAAGAGACCCTAGAGAGCTCCTTTGCCCTTTGGGAAAAGATAGCTGTCTATCCACAAGGAAGTGGGCCCTCATCAGACGAATCTGCTGGTGCCTCGATCTTGGACTTTGCAGCATCTAAAACGGTGAGAAATATATTTATGTTGTTTATAAGCTACCCAGTTCATGGTATTTTGTTATGGCATCCTGAGCAGACTAAGAAACCACTGATAAAATAAATCAGGAATAAAAGAGAGATGCTAAATAATATGAATGCAGAATGTCCTTAGCTACAGATAGAAAATATTAAAATATTTAAAAAATACTATACATAACTTTGCTTCAGTAAATTTGAAAACTTAGATGAAATTGAAAATTTCTAGAAAAATACAATTTACCAACACTGATTTAGGAATAAGAATCTGGCTACTTATTTAATTTAATAAATTGAAACAGTAGTAGTTAAAATATTTTCACATAGAAAACAAGCTTAGGTATTTTTGCATGGAAATTTTACCAAACTGTAACTTAATATTAAACAAACACTTCCAGAGAATAGGAATAAAAAGGGCAGATACTCTTTAAGCTTTACTCTGAGGTCAATATAACTTTGATGCCAAAACCAGACAGAAATAAACAAAAAATGAAAAGCACAGGCCCACTTAACATATAAATATAGAAGTAAATGTTTAAAATAAAAGTTATGAAATTATTTAAAACCAGAATTCAAGAGTTAGTAGAAACAATTAGACATTATGATGAATTTGTTTATCCCAGGAAAGCAGGGATAGCTTACCATTAAGACTACATAAACACCATTTGCTCCAGCAACATAATAAAGAATAAAAGCCATATGATTCACAGACTACCAAAATTGAATCAAAAAGAAATAGAAGTTCTGAATAGACCTACAAAAATATACTGGATTTTTAATTTAAAAGACAAAAATTTCCTTCAAAGAAAAGTCCAGGACCAGATGGCTTCACTGGTCAATTCCACCAAACATTTACAGGATTAATACCAATTTTTGGTAAACTCCTCCAAAAAATACAAAAGGAAGGAAGGCTTTCCAACTCATTCAATGAGGCCAGTTTTACCTTGATAACAAAACCAGAGACATTGCAATACAGACCAATATCTCCTATGAATATAGATGCAAAAATCCTCAACAGAATACTAGCAAACTGAATCCAGCAACATATACTGCAAACAGGTGGGATTTTCTCAAGTAATACAAGGTTGTTGATTCTTTGTGACCAAAGAATCAGAATAAACGTTGATATAAGATAGGGTCAACCCCACCAGCAGGATCAAAAAACAGTAGTGTTGAGGTTACAGTCAGTTAATAGTATGGTAATGCTGGCGGCTAGGACTGGGAGAGAAAGGAGTAGAAGGATTGCCGTAATGAGGACTGATCACACGAAAAGGGGTGCTTTGATACTGGGATATGGCTCGGGGTTTTATACCGATAATTGTGGTAATAAAATTAATGGCCCCTAAAATAGAAGAAACACCTGCTAGGTGGATTGACAAAATGGTTAGATGCACAGACGCTCCCGCATTTATTAGGCTTCCTGCTAAAGGCGGGGTATTATTGTTCAGCTGGTCCCGCGCCGTCTTCTGCTATTGATGATGCAAGTAGGAGTAGGAAAGGGGAGGAGGGGAGAAGTCAGAAGCTTATATTTTTTATCCCGGGGCATACCATATCGGGTGCACCAATTATCAGAGGGACTAGTCAGTTGCCAAACCCCCAGTTATCATTGGTATTACCATAAAGATTATGATGAGTGCGTGGACGGTAACAATAACGTTCTACATCTGATCATCTCCTAGCAGAGTTCCTGATTGGCCTAATTCTGCTCCAATGAGAAGGCTTAGGGCGGTGCCCACTAATCCCCGCTCATGCGCCCAATAGCAGGTAGAATGTTCCGGTATCTTTATGGTTAGTTGAAAACAATCAACGATTGATGAACATAAGTGGAAAAAAAGGTAAAATGGCTGAGTAAGCATTAGACTGTAAATCTAAAGACAGAGGTCAAGGCCTCTTTTTACCAGCCCGGAGGTGATTTGTCACGTTGAATTGCAAATTCGAAGGAGCAGCTTCAATCCTGCCAGGGGAGGGGGGCTTCTCCAGCCTTTCTGCTCGCAATGGCGGGAGAAGTAGATTGAAGCCAGTTGATTAGGGTGTTTAGCTGTTAACTAAATTTTCGTGGGTTTGAATTCCACCAATCTAGCAAGGGTTTAGCTTAGTTAAAGTGGTTGATTTGCATTCAACTGATGCAGAATAGAGTCTGGCAGTCCTTAGGTCAGTTACAGAAGTTAAATACAATTTACTTACTAAGGGCTTTGAAGGTCCTTGGTCTTATGTAACCTAAATTTCTACGTTATAGTCAGTATCAGTGGAGAGATAGGTAAAAGGAGGGTAGAAAAGATGATAAGTAGGGGGGAGAGAAATATGGTTTTTGTATTTTCGAATTGTCATTTTATTTTCATATTATTAGATGTGGGGAATATTGCTACTGAGATGGAATAAATTAGGCCTGTGTAAAAGTACAGGTTGAGTAGGGTTATGATAGCTATAATGGTAGGGGTAATAAGACTATTGTTTTTTGTAAATTCTTGAATGATGGTTCCTTTAAGCAGAAATCCTGTTAATAGGGGTAAGCCTCCTAGGGATAGTAAAATTAGTGGAATTACAGGTGTTAAATATGTTAATTTGTTTCAGGTGTGAGATAGTGACAGGGTTGTGCTTATACTCAGGTTGGGTGCTAGAAATGTGGTAGTTGTTAAATAATCAGGTTTAGAATGGTAATGTTTGGGTTACAAATTATTACTTCTACTATTCAACTTAGGTGAGTAATTGAGGAGTAGGCTATGATTTTATGCAGTTGTGTTTGATTAAGTCCTTCTCAGCCGCCTACTATAATGGATAGGAATGTGACAGATAGAAGGATGTTCGTGTTTATTGATGGGAAAATTTGATACATGATTGAGATAGGGGCTAGTTTTTGTCATGTGAGGAGAAGTATGCCAGACATCAGAGATGTTCCTTGAGTTACTTCTGGGACTCAGAAGTGAAAGCGGGCTATTCCTAGTTTTATTACTAGTGCCGTTATTATTATTAAGGATGAAGATTGATGAATAGTGTTTATTGTCCACTGTCCGGAGGCCAGGTTATTGGAAAGGATACCTATTATGAGAATTATAGATGTGGTTGCTTGTGTAAGGAAATATTTGGTGGCTGCTTCTGTAGAGCAGAGATTTATTTTTTAAATTAAGATTGGGGTAGGAGCTAGTATGTTTATTTCTAGGCCTGTTCGGATGAGAAATCGGTGTGAAGCTAGCATTGTGATAAGAGTTCCTGTGAAAATAGTGAGATAATAAGCTGAGCTAATGGATTAATTAGTACAGAAAAGATATAACCAACATTTTTGGAGTGTGGGCCCGATAGCATATATAGCTGACCTTAGTTTAGGACGTGGTGTAGTAGGTAGCATGGAGAATGTTGAATTCTCAGGGGTAGGTTCAATTCCTATAGTTCTAGAAATAACAGGATTTTAACTTCTATTGTTTACTCTATCAAAGTAATTATTTTGTCAGACATATTTCCTATGTTTGGTGTGGAATGCTGGAAATTAGGACGGGCATTGAGATATATGACATGCAAAATGCTAGTGTAAGTGATAGGAAATTTTTTCGTAGAAGATATGAGTTGGTCATAGCAGAATTGGGGGTATGCTGTTTGAATTCATAAAAGCAGGGTGGTTAAAAGGGGGGTCTTGGTAATGAAATTTGTGGAATAGAGTTCTGGTGAATATCTAGTGTGCAGTGCTCCTAGGAAAATAGTAGTAGTTAGGGCATTTATTATGATAATATTCATATATTCTGCTATAAAGAAGAGAGCAAATGAACCTGTGGCATGTTCAATGTTGAAGCCTGAGACTAACTCTGACTCTCCTGTTAGATCAAAAGGGGCTCGGATAGTTTCTGCTAATGTGGAGATAAATCATATCATGGCTAGGGGCCGTGATGGTAGAAGCAGTCAGAGGGATTCTTGCATTGTGATGAGTGCATATAAATTAAATGAGCCACTTATCAGTAGGACTGATAGGAGGATAATGGCTAGGGTGACCTCATATGAAATTGTCTGGGCCACAGCTCGTAATGCATCGATTAGTGCATAATTTGAATTAGATGCTCATCCTGATCATAGAATAGAGTAGACGGCTAGGCTTGATGTGGCTAGTATAAATAGGAGGCCTGTATTAAAATTAATTAGGGGATTTGGTATAGGGAGGGGACTTCACAGAGAAGAGTGATAGAAAGGGCCAGGGTTGGAGCAATAATATAAAGGGTGATAGTAGATGTAGATGTTGAGGTCTGTAAGGGCTCTTGGATGAAACGTTTTATTGCGTCAGCGAATGGTTGAAGCAGTCCGCAGGCACCTACAATGTTAGGTCCTTTGCGTAGGTGTATATAGCCTAAGATTTTTCGTTCAATGATTGTAAGGAATGCTATAGCGATTAGAGTTGGAATGATAAGTAGGAGAAGGTTAATTATAGGCATATTGTTAACAAGAGGTGGCCGGGCCTGGTGGCTCACACCTGTAATCCCAGCACTTTGGGAGGACGAGGTGGGTGGATCACTAGGTCAGGAGATCGAGACCATCTTGGCTAACACGGTGAAACCCCATTTCTACTAAAAATACAAAAAATTAGCCGGGCGTGGTGATGGGTGCCTGTAGTCCCAGCTACTTGGGAGGCTGAGGCAGGAGAATGGTGTGAACCCAGGAGGCGGAGCTTGCAGTGAGTGGAGATCAGGTCACTGCACTCCAGCCTGGGCGACAGAATGAGACTCTGTCTCAAAAAAAAAAAAAAAAAGAAGAAGAAGAGGAGTTGAACCTCCAGTTATAAAGTTTTAAGTTTTATGCAATTGCCGGGCTCTGCCATCTTAACAAACCCTGATCTTGGTTAAGGTGTGTGGTGATTTGTTAGATTGAGATAGCATCATCTACGGGGTGAGGGCACTTTATGAAGTGGGCCCTATCTCTCTTGTTCTTTTGTAGTAGGAGAAATGTTAAATAGATAGAAACCAACCCACATTACTCCGGTCTGAACTCAGATCATGTAGGACTTTAATCGTTGAACAAATGAACCCTTAATAGTGGCTGTACAATTAGGATGTCCTGATCCAACATCGAGGTCGTAAACCCTATTGTCAATATGGACTCTAGAATAGGATTGTGTGGTTATCCCTAGGGTAACTTATTCCGTTGATCAAATTATTGGGTCAATGTGTGTTAACCCGCTTAGACTAGTGAGGTCTTAGTTTAGGTTGTTCAGAGGTTGAGTTATGCTCCGAGGTCACCTCAACCAAAATTTTTAATGCAGGGATAGTAGGCTAAGGCCTGTAGGCTTTTTTGAGTTTTTATTTTCATTAATGAATTTGGTCAAGGTGGTTTCAACATCTGAAAATTAATGCAATATACTATATTAATAAAATAAAGGGCACACATTCATATGATCATCTCAATAGATGTAAAAAAAAATCTGACAAGGTACAACACCCTTTTATGATAAAACCATTCAACAAACCAGGTATAAAAGGTGATATGGTTTTGCTGTGTCCCCACCCAAATCTCTTAACTGTAGCTCCCATAATCCCCACATGTGGTGGGAGGGACCAGGTGGGAGGTAATTGAATCATGGCGGCAGTTTCCCCCATGCTATTTGATTTGGTTTGGCTGAGTCCCCACCCAAATCTTATATTGAATTGTAGCTCCAATAATCCCTACATGTCATGGGACGGACCTGGAGGGAGGTAACTGAATCATGGAGGGTGGGTTTTTCACATGCTATTCTTGTGATAGTGAAAGGTTTTATAAAGGGCAGTTCCCCTACACACGACTCTTGACTGCCATCATGTAAGATGTGACTTTGCTCCTCCTTCACCTTCTGCCATGATTTTGAGCCCCCCCTAGCCATGTGGAACTGTGAGTCCATTAAACCTATTTTTCTTTATAAATTACCCAGTCTTAGGTATTTCTTTATAGCAGTATGAAAATGGACTAATACACTCTTCTTGTGATATTAAGTAAGTTCTCATGAGATTTGATGGTTTTGTAAGGGGCTTCCCCTTTTACTCAGCTCTCATTCTTCTCCTTCTTGCTACCATGTAAAGAAGGACATGTTTGCTTCCCCTTCTGCCATGATTGTAGGTTTTCTGAGGCCACCCACCCCAGACTTGTGGAACTGTGAGTTAATTAAACCTCTTTTCTTTATAAATTACCCAGTCTTGGGCAGTTCTTTATAGCAGCATGAGAATGGACTAATACAGAGGGGAACTTTTGTAACCTGATAGGAGGTATCTACAAAATGCATATTCTTAATGGTGAAAGACTAATGCTTTTCCCCTAAGGTCAGGAACAAGGCAAGGATATCTGCTCTGCCACTTCTATTCAAGATCGTACTGGAAATTCTAGCCAGGATGATTAGGCAAGAAAAAGAAATAAAAGTTATGTAGATTAGGAAGGAAGAAATAAAATTCTCTTAACTTGTAGATTATGTGATCTTGTTTATAGAAAATCCTAAGGAACCTACACTAAAAAGCCATTAAAAGTAATAAATGGCTTCAGTAACTAATAAAAGACTCACACATTTCCTCTGGTGGATGCTAAGGTTTAGAAAAAAAATTACTTGCAGAATACAAGAGCTGTATACAAAAATCAATTGTATGCGTGTACACTAGCAATGAACAATTCAAAAATAAAATTAAGAAAACACTTCCCTTTACAGTAGCATTAAAAAGAATAAAATATTTAGAAATAAATTTAACAAAAGTGCAAGACTTAACACTAAAACACCAAATAGCATTGCTGAAAGAAATCAGAAAAGACATAAATAAATGGAACTATATCTGATGTTCATGAATTGGAATGATGTAATATTTAGATATCGATACTCCCCAAATTGA
Organism: Homo sapiens; assembly: GCF_000001405.40. NCBI lineage: Eukaryota > Metazoa > Chordata > Mammalia > Primates > Hominidae > Homo > Homo sapiens. The sequence goes on from NC_000007.14 coordinate 141,807,057, forward strand.
TCAATGCAATCCCTATGTAAATCCCAGCTGGCTATTTTTGTTGTTGCAGAAATTGACAAGCTGGTTCTAAAATGTATATAGTATTGTAAGAGAGCTATAGTAACCAAAACAATTTCGAATAAGAAGAAAAAAATTTTGAGAACTCACACTTCTCAGTTTCAAAAACTTACTAGAAAACTGCAATAATCAAGACACTGTGGTACTGGCATAAAGATAACATACGAATCACTGAAACAGAATTGAAAGTCCAGAATTAAACCTTCACATTTATGGTCAAATGATTTTAGCCAAGGGTGCCAAAACAATTCAATGGTAAAATAAGTTTTTTCACCAAATGGTGCTGGATCAACTGGATATTTACATGCAAAAGAATGAAGTTGGATTATTATTATTATTATTATTATTATTATTATTATTTTGTGAGTCAGGGTCTTGCTCTGTTGCCCAGGCTGGAGAGCAGTGGCACAGTCATGGCTCACTGCAGCCTCGACCTCCTAGGCTGAAGCAATCCTACCACCTCAGCCTCCCTCCCAAGTAGCTGGGACCACAGGTTCATGTCACCATGGCTGGCTAATTGTTTCCTTTTTTTTTTTTTTTTGTAGAGATGGGGTCTCATTGTGTTACTCAGGTTGGTTTTGAACTCCTGAGCTCAAATGATCCTCCCATGATATCCTTTCAAAATGCTAAGATTACAGGTGTGAGCCACTGTGCCTGGCTTGATGTTGGATTCTTACTTCATACCATATATAAAAATTGACTGAACTTGGATCATAGACGTAAGTGTAATACCTAAAAGTAAGCAACTCTTTTTTTTTTTTTTTTTTTTTTTTTTGAGACGGAGTCTCGCTCTGTCGCCCAGGCTGGAGTGCAGTGGCGCGATCTCGGCTCACTGCAAGCTCCGCCTCCCGGTTTCACGCCATTCTCCTGCCTCAGCCTCCTGACTAGCTGGGACTACAGGCGCCCGCCACCACGCCCGGCTAATTTTTTGTATTTTTAGTAGAGACGGGGTTTCACCATGTTAGCCAGGATGGTCTCGATCTCCTGACCTCGTGATCCACCCGCCTCGGCCTCCCAAAGTGCTGGGATTACAGGCGTGAGTCACTGCGCTCGGCCAAACCTAGGCAACTCTTAACAAGAAAACTTATAGGAGTAAATCTTTGTAACCATCGGTAATCGTTTCTTAGATATGACACCAAAAGCATAAGCAAAAACAACAAAATAGATAAATTGGACTTAATTTTAAAAACGTTTGTGCCTCAAAGGACGCCATCAAGAAAGTGAAGAACGAATTATAGAATGGTAGAAAACACTTGCAAATAATATATCTGATAAGGGACTGGAATCCAAGATATATAAAGACTTCTTACAACTCTCTAGTAAAGAGACAATACAAGTAAGAAAGGGCAAAAGGGTTTTAATAGGTATTTTTCCAAAGAAAATATCCAGATGGCCAATAAGCACATGAAAAGATGGTCAACAACCTTAATCATCAGGGAAATGCAAATCAAAACCACAATGAGGTACTACTTCACACCCACCAGGATGGCCAAAGGAAAAAAGACAATAATGCATACTGATGAAGATTTGGAGAGATTGGAATTCTCATTCATTACTGGTGGGAATATAAACTAGTGAGCCCCTGTGGAAAACAGTTTGGCAGTGCCTCAAAATGTTAAATACAGAGTTACCCTATAACTCAGGAATTCCATTTATAGGTATATAGCCAAGAGAAATGAAAATACATAGCCATACAAAAATTTGTGCACAAATATTCATGGCAACGTTATTCATAGCAGCCAAGAAGTGGAAACAACCTAGCTGTTCATCATCTGATGAATGGACTAAAAAAAAGGTGGTATATCCATACAATGGAATATTATCCAGTCATAAAAAGGAATGAAGTACATAGATGAACCTTGAAGACATTATGCTAAGTGAAAGATGCTGTCACAAAAGACTATGTATTATATCATTCCACTTATATAAAAGGCCCAGAACAGGCAAATCCATAGAGATAGAAAGTAGATTAGTGGTTGCTAGGGGCTGGTGGATAAGAGGAATGGATAATTAATGCTTATGGGTATAGCATTTCTTTTTGGGTCATGAAAATTTTCTAAAATTAAATAGTGGTGATTATTGCATAACTCTATTAATACATAAAACCCACTGAACTGTATATTTTAAAAGGGTGGGTTTTATGGTATCTGAATTTTATCCAAATAAAGCTATCATTAAAAAACACATACTTGTCTGAAAAATACAAAACAAACATTTGATGAGATTCACTAGTCCTTTGTGTTAACTTTTTTTTAACTAAACCAAGAATGGAAAGGAGCTTCCTTTAAGTTGATAGGCACAACAAAAAAATCACAAACATTATTCTAAGTGAGGAAATGGTAGAAGCTGTTCCTTTACACTGAGGAACAAGACAGAAATGCCAACTATCACCTTTGCTATTCAGCATTATACTAGTAGTGATAGACAGAAATAAGATTAGAAAAATAAATTGAAGGAAAAGAAGAAATAAAACTATTAGTCACGGTTCTCCAGAGGGACAGAACTAATAGGATATATGTATATATGAAAGGGAGTTTATTAAGAAGAATTGACTCAGAGGATCACAAGGTGAAGCCCCATGATAGGCCATCTGCAAGCTGAGGAGCAAGGAAGCCAGTAGTGGCTCCGTCCCAGTCCCAAAGCCTCAAAAGTAGGGAAGCTGACAGTGCAGCCTTCAGTCTGTGGCTGAAGGCTGGAGAGCCCCTGGCAAACCACTGGTGTAAATCCAAGAGTCCAAAGGCCAGAGAACCTGGAGTCTGATGTTCAAGGGCAGGAAGCGTCCAGCATGGGAGAAAGGTGAAAGCCAGAAGACTCAGCAAACCAGTTTATTCCACCTTCTTCTGCCTGCTTTTTCTACTGACACTGGCAAGCGATTGGATGCTGCCCACCCACATTGGGGGTGGGTCTTCCTCTCCCAGTCCACTGACTCAAATGTTAATCTCCTCTGGCAGCATCCTCGCAGACACACCCAGAAACAATATTTTACATCCTTTAATCCAGTCAAGTTGACACTTAATATTAACCATCACCAAAACTGTCATTATTTTAAGAGAATATGATTGTTTACCTAGAAAATCCCAGCAACCTAAAAATTATTGGAAAATAAGCTAATTTATAAAGGTAGCTAGATGTAAGGTTAAGACACAAAAGTTAATGTATTTTTATATATCAGTATAAAACAATTAGTAAGGATGAGTTTTTAAAGGGTCATTTTTTTTTCACAGCCTCTTATTAGTATTCTATAAAATTCTGGGAAAAAGTTAGATATTACAAGCCTTATGGTGAAAATTACTTTCAGATTCTCAATTTTGACTGTACATGAGGATCACCTTGACAGATTAAAATATATCCCAATGTCCAGGTCTTGCCCAAGCAATTAAATCAGAATCTCTTATATGAGACTCAAGAATTATGCCTTGTAGAGCTCCCCAGATAATTCCAGTGTGCAGCAAAGGTTAAGAAGAGTAGAGCATTAATCTCATTTACATTTTTCTGAGATGAAGTAAATTTTATTAGCATAGTATCATGTTCAGATGAACTTGTATTGAATGCAGCATAAAGGATTACTTTTATGCAAATAAGTATCAACAGTTTGGATTTCATTTCTTTTAGTGAGTCCTTGTAATTCAGTATTTTCTGGATATTTCTAAGGAACTAGAAAAAGGGATGGGAGAACATCTCATGACAGCAGCATTCACTTCAAGGTCCCTAGCTGTGTGAGTCAACAGGCTTTGGGTCTTCTTAGTATCCCCAACAAGAGCATTTGCCAATCCAAATCATTTTCTTCCAAGATTCATGTCCTGGGTGTCTCTGGAGATCCATTGCCTTCCCATCTTCTTTTGCCCTTTTGTTCCCAACATCAACTTCTCAGACTCAGGAGTCACATTTTTGTTACACATTATTATACCTTTTCATAAACACATTCCCTATCCTCACTTTCTCACCCTTGATCACGGTATTCTCACTATTCCATATTAATCATATTTCTAGGAGAGACGTACTACCTCCCAGCCACCTTCCCACTCTATTTTCAGCATTCCTGAGATTCCTCAGGAGAATTCTTAGAGTCTGCTCAAGTTTTAGGGATCCATGTTCAATGTATTTCACTAAGTACCCTATTTAAAAATGTTACTCCAGCACTCACAATTTTACTTTATTTTTTCCCATAGCACTTATCTGATATCATTCATGCATATTTTATTTTATTTATTTGTTAGCAACCTGTGTTCTAAACTAGAATGTATGCTCCATAAGGACAAGGATTTTTTTTTTTCCACAAAAAATTGCTGGGTCACAGCTTGTCACCAGGATATTTGGGGGAGACTGTGGGTGAAGCAAGTTGATCTGGGGGTAATATTTAGAGTTCATTTTTGAACATGCTAAGTTTGAGATATATATATATATAAAATCTAATATATTAGATTTAACTAATTTTAAAATAGTTAAAATATTAATTTTTATTAATATATTTTTATATTTTATTATTAATTTTTAATATATTAGGTTTAACTAATAGTTAACTAACCATATATAGATTAGATTAGATCAGTTATATATGTGAGACTGGAAGTGAAGGGAAAAATCTAAACTGGAGGTAAATATTTGGGAGTATTTAGACTAAATATGATATTTAAAACTGTAAGACTGGGCCATTAATGTAGGAAAAGGTGCTGCAGAGCTGAGCAGTCAAGGTGTGTGACTTCACTGAGGACCAGACCACAGAATTCAAGGAGGTTTTCTAGCTGTTTGACTGAACAGGTGATGGTAAGATCCTGTATAGTCAGTGTGGGGATGTGATGAGGGTCCTGGGTCAGAACCCCACCGATGCTGAGGTGATGCAAGTCCTGGAGATCCCCAAAAGTGATGAGATGAATGTGACGGTGCTGGACTTTGGGCACTTCCTGCCCATGTTGCAGGCTGTGGCCAAGAACAGGGACCAGAGCCTATGAGGATTATGTTGAAGGACTTTGGGTATTTGACAAGAAGGGGAATGGCACCATCATGGGCACTGAAATCTAGCAAGTCCTTGTCACACTGGGTGAGAAGATGATAGAAGAAGAAGTAAAGATGCTAGTGCAGGGCATAAGGACAGCAATGGTTGCATCAACTGTGAAGAGCTTGTCCATGGGGTGCCAAATGGCTAAGGACCTTCCCAGTCTCCCCAGAGCCCGTGCCTTTCCCTGTGTGAGACTTCGTATCTAGCCTGAAGGCTTTCTAGGCTCTTTTGTCACAGCACCTTTCCCATCTTGTCTTTCTTGGATAATGTTTGGTCAGCTTTTACCAAATAAACTTGCTCTCTCTGCGCCTCCCCAAATAAATGAAACTATAAGACTGATAAAAATTACTAAGGAAGTGGGTATAGATAGAAAAGAGATGTCCAAGACTAAAACTTGGGAACTACTGATGTTAAGAGGTTGGAGCACCAGTGAGGTAGATGGAAATAAAAAGACCATGATGTCCTGGAAGCCATGTAAAGAAACTGTTTCCAGGAAGAGGGATTTACCGACTTTGTAAAATGATGCTGATCTCTCAAGCAAAATGTGACCTAACAATTAACCTTTGAATTCTGAAATATACAAGTCATTGGCGACTTTGGAAAGAGCAGTTTTAGAGAGAATGCTTTGGAGAAGCTAGATTGGAGCTGGAGCAATAGGTTGGGGAGGAGAGGAATTGGAGGAAAATTAGGGAGGAATACTGGAGTGGTTTTCTTGAATAGAAGAGAGGGGATGCGATCTCATGAGGCTTAGCCTTAAACAGGAACTATTAAAATCCTCAAAAAGATAATCAGGAAAGCTTATATAAAAACAAAGTCATCTATTATTAATCTCTCCAGCTAGGGAAAACTTCATTAAGAGCAGAACATCAACAATGTACACAAAAGAGAAGTTACAGAGGGGTTTTTTTTTTAAAGGACTAGATCTGGTGTTAGGATTATAAATTGGGTGATTTCTCTGGGCAGTCTTTTGGAAATGGGGAATGAATTGGGCTAAATGGGTAGGAGGCAGTCATTTTTAATTGGCTTGGGAGCACAGAGTGGGGCATTATGTGTTTTTCTTTCTCTTTTCATCTAAATTCTGAAACTTGCGGTCTTCTCTTTCCAGACCATGGTGTGGTTTGTTCTTGCTTGTTTTGCAGGATTGGTAATCTTCTGATAGGTAGGATTGTTAGTTTGACTTGCATTTCTCAGACTGTCTTTCGATCATTCTCTGGTTGAGGCTCTGTGATTGATAATTTTGGTGATCGATCCAGATATACATTTTTGTTTGTATGTCTTTTGTCATATTGATAGTCATTTCAGTTTCAACAAATGCTATTCTTCCTTGTTGCTTCTGCTGCATAATTGTTTGTTGAATCATTTGATGAGACAGTGGATGCATGGCAGCATTTAAGGTAGAGATCACACATTTGAATACAGCACAGTTTGTAATTCACTTTTAAGCCTGGAACAAAACAAGTCTAAATTAAACCAAGAGAACAGGTCCCATTCCCAATCTAGAAAGCCCCCAGGATGAGATATGAGTATGTTAGCCAAATCACCTAAACTGTTGATTTGTTTGTTTACTATTCCTTATAGTAATATTAAAGATTCCAAAATGGTCTGTAGAGATGTAAGTTCAAAGTCTTTCCTTAAAATGGCACATGTGTGCTTTGAGAGGCTAATAATATATACAAGCCTATCTTGTTTTGAACCATAACCTGTCCAGTCTCAAAATGTCTCTGATGTGGAGCTGTATGGCCTCAGAGACATTGTCTAGCTCTTCCGTCAATCTCTGAACCATTGTGTAGTACTTACCATATTTTTTAGGCCTATAAAACAATTAAGATGCTTGAGGACAGAAGAAGGAAGCATAGAATCTCCCCTCAGTTGTTAAAGTTTTGAGTCTCCAGTTGAGTCTCAGTCTTTATCCTTCTTGAGTTTAGTTATATTTAAACATCTCATCTCTTTTTATTTTTTTTTTTTTGAGATGGAGTCTCACTGTGTAGCCCAGGCTGGAGTGCAGTGGCACGATCTTGGCTCACTGCAACCTTCGCCTCCTGGGTTCAAGCTATTCTCCTGCCTCATCCTCCCGAGTAGCTGGGATTACAGGCACCTGCTACCACGCCCAGCTAATTTTTCTTTTTGTATTTTTAGTAGAGATGGGGTTTCACCATGTTGGCCAGGCTGGTCTCGAACTCTTGACCTCAAGTGATCCACCCACCTCGGCCTTCCAAAGTGCTGGGATTATAGGCGTGAGCCACTGTGCCTGGCCTATTTTTTTAATGAGGGAAAATTCATGTGCCAAATAGAACCAGGTTGATGTCAGGAGCTGTCTGGAAGGCAGGCATGAGTTTACTGAGATAATACATGACCGTCCAATTTGCAGGTAGTACTCAATGAGCTTTTGTACTGCAATTCTAATGCATGTCATTGGAGGCAATTTAATGATCTGCTTTCAGACAAAATATCCCTATGGGATTGTGTAATTGTGCCACAGGGGTGTGGTGCCACTCAGAAAAATTGGTTTGGTATCAGAAAGTGAAATCAACAGTAGATCAAAAGTAGATAAACAGTAGATGTATAGTACAAGTACTAAGTTGAACTTAGTAGTTAGCCCTTATTGTGGGATCTGTAAAAATGAGTCAGCTTCTACTTGTGGACTATTTATTTCTTTGTCTTTTTCTAAACTCTAATATTGGAAAAGTTTGTGAAGGCTACCTCCTGTGCAAGGTGTTCTGGTTTTCATCCTAAGTGTGATCTGATAATGAGTTTTTGAGTTTTGGTTGTCTGACCTGTTATGGTGTTTGCCATCTAAAAATTTGGGTAGTAGTTGATTTATATTTTGAGGAAACCAACTATTTATTAGCAGAGACTGATAGTAATAGTCACTAAGTGTTACTCAAAGGAAAGTGTTTATAAACACAATTAGTTTGTGTGATTTAGCCATATCATGAGTGAATTGTAGCTAGATGTTGATTCATTCCAAGAAGTGATTAGGGATGCACAGAGTAGTATTAAGGAATGTTATCAATTAAAAGTAACAAATGTGTGTTAGCAATTTAGAAGCTTGAACTGGGAGAAAATAAAGAAAATAGCTAGGAAAATAAAAACAGGAGCGTGCAGGTTAAAAAATGGGACATGGGATGTGAGTTTATTTATGGTTTCAGTCATCTGGACCTTGTTCTGTGAGGCTTAGGAAGAACCTGTCTAGAGCAAGAAGTCATCTGTTTGTCTGAAGATCTGTGAAAGATGTCATGTACTTCTGGAAGATGCCTGGATATGCTTAGCTTGAGATCACCCAAATGTTCAGATTTCCAAGTAGAACAGGATATTTGAAATTCTGAAACAAGACCAAGTTGTTACTTGAAGTTTGACCAATGTGTGCTTTCAGTGGTATTCAGTAATGTTCTTTCCAATGAGCTTCAAAAACAGTCTTTCTTTGAAATCTTTAGTATCTCAGCAATGGATGAGAAAAGTTATGTTGTGGAAAAATAGCTTGAACCTGTTGGTGATATGACTAAATATACCAATTTAGTCTCTTATGAGTAGTTTGGCTAATTTCAATTTTGTCATCCTTTTATCCTTTCTACTTTCCTAGAATATTGAGTGTAATAAGGGCAAGGAAGTTTTTTTTTTTTTGTAAGTGCCAAGAACTTACAAAATTCTTGGGGGGCAGTTCCCATTAAATGTGTTTCCCTGTCACTAGACAGATTACTGTGAATACCCATGTAGGAAACACAAAATCTAAAATCTCTTTGTATTGCAAGAACAATTACTTTTCTAAACACAATCTCTGCAGCGACCTGCCTGGGAAGCCAAACCATTCTAAAACGCTGAAAACATTTTAGAATGGTTGGAATATGGTCAATAACTGCCAGCTTCCCTATTTTTTGTCCCTGTTTCCAATTTGGGATCACCCAGAGAAATCCAGATATACTTCCCAAACCAAACACATAAGATGCCTCGTTTCTAGCTGGCCCAGCTTCTCCATGCCAACAACCTCTAATCAGAGCATACTTGAAGCCTTTCCTGTTTTTTATTGCAAAGCTTTACCCTTTCCTGCCTGCCTTTGAATCTCTGCCGAATGCTAGTGATGGTGGCTGATTGCCTTGCTGCAGCAAGCTCTGAGTAAATTGACTATATTTTTTTCTCATTTGGGTGTTCTTTGTTTATTTATACAGTAGATATAGTTACATCAGAGTCTGTAAGGAATTCCATGATTTTCCTTTAACAATTAGGCTGAATAGTCCTTGAGAGGATTATGGAAGACAAGAAACTCTGTGATACCAATAGTTCCCTTGGGCACCATATTTGGTCATCTTTAAAGAAAACTTTCTTTTTATTTTTGAATAAGGTGGATCACTGGCTTTTGCTATGGACCTTTTCTTGGCAATATCTGCAGGTATCATGATCTTTCATTCCGTATGCCTGGAAGATGCAGATTGATTGGTAATTTCAAATGATGTTAGTAAATCCTCTTTTTTTGGTCTGTTTTCTAGGTCTCATTTAAAGTATTCAGCAATACTCCATGGTTCTTTTATGCCGAAGTCTTTTGTTCTAATTTACTTTTTCTATTAGATCTACTATATCAGATTTTAGTCCATTGATGAAGACAGGACAAAGTTCCCTTGATCTCATTTTTTACATTAACTCCAGAATAGTGTTGGAAGACCTGTATAAGTCGATTTCTGTAGTCATCAATAGACTCCTTATTTTTCTTGTTTATAGGACGGAATTTTTGTTCAATCTTTGGCACGGGGTAAGTTTTAGTCTTTAAAAGTTATTTACTAACTTGCTTTGCTATATTCAGCCCTTTCCTGTTATTGAGAACTAGGGTTTTTTTAGATTGCCTTCAGCTTCTAGCCAGCCTGCACTATTTATCCATTTTAAAAGACAATGGATTGGCTTATTAAGATGAATCAATTGAAAAGTATCAGTTAGTACATGTCTAATAGAATTCTGAATGCACTAAGTTTAAATTCTACTTGCACACGGCAATTTTCGTGCTTATTAATCTCCTCCTGAGGGGTTCTCTGAGGAAAAGGAAGTCAAGAAGCAGATTGGGAGGGCTAAAAGAGTGGTAGGAAGACAGGGAGGATTAAGTAGGATAAAAGGAAACCGATGTCCTATGGAGAACTGTAGACCCAAGATTGAAATAGATATATATTTATCCTTTGCTAGAGAATCCATTAAGCACACCAATCACATTTCTTTCAGAGATTTCTGCATACTAGCTTGACAAATGCCAACCATTGGATGTTCAAAATCTTACTACTTTTTCAGTATATCTCTAAGATTGTGGTTAACAGCTTCAAATATGGATCCCAATAATCTACTATATCTGGTAGTCATAGTCACATCTATTGTGGAATCTTTTCCCCTTTAGTATTGGCTAGACCTAGTGACTTGTTTCTATTGGATTGACTATAGCAAAAGTGATGGGCTGCTACTCTGAGTTAAGTTACAAAAGACCGTAACTTGCACCTTTTCTCTTGCCTTCTCTCTTGCTTGTTTTGATAAAGCAAACTGCCATGTTGTGAGCTGCCCTTTGTGGAGGCCCACATGGCAAGGAACTGAGAGTGACCTCCAGTCAACAGCCAGTGAGGAACTGAGGCCCTCTGTTCAACAGTACAGGAGAAACTGAATCATGCCAGCAACCATGTGAAGGGGCTTGGAAATAGATACACACTAGTAAAACCTTAAGGCACTGGTCAACACCTTGACTGCAGCTGTTTGAGGGAATCAATCGCCAAAAGACCGAATAAGCCATGCCTGGATTTCTGACCAACAGAAACTGTGAGATGATAAGTGTTTGTTGCTTTAAGCCTCTGAGTTTTGGGGTAACTTGTTGCATAGTAGTAGATTACTAATAGACATACAATTTTGTTTTTTATTTTTTATATTATTTTGTTTTTTATATTTTTTTTTTTTTGAGACGGTGTGCAGTGGCACCATCTGGGCTCACTGCAAGCTCTGCCTCCCGGGTTCACGCCATGTTTTTTTAATTTTTGTGGGTAGATAGTAGGCGTATATATTTATAGGTTACATGAAATATTTTAATACAGGCATGAAATGTGTAATAACCACATCAGGATAAAGAGGATATTCATCACCTCAAGTATTTGTCCTTTGTGTTTCACACAATACAATTATACTCTTTTAGTTATTTTTTAATTTTTTATTTTTTGAGACGGAGTCTCACTCTGTCACCCAGGCTGGAGTGCAGTGGTGTGATCTCGGGTCACTGCAACCTCTGCCTCACATTTTTTAAATCTATTCATCTATTGATGGGCTCTCAGATTGCTTCCAAATCTTGGGTATTGTGAATAGTGCTGCAACCAACACTGGAGTGCAGGCATCTCTTTAATATACAGATTTCCTTTCTTTTGAGTATATACCTAGGAATGGTGGCTCTATTGGTAGTTTTCGGAGGAAGCTTCAGACTGTTCTCCATAGTGGTTGCACTAATTTACATGCCCACCAACAGTCTATGAGGGTTCTCTTTTCTCCATATTCTTGCCAGCATTTGCTATTGCCTGTCTTTTGGGTATCAGCCATTTTAACTGAAACGAGATAATATCTCATTGTAGTTTTGATTTGCATTTCTCTGATGACCAGTGATGTTGAGCACCTTTTCATATGCATTTGCATTTGTATCTTCTTTTGAGAAATGTCTATTCAAATTTTTTGCCCATTTCTTAATGGGATGATGAGATTTTTTTTTCTCTAGATTTGTTCAAGCTCCTTATATGTTCTGGTTATTAATTCCTTGTCAGATGGATAATTTGCAAATATTTTCTCCCATTCTGTGTGTTGTCTCTTCACTTTGTTAATTTTTTTTTTCTGTGCAGAAGCTTTTTGACTTGATGTGATCCCATTTGTCTATTTTTGCTTTTGTTGCCTGTGCTTATGGGGTATTACTCAAGAAATTTTTGCCCAGGCCAATATTCTGGAGAGTTTACCCAATGTTTTCTTGTAGTAGTTTCATAATTTGAGGTCTTAGATTTAAGTGTTTATTCCATTTTTATTTGATTTTTGTATATGGTGAGAAATAGGGGTCTAGTTTTATTTTTCTGCATATAGATATCCAGTTTTCTTGCACCATATTTTGAAGAGACTGTCTTTTCTCCAGTGTATATTCTTGACACCTGTGTTGCAAATGAGTTCACTGTAGGTGTGTGCATTTGTTTCTGGGTTCTATATTCAGTTCCATTGGTCTATGTATCTGTTTTGATGCCAGTACCATGCTGTTTTGGTTACTATAGCTCTGTAGCATAATTGAAGTCAGGTAATATGATTCCTCCATGTTTTTTCTTTTTGCTTAGGATAACTTTGTCTATTCTGGGTCTTTTGTGGTTCTATATAAATTTTAGGATTGTTTTCTCTATTTCTATGAAGAATGTCATTGGTATTTTGGTAGGATTACACTGAATCTGTAAATTTCTTTCAGTAGTATGAACATTTTAGCAATATTCTTCCAATCCATGAACATGGAATATCTTTCCATTTTTTGGTGTTCTATTAAATTTCTTTCATCAGTGTTTTATAGTTTTCATTATGGAGATCTTTCCCTTTGATGGTTAATTCCTAGATATTTTATTTTATTTGTGGCTATCATAATTGGGATTACTTTTTTGATTTCTTTTTCAGTGTGTTCACTGTTGGCATATTGAAATGCTATTGATTTTTGTATGTTTATTTTGTATCCTGAAACTACTGAATTTGTTAATCAGTTTTAATAGTTTTTTTTGTGAAGTCTTTAGGTTTTTCCAAATGTATATTATATCATCTGCAAACAAGGATAATTTGACATTTTCCATTCCAATTTGAATATCCTTTATTTTTTCTCTTGTCTGATTGCTCTAGCTAGGAATTCTAGTAGTATATTGAATAATTGTTGTGAAAGTGGGCATCCTTGTCATGTTCTAGATCTTAGAGGAAAGGCTTTTGGTTTCAATTTTTCCTCATTTAATATGATACCAGCTGTGGGCCTGTCACATATGGCTTTTATTATGTTGAAGCATGTTCCTTCTATATCCAGTTTTTTGAAGGTTTTTATCATGAAGGCATGTTGAATTTTATTAATTGAATTTTCAGCATTAATTGAAATGATTATATGGTTTTTGTCCTTCTGTTGATATGATATATCACATTGATTGATTTACATATGTTGAACCATCCTTGCATTCCAGCAATACATCCCACTTGGTCATGATGAATGATCTTTTTAATGTGTTGTTGAATTTACGTTGTTAGCATTTTGTTAAATATTTTTGCATCTGTATTCATCAGTGATATTGGCTTGTAGTTTTCTGTTTTTGATGTATCTTTGTCTGATTTTGATATCAGGATAATACTGGCTTCATTCCCTCTTTCTTTATTTTTTGGAATAGTTTGAGTAGGATTGGTATTAGTTCTTCTTTAAATGTTTGGTAGAATTCATCAGTGAAGCCATCAGGTCCTGGGCTTTTCTTTACTGGAAGCCTTTTTACTAAGGCTTTGATCTTGTTACTTGTTATTGATCTGTTCAGATTTTTTATTTTTTTCATGCTGCCATCATGGTAGGCTGGATGTGTCTAGAAAATTGTCAATTTCTTCTAGGTTTTCTAACTTACTGGCACATAATTTCTCATAATAGCCACTAATGATCTTTTAAATTTCTGTGCTATCAATTGTAATGTCTCCCTTTACATCTCTGATTTTATTTATTTGAATCTTTCTTCTTAGTTAGTCTGGCTAAAAGTTTGTCAATTCTGTTTAACTTTTCAAAAAACTTTTTGTTTCATTCCTCATTTGTATTGTTTTCTTCATTTCAATTTCATTTATTTCTGCTCTGATCTTTATTATTTTTTTCCCTCTACTAATTTTGGATGTGGTAGAAAAGCTCTTGCTTTTCTAGCTCTTTAAGAGACATTATTAGGTTGTTTATTTCAAGTTGTTCTTTTTTGATATAGGAACTTATAGCTATAAACATCCGTCTTAGTACTGCTTCTGTTGTACCACAAGCTTTTGTATGTTGTGTTTCCATTATTGTTTGTTTCAAGAAATTTTACATTTCCTTTCTAATTTCTTTATTGACCCATTGGTCATTCAGGAGCATATTGTTTAATTTTTGTGTATTTGTATAGCTTCCACATTCCTCTTGCTGCTGATTTCCAGCTTTATTCCACTGTGGTCAGAGAAGATACTTATTAATATTTCATTTTTTTGAATGTTTTAGGACTTGTTCTGTGACCTAATATATGGTCTATCCATGAGAATGATCCATGTCCTGAGGAAAAGAATATGTATTCTGTAGCTGTTAAATGAAATGTTCTATAAATATCTAGTAAGTTCATTTGGTCTATAGTGAAGATTAAGTCTGATGTTTCTTTGTTGATTTTCTGGGAAGATCTGTCCAATGCTGAAAGTGGGGTGTTGAAGTCTCCAGCTATTATTGTATTGGAACCTGTCTCTCTCTTTAGCTCTAATATTTGCTTTATATATTTGGGTGCTCCAGTGTTGGGTACATATATATTTAAAATTGTTATACCCTCTCACTGAATGACCCCTGTATCATTATATAGTGACCTTCTTTGTCTTTTATAGTTTTTGTCTTGAATTCTATTTTGTCTGATATAAGTGTAGCTACTCCCACTCTTTTAGTTTCCATTGGTATGTTATATATTTTTCCATCTCTAAATTTTTAGTTTATATGTCTCTTTATAGGTGAAGTGTGTTTCTTTTGTTTGTTTGTTTGTTTAATTATACTTTAAGTTCTGGGGTACATGTGCAGAACGTGCAGTTTTGTCACATAGGTACACACATGCCCTGGTGGTTTGCTGCATCCATCAACCTGTCATCTACATTAGGTATTTCTCCTAATGCTATCCCTCCCCTAGCCCCGACCCCCCAACAGGCCCCAGTGTGTGGTGGTCCCCTCCCTGTGTCCATGTCTTCTCACTCTTCAACTCTCACTGATGAGTGAGAACATGCAGTGTTTGGTTTTCTGTTCTTGTGTTAGTTTACTGACACAAGATTACTGAGATTGATGGTTTCCAGCTTCATCCATGTCCCTACAAAGGACAGGAACTCATCCTTTTTTATGGCTGCATAGTATTCCATCGTGTATACGTGCCACATTTTCTTTATCCAGTCTATCATTGATGGGCATTTGGGTTGGTTCCAAGTCTTTGCTATTGTGAATAGTGCCACAATAAACATATGTGTGCATGTGTCTTTATAGTAGAATGACTTATAATCCTGTGAGTATATACGCAGTAATGGGATTGCTGGGTCAAATGGTATTTCTAGTTCTAGATCCTTGAGGAATCACCACACTATCTTCCACAATGGTTGAACTAATTTACACTCCCACCAACAGTGTAAAAGTGTTCCTATTTCTCCACATCCTCTCCAGCATCTGTTGTTTCCTGACTTTTTAATGATTGCCATTCTAACTGGCATGAGATGGTATCTCATTGTGGTTTTGTTTTGCATTTCTCTAATGACCAGTGATGATGAGCATTTTTTCATGTTTGTTGGCTGTATAAATGTCTTCTTTTGAGAAGTGTCTGTTCATATCTTTTGCCCACTTTTGGATAGGGTTTTTTTTTTTCTTGTAAATTTGTTTAAGTTCTTTGTAGATTCTGGATATTAGCCCTTTGTCAGATGGATAGACTGCAAATTTTTCTCCCATTCTGTAGGTTGCCAGTTCACTCTGATGATAATTTCTTTTGCTGTGCAGAAGATCTTTAGCTTAATTAGATCCCATTTGTTTATTTTGGCTTTTGTGTGTTTCTTTTAGGAAATAGATCATTGGATCTTGTTTTCTTAATGCATTCAGCAAGTCTATGTCCTTTGATTGGAGAGTTTAGTCCATTTATGTTCAATGTTATTATTGATAAGTAAGCACCTACTCCTGCCATTTTGTTATTTGTTTTCTGGTTGTTTTGTGGTCTTCTCTTTCTTATTTCCTTCCTTCCTTTCTTCCTTTTAGTGAAGGTGATTTTTTGATGGTATGATTTAAATTCTTGCTTTTTATTTTGTGTGTATTGTATATTTTTTGATTTAGGGTTATCATGAGGCTTGCAAATACTATCTTGTAACCCGTTATTTTAAACTAATAACAACTTAATACTGTTTGCATAAAATAACAAATAAGCAAAAAGAAAACTAATAAATAAATAATTTCAGATGGAAATATTCCCCTTAGCATTTCTTCTAGGACATGTCTGGAGCTAATGAAGTCCCTCAGCTATTTGTTTTGGGAAAGCTTTTATTTCTCCTTTTTGTCTGAAGGATATTTTTGACAAATATACTACTCCAGGGTAAAAGATTTTTTTCCTTCAGCACTTGAAATATGTCATGCTACTCTTACATGCTTGTAAATTTTCCACTGAAAAGTCTGCTGCCAGGTGTATTGCAGCTCCATGGTATATTTTTTGTTTCTTTCCTCTTGCTGCTTTTAGGATCCTTTCTTTATCATTGACCTTTGGGAGTTTGATTATTAAATGCCTTGAGTTAGTCTCCTTTGAATTAAATCTGCTTAGTGTTCTATAACCTTGTACTTGGATATTGATATCTTTTTTAGGCTTGGGAATTTCTCTGTTATTATCCCTTTGTGTAAACTTTCTACTCCTATCTCTTTCTCTACCTTCTCTTTAAGGCCAATAACTCTTAGATTTGCCCCTTTAAGGCTATTTTCTAGATCCTGTAGGCATGCTTCACTGATTTTTATTCTTTTTCCTTTTGTCTCTTCTGATTTTGGATTTTCAAATAGCCTGTCTTCAAGCTCACTAATTCTTCCTTCTGCTTGATCAGTTCTGCTACTAAGAGACTCTGATGCATTCTCAATATGTCAGTTGCATTTTTCAGCTCCAGAATTTCTGCCTGATTCTTTTAAGTTATTTTGATATCTTTGTTAAATTTATCTGATAGAATTCTTAATTTATTCTCTGTGTTATCTTGAATTTATTTGAGTTTTCTCAACACAGCTATTTTGAATTATCTGTCTGAAAGGTCACATATCTGTTTCTCCAGGATTTGTCCCTGGTGCCTTATTTAGTTTATTTGGTAAGGTCATGTTTTCCTGGGTAGTCTTGATACTTGCTGATGTTCATCTGTGTCTGGGCATTAAAGAGTTCAGTATTTATTGTTGTCTTTGCAGTCTGGACTTGTTTGTACCCATCCATCTTGGGAAGGCTTTCCAGGTATTCAAAGGGACTTGGGTGCTGTGATATAAGCTGTATCTTCATTAGGGGGAACCCCAAGCCCAGTAATGCTGTGTTTTTTGTAGTCTCACAGAAGTACTTCCTTGATGGTCATGGACAAGATCTGGAAGAATTCTCTGGATTACCAGGCAAAGACTTTTGTTCTGTTCCCTTACTTTCCCTCAAAAAAGGGAATCTCTCTCCCTCTCTTTCCCTCTATTCTGAGTCTCCTGGAGCAGGAGGTGGAGTGACACAAGCACCCCTGTGGCCACCATGAATATGAATGCACTGGGTCAGACCTGAAGCCAGCACTGCACTGGGTCTTGCTCAAGATCTGCTGCAACTACTCCCTGGCCACTGCCTTTGTTCGCTCAAAGCCCTGGAGCTCCACAATCAGCAGGTGACACCAGCCAGGCCTATTGTCCCTCCTTTTATGGGAGTGAGTTCCCCCGGGTCCTGGGCAGGTCCAGAGGTGCCATCTGGGAGGCAGGGACTAGAGTCAAAAAGCTTAGAAGTGTACTTGGTGTTCCATTGTACTGTGGCTGAGCTGGCACTCAAATCACAAGACACAGTCTTTCCCACTCTTCCTCCTCTTTCCAAAGGCAGGGGAGCCTCACCTTCTGACCATGACAGGACCACAGGGAGTACTGCCAGGCTAACGCTGATATTTCCTCAAGGTCCAGGAGCTCTTCAGTCAGCTTGTGGTGAATGTTGCCTGGCCTGGTACTCACTTTTCAGGGCAGTGGGCTCCCCCTCTGGCCCAGGGCAGGTCCAGAAATGCTGTCCAAGAGCCAAGGCCTTAAATCAGGGTCCTTCAAAAGCCCACTTGGTACTCTATCCCTCATGGCAGACCTGGTACCTATGGTACAAGACAAAATCTTGTATATTTTTCCCTTCACTTTTCTCAAGCAGGAATCTCTCCCTGTAGCCACCACCGCTAGGAATGTTCTGAGTTTCACCTGAAGCCAGCAAGTCTCAGAGTCTCATGCAAGGCCCATGATATACATGATATACATGTTAAATTGGTGGGGTTGTTAGGGGGAAGATCAGTGGAGCCTTCAATTCTGCCAACTTGCTTGACCCAGCCTCCTCAACCAAAAGATACAATTTTGGATGTGTCAAATGTTCCCCCAAAGTGGCCACTGAAATTCCAGGTTGTTCTTTATAAAATTATGCCATTTAGAAGGTTAAGTTCATGAAATAAGATTATACTATGAGCACATATAATAAACCAGTCTGTCAGGAAGTGGCGTATATTTATTTTAGACAGATCCATGAGGATTAGGTCTATGGTCAGTTGGATGTGCCCACTTATGAAACTGTGTTTTGAGCTCTCCAATATAGTTAATTAAAGCTAAGTGTTTTTTTTTTTTTTTTTTGAGAGAGGGTCTCACTCTGTCACCCAGGCTGGAGTGCAGTGGTATAATCTTGGCTCACTGAAACTTCTCCTGGTCTAAAGCAAACCTCTCACTTTAGCCTCCCGAGTAGCTGAGACTATAGGTGTGTGCCACTATGCCCAGCTAATTTTTTTTTTTTTAAAGAGATGGGTTTTGCCATGTTGCTGAGGCTGGTCTCAAACTCCTGGACTCAAGTGATCCACCTACCTCTGCCTCCCTAAGTGCTGGGATTACAGGCATCATCCATCCTGCCTGGCAAGCTAAGAGTTCTCAAGCAAGAGGGAAGGAAAAAGATCCGGAAGGAGAAACAAGGAGGCGAATGAGGGTGTCTCAGATAATTGAGCAGTTCATACTTTATTCACTATTTGCTTTGTTCTATTGATTTATGAAACAGATTCTCATACTTGTGCCATAGGAGTTTAATTATTGAGATATAGAGTACATTTTACTGTTTGGCAGGACAGGGCAAACCACCTCCACTACTTACTCTTCATTATTAATGTTTTGGCTCTTCTTGTAAATTTATTTTCTTGAATTGTTTTGTTAAACTAAAGAAAATTTCTTGCGATTCTGCTTAGAATGTCATAAAATTGATTGTTAAATTAGGGATTGGGATGTCGGTAATGTGATACTAAGTTTTCTCCATCTAGGAGCATGGTAGATGCTTTCAATGTGGGTGATAAAAGAAATAATGATTCAAGTCTTTTTTTATTCCACTCAAGAAAATTTTGTGCTTTTCTTTAGAGAGGCAGAGAAAAATTTCCATATGTTTATAGTTTTGGTTAATGTTATTATTAAAATATTTTCCTTATATTTTAAAAGTAATTATTATGGCCTATCAGAACACATTCATTATAGATAACATTTAATCAATAAAATCAATTGGGATTTCCAATCAAGAGAGTTGGCAGTTCTATTTTATGCAAAATAATGATTGTTATGTTTCGTGCTTTTTTCATGTGTACTTTTTCTTGTCTATTGCATTGGATAGAATTTTCAGGGCAGTGCTACTTATAAAGATCATAGACACCATCCTTATGTCTTATGTCTAGCATTTCACAGTTGGAATGGATATAGCTAAAAAGTGGTGCAACTGGGGTTTAAGTCCCTTATATGTCAAAAGCCTATTCTCTTTCCTTTTTGCCGTAATAACTTGCTGTTACTGAGCATAGATAATGGAATTATTTTATTTATATTTTTAAATTTAAGTGATCCTAATTCTTTTAGGTACAGACACTAATAAAACTTTGCCTTTTAACTCCAGCATTTCCATATTCTTTTGGTTAATTACATAATTAATACTTGGATAATGAATTTTATAACTAGCATTGTGGTTATAAGGTAAACATTATGGAATTTTCTGTCTTCAGTTAAAAAAAATGGTCACTTATTTTGTCTTCTCTAATATATTCTTATTTCTTTCTATTTCATTGTTTCATAGTTACCCCCAAAACTTAGTGACTTAAAACAATAATTTATTATTTTTCATGTTTATGTAGGTTGACTAAGTTCAACTATGTGGTTTTTGTCAGAGACACTCATGCAATTGAAGTTAGATGTTGACTCCACTGGAGTGGATGGTTCACTCATGTGCTAGGCAGTTGATGCTTACTGTTGACTGGGAGCTCAACTTCAGAGCCTCTGTTGGCTTCCTCATGTGGCTTGAACTTCTCATAGTACTTTAGCTGGGTACTAAGAGGGAGTATCCCAAAAGTGAACATTCCAAGAGGCAACAGGGGAATCTGCCAGGCCAGTTAAGTGCTATCCATGGAACTGGCATGGAATCCTTTTTGCAGTGTTTTACTGACCAAAGAAGTTTCAGGGTCCACCTAGATTCAAAGCACTAGAGCTGTGTTTCTCAACCAGGGACAATTTTGATCCTCATTTTTGATTGTCATGACTGAGAAGCAAGCTGTGCTACTATTATCTAGTGGTAGAGATCAGGAATCCTGCTAAACATCCTATGATGTGCAGCCCTCCACAACAAAGAATTATCTTGTCCAAAATGTTAATAGTGCCAAGACTGAGAAACCCAGATTAGAGAGAGAGATTCCACTCTTGTTGTGGGAGTGGCAAGATCACATTGCAGAAGAGCTTGTGGAATGGGAGGTGTTGTTGTGGCTATTGTTGGAAAATGTAATCTACGACACATCTCTTCCTCCCTTTTATGTTTTCCATCCTCTTCATGTTTTATTTTCAATTTTGATTTTTTAAAATAATTTCAACTTTTATTTTAGATTCAGGGATTCGTGTGCAAGTTTGTTACCTGAGTGTATGGTGTGATGCTGAGGTTTGGGTGTGATTGATATCATCATCCCAATACTGAACATAGTACTCAATAGTTAGTTTTTCAACCCTTGCCCCCTCCCACCCTACCTCCTCTAGTAATCTCCAGTGTCAGTTGTTGCCATCCATATGTCCGTGAGTACCCAGTGCTTAGCACCCACTTGTAAGTCACAACATGGGGTATTTTGTTTTCTGTTTCTGCATTAATTTGCTCAGGATTATGGTGTTCAGCTGCATCCATGTTGCTGTAAAGGATATGACTTTATTCTTTTTTATGGTTGCATAGTATTCCATGGTGAATATGTACCACATTTCCTTTATCCAATCCACCATTAGTGGACACCAAGATTGATTCCTGTCTTTGCCATTGTGAATAGTGCTGTGAGGCATATATAAGTGAATGTGTCTTTTTCATAGAACAATTTATATTCTTTTGGATACATACCCAGTAATCCAGTTGCTTGGTTGAATGGTAGCTCTGTTTTCAGTTCTTTGAGAAATCTCCAAAATGCTTTACACAGTGGCTAAACTAATTACATTCCCACCAACAGTGTATAAGTGTTCCCTTTTTCCGCAGCCTCACCAGTATGTTGTTATTTGACTTTTTAATAATTGCCATTCTAACTTCATGTTTTATTGCTTTGTCTTTGTTTCCCCAAGTGCTGATCTAAAGTTCTGGTTCTACAATAAGCATTTATTTGGTCTGGAGGACTCCCATACACTCCATATCTCTGAGATGATGCACAGTCTAATATAGGCCATTATGATAGTCTTGTGGTTTGGGAGCCTAGGCGGGGCACTGCCATAGGAATATGTGTTTCATAACACTCAATTGGTTTGTTTTTTTGGTCTTTCCAAGGGTGCTATGTTGTTCACACCAGCTACCTCTGTGTTAGCTCCAGAGCTAAAAATGTGTCCTGGTGCTTTCCTTATTCCTTGAGAACTTTTTTTTTTTCCTTTTTGAGTTGTGTCTTCCTTTTACCAGTGCTTCTGTAGACTAGAATCCACACTTGGGTCCGTGACTCTGTGAATAGATCTTTCTTCATTGCCACCAGACCCTCACATAAATTGGTTGGATAGAGATCATAGCTCTTTCCTGCAAATTCCCTTCATATCTTCCCTTTATTTCATGGGAATTATTTTCCAGTGATAGCCTGCTCGTATGTTCTGTTTGCCTGAACCTCTTCCCATGACTTAATTCCAAGACCCTTCAAGATTGCCTACTACAAACTTATGAATCTCCCTAGTTTGGGGCTGATGCTCTAATCTCACTCTCTGTGCAGTAATTTGATCCTCTGGATTAATATCATGGGGGATTTTATCTAGTAATTTCCAGTGTTTCTCTATAATTAGAATTTTACTCAAATTTGCCACCCTGTTTTTAATAAAGCTCTGAAAATTCCAGTTTTTCAGACTTATAAGATAATATTTATCTTAATCAAGAATATTGTGTTTGCTTTCTCACTGGGAACTAACCAGTTTATACATATCTTCTGTCTTTAATACTTGGATATTGAGCATCCTTTCCTTACTTAGAGTATGGAACAGCCATGAAGATGGCCACTTGAGTTTTTTTCTGCCTACTCACTAGGAGTCAGTGATGTGGTTTGAATTTATGTCCCTGCCCAAATCTCATGTTGAATTGTAATCCCCTATGTTGGACGAGGGGTGTGGTGGGAAGTGATTTGATCATGGGGGCAGATTTCCTCCTTGCTGTTCTTGTGATAGTGAGTTCTCATGAGATCTGGTTGTTTAAAAGTGTGTAGCACCTCCCTCTGCTCTCTCTTCCTGCTTCCCTAGCCATGTAAGACGTGCCTGCTTCCCCTTTGCCTTCCACCATGATCAAAAATTTCCTGAGGCCTCCCCAGCCATGCTTCCTGTATGGTCTGCAGAACTATGAGTCAATTAAACCTCTTTTTTTAATAAATGACCCAGTCTCAGGCAGTTCTTTATAGCAATGCAAGAACAGACTAATACAGTCAGATATGCATGGATATTTGATTCCATATTCTCTGAATTTTTTCCCTTCTTAGACATAGTTCCTCCTTCCTTCTGTTGTTTAGATACCATTTGAGTCGATTGTATCCTAAAAATGTTTTGTCAATACTTAACTATAAATATTACTTTAATATTGCATAATTTATTTATAAAACTTGATTAGAAACCACATTTTTAAGATATCCTGTTAAAAGTATTTTCTGAACATTAAACAAGACAGCTATATTTTAAACATTAAATGTTATTTTTCCTAAAAAATGAAGAAACAAAAACCCAAAGGCAGACCCTAGATTTTTTTTTCTGATGTTTTCTGAGTAGTAAGGGTTTTTGAATCCTCTCTATAACAAAATAAGCAAAAAGATAATATTTATATGGCTAGAAGCCTAGCGGTGAGCTGCCTGAAATTGCATGAATTCTGTTTTCTAAATAGAGAAATATTTTTTCTCCATAGTTGCCTTTTTATCTGCAATGGCTTTCTTTCATTTTTTGGAAGAAACCATTTTCAGATTTTTCCACTTAGTCTTAATTGATTATTTAACTCAGTCATGTATGTTCCCGTGATACATTCTGTCAAATCCTTCCCTTAGCAACCATCACACACTGGGTCAGATAAATGTAAATTCTGACAGAACTTAGGCTAATCCACCTCCACTATAGTCTCCCCCCATAATTATTGTTTTCTATTTAACATTAAGTACTTTTAAACCAATATCTTTAGTAACCTTTAAAAGGTTACACAAATGTATAGCGATTTTCCAAAAGCCCTTCTCCTTTGGCCTCTTATTCTTTTTCAGTAGAGAATTCACTTTAGCCAAGAGTGTGATGTCACACTGACTAGGATGGGTCTAAGTCAGAAGAGATTAATATCTACGGTTATTTAAAATTTAATATTCAAATGCATTAGAATATTCTAATAAGGAGGTGTATGAGAGATACTCATCTTGAAGCTTATCTGATTATTTCTTCAATTTGTTGCTAGATTTTATAATAACTTATAAAATCTGTATCAGGGTTTAATGATCAGTCCAGCTGAAGTTCTAGACAAGCTGAATTCCTAGATTAAAATTGATGTCCATGAAGTAATTCCAAGACATATAGTTGACAGATAATCTTGAATTGAAAATATTTTTACTCTTGGCAGTAATTTTCTGCTGGGATCTATAGCCATAGAAATTTCTACATTGATGTTCCTTGACTTGTCCAATGTTCAATAAACCCATTGTGAGTTGAAAATATCATAAGTCGAAAACACATTTAATAACCTAACCTATTAAACATCATAACTTAGCCTAGCCTACCTTAAACAAGCTCAGAACATTTACATAAGCCTACAATTTGGCAAAATTATTTAACAAAGGTATATTTTATAACAAAGTGTTGAATATCTTGTTGATTGACCAGTATACTGAAAGTGAGGAATGGAATAGTTGCATTGGTACTGGAAGTACAGCTTTTACCAAATGTATATCACTTTTTCACCATCATAAAATAAATCCAGAGGTGAACCATCTTAAGTCAGGGACTGTATGTATTTTGAAGATGATTAAATTATACTAAATCTATATTGTAAATATTAGTTGCTAAAACTACACAGGTTAAAACCTATTTCCCTGGATTATATGATTTTTAGAAATATAAAATGATGTGCTAATAGTTCTATAAGTTATTCTTAGCCTTGATTAATGTTGTAGGCATTTATCTGCAGATTACTTAAGTTTATCTCTGCTGTTATTAGTCATTGGATAAAGTCCAGGCTATTAACAAACTGGAAAATCTTTGAAAAGGAAGAATAGATTTATTAACCCAACATATGATGATTACCTTATTTGGTTTGAAAATTTTTGTTTTGGCTTTTGTCCTTCATTCAAGGTTATTTACCAAAATATATAAGTTGAAATGATCTTGGCAATCACTAGTTGATATCATAATGCTATCACTCTCATTTATACCTACATTGAGCTTAAGTCTATCACTTTCTGCAATATAGAACTGGAATATTATGGAGTGGTTTCCAGGAAAACTTTAAATTTAAATAAGAAAATGGAAGATTCACTCTATACAGACTTCAAATAATTTTTCACTAGGGGCTAAAAACTAAAAGCATGTGAGAAACCATCAAACTTCTTGTATTATCTAAATAGGTACATTTAACCTTACCTAAAGAAAGGCATAAGTGAAAGTATTCAGGAAACACTTGCATATCTAGAAATGTAGCCATGGAAAGATGTAAGAGAAATGGCATAGGCTTTGGAGTCAGTCACACCAAGGTTAGTATCCCAGCTCTGCCATTTTTATATTTCTAAAAATCATATAATCAAGGGAAATAGATTTCTATCCTGCTTAGTTTTAGCAACTAATATCTGCAATATAGATTTGGTATAATTTAATCATCTTCAGAACACATACAGTCCCTGACTTAAGACGCCATTTACTAACTATGTAGGCTTGGACAAGTTACTAAATACCTTTTCTTCAGAAACCTCAAGTAAGCGGGGAATATAACTACCTTTGAAGAATATAATGCATGTCAAAATGTCTAACACAGTGCCTGATATATAGTAGATATTAAAAAAATGGTAGCTTATCTTCCTGTATTGTCTTTTAAAACATTTTAAATTTTAAGTTTTTATGGGTAGATAGTAGATGTATATATTTATGGTTACATGAAATATTTTGATACAGGCATACAATGCATAATAATTACAACAGGGTAAATGCAGTATCCATCATGTCAAGGATTTATCCTTTCTTTGTATTGCAAACATTCCAATTACACTATTTTAGTTATTTTAAAATGTACAATAAGTTATTAACTGTAATGCTATCCTGTTATGCCATCAAATACTAGATCTTATCCATTCTAACTGTATTTTTGTACCCATTAACCAACTCCATTTTCCCCTTCCCCCCACCTCCATTAAGTTCATACAAATGAGCAAGGCAGATTTTGTCATGATAATTTCAGGCTCTGATGTATCGACAATATGACCCCAAGGTTCTCTCTAAGATGAGGAACTATTCTAAGAAAACAAGGAGAACTGGGTGACCTTACTGGGCCGTATTTAAAGAGCATATTTTTATTTTGGAGTAAACTTGCCTCTCTGTCAAAGGTGGAATACAATCTCAAACCCTTTGGGAGGTTGAGGATTGAGATCAGTGAAATAACATCAGTGAAGATCAGCTGACACCTCCCTGAAGAAAAGAGCGCAGTATAACCTCAGATGTCGAAGCCAGGAGTGGAGGGAGGAGTAGAGGGCAAGAGATCTTAGGGGAGTAGCCCCCACAGTCAGGCAAAGTATCCTTTCGATGATTCAGCCTTGAAGCCCATGTTGTTGGTCACTGTGCCTGAAGAACAGCACTCTTAACTGGGGGAAGAAAACAAAATAGAGGAGTTAATTGAATAGTAATTGGTATGATTTGCCTTTGCCTAAGTTATAGGCAATTGGGAAAAGAGGAAATATTTCCCATTGCCTGGGACATGATTTCAATGCTTGAAGATTTAATTTCAGCTCAAAAAAGTTGGTTGTTGTTGTTGTTTTTGAGGCAGGGCCTCACTCTGTCACCCAGGCTGGAGTAGAGTGGCGTGATCACGGCTCACTGCGGCCTTGACCTCCTGGGATCAGGTGATCCTCCAACCTCAGCCTCCTGAGTAGCTGGGACCACAGGCACACACCACCATTTTTACTTTTTTTTTTTTTTTTTTTTGTAGAGATGGAGTTTTGCCATGTTATCCAGGCTGGTCTCGAACTCCTGAGCTCAAGCAATCCGCCTGCCTCCACCTCCCAAATTGCTGGGATTGGAGGTGTGTGCCACTGCGCCTAGCCTGTGTTGTTTTTTAAATGGATCTAGCTTTGTTACATTTGGGTCTTGACAAGGTTACCAACTTAAAGGGAGGGTATTGGGCTCTTCTTTTATTTCTTTCTGACATTCTTTTGTACCCAAATTTGCATTTCACAGGGTCAGATAACAATGCCAAGTGGCAGGCTATGTATTGAAAAATACCTTTTTTTGGTAATGGGAAGAAGTGTATGGGAAGTCTCAAGGAAGCTTAGATACCATTCTAAGTTTAGAGTTCTAAGTTTACAATTCTAAGCCTAGAATTTAGAATTTATTCTCAGGAAAACTGGGAGCCATTGAAGGTTTTAACATTGCACTATAGAAAGTACTAATAGCTATTTTTGGATATGTGGATTTAAAAGTTTGTTTTCTATGGCTGCCATAACAAATTACTACAGGTAGCCTAAAGCAACACAAATTTATTATCTTACAGTACTGTAGGTCAGAAGTTTGACAAAGATTTTACTGGACTAAAATCAAGGTGTCAACAGAGTTATGCCCCTTTCTGGAGAGAGTCTATTTCCTTGCTCATTCAGATTGGTTACAGAATTCAGTACAGCTGTGATTCCAGAACTAAAATCCCCATTTCCTTGCCAGTTGTCAGCTGAGAGCCCGTCCCAGCTTCTAGGCACTGCTCACATTCTTTGCCTTGTGGTTCCCTTTCTATTTCTTCTGTTTTCAAAGCCTGCAATAGCTGGTCAGTTTCTTCTCATGCTTTGAATCTCTCCTGCCTCTTGTTCTGTTTTGCATCTCCCCAACAAAACCTTCTGCCTTCCTTTTGCACTTTTTGTTTGTTTGTTTGTTTTTTTGAGACGGAGTCTCGCTCTGTCGCCCAGGCTGGAGTACAGTGGTGTGATCTCGGCTCACTGCAAGCTCCGCCTCCCGGGTTCACGCCATTCTCCCGCCTCAGCCTCGGGAGTAGCTGGGACTACAGGCGCTCGCCACCACGCCCGGCTAATTTTGTTCTTGTATTTTTAGTAGAGACGGGGTTTCACCATGTTAGCCAGGATGGTCTCAATCTTCTGACCTCGTGATCTGCCTGCCTCGGCCTCCCAAAGTGCTGGGATTCCAGGCGTAAGCCACCGTGCCCGGCCTCGTTTTTCACTTTTAAGGCCTATGTGGTGATGTTGGACTCATCAGATAATCTAGGATAAACTTCCAATTTCGATGTTCATAACCATAATCACATCTGACTGTATTATATTCACGAGATTAGAGTGTGGACATCTTTGCAGGGCCATTATTCTGCCTACTACAAAACTCATTAAAGTGTAGATTATATTTTAAACCATAAGAGTAGAAAATATTACCCAAGGAGAATGTGCAGTTTTTTCTTGAATCTTCACCTGCTGGAAGGTTACTTTACCCATCCTTGTCCTACATGTCCCAGTCTTTTGGATATCTGGAATTACTCCATCACCTATAACAGAATACTGTAGACTGTGTGAGGCTTATAAACAACAAAAATTTATTTCTCACAGTTCTAGAGTCTGCGAAATTCAGGATCAAGGCACCAGTAGATTTGGTGTAAGGTGAAATTCACTTCCTGGTTCATAGACTGCTGTCTCTCGCTGTAACCTCACATGGCAAAAGCAGGAGGTGAGCTCTCTGGGCTCTCTTTTATGAGGGCATGAAGCCCATTTGTGAGGGTTCTGCCTTCATGAACTAATCACCTCCCAAAGGCCCCACCTCTAAATACCATCACTTTGGGGATTAGGTTTCAACTTATGAATTTTGGGGGGACATAAACACTCAGTCTGTAGTAGTGCTTTACCAATTTCTCAAGCATATAGGACTATTTTAGGACCATGGTCTATGGCTAAGCCCAATTTCTGCCCTTCACCTCATCTCAGCCATCTCTGCCTTTCAAGCTCTGCTACTGCCTATATCTTCTTTGGATTTACATGACATCTTCACCTTTCACTGGAGCTGCCAAACTCCCTTGTGGACTTGATTTATGATTGTTGACCTTGTTCTGAAGTTTTGTTTTTTACTTTCTACTCTTCCACTAACTCTCTGTCTGAACATACTGCAATCTATGTAGCACTGAGATGAGGTATGACTTTTCCTCAGAGAGCTTATCCCAGTACCCAAGATCTTAGCCACAAGTGAGAGCTTCAAGCCCTTTGAGTGGAAAGAGAGGGAGGCAAATAAATAGGAGCCAACATCTTTTATGATGCTGTAGACTCCCATATAACACTGAGGCTAATAACAAGGAATTTAGAATCTGACAATTTTGGGTTCCATTTCAGGCTCTGATATCCACCAGCTATGGGCAATGTTAAATAACCTCTTTTAGCCTGCATTTTCTCATGTGTAAAGTTGGAACAAAAGATAACCTCAAAGGTTTGTTATGAGCATTAAATGAGATAACGAATGTAATCCCGGACAGTGTAGTAAATGTTCATTTCATGAATTTGATCTTAGTTCTTCACACCGTTGTAGGATACAGAGACACAAACAAGAAAACATTGGCTACTAGTATGCTACATTCCCAAATTTTCATTTGGAGATTTTATTTTGAATAGAGGGAAAATTATCTGCTTGTATAGTCCATGGCAGAGCCAGTGGAATGCAGAGGGAGAAGTAGGGTCTCACTTGTCCTTAGCAGTGTTCTCAATCCAGGATACATATTTGTAAACATTGGTGTAGATGCCGACGTCCCCTCCCATGAAGTGCCCCACCTCGATTCCCTGGAGCTTGTCTTTGCAGATGACAGTAGCAACGGCCACCTCCTACCGGAGATCATGCAGAGAGAGAGAGAGAGAGAGAGTAAGAGTGTCAGATCTTCTCACAGGAACCCTAGTGTCCCGCTTGGGTGAGCCCTGTCTGCAGGCATATGCTGGACTCTTGAAAAGAGCACCGAATCAGGGGACAGGATGCTTGAGCCTTTTTTCTCATTTTGCTGTAATTAGCTTTGTGTGACCTTGAAAAAGTCAGAGGACAGTCTCTCTAGAAATCACATGTAAAATGGGTCAGACTCCATTTTTTTGAACTGGTGAAGGCATTTTCTATTTGTGAAAAGTCTGATTTATTTTTAAAGAAATGCCTATTTTCACAATTTTGCTTGTAGTTATAAGAATGAATACCTAGGAAATGGTGTGCTTAACTGGAAGTACTTTATAATGTCCTTTAATGAATAAAGACAATTTAAGGGGATCCCATTACTGAAGAAACAATGCTGGCTTTGCAGCAGCCTTATCAAATTCTCAAAAAATTATTTAGACATCTAAAATAGTTTTTACATCAAGAGTCAATAGTTAACCGGGCATATGCAAGTAAATGAAAGCTGAATATAGAGATAAGATTACCCCAAAAATTCGGCTGAATACTTTCACAAATTTCACACATAAGGAATTCCTGTGGCTTTTTCCTTGTTCTGTTTTTTGGCATTCTCGATCAGACATCACGGGGGCCTCCAGGTTCTGCCGCAAGTCAGGGTGTCGGCCTGAGGGAGACGGGGATAAAATAAAACATCCTGTTGACAGTGGTTATTTTAGTCCTTCTGACCACCAGCCTCTATTTCAACTGGTATCTTTTTGTGTGTGTTTAAAGAAAATAAGGAATGCGACAAAGGAGAGAAATCATCAAGAGTGTGGTTATGAGCTAATCTTGAGGATTTTGAAAAAGGCTTTACGTCTCTTTAAGGTAGAGTATATTTTTAATTGGTGGCCTGTCTTGGAGAACTAAATGACCTGAGGCAATTCTCAGAGGTGTCCTTTACATGTGAAATGAGCATGTATGAGAAGTAGGACCACACCTTGTTCATGTGAATTGTGTCTCTGCCAATCAGGAATGGCTGGGCCTCTGTGCAGAGTCAGATGGCCTGGTGGCTCCAGCTGCCAAAGCCCTGCAGAGGCAGTGGGATATTAGACACCCTGGGAAAGGAGGAGCTTTGTTCCTCTGGGCAGGTCTCTGTTTGCCAGACCACTCAGGTAGCATCTCTATTGGGTCTCCTTTCACTCTCCTTTCCTCCTCTCTCCTCACAGCTATGAGGATATGGATGTTCCTCCTAAAGGACAACTGATGACCCTGATTTGCTGTGGAAGGCACACTTACCACTGTTTTCTTGGCTCCAGTCCAAACCTGAGAGTAGACAGACAGTGCCTGGCCTGACATTGGTGGTGGCGAGGGTAAGGGGCTGGACTTTGGGATTGAGCATGGCAGGCTTAGCCAGCTTGATGAGCATGAGGTCATCCTGTGGGGCGCTATGACTGTAGTTCCAGTAGCGGACGATCTGAATGGGGTTAATTGTCTGTTCAGTACCGTCTCTGACTCTGCTCTTGAAATTTCCCAGCATCACTTTCAGATTTCTGGAGGGAGAGGGGTTGGAAGTAATCATCATCATCATCATCATCATTGCTAAGATACTGAATGTTACAAAGTGCCAGGAACTGTACCAAGTGCTTTTTCTGGATTATGTCATTTAACTCACAACAAGTCTATGCAGTGGATTCCATTTTTATCCCCATTTAGCACATGAATTAATGGGGGCACATAGGAGTAATTCACTCAGGGTGATATAGTAAGTAGTGGAGCCCTTCACTACATTTTAATGTTGTGTTCTTTAATGTAGTGGAGAGGAAGAGGATGCATGTCAAGGAAATGTAATTTTCTCGCCTATCTAACTGAACAATGTCCATTTTGGTGGAGACCAGAGAATAAATAACCTAGTTCTGGGTGTCTCCTGTTTGGTTCCCTAGCTGATGCACTAACAGTCCTATTCCATTCTGCTCTGCACCTTTGGAAGGGGACATATATGGATTTAATCAGTGGGCTCTCTTGTCCTCTGGCTTCCTTCTATTGGCCAATAGGAAGCACCAGAAAGTAACTGGAGGAAGAAGAGTGAGATTGGAGTACTTATCCTCCCAGGTCCCTCCCTGCAGTTTTGTCACAGAGTGGCTGTGCTCCTTGACTAGGGGTTACAATCCTTATCAGGCTGTCTCCTCACACAGGTCTCGCTTTTTCTCTATCTCTCCTTGCCTCCTTTGAAATTATCTTCTCCTCTTGCCTTTTTAGGCCTAGAGGTGGTAACTGCATTTTCTTAATACAAACCCTGGTGGTATGGAACTATTCTTAATATTGTCCCTTTAATGTCTCCATACCTTTGCAATTGGTTCCTTCTTAAAACTCACCTCAATTGACCCAATTTGAGTGCATCATCAGTTACCTGCTAGATCTTTAAGTGATAAAATGCATTCATACTGCCAGTAAAAAAAAAAAAAGAAAAAAACTTATGAGAGTCTGAGGAGGCATAACATGTAACACAGGGTTCCTCAACAGTGGCACTATTGCTGTTCTGGGCTGGACAAATCTTTATTGTGGGGACTGTGCTGTGAATTGTAGGATGTTAAACAGCATCTTTGCTCTAGCCTCTCCCCATTAGATGCCAATAGCACTGCCCCCTGGTTGTGACAACCAAAAATATCTTCAGACATTGCCAAGTGTACCCTGTAGAGAAGTTACCCTTATATGAGAACCACTGATCTAGAATGAACAGTAGCTGTTTTGGGGATGGGGATGCCCAAATACTCAACGGTAAATAGCAGTGAGCTGGGGCCAGCACCCAGCTGGGTTTGATGAGGACGCCCACACAGGGGTTGAAGTGAGACTTGAGGTACACCAAATAGGGAGCAGGGTCTTCTTTCTGAACAGATGAGTCAGCAAAGAAAAATGTCCCTGAGAAAATAATGAACATTCTTAATACATAAATATTATAAAAATAAGGTAACAGTCTCTTACTTGAAAAGGAATCTGGATGATTCTTAAACAGTTATCAGTTGGCCAAGAAGTGTTAACGTATTTGACATGTTTTTCTAATAAAAATGTAAATTAAAACGATATGCCATTTTATCTTATATTTATAATAATTTTGTTTAATATTGATAATATTCAATCTAAGAGAGTATAATGAGAGACACTCATCACTGCTAGTAAATTGATTCCATCTTCTTGAAAAGCAATTTAGAAACAGGCATCAAGAATCATAAATTGTTTATAACCTGTGACCTAATCATTCCAACCCCAAGAATCCATTCTAAAGAAAAAAATCAGATATAGACAAGGATTACAAACAAGTATGCTCATGTTAGCTATAACAGCTGAACACTGGAAACATAAATATCTGACATAGTAATGTTGGACATTGAAGCACATCAAAAAGTGGAACATCATATATAATAAAAATTAAACTAATTAGAATATTAAACAGCAAAAGAATATTAATGCTTATTTAAGTTAAAAAGAACAAGAAAATTGTGGATATAATCTATTTGTCTAAAAACAAATAAATAAAAACATTTAAATGCAAAAAATATATAGATTCTGAGAGTAAACTCAAAGTGTTAGCATGTGTTGACTAAGAGGTGGGATTATGAATGATGCTTATTTTTCTACTTTAAAAATGTCTAAATTTTGTAATATGAACATATATTGTTTTTATAAATGAATTATTTAAAACATACCCTAGAGAATAAAGGGGAGGAAGGCTGATTCTAGTATCAGAAATAAAGCCCTCTTCTTGTCTTGGCTTCTCTTGCTACTCCTGTTAACCTTCCCCAAGACTGGGTCTGTACCTCACCACACCCTTCTGTGTGATCACACAGTTAGAAACCCCAAAGAGAAAAGGGTAGACTGTAAACAAGGGCAAGAGACATTGAGCTCTCTATAGCAGGCATTGTTCTAAGTGCTTTACATAGATTTATTTAATCTTCACAATAGCTCTATAATATGGGTAGTCATACCCCCATTTTGAAGAAATTGAAGCACAGAAGAGTTAATTAACTTGGCTAATCTCACACAGCTAATGTGTGATACAACCTAGGCAGTCAGAGAATGGTGGGAAATGCCTCATCTGCAAATTCTGCTGTCAGAAGAACCCCATGTGGGGCAAGGACTACAGAAGGTAGGGTCCTAGTACTTGATCTTTTGTTTCTACTTCTCTGTTTTCTGCATTAGTGTCGGTGGGAGGACACTCACTGTTAAGCCTTCTCCAAGGCACATGTGTGCCTTAACCCACCCTATAGCTTAACACTAGAAAAGTGGGCTCAGCCTATCCGGAGAGCCTTTGGATGGAGTCTGAGAGGCAGGACTCCTAATTCTGCTGATGACACTATTTTTGACTCTTTTTCTGCACCCTTCGCAATCCTGCCTCTGTCTCACCCCATCCATTAAACTGTGCCTTACAGGACAGAGTACAAGGTCTTGAGTACATACCAGCGAGGACACCCAAATAGAAGACATATTTCATGGTGATCCAGCTCTTCCCCCTGTGAGATGTAGAAGAAAATCAGCAGAGTGTGGAGCGGTTGGCTTAGTTGTCTTCTCAGGAACACCTGGTAGACTCAGTGGCTATGGTTAGATACGGAGGCACTCCATGGGATTGGAAAGCAGCTCTGGGCATAAACAGGGGAGGGAGATGGCTTCAGAGAGACAGATGAAAGCCCTCTGTTCCAGGGAAGGTGGAGGACTGTGCCTCTGTTGGGGCATTTCAGGGAAGGAAACTCCTGGATTCAGCTCCTTCTATCTGCTGCCCCTAAAAACACATCTGTTTGAAGGTAGTTCAGTTGTCTGTGGAAATGGCAGCTCTAGGCTCAGGACTTATCTTCCCCACAGAGTTTCTGAGACCAGGGCTATGAGGGACAATATTCTTTACCTTAGCTCAGGGAGTAAGTGTCCTGAGGTTTGCTCTGAACCTCCTAATAGTTACTTATACTTTCCCCAGCCCCTCCCATCTTTGTTACACTAGCTTCATATGTCCCTCTGATCACTGTTTCATCACTCAGTCATCATCACCAACTTGGTGTTTTTTGTCCTGAGCAACAGCATTGAGCCAAGAAAATATGGAAATGAAAAGCATTCATAGAACAGTTATCTTGATAGTTGGGGAAT
Source organism: Homo sapiens (assembly GCF_000001405.40). Classification (NCBI taxonomy): domain Eukaryota; kingdom Metazoa; phylum Chordata; class Mammalia; order Primates; family Hominidae; genus Homo; species Homo sapiens. The sequence goes on from NC_000007.14 coordinate 141,841,691, forward strand.
TGTTTACAGTCTAGATGACATTAGGCCTGGTGACAATTCAGAAGGCAGTACCTCTAATACTTAAAGACTTAGACCAATATTAGACTACCAAAGTCATCCTTGGATAATTGGGAGCATAGTCTAACAAGAAAATGAGCGGTAACACTAATAGCTGATATCCTCTAAGCATTTACTGAATCCTAGGCACTGAGCTAAGATCTTTACGGACTTGTCAGTAGAGATTTTATATCAGGTTAGTCTGAGATGTAAAATTCACTACACTTTGTATCACTCTAACCCTTTAAAGTTTCTTAAACCCATAATCTCTTTCCAAATGTCACAACAACCCTAGAAAGAAGAGATAGGGCTGGGTCTGGTATCTATTTCTGGTCTGTGGGTGGCAGAACTGAAGCAGAGAGAATCTAAGTAGTTTTCCCAAAGTCACATGTCGTGGACAATGAGAAATAGGCCTTGTCACTGGTGTAGGGTTGCAGGTCCCCCACCAGGATACTTAAGGGTGTATGACCACTGCTTGAACCTTAATGGCTAAGTAGTGAGTCAAGGACACGGTGCCCAGCCAAGAAGCAGGTATCCTTGATGGCCAAGTGGTGAGTCAACGCCATGGTGTCCAGCTGAGGAGCAGGTGTCCTTGAGTACCCAAACATCCCAGAGAATACCTGAGAACCTATCAAGGAAAACAGTCCCATCATGCACACACAGTAGGCAAAGAGCCAGAAAATTAGCTTAAAAGCAGCTTAGAGATGGAAAGCAGGGCAGGTCTCTAAAGGTGTCCTCTGCTATCTAGGAGTGTCTCATATGTAAGTCCTAATAAACTTATCCACTGGCCAAGCTGGACTTGTCTGAGTCATTCTTTGGTCTCTTGGCTCCCTCCTAGTTTGGGGGAAAGGTTTTTTTAAAAATATGATTCTGGATTTTTCTTGTTACAATTGGCATCACAAATGGGGTCAGAGAGACCAAACTTCGAGCCAGGAATGAGTGTCTATGGTGGGGAATCCCTGGGCAGTCGGCAATGTCCATGTGGAGTGGAGTTGCCCAACTGCACAACTTTTGTGGGCCACTGCATGAGTACAGGGATGCTTGGAAAACATGGGCAAGGACTGAATACCTATTGCCAAGAAGCCAAGATATTAAAGTATGATAATGATAGTAAATGTGGTGTTATTGCAATAAGGCTGGCTAATCACAAATCATTAGAGCAGGAAAGGGAGAAAGGGTAGAAACTCCAGCAGAAGCTAAAAGGCATGGTTTTCTAATCCTCCAGCTGGTTACATATTATGGCCCTTTCTTGTGTACATTTTAAAACTGACGGGCAAATTACAACAAGAAAAATTCAGAGCTCAAATGTTTAATCTACAACTATAGAGTTAAGTAGAGTCTTCTAAAGCTCTCTATTTCTCTTTCCTTTTCTGCCTGCTTTGAATCTACTGTTAATAAGTTACTGGTATTGAGATAAAACTCACTAATTCAAGGTCAATTTGAGATTTTTTTTTTCCTCATATGGTTCAGCCAGTTCTAGCTAAAATGTAAAGAATTAAACTCATTTGGAACTGAAAAAAAATGGATAAAGGAGGTTTTTAAAAATCAAACTGCCATAGAAACTGCTTTACCCAAATTATTGATCCACTGCTTTCCTTGGGTTACCTATTGGGGCAAATAAAGTTTAGCCATGTGAACAGGTCCCAATTTTATCAAAAATAATCTGGATCCAGCTGTCTTTTATATAGTAATGAGTTTGTGAAGCTAGAATTCCAAAAGCTATTGGTAAAAGCTATCGGATCTTGCATGTATATGTATAAACATGTTTAAATGTGTTATGTGTATGTGCATGTATTATGCTATGTGTTATATCTAGCATGGTACCGAATAGCTTATAAGTAAATACGTACTCATAAATTAAATAAGTCCAGATGCTCTTCAGGTTCACGTGAATTCAATAATCTTTGGTGAATAAGCTGGCTTCAAAATTTTTGATAAAATAAAAGTAGAAATGTCTTCAAAAGTGTCAGCATACATTTTTGTCTGAGTTTCTTGATTAGATAAGTTGTATATTTGCCCCTCCTAGATAGTTTAAGGTGTCAGGTTTCTGACATGAAGGTTCTAAGACTATAAATCCACCCAAAACAGAATGATCTTTGTGTGATTTTTTTGATAAGCAAGATTAATTTGATATTGTCAGTTTAATTAAAACAGCTGAATTTTCTGAGTTATTGGTAAAAATGCTTATGTCTTTAAGTTTCTTGATTAGACGAACATCTGATATTTATAAGCCATTAAAATGGTTAACAGGGAAATAACTCGTAATGATTATTAGCTTTGTCTAATAAGTCTAATGAGCTTTCGTTCTCATGAGTAATCCAGATAAACCACTAAAAATGAATAAATTCAGTAAATGTAAATGAGATAAACATAGGTAAAACTTTTTGTGTAGTTTAAAATCTTAAAATTATTTTAGCTACTCATTGAATGTCTGGGTCATTTCCAGTTTAGAAAGGGTTATGATATGAGACATTGGTTGCAGTTCTTTTGCCATTTAGTGGAAAATGGAATCTATGATATGGGGGAAGCATTGGTGGATCTCAGTGGGCTGGATAAGAGCAAGGACTAAATTCAGAAAGTAATCACTTGTCCCAGCACAGGCAGGCAGTGAATGTAAAACAATACTGCCTGCCAGGGGCACACTCTGAAATCATCAGAACAATTTAGGCATTCCATAAGGTACAAATAGGCTGGCCCAGAGCCCCTGTAACAGCCCTGGGTAGCCTGTGAAGACACCAGATGGCACCTGCAAAATGTTGGCAGGCTACCATGAGCTAAACAAAGTGTTGCTCCCTGTATATGCAGCTGCTGAACTACTAGAACAAGTGGTCCTCAAGCTGGGAAATGTCCATCCTGTGACTGACTTGTCTAATGGCTTTTCCAGTATCCCTTTAGCAGAAGATTCACAAGGTCAGTTTGTCTTCACTTAGGAGGGCCAACAATGGACTTTCCAGGTGCTAACACAAGGGTACCTGCACAGCTCCACCATCTGTCACAGCATGGTTGCATGGAACCTGTCTAGGCCCTGTTTGCCTGCCTCAATCTCCCTGTTTCACTATATTAATGATATCATGCTAACCTCAGAGTCTCTTACAGATCTGGAGACTGCTCTACAAACTGTCTTGGATACCCTAAAAGACAGGTGATGAGAAGTCAGCCCCCAAAAGATAAAGGAGCCTGGCATAACTGTCAAGTTCCTGAGAGTTACCTGGTAGGGTAAGACGTGAAACATAAGCTAGCACAGCAGCCTGTTCCCTAGATGGTAAACTAACACCAGGTGTTCTTAGGTTTACTGGGCTACTGGAGAATATTGATTCCTCATCTGGCACAAACCCTCTGCCCATTATACACCCTCATAAAGAAAAATAAACAATGGGACTGGACATACATGGAGCAAGAGGCATCTGACAAGACAAAAATATTGGTGAAACAAGTGCAAGCAATAGGGTCCCCACTGCCACAGCACCCTTTTGTGTTAGAATTCACTAAAGATGCCATGGGGATGATTTGGGGTTTGTGATAAAAGCAACCAATGTGAATGGTACCTGTAGGATTTTGGTCTCAATTATGAAAGAGTGCAGGACCTACTGTATAGTCCTCGAGCAACAGCTGTTGGCCATGTATAGGGCATTGCATGAAGTGGAGGCCATCACCAGGAAGCAGACTATCACACTAAAAACTGCCTACACCATAAAAGGATGAATGGAAGGCCTTGTAGCCAACACCATCTCTGGGGTAGCACAGTCACACACCCTACAAAAATGGCACACCTATCTGCAACAGAGGGGTGTCTCATCCACTAGTCTTTTAAGTCAAGCACTACAGGAGGTGCTCAGACCCATCCACTTTGAACAACTGGAGGGGTTTGACATGACAGTGGGGCCACCTACTACGCCAATCACTGTATATAAGGGGACCCTGCCCGTAACTGCTAGGACCTGCTACACTGGTGGGTTTAACAAAGGCAGCCAGCACCAATGGTCAACAGTTGTAGCGCAAATGAACCTTGATACCTTATGGATAGAATAGGGATTAGGACAAAACATTCAGTGGGTCAAGCTATGGGCAGTTTGGATACTCATCACCCACAAGCCCTGGTCACTAGTCACTTGGACAGAGTTAGGCTACATACAGAGGCCTTACCATGTGGATCAATCAATGGACTGCAGAAAATCAACAGGTTTTGGGCAGGCCCATTTGGGGAATGTCCATGTGGCAGGATGTTCACCTCAGGTTACAAGAGAACGATGTGCATCTGATGGTGTATCAGGTAGATGCACACAGCCCCAAGTCACCTCCCAGAAATCATGAGGCAGACACCTTACTCATGTTCAGGCAATTTACCCTAGCCCATTGGAGGAGGATGCCATGTGGATACCTCATAAGAGTGGCCACCAGTGGGTGGCTATAGGGTGGGTCATAGCAAAGGCAGCAGGCATCCCTTTCCAAATGCAGATGTTCTGGCAGCTGTTCAGAACTGTGAAATCTGTTCATGGCTGTGACCTAGAAAAATTCCCTCCACATCAGTTCACATACATCGAGCCATGCAATCTGTGTGAGAATGGCAAGTTGATTATATTGGACCCTTGCCTCAAAGTGGAGGGAAAAATATGCCTTAACTTGTGTGGGCACAACAACAAGGCTGCCACAGGTCTTCCTAGTAAAAAGTACCACTCAACTGGAGACTGCCAAGTGTCTCACTGATATTAGCGTCATGTATGGCATGCCAAGAAGGATAAATAGTGATCAAGGCCCCTATTTCATGGGCCATGATATCCAATACTGGGCATCAAAACAAAGTATACACTGGAGGTTTCCCTTACCATATAACCCAACAGGGACAGGCCTTATAGAAAAAAAGGATGTTCATTAAAAACCCAGTTACGTGCATTGTCTCAGGGTGGTTCTCTAAGGTCCTGGGCTAAGAATCTCCCTGAAGCTATACAAACTTTAAGTGAGTCACCAACGACCACCATGGTATCATTTCCTATGAATGGTTGGCAAGGCCTGTGAAACAGGTCCCACAAACTCTGAGGGATGCCTCTGAGACTCTGAGAAATGCTCCTGAAAAGATGGACAGGCTGTGCTCCTGAGAACACCAGTGGATCTGCTAAGAGGTGATAGCTATGTGGACCTGAAGTTGAGCTGGAAAGTGCCCCTATGCTGGACTGGTTTTATGGCACTGGAGAATGCCATGAAGACAGTTGGAGGGGAGGTCATCCCAGCTGTGCTCCTTGATGGAGGTCCGAGAGCCTTACAATGTCAACACATGGCAGCACCAATACCTCTGGAGCAGGCACCATGCAGATAGTGTGGGCAAGGCCAGAAGCTTAGCAATTGGATGCTTACCCACTCCTAGGGAGAGAAGCTATGTGTGGTGCTGTAAGACAGACCTGAGACCCATAGTGGCCTCCCTGATAAGACCAATGAGAGAATATACAGCGCTAATAATGTTATAAGGAGTGGATGTACCCATGAAAGTTCCTACTAAACATCTGTGTCTATGTCCACAGGCTGTTGTTACTGCTACCCACAGCAGCTGGTAATGTCTTTCTGGACTGGGCTGCGACTACAGCAACAATCAGCAACCAGTCTGATTGTTGCGTTTATGAATACCTTTCCCTAACAAATGATAATGATATGTCTTGGAATAGTCTGCCTTTATCCCTACAGAATTGGAGTGACTGGTTCAGCAGCACTAATAATGCGACTCGGGTTCACTGGAGATTGCCTTCACTTGGAAGCCCAATTGCCAACTTGATGGTGATCCAACTACATGTTCCCTTATAGGCTCTGTTGTCCCTATATCCCTGATAAAGAGAATAATGTTACAGATACTTTAAATCATTTGTCAACTCAGATCTATGACATAAGTCATTCAGGTTTCTTTGACCTATTTTCAGATTGGTCACACATCTTACCTACTCATTGGAGTTATGTTTTGCCAAAAGGTGTTATAATTGTAGTTAGCTTCTGCTTTTTATGCTCTTGTGTACACTGTGGATGTGGCCTGTATGCACAAGCCATGGCTATACATTATTAGTATGTATAGTTCTTCCCGTCGTGCCCAGCTCAGGGACTCTCATGCAAGATTGGCAGCAAGAATGTATGAGTTTGTGGACAGGGTGGATTTTAATGTGACAGGTCCTCCACCATGTTACTTAAAGGATGTATGTCCACTGCTTGAACCATAAAGGTTGGACAGTGAGCCAAGACCATAGTGCCCAGCTGAGGGGCAGGTGTCCCTGAGAACCCAAATATCCCAGAGAATATCTGAGAACCTACCAAGGAAAACAGCCCCATCACACACACACAGTAGGCAAAGAGCCAAAAAATTAACTTAAAAGCAGCTTAGAGATTGAAAGCAGGGCAGATCTCCAAAGCTGTCCTCTGGCGTCCAGGAGTGCCTCTTATGTGAGTCCTAATAAACTCATCTATTCACCAAACTGGACTTGTCTGAGTCATGTTTTGATCTCTCGGTTCCAGCCCAGTTTAGGGGAAGGTTTCGTTTTGTTTTGTTTTTTAAATGATTTCTTCCAACCATGTCCTCCAGCATGGAGCTCTTAACACTGTGCAGTCACTCCCACAAATTCCCTAAAATGTAGAATGAAAAACGTACATGGCATACACTCTCCTGAAACTCACAACCAACGTAGAGGTGTGCTGGGGAGTAGTGCTGGTTTATGAAATGTTCTTGAGATTCTAAGATGGGGTGGAGTTGTAGAAAGTTCTGTGTGTACGTGTGTGTGTGTGTGTGTGTGTGTGTGTGTTGCGGGGAGGGACTAGTTAAAACAGGTAAGAAGTTGAGAAAGAGATATACTTTACTCTGAGCTTGTTTTTCCTAGACTTTTCAGACATATTATGAACCAGGAAAAGAGTCTGTAGCCTGGTTTGGGAGGGTGAAGGGGTTGCTATCTAAGAAAAGATATCTAAAGTCAACAGATTTTCTGGAGGAGATTGGCACTGGGACTACAACCTATCTCTAATTTTCAAATTGATATCTTTGGGCCTACGCATACAACTCTCTCCTGGAAACAATTTTTTTGTCTCTCCTCTAGACCCTTGAAATTTGTCAAAATTAAACTCCTCATATGCCTCCAGTCTTTCAAATTAATTCTGCTCTGCAGTTTTGTCTAAATACCTATGATACTTGTAACTTTTCTGTTGTGCTTGTTCTGTGTTTATTTTTGTCTTTTTTTCTGTGTTCTCTGATTTTGAGCATTTTACAATTCCATGTTCTCACCTCTCAACATACCACTTGTCATCCAAAGAGCTTTTTATTTTAGTCTTTGAATTTTTTAGTTCTATAATTTTTATTTCTTTTTTACAGTTCTATTTCTTCAGTGAGATTTTACACTTTTAAAAACTCTGTTTCAAGAGTGTTCTTATTAAAATATTTTTATAGTTGCTGCTCTAAAATTCTTGTCCCATAATTTGATCATAGTCATAATAGAATCGTTGGGATGTATTGATTGTCTTTTCTTTCAAGTTCCAGGTATTTCATTTGTTAGTGAGGACGTGGAAGGGCTAAATTATCTTCTCTACTTATTATGCCTGAATTTCAGTTCCCAGCCCTGTGTGGGAACTCTTCTTGCTCTTCAGGGGGTGATAATGGCTGCATACTGCTTCTTACCATAAGTTACAGGACCAATCCACTTTGCTCCAAGGTTCCAAGGTTGGGACTCAGCACTCTTTTTGGAAATTCTACAAAACCTGTGTTCATCAGGAAATCTTAGCGGTATGCAGGTGAAGGGGAGCTCAGCTATTAAGATAAAACTTGCCTAAGAAATATTCCACTTTTAGCCAAGCGAAAATAAATATAGTATATTACACAGACAGTCATGTGTCACTTAAAAATAGGAATATGTTCTGAGAAATGTGTTGTCAGGTGATTTTATTATTATGCAGGCATCATAGAATGGACTTACATAGACCTAGATGGTATAGCCTACTACACACGTAGGCTGTATGGTATAGCCTATTGCTCCCAGGCTACAAACCTGTACAGCATGTTACTGTACTGCATATTGTAGACGATTGTAGCACAGTGATATTTGTGTGTTTAAACATATCTAAACACAGAAAAGGTACAGTAAAATATAATATTGTAATCTTATGGGGCCACTCTCATACATGCAGTCTGTTGTTGACCCGAATGTCCTTGTGTGGTACATAACTATATGTAAAAATAACTCCCCAAACCTGTTCTTAATGTTTTAAAGATCCATCTAAAGTATCATGACTATATTTTATTTTCACTGCTATCTAATATTTCTTTTTATTTATTTATTTTTTTTTTTTGAGACGGAGTCTCACTGTCGCCCGGGCTGGAGTGCAGTGGTGCGATCTTGGCTCACTGCAAGCTCCGCCTCCCGGGTTCATGCCATTCTCCTGCCTCAGCCTCCCGAGTAGCTGGGACTACAGGCGCCCGCCAGCAGGCCCGGCTAATTTTTTGTATTTTTAGTAGAGACGGGGTTTCACCGTGTTAACCAGGATGGTCTCCATCTCCTGACCTCATGATCCGCCCGCCTCGGCCTCCCAAAGTGCTGGATTACAGGCATGAGCCATGGCGCCTGGCACAGCTGTCTAATATTTCAATGTGAATATCACGCAATTTGTTCATTATTTTCTTGGCAGATATTTGAGTTATTTATAGTTTTGTGCTGTTTCGAAGAGTATTGCTGTAAATATATTTGTACCATGTACCCTGGAAAGTATTCTTGTGTATATATCTGCTGTGTGTGTGTATGTGTTTGTGTGTGCATTGGTGTATATCTGCAAGTATATCTCCGGGTGTATACCTCCAGAGTATATAATTAGGAGTGAAATTGTTGGGCTGTAGACAATGCAAATGTTCACTTAAAAATCCTCCAGTAATCTGAGTTCTTCCAATATTGGATATTGTCAAACTTTTAATTTTTTTTCCAGATTGTCAAATATTTTGTTATGCTCTTAATTTTATTACTTTTGTTAATAATGATGATTAGCATCATTTCACCACCTCCTCCTCCTTTTACCAGTGGTTCCTTTAGAAAACACTTTTGCATGTCTTTTGAACATTTCGTATATTGAATTTCTAAAATATTGCTTTTTTGGACTTCTACAGATGCTCAAGATATTACTCTTTTGTCAGTTATATATATTTAAATATCTTCTTCAAGCTTGTGGCTTAATCTTCCCTTTGTGGTGTATTTTGATGAATGAGAGCACTTAACTTTAATATAATTTAATTTAACACAAATTATTCATCTTTGTTTGTGCTTATTGTGTATTGGCTCAGGTGAAAATATCCTTTATGACCTTAAGAGATAAGAAAGATATTCTAAACTTACTTCTACAGATCTGATAAACAACTTCAGCAAAGTTTCAGGATACAAAATCAATAGCATTTCTGTACACCAACAATGTCCAAGCTGAAAACCAAATCAGTAATGAGATGTCATTCATAGTAGCCACAAAATAAATAAAATACCTAGGAATACAGCTAACCAGGGAGGTGAAAGATCTCTACAACTAGAATTACAAAATACTGCTAAGGAAATCAGATGACACAAAGGGATGGTAAAACATTCCATGCTTATGGATTGGAAGAATCAATATCATTAAAATGGCTAACGATTTTAATGATATTGACCAAAGCAATTTAGAGAGTCAATGATATTTCCATCGAACTACCAACATTTTTTTAACAGAATAAGAAAAAAAAAAACTATTCTAAAATCAAAATAGAACCAAAAAAGAGCCCAAATAGCCCAAGCAATCCTAAGCAAAAAGAAGAAAGCTGGAGGCATTACATTACTCAACTTCAAAGTGTACTACAAGGCTACAGTAACCAAAATGACATAGTACTGGTACAAAAACAGGCACATAGATCAATGGAACAGGTCACAAAACCCAGAAATAAAGTGGCACATCTACAACCATCTGATCTTTGACAAAGGTGACAAAAGCAATGGGAAAGGACTCCCTGTTCAATAAATGGTGCTAGAATAACTGGCTAGCAATATGCAGAAGATTCAAATTCAAACTGGACCCCTTCCCTTCACCATATACAAAAATCAACTCAAGATGGATTGAAGACTTACATGTAAAACCTAAAATGAATAGAACTTTAAAAATATGATTCTGGAGATAGGACCTTGCAAAGATTTCATCTTTGTTTGGCTCCATTGGGTATAGAGGTATTGTGATCTTTTGGGGGTGTTATAGAACCCGGTTTTGTCATACTACCAATATTATTTTTATGATTCCTTCTCATTTGGGTAGTCTATTTCTTCTAATTATTCTTGAATTTACTTTTGATTTGACTATGTTTTTTAAAATTTCCTTTTCCCCCTTAAGGCAGTGATTTTAATGTTTATAATTTATTATAGTCTAACTTGGCTCTTGGTGCTTTCAGAGTTGAAGACTATTACTTCCTTGGTTATAGAGTCTCTTTGATGGCTTTTTCAGGTGCTGGTTGTGGTAGCAATGTACTCAGTGTGTGAGCAAATTCACTGTTTTTTTATAGGGTTGGAATGGCAGAAGTCTCTTGAAGCTTTTCTCATTCCCCTATGGTGTGGACTTTATTTATTTATTTTTTTCCCCCGTATTTTATTTACTGGTTTGAATAGTTTAGGCTTTTAGGTCAGTAGGGGAGGTATCCTGTATTAGTCCATTTTCCACTATGAAGAAATACCCAAGACTATGTAACTTATAAAGAAAAGAGGTTTAATTGACTCACAGTTCTGCGTGACTGGGGAGGTCTCAGGAAACTTAGAAGGCACCTCTTCTCAGGGCAGCAGGAGAGAGAATGAGTGCAAGCAAGAGAAATGCCAGATGCTTATAAAACCATCAGATCTCATGAGAATCCTCATTATCATGAGAACAATATGTGAGAAACCACCCCAGTGATCCAATTACCTCCACGTGGTCCTGCCCTTGACACATGGGGATTATTACATTCAAGGTGAGATTTGGGTGGGGACAGAGAACCAAACCATAATATTCAGCCCCAGGCCTCTCCCAAATCTCATGTCCTCACATTTCAAAACACAATCATGTCTTTCCAACTGTCCCCCAAAGTCTTAGCTCATTCCAGCATTAACCCAAAAGTCCGAGTCCAAAGTCTGATCTGAGACAAGGCAAGTCCCTTCCACCTTTGAGCCTGTAAAATAAAAAACAAGTTAGTTACTTCCTCGATCCAATAGGAGTACAGGCATTGGGTAAATAAACCAGTTCCAAATGGGAGAAATTGGCTAAAATAAAGAGACTACAGGCACCATGCAAGTCAGAATTCCAATAGGGCAGTCATTGAACCTTAAAGTTCCAAAATGATCTCCTTTGACTCCATGTCTCAGGTCAAGGGCATGCTGATGCAAGAGATAGGCTCCCAAGGCCTTGGGCAGTTTGGCTCTGTGGCTTTGCAGGGCACAATCCCCATCCCAGCTGCTTTCATGGGCTGGCATTGAATGTCTGCAGCTTTTCCAGGTGCACGGTGCAAGCTGTCAGTGGATCTACCATTCTGGAGTCTGGAGGGCAGTGGCCCTCTTCTCCCAGGCTCCACTAGGCAGTTCTTTAGTGTGGACTCTGAGTGGGGGCTCTGACCGCACATTTTCCTTCTGCATTGCCCTAGCGGAGGTTCTTCATGAGAGCTTCACCCCTACAGCAAACTTCTGCCTGGACATCCAGGCATTTCCATACATCCTCTGAAATCTAGGCAGATGTTCCCAAACCTCAATTCTTGACTTCTGTGCACCCACAGGCCCAACACCACATGAAAACTGCCAAGGCTTGGGGCTTGCACCCTCTGAAGCAACAGCTGGAGCTGTACATTGGCCTCTTTTAGCCATGAGTGGAGCTGAAGCAGATGGGACGTGGGGCACCATATCCTGAGGCTGCATAGAGGAGGGGGTCCCTAGGCCCAGCCCACAGAACCATTTTTCCCCCCTAGGCCTCCAAGCCTGTGATGGGAGGGGCTGCATGAAGGTCTCTGACATGCCCTGGAGACATTTTCCCCACTGTCTTGGTGATTAAACTCTTTCAACTTCTGCCCATTACCCAGTTCCAAAGTTGCTTCCACATAGCAATGTCCCACTCCAAGTACCAATTTACTCTATTAGTCCATTCTCATGCTGTTATGAAGAAATACCTGAGACTGGGTAATTTATTTAAAAAAGAGGTTTAATTGATTCACAGTTCTGCATGGCTGGCTGGGGAGGTCTCAGAAAACTTACAATCATGGCAGAAGGCACCTCTTCTCAGGGTGGCAGGAGAGAGAATGAGTGCAAGCAGGGGAAATGCCAGACACATATAAAACCACCAGATCTCATGAGATTCACTCATTATCACAAGAACATCATGGGTGGGACTTCCCCCATGATCCAATTACCTCCATCAAGTCCCACTCTTGACCTATGGGGATTATTCCAATTCAAGGTGAGATTTGGATGGGGACATAAAGCCAATCATATGATTTCCCACAGGTAAAAACAGCTTTGTCCAAAGCAGATGGGTAAATGTACTACCCAATGGTGGGCAGAGGTCCTGGCCTTGATGGAGGTGGCTGGCAGAACTCTGAGTAAAATGCACTGAAGTCTTATGAGAAGGAAGGACTAGAGCCACCTAATTTCCCCTAGAAGGCCAGCAGGAAAGCTATTCACCTCCTAGATACACTCCTGACCCAGTGTTCTAGCTATTCAGAACAGAGAAGCATCTCTTTTCATCTGTAGGAATGTTGATGTTCCAAGTATAGAGGAATTGTGACTCTGCATCTTGTTCAGACCTATACCTGGAAGGTGCTCCTTCTGTGGGGATGCAGTCACCCTGAAATGTTCCAGAGAGGTTCTATAGGTGCATCCACACTGAGCTCCCATGGGAAAAACTCCAGCTGTTTCTGCAGTGGTGGATGAGAGGGAAAAGAAGTCCCTTCTCCAAGATCCTTCACAAGCACCAAGGCTGCCTGACTGCTGTGGCATGGCTGCAGACTTTCCCTGCTGAACCCAGCACTCTGACTATGCTTTTGCTGAAATAAACGTCCCATTATTGAAAGATCTGGGACTTGAGGCCTGTCATTTGACTGTTTTTGTCCCATGGGGTTTTCCCTTGATATGGTGCACTCCCACTTCCCATAGGAGTAGGGCTCCTTGAGAATTAGACTACTGTGAATGCTGTTGTTCCTCTGGGTCTAGCTGCCCAGTGTGGTTGCCATACTCCAGGCTGGTGCTGGGGAATGTCTGCAAGGGATCCAGAGATGTGATCTGTCCTCAAGTCTCCTACCAGTGGTTACTAGTACCAGCTTTGATGGGGGTGGCAGGGGAGTAGCAGAGACTCTGAGATTTCTTGGTTATAGGTGGCCTTAGTATGTTGGCTTTCTCAAATGCCAGTTGTAGTAGTAATGAAAAGGTCATGTGGACAGACTCATGAACTCCTGGCCAGGCCAGGGTGGTACAAGCAATGGTGATAGTTGAGGTCATGCACAAGTTTTCTCCTTCCTGGGCACTGTTATTCTACCTGTAGATGCTGTAATAAACTCTGTTGGTTGGCCTTCAGCCAGGAGATGGCATTTGCAAAAGATCACCAGCTGTGGTAGTAGCACTGGGATTTGTGCTTGCCTTATGTAACCCAGGGAAATATTCTGGTTTCTCAGGTGATGGATGCGGCCAAAAGTTTCTCCTTTGTGTTAAGCTTCTAGGACAGGTAGAGGGGCAAAGCCAAGTGGTGACTGGGTAAAGCAAGTACATGCTCTGACTCTCTGTGTGTGTAGCAAGTAGCAGCCCTTATGGGAGTCAGAGAGGTGGTTCTCTGATCACTGGGGCAATATTCCAGAGAGGAGTGTAACTGCCTGTGTTGCGCAGAAGACTGCATGCAGGGAGTGGGGAGTAACAGGCAGCAGTAAACCTCCCTCAGCTCCCTTGCACTTGGCAAGGCAGAACTCACACCTGCAGTTTTCTGGTAGAGCAGTGAGCTAAGTTCAAGGCTTCTATTCTCAAAACTCAAAACTGTCCCAGGCCGTATGCCTTCCCCACACAGAGGCAGGAACCGTGGCTTTCAGTCCACACTCCTCCCAGTCTGCCCACACAGCCTGGGCACCTAGCTCCTGCTCCTGTGGCTGTAGCATCCTTCCCACTCACCCCCCTAATTCTGGCCAAGAGAGTTCTTCCTCACTTGAGGTTATACCATGAAATTCAGTTGAGAACTTCTTTCAACCTGCAACCAGTGCCTGAGTTAATTGGCCCCTGTGAGGCAGAATAAGGAATGGCTTCTCTCAATCTGTGCTGGAGACTGTGAATACTTGCAAGACTCCTCTGCTGCCATTCTTTATATTCCTCACCACTTTCTAAGTGAATTCCAGCACTGGGCAGAGTTAAGGGCTTCTCTTGTAAGCTGAATTGCCAGATTCCCCAGAGAATGTAAATCCTGGAGGTAGTCTTTCCTTCTGTCACACTCCAAGGACTTACAGTTTTTTGCGTGGCTCATGGTGTAGAATGCAGCCTGCTGCTTCTTTCAAAGACACTGTGGATTTCAGTTTTCCTGTTGAGTTCCTGCATTGCTTCTTGGAAAAAAGTTCGCAGTGTGAATACCTACACGCTACTTTGTCTTTCTAAGTGAGAGAGGCATGTTAACTCTGCCTCCAATCCATCTACTTGGAGAAAAAGAAACCAACTTGAAGTCTGTTTTTTCTGATATTAGTATAGCAACTCCAGGTTTATTTTAGTTACTATTTGCATGAAATCTCTCTCTTTTTTAAAAAAGTTCACTTCCAACCTCTTTGTATCTTGGGATTGAAAGTGAGTCTCTTGTAAACAGCACATAGTTGGACAATTTAAAATAATTATTCTGCCAATTTCTGTCTTTTGATTGGAGAGCTTAATCAATTTGCAGTTAAAATAATTACTGATAAGAAAGTACTTCTGCCATTTTGCCATTTGCGTTTTGTTTGTCTAATATCTTTTCTCCTCATTTTCTCCATCACTGCCCTCTTTTGTGTTAAGCTGACTTTATTTTTTTGTAGCAAAACATTTGCTTCCCTTCTTATTTCTTTTTGTGTATTTAAAAAAATTATTTTCTGGCTGGGCATGGTACCTCACTCATAATCCCAACACTTTTTAGGAGGCTGAGGTAGGAGGATCACCTGAGCCCAGGAGTCTGAGATCAGTCTGGACAAGATGGCGAGACTTTGTATCTACAAAAAAATTTAAAAATGTAACTGGGTATAGTGGCTTATGCCTGTAGTCTCAGCTACTTGGGAGGTGGAGGCAGGAAAATCCCTTGAGTTCAGGAGTTTGAGGTTGCAGTGAGCTATGATCACAACACTATGCTCCAGACTTGGTGAGAGAATAAGGCCCCATCTCTAAAAATAAATGAATAAATAAAAGTTTTTTCTTTGTGTTTACCTAGGAGATTATGTTTTACATCCTAAATTTATAACACTATGGTTTGAATTGATACCCATTTAGCTGGAATATCATACACAAACTCCAGTCTATACAGCTCCAATCCCCTCTTTCATGTTGTTGTCACAGAGTACATCTTTATCTATTGCATAACCAAGAAAATAGATTTATAATTATTTTAATTCATTTGTCTTATAAATTTTGTATAAAATAAAACATGGAGTTACAACAACCAAAAATACAATAAGACATTTTTATATTTGTCCATGTAGTTATCTTTAGTTGAGATCTTTATATACTCATTAACTTTAAGTTTCTGTCTAGGTTTCTTCCTCTTCAACCTGAAGGACTCCTTTTAGTATTTCATGTAGGGCAGATACTGGTACCAAACTCCCTTAGCTTTCGTTTTTCTGAGAATGTCTTAATTTCTTCCTGTTTTTTGAAGGATGGTTTAGCCAAATACAGAATTCTTTTTTTTTTTTTTTGAGATGGAGTCTTGTTCTGTTGCCCAGGCTGGAGTGCAGTGGCACAATCTTGGCTCACTGCAAGCTCCGCCTCCTGGGTTCACGCCATTCTCCTGCCTCAGCCTCCCGACTAGACTAGCTGGGACTACAGGTGCCCGCCGCCATGCCCAGCTAATTTTTGTATTTTTAGTAGAGACAGGGTTTCACCTTGTTAGCCAAGATGGTCTCAATCTCCTGACCTCATGATCTGCCCGCCTCGGCCTCCCAAAGTGCTGGGATTACAGGTGTGAGCCACCGTGCCCAGCTGCTAAATACAGAATTCTTAGTTGACAATTTGTTTTCCTTTAAGCATTAAATATACTACCTTACTATATTTAGCCTACATAATTTCTGATAAAAAATTGACAGTTGATCTTATGAGAATCCCATGTATGTGACAAGGTGCTTCTCTTTTGCGGCTTTCAAGTTTCTCTCTCTGATTTTTGACTGATTATAATGTGCCTTTGTGTGGATCTCTGTAAGTTTCTCCAGTTTGAGTTTATTGAGCTTCGTTGATGTGTAGATTCATGTTTTCAACAAATTTGGGCCATTATTTCTTAAATACTTTTTATGCGCATTTCTCTTTGTTTCTTCCTTCTGGGATTTCCATTATGTGTATGTTCAAGTGCTTGATGGTGTCCCACAGGTACCTTAGTCTGTTTACTTTTCCTCTTTTTCTTTCTGCTCCTCAAACTGGATAATAGCAATTGTCCTGTCTTCAAGTTTGCTAATTATTTCTTCTAGCTTAAATATGCTATTGAACCTCTTTAATAAATTTCCCATTTTAGTTATTATACTCTTTAGCTCTAGAATTTCTGTTTGATAGCTTTTTTCTATTAAAATGTTTTTCTCTAAACATTTTTAAAAATTATTGACATTCTCATTTTTTTAATACATCATTTTCCTGATTGCCTTTAGTTTTCCTTTAGTTCTTTGAACATATTTAAGACAGTGGTTTAAAGCCTGTGTTTATTAAGTTCAATACTGGTCTTCCTCAGGGATGGTTTCTGTTGATTTATTTTGTTCTTTTGAGTGGACCATACTTTCTTATTTCTTTGCATACTTTGTGATTTTTTTGTTGAACCTCAGACATGTGGATATTATACAGTCACAATTCTGTAAGTCAAATTATTTGTCTTCCCAAAAGTTTGTTGTTGTTTTTTATTGTTGAAGTAGACATCCACTTGTTTAGTGATTTTGTAATACTAATTTTATAAAGACTGTATTCCTAGTCATATGTGGTCATTGAAATCTCTGTTTCTTTAGCTGTGTTTAGCTAATGTTTTGACAGAGATTTCACTGAATTCCTGGAACACAATACGAAAAACAAAACAAAACAAAAACTTCAAAAACTAACAAATAACGAAAAAGTCAAAACACAAGTAAACAAGGAAACAAACAAAAAAAACCCCAAACAACGATTTTCATCTTAGTAGGTTGACTCTGTGCTGGGGTACTTCTCCTGTACTTAACCAGGCTTAAACTGAACCTAGACATCAGTCAAAAATAAAGGGTTAGCATCTTTTTGGATCTTTTCTGATCATGCATTTTGCCCCTAGATAAACATGTGATTTTCTAAATTCCCTGGTATATATTGTTTCTTCCGAGTTCCATAGCTTCCCAAAGAAACCTTCCCTGACATTTCCTCTGAGACTTTAGATGCTCTATTATATGTCTCAATAGTAATCTTTTACCCTGCAGAATTTTTGTCAGTCTTACAACATACTTACACAATAGCTGCCACTTTTTGCCATGAGTAGAATCTGTGTTAAGTGAAACAAAGATTAGCACATTGTGCCAGTCCTTCAGGTAGTCAAGGCAGATTAGAATAGACACACATAATACTTTGTGAATGAGGTTTGCTCTGCACCCTCTGGAAACAGAGACTGGATCTCACACTGGGGATACAGGCTGTCATTTTCAAGACTGCTGGTGAGATGGGGAGAGGGTGGGCAAAGGTAAGTAAAAACATCATGAAGCTTTCCTAATATTTTTGGGTTTTTTTTCTTGTATCATTGTTTACTTGGTTGCTGAAAAACAATATTTTCTGAAGTTCTAATAAAGTTGATTTTGGGAGTTTCGGGTTGTTTTTTTCTTTTCAGTTGAGAGTCAGGAGCTTGAAGCTGCCTATTCCACTATTTTCTCATGTTACTCATCCCTGGCCTCTGGATTTTTGATGTGTATTCATCAGGTTTCTCTAGAGGAAGAAAGCCAATAGTATATGTGTATACACACATGCACATGCACACACACACATACACATACATTCCCTTTTATATATACATGAAAGGGAATTTATTAGGGAGAATTGTCTCACATGATTACAAAGGTGAAGTCCCCAAATAGGTTGTCTCCAAGGTGGGAAATGAGAAAAGCTGGTATTGTAGCTTGGTCCCAGTTCAAAAGCCTCAAGACCAGGGAAGCTGACAGTATAGCTGCCAGTCTGAGGCAGGCTGCTGGTGCAAGCCCTAGAGTCCAAAGGCTGAAGAACTTTGGGTCTGATGTCCAAAGGCAGGAGGAAAAAAGGGATCTCACTCTAGAAGGGAGAGAGAAAAAGAGAGAGAGGAATCTAAGCAAGCTGAATGTCCCCCTTCTGCAAACTTTGTTCTAGCCTCACCCATGGCCTATTGGATGGGCCTCCTCTTCCAGTCCACTGACCTACATGTTAGTCTTTCCTGGAAACAGCCTCACAGACACTCCCAGGAGCAATGCTTCACTGTCCATCTAGGCATCTCTCAATCCAGTCAAGTTGACACCTGTGTTAACCATCACAGGGAGTGTAGTCTCTGTAGGGTTAAATGGAATTAGGGAGATACACATGAGAGAGTGCAAGACTGGCTTGACTTGTTTATAAACAGGGCTTACAGCCTAGAGGAAGACGGCCTGGGTTTTGAGAAACTCTTGATGAGGGAGATTTCAAGTTTTCCCATTACTCAAAACTTTTAAGAATTCTTAAACTTGATTAGTCTCGGGAGAGAAGAGCTGAAAGTTTCTTTGGTGTTTCCTTCAATGCATCCCTAGGGTTTCCCTGAACTAACTTTCCTTAGTGAATAATATTACTTAGGGATGCATTGCAGAGTGAAAGAAGGAGGGAAAGAGAAAGAGGGAAACAGTGGGGCATCCCATGGCATTATGATTTCTAGACTTTCTCCTCAGTGTTTGTGTGAAGTCAGTTTTCTCTTTCACTGAGAGTGAAGAAGCAGCAGCTTCCTCTGGCCCACAGAGCAATCTCAGCACTAATCAGTCAGGAGGCAGCCTGGGTCGAGTCCTAGAGAGCCATTCAACTTTTCACTTCAGGGTATTTCTCTGGAGATGAGTGTTTTCCAGGAGTTCTGCTCTGTGAAGGAGAAACTAGGAGAGGCTCAGAATAGAACGTTCTGGGCCTGTTTGCCCTCTAGGATGAGGACACTCAGATTTTATTAAAGAGTAATAGGCTCATCTTCAAATTCTTCTTGCATAGCAGAAAGCACTTTCAACTATTCTCTGACTCAGTGCTTGACATAGGCACAGGTCATTGCTATTGTTAGAACCATCATCTCTCCTTTCTTTTTACTGGGTCCCACGTAAGCAGAGATTGTGGGAATTCGGACTGAGTTCTTCTATCGAGTTGATCCTTGTTACCCAAATATCATTTTACAAGAGGTCTCAGAGAGAGGACTGAATGATGACTGGGCACTGTGTCAGTGAAGACAGAAGGGAGAGAAAGCAGCTGCTTCAACATTGGCCATAGCCAAGTGTGCATAGGCTCTGACCATAGATTCATCCTTTAATTGATGAATTCATTTAATTCATTCAGAAATAATACTAGATCATGAGACACAATGAACAAGAATGACAATCTTCTTGCTTTCATGGTGCTTACATTGTAAAATGAATGACAAAATAAACAAAACGTAAACATACAATTTCAAGTGATGAAGGCTAAAGAGAAAAGTAGATCTCAGTGAGGAGATAGCGAGTGAAGGATAGTATGTGTTTTTTTAGACAGAATGATGAGGACAGTTTCCCTGAACTTGGACACTTAAGCAAAGACCTGAAGGAAGTAAGGGATAAAGCCCAGAAATTCTAAGGTACTCAGGAAATGGGGTCTATTTTACGTTAGTGACAGCTGACTTTTTAATTTCTGGTATGATTTTGGGAGAAAAATGTGATTATATAAGGAACATTGAGGATACATCCCAACCTTTCTAATAGAATGAGACCATAGCCTCGATATTTAGGACCTGGGCTGAACCTGGAAGTCACACTTGGTGGCTTTGAGCTCTCCTAGAGGCAAGGTCTGTAGACCTAAATCCTTTTGTTTGCCAGTCCGAGTATGAGGTCAAAGTGGGACAGAGAGAGGCTGAGGATAAAAGTTCCTCCTTTATATTCTGTCTGAATCTTTCTTCTCTCGCAATGATGAAAAGAGTTGTCAGAGTCTTAGAGAGAGATGGCCAGGTTCAACTCAGGCCAGGTGTGGTTTGTCAGCCTTCTGTGAGAAGACACATTCACTGAGGACAAAAGTAAGGGAGGCTTTCATCCCCAAGATAGGAAGGAAGAAAGGAGTAATCCATGCAGGGAACCAGCTGACCAGTAGATTGAGAGATCCTCAGTCCTTGCCCTTGAAAATTTACAGATACTCCTCAGGAGGAGACTTCCATACCCTCACTCTCACCAACACACAGCAATAATGATGAAGGTAAAGCAAAAGTTTTAAAATAAACATCCTGTAAATGGAACCTACATTCTGATGAAACAAAGAAATCGAGTAACCAGCTCAGGGGCGTTGGCAGGGAAACTTTTGTATAGAACATGATACTGGAGCAGGAATTTACAGGATAGAAAATACTTGGCAGACAGAGTAGTTTAGGACCTTCCAGGTGGAAGGGAGTTAGTGGTAGAAATGAACACACTGTGGTCCTGGAGGCTGACTGCTGGCTGTTCAGAGCAGAGAGGGAGGCAGGTGAAGTGAGCATTGGGGGTGCAATGGTGCATGCTGGGCAGGGTATAGGCTCTCATGTCTAAGGTATGGCACTGGGGACTGGGATCATCTTCATGACCAACTCAATTTTCCTCACACATTGTACATATTTAGAAAAATTGCCACTGACCATATACAGGAATAGTAGAAGACAAATGCCTACCATTCTAGTCATGGTGTGTGGCCTGTGAACAGGAGGGGGATTGCAGAACAGTTTCTAATTCTGTTAAGATGAGAAGCCGTATTAACTCTCTTTTGTTTTCTAGATTTCATGAGTTAAAAGCACTCAGAAGTAAATGTTGGGGAATTACTCTAGCGCCACTGAATTTTTTCTCTTAGGCTTCCCTGGCTCCCAAGAAGTACGCCGTATCCTTTTTGTGAACTTCTTCTTCTTGTACGCAGTGACAGTGATGGGAAACACGGTCATCATCGTCACTGTCTGTGTTGATAAACATCTGCAGTCCCCCATGTATTTTTTCCTGGGCCACCTCTGTGTCCTGGAGATCCTGATCACATCCACCGCTGCCCCTTTTATGCTGGGGGGTTGCTGCTTCCAAGCACCCAGATCATGTCTTTGACAGCCTGTGCTGCACAGCTATATACCTTTCTTTGGGTACCTCGGAGTTGGCATTAATGGGAGTGATGGCTGTGGACCATTATGTGGCTGTGTGTAACCCTTTGAGGTACAACATCATTATGAACAGCAGCACATGTGTCTGGATGGTCATTGTATCATGGGTGTTTGGGTTCCTTTTTCAAATCTGGCCAGTTTATGCCACTTTTCAGCTTACTTTCTGCAAATCAAATGTGTTAGATCATTTTTACTGTGACTGAGGACAATTGCTCAAGGTATCCTGTGAGGACACTCTTTTCACAGAGTTTATTCTTTTTCTAATGGCTGTTTTCATTATCATTGGTTCTTTTGATCCCTACGATTGTCTCCTACACCTACATCATCTCCACCATCCTCAAGATCCCGTTAGCCTCTGGCTGGAGGAAATCCTTTTCCACTTGTGCCTCCCACTTCACCTGTGTTGTGATCGGCTACAGCAGCTGCTTGTTTCTCTACACGAAACCCAAGCAAACACAGGCAGCCAAGTATAACCGGATAGCGTCACTGCTGGTTTTAGTGGTGACCCCTTTTCTGAACCCTTTCATCTTCACCCTGAGGAATGACAAATTCATACAGGCCTTTGGAGATGGCATGAAACACTGCTATCAACTCCTCAGAATTTAGCTCTGTCCTGGGGACAATCCTTATCATGGACTTCAGTAATCTGAAGGTACTAATTTAAATCTAAAATGACAGTTTTCATCATCAAATAGTTTGTAATCTACAAAGAACATTTAGGGCATAGACAGTGCTTCAATTCATTATTGGGTGACTTCATTAAAAAGAATAAATACATCAATTTATTCTTTTTAATGTATATAAATACATGTCCCAAAATAAATATGACAAGTGTAAACATCTGAAATACATGAAGATTTTAGAACTCTCAGACTGTGAATGGGAAAAGCAAGAAATGTGATTTATCTGATGTCTGCTGTACTAATTTGATTCTAGATGCCAGAATTATCTTCCCCTTTATTGCCTTATGGTTTCATGGTGTGTTCTCATCGTGTAAGCCTCACTATTGTGTCTCTCAGTGACCTGTGGTCCACCCTCAAGCTTTCAATGTAGTTCCTGCCTCCAATATTCAATGGTGATAGTAACTTTCTATGGGTTTTCTGACTGGAAGTTGTGACAGTGAACTCACTCCCCCATACTGACTGCTTAGCAATCTTCAGAATGAATGTGTTTTGATACAGGTTTAACCCTAATTTGTGCACCTTCTTAGCCATAGATGAAAGGTTTTAGAAAGAAACATTTTTTTTTACCTAACGTCGCCAACATCAAATGAGGGAGCGCAATGGAGGTATGTTCTGGAAGGCGATGTGATAAGGGATAGATGGCTTTGCGGTGTCCTTGGGCTGAGGGTGGATTGGAGAGAGGGCAGAGGGACAGGTGGCCTGTGGCCCCTTTTTCTGTCTCACACATTCTTCAATCTTGACATGGTACATTCACCCTCCATGTTCCCTTTGCTATCCCACTTCCTGCTCAGTTTCTTTATTAATTTCATTTATTCTCTCTCTCTCTGTTAGTACCAGATTCATCTCTTTGTTCCTTTTCCCCCTTCATTCACTCACAAAAACCAAGTTTATCAAGCCACCTTCTAGCTCCACAGTGAGCTCCCTTAATCCTTATATCTCAGTTTCTGTGTTGCCCCATCGTCTCCCTTGTTCCTGTCATACCCACTATTCTCAATTAATATTTCTGTATTGCATGACACAGATTTCTTCTGCATTCTTACACAAGTGATTACACATGTTTGGAGCAACCTAAATGGACATCAAAAGGTGACTACTCATATGATTTATGGCACTTTCATTCAGTTGAACATTACATAACTGTAGGAAGAATGAGGAAGTTTTCTTTGTCATTACAAGAAAGTACTTCAGGGTACACAGTTGAGAAAGAAAAGCAAAGAGTAGACCAATTTTTTTATGTGTTTCCTTTTTGTAAGAACAAAGCAAAACTCTGTTTATATTTCTATTTGGGTATAGTTGCATGAAGAAATGCCTAGGAGGGAAACCAGGAAATCAGTTATCTTGGGGATGTGTTGGTGGGAATGGCATTCATGGGAATAGTCGGTGAGGGAGGCTGTTTATGATACAGCTGTGTACATTGCTTTCACTGCTACTTCATAATAATGTGTTACCAACTCAAAAATAAAAGACATCATTCTGCTTCTAATTGCCAAGGAAAGTGTGCTTGCTTATCCAAATATCTGATGGTAACAAAGGACATATTTTGACAGAAGAATCTTTAGTAACTCTAGATACTTTGTAATGTTTCTGCAGAGCTGAGTAGTGGTACTGGGAGAATAATAAGGGAGAAGAGATGGAGCTTCACATTTCTCTCATTCCCAGACCTTCAGTGCTTTTGTAAGACTATATATTGTTGGGATATTGTGGGGGCTTCTTTTAATTATCCTATGTGTGTTGAAATTATCTTTGTCCAATCTGTTTTGTTTTTACTCTTTGCATCTTAATGAAATCTTCTGTCATATAGAGGTATTCATTTTGCCTTTGTCTGGTTAATTATTACTTTTATGATATATATTTCTGTAATCATTTAAAAAGTTTTTTTCTATTCAAATGACTTAACGAAAGTCCATTGTAATATTTACATGCCCTGACAGAGTAGATGTAACACAATAGATTTTATTTAAAAAAAGAGAATAATGGGAAAGCATGTGCAAAAGTTTTTAAAAAATATTTTCAGTAATCATATTGATGGAGATAGTATTCCAGGATGGTTGTGAGTATAATGTGAAACAAAGGAAATGTGTCCTTTATTTCAAATAAATATGGAATATTCTATTTCTTAATATAATATGGAGGAGCTTAGGTAAATCTCTATATATGGGCAGACTCAGTGCGTGTGCTCTCTCTTTCTCTGTCTCTCACTCCTGGCTCTGTTCATTGCCATAACTTAGCAACATTGGCCAATTCGATTACAATGAACATTCCTAGGCCCATATTGTAGTCTTGCAATACAATTTCCTGGTAAGAGAAATCAGGGCTTCTTGGAGAAATGACTGATTCCTCATCTAGGATGGGGAATCCACAAGATGAACTTGAAAATTCATATCATACCAGATGTGAAAGATTACTAGGGTTGTATTAGAATACTCAGGACTCAATTAGAGGAGACTTCTACTGGCCAAAGATGAAAGAAGTTGTGCTTCCAACCTATCAACTATTTTTAAATTTATGAGTTCACAATATTTAAAAAAAAATCACCTTCCAAAGATGATATTTTTTATTCATCAGACCTAAGCTTCTGAACCAACCAACTTATAGAAAACTATGTAGAGAACAGAAAGACACATTGAACTGCACCATGTAGGTGGAATTGGGAGAATGGAGATGCTAAGAATTCTACCATAAAAACACCTGAGCTTCTCAACAAATAGATTGGAAAGAGGTGAAAAGGCTGTAGAGAGAATCTGAAGATTAGAATCGATGTAAAGAACATATCAAATAAAAAAAAGTAGAAGACTCTATAGTGTGTGATAATTTAAACTGGAGTGATAAAATCTTTAAGGAATACAAATAAATGATTACTTAAAGGTAAAGATTATCATTACTTCTGAGGATGTGATGAGTGAATTAGAATAGGACACATGAATGGGCTTCTGCGGTTGCTATTAAAGTTGTATTTATTGATCCAAGGGGTGGTTGCAAAATAATTTCTTAAGCTATGCATGTGTTCAGTGTAGTGTTTCTATATACGTTTCACTTTAAAATAAAATGATTTAATCTTCTCTATATATTTTAATAGTTTCAATTTCTGATTTTGATATTTATTTAAAAAATAGGTTATTATTTATTTTGGGATAGGTTAAAGGTTGACGACAGGCTGGACCTCTAGAAATCACAGCTTTAGGCAAGAGTTAAGGGCTAAAAGTTCATTTGTGGGTGGGGGGATGCACTTCTACTATAGCAAAGTAAAATGAAGTGAGACAGGAAAGCATGGTAAAGAATGCAGTATGATGAATAACCATGTGAACATTGTTTCCTGATGATTAGCTGATGACATAATTGTCTATATAGAAAGCCTCTAAGATTCTACCAGAAAACTCCCGTAAGTAATAATATATTTTAGCAAGGCTGAAAGAGACAAGGTCAACATGCAAAAGAAATTACTAACAATGAACAATTAGAATTAAAATGTATAAAATAATATCATTTTTGATATCTCCAAAAAAGGGAAGTACTGGGTATGAATCTAACACAATATGTTTATCATCTTAGCAGAAAACCCTTAAATCACCCCGAAATTGGATTCTTCCTTCATGGATTGGAAGACATAATATTGTTAGTATGTTAATTGTTTCCAATTTCATTCATGGATTCAGGGAAATCGTAACAAAATTTTAGCAAGCTTTCATGCAGATAGTAACAAAAGAATTTTAAAATTTATAAAGAGACGCAAAAGTTATAGAATGGCCCAAACAACATTGAAAAAGAACAAAGAAGACTTACATTACACAATTGGAAGACTTTTAGTGACGTTACAATATCAAGACAGTGTGGTATTGAAAAATGATAGGCATATAAGATTAATGAAAGAGAATAGAGAGCCTAGAAATAGATTTAAACAACTGTCAACCTAGTTTCCACAACATTGCAAAGGAAATTCAGTAAAGAAGGTTAATTTTTCCAAAAAACAGTGCTAGAATAGTTCAATGTTTCTATGCAATATATATAAAATATGTATAAAAAAGAAAATATGCACCATGGAATACTACACAACCATAAAAAAGAATGAGATTATGTCCTTTGAGGCAAAATGGATGGAGCTGGAAGCCATTATCCCAACAAACTAACACAGGAACAGAAAACCAAATACTGCATGTTCTCACTTATAAGAGGGAGCTAAATGTTGAGTACATATAGACAAAAAGAATGGAACAACAGATATCAGGGCCTACTTGAGGGTGGAGGATGGGAGGAGAGCCCTCACCAAAAACTACCTATTGGGTACTATGCTGATTACCTGTGTGATGGAACAATCAATACACCAAACCCTCATGACATGCAATTTACTTGTATAACAAACCTGCACATGTACCCCTGAACCTAAAATAAAAGTTTTCTAAAAGATAAAATGAATTTCAGCATGTATCTTGTGACTTACCTAAAATTAGATAAAATGACTTTAATGTAAATGCAAGATTATGAAACGTCTAGGAGAAAATCTACATGACCTTGAGTTTGGTGGTTAAATTTTAGATAAAATACTAAAAGCACAATGAATGAAAGAAAAAATTGTCAAAATTGAAAACTTTTGCTGTAGAAAAGTCACTATGAAGAGAACAAAAAGATAAGACACTGGTTGGAAGTAAATATTTGAAAATCTCATATCTGATAAATAATTTGTATCCAGTATGTACACACACACACACACACACACACACACACACACACACCTGGAAACTCAATAATAAGAAAACGAACAGCTGGGAAGGATGTGTAGCATCAGAAACTCTCATTTATTGCTGCTTGGAATACAAAATGTTTAAACCACTGGAGAAGGCAGTTTTGCTGTTTCTTTTATAGTTAAACATAGACTTCACATACAAGCCAGCAATTTTGCTTGCAAGGTATTTCCCCAAGGGATGTGATAATTTAAATCAGTGCAAAAACCTGCACATGACTATTTATAGAAGATTTATTCATAATTGTCAACAATGTGAAGCAACCAAAGTGTCCTTCAATAAGTGCATGGTTAAAGCAATTGTAATCCATTTATACAAACAGAATACTATTCAGTGATAAAAAGGAGACAGCTAATAATTTTCATTACAAAATGGATGAATCACAAATGAATTTTACTAAGTGAACAGAGCAATAGCAAAAGGCTACATTGTATATGATTCAATTCTAATGACAATCTATAACAAAGGAGAAAGTTATAGAGATGGGAAAAACATAAGCAGATACTTTTGTCTTTGAGATAAGTAATGGAGACGTATTTGACTAGAGAAGTATAGAGGGATTTTAGGGTGATGGGATTAACCTGTATGATCAGATATATTATGCATTTGCCAAGCTCATAAAATTTTACAGCAGAAAAATAAGCTTTGATGTATGGACATATAAAAATATCAGAGGAAGCTGGGGATCTTAAGATAGAATGCAGACTGTGAAAAAATAATTTTTGTGTGATATAACATCACTGAAGACAGTGGGGGAAAATAGAACTGCCTTAATTAACTTTGGAAAACAGTATTTTGATGAAAAACTATAAGGTGAAAAGTAGAAGAACTATACATCATCACTGTACTCTCATTACTAAAGTTGATTCTCATGGAGAAAAGTGTTAACAATTTTGAAATTTCTGTACATGTAAATTGGGGTTCAACAAGTACAAAAAGGGTTGCAGATGGCAATAACCCCACTAAGAAGAGAAAAGTTAAAGAGATGCAGGCAGAAAAGGGTAGAATGCACCATGTGGTACTGAATTAGAGTCAAAGACATCAGCTTGAGCTCATGTTTAGCTTGATATAGAGGCAGATGGATAGATATGAAAATTATTTTATATATATATATTTCCTAGATCTGTCTGCTGAGAAAACCTAGAAACAGTAATTATTTCTCTACCTTGTGTTGAGATATTATTTTGTAATACTATCCAGTAACATAAACCAGGGCTTCTTGGAGATGTGGCTGATCCAGGGTCTCAACAAGAAAAATCAAGATAAGGCTGGAGCATCTATAGAAATACTTTTCAAAACAAAACTGGCACAAGACAAGGATGCCCTCTCTCACCACTCCTATTCAACATAGTGTTGGAAGTTCTGGCTAGGGCAATCAGGCAAGAAAAAGAAATAAAGGGTATTCAATTAGGAAAAGAGGAAGTCAAATTGTCTCTGTTTGCAGATGACATGATTGTATATCTTAGAAAGCCCCATTGTCTCAGCACAAAATCTCCTTAAGCTCATAAGCAACTTCAGCAAAGTCTCAGGATACAAAATCAATATGCAAAAATTACAAGTATTCCTGTACACCAATGACAGACAAACAGAGAGCCAAATCATGAGTGAACTCCCATTCACAATTACTACAAAGAGAATAAAATACCTAGGAATCCAACTTACAAGGGATGTGAAGGACCTCTTTAAGGAGAACTACAAACCACTCCTTAACGAAATAAAAGAGAACACAAACAAATGGAAGAACATTCCATGCTCATGGATAGGAAGGATCAATATTGTGAAAATGGCCATACTGCCCAAGGTAATTTATAGAGTCAATGACATCCCCATCAAGCTACCACTGACTTTCTTCACAGAATTGGAAAAAACTACTTTAAAGTTCATATGGAACCAAAAAAGAGCCCGCATTGCCAAGACAATCCTAAGCAAAAAGAACTAAGCCAGAGGTATCACACTACCTGACTTCAAACTATACTACAAGGCTATAGTAACCAAAACAGCATGGTACTGGTATATAGACCAGTGGAACAGAACAGAGACCTCAGAAAACAGGTATATAGAGCAGTGGAACAGACCAGAGACCTCAGAAATAACACCACACATCTACAACCATCTGATCTTTGACAAACCTGACAAAAGCAAGCAATGGGGAAAGGATTCCCTATTTAATAAATGGTTCTGGGAAAACTGTCTAGCCATATGTGGAAAGCTGAAACTAGATCTCTTCCTTACACCATATAAAAAAATTAACTCAAGATGGATTAAATACTTAAGTGTAAGACCTAATAGCATAAAAACCCTAGAAGAAAACCCAGGCAATGCCATTCAGGACACAGGCATGGGCAAGGACTTCATGACTAAAACACCAAAAGCAATGGCAACAAAAGCCAAAATAGACAAATAGGATCTAATTAAATTAAAGAGCTTCTGCACAGCAAAAAAAAAACTATCATCAGAGTAAACAGGCAACCTACAGAATGGGAGAAAATCTTTGCAATCTACCCATCCGACAAAGGGCTAATATCCAGAATCTACAAAGAATTCAAACAAATTTACAAGAAAAAAACAACCCCATCAAAAAGTGGGCAAAGGATATGAACAGACACGTCTCAAAAGAAGACATTTATGCAGCCAACAGACATATGAAAAAATGCTCATCATCACTGGTCATCAGAGAAATGCAAATCAAACCCACAATGAGATACCATCTCATGCCAGTTAGAATGGCGATCATTAATAAGTCAGGAAACAACAGATGCTGGAGAGGATGTGGAGAAATAGGAACGCTTTTACACTGTTGGTGGGAGTGTAAATTAGTTCAACCATTGTGGAAGACAGTGTGGTGATTCCTCAAGGATCTAGAACTAGAAATACCATTTGACCCAGCGATCCCATTACTGGGTATATACCCAAAGGATTATAAATCATTCTACTATAAAGACACACGCACACGTATGTTTCTTGCAGCACTGTTCGCAATAGCAAAGACGGAACCAATCCAAATGTCCATCAATGATAGATTGGATTAAGAAAATGTGGCACATATACACCATGGAATACTATGCAGCCATAAAGAGGATGAGTTCATGTCCTTTGCAGGGACATAGATGAAGCGGGAAACCATCATTCTAAGCAAACTATCACAAGGACAGAAAACCAAAGACCGCATGTTCTCACTCATAGGTGGGAATTGAACAATGAGAACACATGGACACAGGGCAGGGAACATCACACATTGGGGCCTGTAGGAGGGTGGGGGGCTGGGGGAGTTATAGCATTAGGAGAAATACCTAATGTGTGTAAATGATGAGTTGATGGGTGCAGCAAACCAACATGGCACATGTATACCTATGCAACAAACCTGCACGTTGTGCACATGTACCCTAGAACTTAAAGTATAATAAAAGAAAAAGAAAAAATTTCACAATAAAAAAATGCTTTTCAAAACAAAAGGATGGAGCATGTCAAAGGGATACAGGACCCAACCTGAGTCTCAGTCTTAGTCCCTGTGGGATGCTATAATGGAATACCGTAGACTGCATGGCTGATACAAAATAGAAATTTACTTCTCACAGCACTTGAGGATGAGAAATTCAAGATTAAAGCACTAGCATATGTGGTGTCTGGTGGTGGTATAAGGGGCAAGAGAGGTCACTGGGGTATTTTTAATAGGGTCACTAATCACATTTATAAGGGCTCCCTCTTCATGACCTAATCACCTTCCAAAAGTCCAACTCTGAATACCATCATCTTGGAGATTGTGTTTCAAGAATTTGGGGGGAACACAAATATTCAGTCTATAGCAGCTCCCAATGGCCAAAGCTAGAATAATTTAGCATATTAAATGATGTAGAATGAATTATAACTTATAGTATAAAATATTAATATTTTATAAATATATAATGTAAATGAATGATTGAATAAAGAAATAATTTAAGAAATTACTTTTATTTTTCAGAACTGCTTTGGCTATTCTCTAACCACTTTCCATATAAATATTGAAATCGGTCTGTAGATATCCACAAAAAACTTGCTGACATTTTGATTAGGAATGTATTGAAACCTTAGATCAAATTGTCTTAAAGCCTCAAGGAATAGGATTCTTTCAATTCATGTGTAATTCTAAATGTTTACCCGCATGGTTGAATGGCAATCCTTTGGTGGTAGGAAGCCAATCCCTAATTTTTTCTGTCTCCCATCCATGTTCTCAAGTCTTATTTTTAATTTAGGTATATTTGTCTCTTCTCCATGGCATCAGGCTTCCTCATAAGTCTTCCATCAGTGTGTGCCAGTGACTTTATGCTTAAATCTTATATCTTTCTATTGCCACGACAGCAGTGTACAAAAGTATCTAACAGGCTTTACAACTCCTCAGAAGCCATGTACATTTATCAGATCCTTATTTTAGAATCGTCATCCATTTTAGTTCCTATAGCTTCATTCCAAAGAGTTAACATTATTTTTGAATACCATGCCTGATGTCATCTTTTCCGCTCAGGTGCACTTTCAGTGGTTAGCAACTCTGAGCTTATTATAGACTCTGCATCAGAGGAGTCTACCCAAACTTGGAGTCTCCCTATTAAAAAAAAACTGCCTAAACAGTTACTTTTATACTCACATACTCATTTTTATATGTAAATATTTATATAATTTTCTATTAATAACCCTTGGACTCCAAACTAAAAGGAAACAGCTGAAACCAAAGGGACACAAGAAAGCATCTACATAGCTCACGTATAGTAAATCTACCTTCTGTACTATCCTCCCTTAGAAAATTATTTCTAGACTTTTCATTGTTCATTTTCTGTTTAGGTCATAATCTTCTATGCACCATGTCAAATGATCTTATATTAGCTAACAAGTATGCAGAAGTTACCAACTTTTGAGATCACAACATGGGCCTACATAAACAGTATATGTAGGTGCAACAGTAAGTAATCATAACATAGAATATGTTTCGATTACATGTATCTTTCAAGTGTGTATTTGTGCTATTGCAGTGAATATAAACAGAAGTTTATGTAAAAATAATGTTGAATTTGTGGTAGTTTTTGCCAGGAAAATGTTTTTAATTGTCCTTTCATCATTGACTGTAATGTTTTTGCTATATTTATATTTTTAATTTAAATATTTAAATTATTTAAAATCATAATCATATAGGCATAGTTTAAAAAATTTAAAGTAATTGTAAGTGATTGATATAGGAAAATGGCAGATTGTTTCTCTTTCCCATTTTACTCATGGTACTACTCTTCAGAGTCAAAAACTTTTTTTGGTACATATTTAGTAATAATATGCTTATATAAATATTTCATAATTTATGAAATTTATTCTTTCTGTAATTAATAAGTTACTTATTAATTTTTAAATGCAGTTCCTTTCCCCCATCCCCAAATAGTTCTACATACATCTCAAACCTAAACCTAACAAAGCTCTGGCTTTGTGTTCTGTAGGCCTGGTATAGAGCTCTTGTGCAGGGACATCCATTCACAGTTTTCATGTGATAGCTTTCGTTTTACCAACTTTTCTATCTTCTTCTTTTTTGGTTTGCTTCCAAGTTTTGATGGAGCAGAGCTTCTAGCATCTTTTAATGATGCTACTTTTAGAATCCTCTTTTTATCTTAGGTCTGCTACTGATTATAATACGTCATGGGGTATCTCATTTGGATTGAATCTGATACCTCATATCTTACACCTAGATATTTACATCTTTCTCTAGGTTTGGAAAGTTTCCTGCTATTATTTCTTAAATACTATTTATACCCCTTTCGCTTTCTCTGTCTTCTTTTGAATCCTGATGACCCATACTTTTGGTCTTTTGATATTATCCCATAAGCCTTTAAAATTTATTTTCATTCTGTTTTTTACTCTTACTGTATATTGTTAAATACTTTGAGTTCACACGTATTTCTTCTGTTTGATCAATTCTGCTGTTGATGCTCTGTATTGGGATTTTAAATTTAGTTTATTGTATATTTCAGCTCCAGGATTTCTTTTTTAATTTCCATTTCTCTGTTAAGTTTCTCACTAATTTCTGTATTATTTTTCTGTATTTTCTTGAGATTCTCTGAGCTTCGTTAAAATAGGAACTTTAAATTCTTTGTTAGGCTGTTCTTCCATCTCCATCTCTTTAGGGTCAGTCAGTGGCACCTTATTTTGTTCAATGGCACCTTATTTTGCCTGCTTAGTGATGTCATGATTCTCTGATTTTTCTTAACCTTGTGGCTGTGTGTCGATGTTTGTACAATGAAATAGGTACTTAATGCAGTCTTCACAGTCTGCCTTTGTTTGGCAGTGTTCTTCAACAGTAAGCTGGTTGAGAAACTCGGGGCAAGTTTGCTGGTAAAGTCCCTGTGCTTGTGATTGCTTCATCTATTGTATCACTACGGGGTGCTCTAAGGCCAGGCTGCCACAGAAGGAATCCCATGGCCACTGACATTGATGTAGCCTTGGCTCTCACTCAAATCATATGGCCATTGAGATTTGTAGCACTGAGGCCTAATCAAGACCTGTGGCTTTTATGGCCTACCTATTCTTAGGATTGCCTTGGATACTCAGGATCTTTTTTTTGGTTCCCTGTGAATTTTAAAGTAGTTTTTTTTCCAGTTCTGTGAAGAATGCCATCGGTAGTTTAGTAGGAATAACACTAAATCTATAAATTGCTTTAGGCGTTAAGGCCATTTTAATGATATTGATTCTTCATATCCATGAGCATGTAATGTTTTTCCATTTGTTTGTGTAACCTCTGATTTTTCTGAGTTAGTGTTTTGTTTTCTTTGCAGAGCTCTTTCATTTTCCTGGTTAGCTGTATTCTTAGGCGTGTGTGTGTGTGTGTGTGTGTGTGTGTGTGTGTGTGTCAATTGTGAATAGAATTGCATTCCTGATTTGGCTCTCAGATTGACTGTTGTTGGTATATTACGTCATCTGCAAAGAGCGATAGTTTAATTTCTTCTCTTCCTACTTAGGTGTCTTACTTCTTTCTTTTGCCTGATTGCTCTGGCCAGAACTTCCAATGTTATGTTAAATAGGAGTGGTGAGAGAGAGTTTCTTGTTTTGGCTTTCAAGGTGAATGCTTCCAGCTTTTGCCCATTCAGTAGGATGTTAGCTGTGGGTTTGTCATAGACAGCTCTTATTATTTTGAGGTATGTTCCTTCAATACCTAGTTTATTGAGAGTTTTTAACATGATGGGGTTCTGAATTTTATCAAAAGCCTTTTCTGCCTCTATTGAGATAATCATGTGGTTTTTATGTTTAGTTCTGTTTATGTGATAAATCACATTTATTGATTTGTATTATTGAAACAACTTTGCATCCCAGTGATAAAGCCTACTTGACTGTGGAGGATTAGCGTTTAGATGAGTTGCTGGATTCAGTTTGCCAATATTTCGTTGAGGATTTTTGCATCTATGTTCATCAAATATATTGGCTTGAAGTTTTCTTTTTTGTTTTGTTTCTGCCAGGTTTTCGTATCAGGATAATGCTAGCCTCATAGAATGAGTTAGGGAGGAATTCCTCCTCTTCAATGTTTTGGAATAGTTACATTAGGAATGGCACCAGCTCTTCTTTATACATCTAGTAGAATTCGGCTGTGAATCTGTCTGGTCCTGGAGATTTTCTGGTTGGTAGGCTTTTTATTACTGATTCAATTTTGGAATTCATTATTAGTCTGTTCATAAATTTAATTTCTTCCTGGTACAATCTTGTTAGGCTGTGTGTTTCCAGGAATTTATATGTTTCTTCTAGGTTTTGTAGCTTGTGTGCATAGCAGTATTCACAGTAGTCTCTGAGGGTTTTGTATTTCTGTGGGGTCAGTGGCAATATCTCCTTTGTCATTTCTGATTGTATTTGGATCTTCTCTCTTCTTGGATCTTTGGATCTTCTCTCTTCTACAGTGGTGGAGGCAGCAGGGTTCTAGGGTGTGGGGACTCCTGCTGGCAACTTTGCACAGAGTTGCACTGGTGGTGGTGGTAGCACAATGGCAGGGAGCTGATAGGTTCAGCTCTGTGTGCATTCTCTGTGTGCCACAGGCAAGAGTGGTAGCTCAGGACAGGGGGGAGATTTCACTGTTGTCTGTGCCTAGTTTCACTTGTGTGGCAGTGCTGGCAAAAGGGCAGGGTGCTGGCAGGGGCAGGACTGGCTGACCGTGTGCCTTCCAAGGCTTGGACTGCAATGGGGGTCTTGTGGGGAAAAGGGGAGTGGAGTGTACTCCCATTGCAGCAGTGGCAGTGTGGGGTGCATGCACACAGGCTTGCTGGCAGTGCAAGGAAGGCAAAACCTGCCTGTGCACACTCATACCAGCAAAGCAATGTGAGGGGTTTCCGTGGGCCCTGAGAAAGCTGCAGTGTGGGGAGGGGCAGGCAGGCTGCTGAGTGGCCACAGGGGCTGCCTCAGTGGAGTTCTCTGCTAGCCAGGCACAGTCCACCAGCACCGGAGCTATGATGTGGGCCCTGAAGACACCCAAGGCTGCCCTCTAAGCAGGTGCTACCAGACTGGGGCCCCAGCAGACCCAGGGGTGCTCAGTTCAGAGCAGTCCTATCTGATGGCCAAGATTGCCCTGCAGAATTTAGGTCTGACCTTTCCCCTAGGGCTAAATTCTCTTATGGTAGCAAGTCGAACTTGGAGATTTGTGCTTCCCTGGACATGCTCCACTATAGACGCTCCCACACCAAACCTTCTGGGCTCACCTTCGGCTGGTGTGCTGCCCCTACCACTTCTCTAAGTAGCATTCCCTGTCAACTCAGGTGTCCATGGTGGTCAACATATCTGCTGCTGAGATTTCAGAGTCCCATCGTGAGAACAGGTTGCTCCTTTCCAGTTCAACTCACCAGATCCCCTGGAGTTGTGTGGGGCCAGAAGTCAGTCTCAATGCATGGTTGCCCTGTGCAGGGTTCCCAGCTTCCTTCCCCTTTAGAACACCTTCTGTGTCTTTCCTCTGTCCACTCTCAGTGCTTTCCCTCTGAAGATCTGTAAGTAGTGTGCCAGTCATCTGGGTACCTCGTGGCAGCTGTTCCACCTGGCTACGGCTAGTTGACCATCTTGCTCTCTGAAACTGCTCTAGATATTCTAATTTATGTGCATAGAGGTGTTCATTATGATCTCTGAACATACTTTGTATTTCCATGGGATCAGTTGTAGTGTCACCTTTGTCATTTCTCATTGTATTTATTTAGATCTTCTCTCTCTCTTTTGTTGGTAATCTAGCTAACAGTCTATCTCTCATTTATACTTTCAAAAACCAAACTTTTGGTGTCATTGATATTTTGTATGGATTTTTGCATCTTGATTCTGTTCAGTTCTTCTCTAATTTTAGTTATTTCTTTTCTTCTGCTAGCCTTGGGATTGGTTTGTTCTTTTTTTTTTTTTCTAGTTCCGCTAGGTGTGACAGTAGATTGTTAATTTGAGATCTTTGTAACTTCTTGATGTAGGTGTTTAACACTATTAACTTTCCCCAACACTGCTTTTGTTGCAGGCCAAAATTTTTGATATGTTGTGTGTCAATTTTCATTAACTTCAAAGAATTTTTTGATTCCTGCTTTAATTTCATCATTCACCCAAAAGTCGTTCAGGAGCAAGTTGTTAAATTTCCATGAAAAGAAATACTTGATATTCATTTCTATTTTTATTGCACTATGGTCTGAGAGTATGCTTGGCATAATTTAAATTGTTTGAATTTATTAAGACTTGTTTATGACTGAGTATGTTGTCAATCTTAGAATATGCTCCATGTGCAGAGGAGAAACATGTATATTCTGTGGTTTTTGAGTGGAATATTTTGCAGATGTCTAATTGGTTGAGTGTTAAGTTTTAAACCTAGAATTTCTGCCAGGTACAATGGCTCACGCATGTAATCCCAGCACTTTGGGAGGCTGAGGTGGGTGGATCACAAGGTCAGGAGATCGAGACCATCCTGGCTAACACGGTGAAACCCCATCTCTACTAAAAATACAAAAAAATCAGCCAGGCTGGTGGCGGGCACCTGTAGTCCCAGCTACTTGGGAGGCTGAGGCAGGAGAATGGTGTGAACCTGGGACCCGGAGCTTGCAGTGAGCTGAGATCGCGCCACTGCACTCCAACCTGGGTGACAGAGCGAGACTCCATCTCAAATAAATGAAAAAATAAAAAAAATTTAAAAATCTAGAATTTTTTAGTTTTTTGCCTTGATGATTTGTCTAATGCTGCCAATAGGGTGTTGAAGTCTCCCAGTATTATTTTGTCACTGTCATTTAATAGGCCAAGAAGAACTTGTTTTAAGAGTCTGGGTGCTGCTATGTCAGGTATATATATATATTCAGGATAGCTCAGTCTTCTTGTTGAATTGAACCCTTTATTATTATGTAAGTCTGTTCTCCATTCTTCTTGATTGTTGTTGGTTTAAAGTCTATTTTATATGATATAGGAATAATGACCCATGCTCTTTTTTGGTTTTTCTTTCCATGATTTATCTTTCCCCGTATCTTTACCTTGAGGCTGTGGGTGTCTTTCCATGTGAGATCGGTCTCTTGAAGACAGCAGACAATTGAGTCTTATTTTTAAATCTAACTTATCATTCTATACCTTACAAGTGGGTTATTTAGACCATTTATGTTGAAGGTTAATATTAATATGTGAGATCTTGGTCCTTTCATTGTGTTGTTAGCTTGTTGTTTTGTGGGCTTGAAGTAATTGCTTTATAGTGTCTGTGGCCTTTGTGCTTAAGTGTGTTTTTGTGGTAGCAGGTATCCTTTTGTTTCCATGTTGAGTACTCCCTTAAGCACCTCTTGTAAGGCTTGTCTAGTGATTACAAATTCCGTTAGTATTTGCTTGTCTGAAATGAATTTCGTTTCTCATTTATTTATACAGCTTAGCTTATGATATGAAATTCTCCGTTAAAATTTTAAGAATGCTGAAAATAGGCCGACAACCTTTTCTGGCTTGTAAGATTTCTGGTGAGATATCCGCTCTTAACCTAATAGAGTTCCCTTTGTAAGTAACCTAACCTTTCTCTCTAGCTTCTTTGAAGATTTTTCTTTTTTATTTAGCTTGGTGAATCTGATGACTGTGTGTCTTGCGGATGATTGTCTTGTATAGTATCTTGCAGAGGTTTCTCTATTTCTTGAATTTACATGGCAACCTCTTTAGTGAGATTGGGGAAATTTTCAAGAATTATATTCTTAAATGTGTTTTCCAAGTTGCCTACTCTCTCTCCTTTTCTCTCATGAATACCAATGTGTCATAGGTTTGGTCTCTTTATATAGTCTCATAATTCTCAGAAATTTTCTTCATATTTAAAAATTCTTTTATCTTTATTTTTATCTTGCTGACTTTGTTTGAAAGACCTGTCTTCAAGGTCTTAGATTCTTTCCCAAGCTTGGTCTATTCTGTTGTTATTTTTCCAGATCGTATTGTGAATTTCTTGTAATGAATGTTTTAATTTCAGAAGTTCTATTTGATTGTTTCCTAATATGGCCATTTCATCTTTCAACTCTTGCATGTTTTAATGGATTCATTGGATTGATTTAACTTTTCCCTTTATCTTGGTGAGCTTCCTTACCATTCCAGTTCTGAATTCAATATCTGTCATTTCAATCTGTTTAAGAACCGTTACTGGGGAGCTAGTATGCTCATTTGGAGGTAAGGGGACACTCTGACTTTCTGAATTGCCAGTGTTCTTGTGCTGGTTCTTTCTTATTTGAGAGGGCTGGTGTCCCTTTGTCTTTTTGAATTTGCTTTCATTTGAATGGGGCTTTGAAAAAATTTTTATTTTTCTTGAGGGTTTAATTGTGGTATAAATTGAGTATAGTTGATTGGCTTTGTCTCTGAGTCCTTTCAGAGGGCCAAGGCTCTGCACAGGACCTTTATTTGTCGCTAGGTTCTTGCCCTGGGTTTTACAGGTGATATATACTGGAACAACATTTTTGGTGTAGTAACTTGGGCTATGATCCAGTAGATAGCACTGAAGAGTAACAGCCAGCAGATAGGCTCTTACTCAACTGTATGGATCTTTTATCTTTCAGTGCATTTACAGCAGTACTCTGTGGTGGGGGGTGGGAGAAAGATGACATCCTTGCCAGTTCCATTGCCAGGTTTTAGGGGAGCCTCCTCCAATCACTGGCACCATGCCTGCATTTCATTTGTTTGGTGTTCCAAGCTGTGGGGTTCCCCTGGGCAAAACCTATGTCTGACAGACAGGCCACACCCTTTCTGGACCTGCCCTGTGGAAAGAGGAATGCCCCACTGCCACACCTGCCCATGAGCCTGCGTCTTAGTCTTCTTAGTGCTCTGAGAGTGGAGGCTCTTTCCCTGCATAAGCACCAGCCAAAGATCTCAGTTTGGCACTCTTGAATTGTGTGCTGTTCCTTTTGGGGTATTGGGACCTGGCTCATCGCTTTGTCCTCTGACCTCTCAAGGTTGGCTGCTGGCTGTGTTAGGGGAGCCAAAGTGCTTCCAGGCCCCCGGGAAAGCATTCAGGTGGGGCTGCCAGCAAAGCACTTATGCTGGACAGTGAAGGCTGTGCTGTGTACATGCCCTTGTGGCAGCAGCCAGGCAGTTGACTTGGAAGGAGCTAGCAGATAAGGGTTATGCAGAACAGAAATGCCACAAGCACACAGGAAGCCCTGTTCTCTCCTGGTCCAGCAGCCAGCTGGGGTTAGAGGTACTCAGAGGAAGATGAGAGCCTTGGAGAACGGGCACCTATGGTAGCATTTTGCTGCAGCTGCACGACGTGCAAAAATCTCCTAGACTCCACTAGGCTGGAGCTGTCTCTGCCTACTTTTTGGGAAGATCTCTCTGCCAATTTAAATGTCTGTGGGGGTTGTGGGGTCTTTTGTAACTAGTATCCTAGAGGTCTGCAGCAAGAGTGAGTATCTGTGCAATCAATTCATTCACCCCTTACTTAGTTGGTATTTAGGGCTGGTGACTAGTACTAGTGCTGAGAAACCTTGTACAGGATTTCCAGCTTCCTCCCTCTTCAGCTTAGGCATCTGCATAGCTTCTCTATAAACTCTGTTTTCTCTATGAAGATCTGTTTGAAATATGTTGGTTTACTTGATATTTTGAGCTCTCTCAGTGGGAGAGGTGCTCCATGGCTGTGTGTAGTTGGCCATCATTTCCCCCACAGGTACATTTGAACTCCATAATTCCCCCCCAAAAAAACTTTCCCCAACATTTCCTCTGAGGCATTAGATGGT